>NC_000006.12:52642734-53288418 GCF_000001405.40 Homo sapiens | reverse complement strand
ATGGTGAAAGCTCGGAAATGAAATTCCAGGTTATAGAAGAGAAACAACTTAGTTTGCATTAGTTACTTAGCTTTGTAAAACGATGCCCTTACAGCAAACTTAAAAATCTTGTGCGCCTTTTAGCCACCCGAGATTCAGGGCATTTGTCCTCTGAAGAGAAGCCTGATTTTTTGCACTATCCATGTGTCTTTTCTCTTGTCTCCAGTCCCAAAATTGAGAACCTCTACATACATGGTGCCAAACGGTGGCTTTCCCTCACTCTGCCTTATCTACCTGGTTGGATCAGGTTTCCCCTGACCCATCCAGTGAGCTATCAAAGCCACTTTTAACTCCTTTGTTAGAGTGTTACAGGTGGTTTCCCTCTTAGGCAGATGCTCTGTCCTCATGTGAAGCCATTCAATGTGTCTACTCTTCTCCTGCTGTGCCTCAGACCTCTTAGACCCTAAGCAGAGAGGATCTAATTGTGTTTGTTACAGTCCAAAAGGGAGCAACCCCGTCGATCTGCCTGTGCCTCACGAACTGATCCTTCGACTCAGCAGCAGCTGCCAGAAAACAGGGTCAGTGTTGTGCAGTGCACATGGCTTTGAATTCCCCAGGAACACTGTGTTGAAAGGATGGCTGGCTCCTTTCCTCAGAAGGAGGCACTCCGGCCTTTCTTAGCCGATCTGTTATGCTGAGCTCTACTCAAACCCCAGCAACACCAGGCTCTTTCATTCTTCTGGGCTCTACCCCTTAAAACTCCCACTTCTGCCTGGCAGTCTCCCTCTCACTTTTGAGGACTGTGTGGAAGGATCCAATTCCTCTGTGAAGCCATGAGCGTACTAAGGAAGAGGACTCAACTCTAGAGAGTGAATTTTTTTTTCTCCCAGCCTCTTTGGCTATCCCATTGTTCCCACGGACTATGATGCATTCCTTTCAAAGTACTCTCATGATGTGCCCCTTAGCATCCCATCCTTGCCCCACTGACACTCACTGGCTTAGGCTAGAATGAAACAATGTTTTCCCCACCTTCTTCATCCCACTGTTACTATACCTGATTACTCCACCAAATGGATCCTGAGTATTAGAATACAAAAATAAGCAAATGTCGGAACCACATTTTCAAGTTATTTAGTAGTCAAAGATAAATCATGGGTTACAGACAAGATTATTTTTTGAGTATCTGTGTATGTTTCCTCCCTTGCAGTTAGAACTATATGTTGTGAATAGTGTGAGAGAATGCGCTTTAAAATATTCAGAACATTTAAAATGTAATTTTGAAAGAAAAAAATTTGTAATTTTGAAAAAGCTGGATGGATGCATCTGGCTTGGCATAAATCCAAACTTATCTTTCTTCCCCTTTTCAATTTTTATTTTAAATTGTAATTTTGGAACTATTTGAAAATATTTAAAATAAAATTATATAGATGATATCTGTGCACCTAACAAATGCTTGATTTTTGTTTGTTTGTTTAAATAAGAAAACATTACAAAAATGCATCTAAAGTACAGTCCCTTTCCAGACTTCTTCGGAAATTTGTACAGTTTTTCTCTGGATGTATTTTTACTACATATATATGTATACATGACAACACATAGTACGTTCTAAGATAGTTTTTAAAAACCATACGTGAATGGTATACTAATTAAACTCTTTTTCAAATAGATTTTTTTCAGTCAGTATATTTTTGACCAATTCATCTTGAGTCGTATAGATGTAATTCATTAATTATAATTATGTTAATTATAGTTAATTAGAAATTCATTTTATCTGCTTTGTATTATTTCAGTGTTGGAATTTATTACACCATTTTATAAGTGTTTCTTTGGATGGATATGTATGTTGTTAGATTGTTTTTTGTTGTTGTTTTTTGAGACAGAGTCCGGCTCTGTTACCCCGGCTGGAGTTCAGTGGCACAATCATACCTCACCCACTGCAGCCTAGAACTCCTGGCCTTAAGCGATCCTCCCACCTCAGCCTCCTGAGTAGCTGGGACTACAGGCATGTGCCACCATGCCTGGCTAATTTTTTTATTTTTGGTAGAAACATTGTCTCACGGTGTTGCCTGGACTGATCTCAAACTCCTGGACTCAAAGTGATCCTCCCACATCAGCCTCCCAAAGTGCTAGGATTACAGGTGTGAGCCACTGTGCCCAGCTATGTGGGTTTATGCAAGTTGTTCAATTAACAGTGTGCCAAGAATCTTCTTAGACATATCTCCTTATGCAAATATGGTAAGTTTTTTGACCAGATAAATGCATAGGGGTTTAATGACTGAATCCGACAGTCTCTTGTCTTTAATGGGGAAATTTAATTCATTTTCATTTAGCATGTTAATAGTTATTTTATACCTCAGATATTGCAGCATTAGTTGCAGATCACTGCAATAAAATGAGTATTGCAATAAAGTAAGTCATACCATTTTTGGTTTCGCAGTGCATATAAAAGTTATGTTTACATTATGGTCTATTAAGTGTGCAATCGCATTAAATCTTAAAAAAAAACAGTAGACATACCTAAATTTAAAAATGCTGGCCAGGCACAATGGTGTACATCTGTAATCCTAGCACTTTGAGAGGCCGAGGTGGGAGAATTGCTTGAGGCCAGGAGTTTGAGACCAGCCTGGGCAACATAGCAAGATCCTCTCTCTACAAAAAATTTTATAACTAGCCTGGCATGGCTCGAGCTTGTTGTCCTAGCTACTTGGGAGGCCGAGGTGGGAGGATGGCTTGTGCCCAGGAGCTCAAGGTTCCGGTGAGCTATGACCACACCACTGCACTCCAGCCTGGGTGACAGAGTAAAACCCTATTTATAAGAAAAAAAAGATAAATTAAAAATAAAAATGCTCCCAGGTGCAGTGGTATGTGCTACAGTTTAGTGTAGCCATGTTCGTCAGTGATCTTAGTTAAATCTTCCAGATAACTGGCTGCAGCTTCTATAGCAGCACTTGCTGCTACACCTTGCCCTTTTGTGTTATGGAGATGACTTCTTCCCTTAAACCTTATGAGCTATCCTCTGCTATTTTCAAGCTTTTCTTCTGCAGCTTCATCACCTCTCCCAGGCTTCACAGAATTGAAGTGAGTTAGTGGCTTGCTCTGGATTAGATTTTGGCTTAAGGGAATGTTATGGCTGGTTTGATCTTCTACCTAGACCACTCAAACTTTCAGCAATAAGGCTACTAATGCTTTCTCATCATTTTTATGTTCATACGAGTAGCACTTTTAATTTCCTTCAGTAACTTTTCCTTTGCATTCACAACGTGGCTAACCTGGTACGAGAGGCCCAGCTTTCGTCCTGTCTCAGCTTTCCACCTGCCTTCCTCACTAAGCTTAATCATTTCTAGCTTTTGATGTAAAGTGAGAGACATGCTACTCTTCCTTTCACTTCAGCACTTAGAGGCCATTGTAGGATTATTAACCCAATTTCAATATTGTTGTATCTCAGGAAATAAGGAGGCCAGAGAAGAAAGAGATGGTTAGGGGGAACAGCAAGTCTGTGGAGCAGCTAAAATACAGACAATATTTGTTGAGTTTGCTGTCTTATATAGGTGTGGTTCATGGCACCTCAAAACAATTACAATGGTAACATCAAAGTTCAGTAACCACACACAGATCGCCACAACAGATATAATAATAGTGAAAAAATTTGAAATATTTTGAGAAATATTTTATAATTGTGAGAATTACAAAAATGTGACACAGTAACACATAGTGAACACGTGCTGTTGTAAAAATGGTACCAATAGAGTTGCTTAATGCAGAGTTGCCACAGACCTCAGTTAAGAAAACCTGTAATATATACAAAGTGCAATAAAGCAAAGATGAGGTATGCCTGTACTTTCTGTCACCTTTTTTGTGTATATATGTTTTCTTTGGCCTTCTTTTCTCCTTTACTGCTTTGTAGAATTTTTGTAACCATTATTTTTTATTGTACTTATTCAAAAGTTATTCATTCTGTTGAGTGGTTACCCATAGATGTTTACCATGCATTTTTAACTTACGACAGTTTCAGTTGAGTCAGTATTTCTATTCTCCTAAACAATACCAGGGACCTTAGAGGATTCTAGCTGTGACCCCTCATCTTTCATGTTACTGTTGTCAGGAGTTATTTCTACCTTTTTTTTTAAAAAAAAAAAAAGATGGTCTTGCTCTGTTGCCCAGGCTGAAGTGCAGTGACATGGTCATAGCTCATTGTAACCTCAAACTCCTGGGCACAAGTGATCTTCCTGCCTCAGCCTCCCAGGCAGCTGGGACTGCAGGAGCATGCCACTGTGCCCAGCTAATATTTTTATTTTTTGTAGAGATGGAGTCTCACTTTGTTGCCCAAGCTGGTCTCAAATTCCTGGGCTCTGGCAGTCCTCCCACCCTGGCCTCCCAAAGCACTAGGATTACAGGCGTGAGCCACCACATCTGGCCTCACTTTTTTTTTTTTTTAAGGTCCTAAATAATCACCATTATTGCCATCAGTGTTTACTGATTTTCTTTGCTCTGTGAAATTTATTCTTTCCTTTTTGATTCAATTTTTTTCGTAAGTAGTTCTTTCTATGAAGGGCAATATCTTAGTCTGAGTGTCATGTTATTTGCCTTTACACTTGAATAATATTTTATCAAGGCATAGAATTCTAGATTAACAGTTATTTTTCCTCAGCACTTTGAAGATTTATTCCAGAGAAGTCTGCTGTGGTCCCACTTTTGCTCATTTGTAGGGTAATCTTTTTTTCTTTCTAGGCACTTTGAAAATTTTGCATTCTTCCATTCACTCCTACTTCCTTCATTTGTTTTTAATCTGTTTCATCCATCTATTGTGTTTTTAGTTTAAATGGCTATGTATCTTTTACTTCTGAAAGTTCACTGCTTGCTCTTTTTTTATTCCATAACATGGAAGTATTGTCCCCCCCAGTGATATAGATTAGATGACAGTGATCTCCAAATTTAACCATTTGCTGTGTTGCCTTTTTAAGTATTCTATTAAAAGCTTGCTTACAGATATATCTGTGAGGTAATGCCTCTGGGATAATTATTGTCTGTGTTAAATTTCTTTACCTCCTAAAACAGAAGTAAAGGTTTGCCTAGTGTTCTGTGTAAGCATCCCAAACTAGTATTGTTGGGGGTCATCTCAGGTAAACATGCCTTTTCCACATAAAGATTTTGGAAGGAGTTGAATTTAAGCTGATTTCTCTTTTTCTAAAGAATAATTTGTTGTGGGGACCTCCCTCGCATTATAGGTAAGAATTGATTGTGTTGGAGTTTTTGCTGTGTTTTATACCACTTTCCTACCTGTGTTTATAGTGAGAGAGTTGGTTCTGCTTTTGTTCAGTTTGCCACGTTGCTAGAACCAGAAGTCAGTTTTTTTTCCTTTGAATTTGTTTTGAAAATTTGTGATGCTTTTTTATTGGAAAGATGAAAGAAGTTGAGCATTTGGTGACTGAATGCTTTGTTTGTGCTTTCTAACCTCTGTAATTGTGGGCTGTGAAAGCATCTCCCCAGGCTCTGGGTTTGAAGGCCATCTGATGGAACCACAGAGCAGTTGCTTTGGAAACATAATATTCTAAACTGGTTGTTTTTCTTTCCCTTCAGGCTTTCCTAAAATAGATACGTTATTGTGGGAAAATAGGATTTGGAAAAACACTTAAGCAACCTGGCAATTGATTATTGAATTTTATTTGAAAAATAACTTTGTTTACCAAAATACTTTGAAAAGGCTATTTGCTGTTCTTTTTCCCATTTAGCAGAGGTATAGAGCAGTTGAAACATCTGGTGAAATTAGTACTTACAAGAAATGCCTGATCATTGCCTAGAATACTTTTCACTCTTAGTTTCCTTACAACTAAAATTCCTTGCTGAGAAAGAAACTTCTCTCAGGGCCTGAAAGGAAACAGTTAGTTGTCCCTAGTGTATCTGACACTGCCCTGAGAGAATGCCTCACGGTAGGGAGAATGGAGAGAAGGATGCAGCTCAAACATCCTTCATTCCTCACCCACACCCAGGGGAGGGGAAGGGAATACTTTCTACAGAGAGGAAGCCTTCTGGCTTGTCCAGAGCCAGGCCTCACTCCTCTAAACTTGCCCCTGCAACACCTGGAGAGCTTGGCTCTGCAGCTGGTGTAGCTAGGAGCACATCACTCTACAGATCCTCAACTAAAGTGGACTTAACTCTGCAAAGCAGGCGTCAGTGGGTAGGCTGGAGACCTTCCTTTAAATGACACAAATTATACTTTGGCTGGGACATCCAGCACCACCTTAGCCCTAGTTGGAAGCAAAAGTACTTAACATTTGCCTAAGATCATAGCAAAGACAGATAGTGCCTACCTTATGTCAGGTATTGGGCTAACTAATCTAATGCTTATTGCACTCTTACCATCTGCTTTCTACAGAGGGAAAGTTCTGGGAGGCCTGAACAGGGAGAACTGCTAGCATAAGAGGGCAGGGCTTGAGGATTCAGGGAAAATGCCAGACATACCTGTTTCAGTTTGGATTGAGGACAGGCTGTTTCTTTGTGTTTTGTTTTAAAGACTTCTCAAGTGTACAGAACCTGTCTTTTTTAACTTAGCCAAGAGTGTTACGTTCAGCTATAACCCAGGGGTATTCCTGTTCACAAGGAGAAGGAAAAAAAAAAAACACCTGTGGAGGTCATGGGTGTGAAATTATCTTAATGGGCATCCTTATGCTCTGGACATGAAAGATTTGAAATGTAAAAACCACATGCTTTGACCTGGCACTCCCTAATAGCACTGCGAAAATTGGCCAACTAAACCCTAGAGGAAATAGGTACTTTCAATTTTGAGTAGTTCATGGTTAATTTTAAACCAAACATCTGCGGAAGAAAAAGATGCAGTTAAAGGTCTGCTTTTCCACAGAATTCTTCATGGACAGAGTATCCCTACCATGTTCTTACTAAGAATTCAAAAACAGATGAAGAAGGGCAAAGATGCTTGGAACTGCTGTTTGAGGTGCATTTGGACTGAGAGTCAGGATTCCTTTGTGCTAATCCCAGTGGTACCAAGACCTGGGCCATCCTTATCACTTCTCATTCCCTGTTTTCTCATTAAAAATACGAGCTTGTACCAGATCTAAAAAATACACAGTTGAGGACTCACACAGAAACAAAGCTATGAAGAGGGTCAACCCTACGTATTCTTGGAGATTTTGCTTAGAAAAGCACCTTAGGTCCTGTGATGTAGTTGAACTTGAGTATGGATAGTCTATTTTTCATTACTTTTTACCCCATTTCTGCATAGGAGGTAGTAAACATGCAGCTTCATCAAGCTCTTATCACCAGAAGCAGCCAGTCTTCTTTGGAAAGGGGTTATCTTGTTGCTCTGACATCTTGGGATGCTGATGTTAATGGCTGATAAGGGCCACCCAAGATGATGTTTTCCTCCTTTTTCTTTAAGTGTTTCCAGTGACCTTGTTTCCTGAGATGTTTCAGTAGCATTCCAGAAAGTGCCATGGAAATGGTTATTATGCTAAAGGTTACAAGTTGTTTGTGGTTAAATGTGTTATTAGATGGGAAAAGTCAACTCACCGTTAAAAATGATTCACTCCTGGCTGGGTGCAGGGGCTCACACCTGGAATCCCAGCACTTTGGGTGGCCAAGGCAAGCAGATCACTGGAGCTCAGGAGTTTAAGACCAGCCTGCGCAACATGGTGAAACCCCATCTTTACAACAAAAATATAAAAATTAGCCGGGCATGACAGCGTGCACCTGTAGTCTCAGCTACTTGGGAGGCTGAGGTAGGAGGATGGCTTGAGCCCAGGAAGTGGAGGTTGCAGTGAGCTGAGATTGTGCCACTGCACACCAGCCTGAGCAACACAGCCAGGCCCTGTCTCAAAGAAAAAAGATTCACTCCATGAATTATGTCATCCAGAACCAGGTGTGAAACTCACCTACATTTTTTTCTTTCATTGAAAAGGTGCATGAAACCATCAGGGTTATTGACTTTATCTCATATGGAGAAAAGAGCTTGTAGCTAGGTTTTAATTATAGCTCTGCACATCCTCTTGGCCTAATTAAAGTTTGCTTTACTCCAAGGAAGGAGGAAGTGTATAAAGCTTTGCAGTGGTACTGTTTGTATCTCAGTTCCTCAGAAAAAAGCCTGCAAATAATGCCCCTGGGTGGTTCTTGGAGTTGGCAGTGGTATGGAAAATTTCGTTAGGTAGTGGTTAGCTGTTTGTGATGGCCTGCTTTTTCATTATAGTATAGTCCTGTCCTCTTTCGATCTGATTCTCAGAAGCCCAAGGTAGACAGACACCTGCCCCTATTTTCAGTACTTCACCTTCTCCAGCCTACTGGGTCCTCTCACCCTGTGGTGTCTACTTAACACGCAACTTGAAGAATTTCTGGGAAATTGACCAAAACAGCTCTTTGGAAAGAAGCTAGGCCTCAGTCCCAAAGGGAAAGGTGGCTGATGTGACTTTGACTTGAGGATTGTCTCCTGTGATGTGCTCCTAGTGGGGCTACAGGGGTCAGTCCTTTGCTTTGAGCACCTCTGTAGTCCACTACCCATGGACACATTGCTATCCTCTGAGGGGGATGGAGGGAGTAGAGCCCTCTACTGCTAGCCCATTTTATGGAGGTTTGATGAGGGTCTTAGGTGAATAAGCTTCAACTCAGGTCCTTGGTCTTGGTTTGTTAAATTATTCTATCCTTTCTGAAGCCAGGGAGATTTGAGAATTTCCATGACCCCATTATGAAATTGATGATGAAGAGTTTTCATCTTGTGAACAGAGTTCAGATGAATATGATCACAAAGTCAAGCCTCGTTTAAAATACTATGAAGCTCTCTTTATTGCTGCACATGAAACATTAGGCCTAGATTTAGGGGAAAGAATTGGCAGTCTTGAACTCTTTGTCATTTGTTTAGCAAATATTTGTTTGACATCTCTGGTACGCTAATCCCTGTGCTGGAATATGTTGATGCAGATGCAGGAGCCACAGTCACCACCCTTCGAAATCTTACAGAAGAGCACACAACAGGCCCATTAACAAAGGGAGCATGTGAGCAAACAGCTACAGGTCACTGCAAGGTGAGGGTAGAGGAAGGAGAATAGACCTCAGGCTCTAGTGCTCAAGGGAGTAATCATGAAGAAAATAGAATTTTAACTGAACTTTGAAGGATAGATAGGATTTTGAGAGCTGGAGATGGGGGTACATAGGTGCAGAGGGCATTCTAGTTGAAAAGAATAAAACAGTGGTCACTGCCAACACTTATGTTTAATCCTATGAACCACATTGGGTGAGACAGGCATTATGTACTTCATGGTGGGAGCCTTATGTTTATCCCATTTGAGGACTGAGAAAACTGAAGTTTAAAATGTTGGAATACCTTAGCTAAGGTCACCTAGCAAAACGTGAAAAAGCTAGGGTTTAATGGGCTAATGCCCAAACCCATGCTCTTTCCCCTTGGCTACTGTGTAGCGGTTAAGGAAGGGCATGTTTGGAGAATGGGAAGAGGTCCAATTTGTGTGCACGTAGGGGAGAAGTGAAAGATAAGCTTGGGACCACGTTGTGGAAGACTAAATACCTGGACACTGCACCTAGGATTCAGGGTTTCATTCTGAAGGCAATGATGACTCACTGGAGGGTTTTAAATATGGAAATATGGAATTCAGTGGTTTGAGGGGCACAGCGGCCCCAGTGGAAGTGTGGTAGGTGTGAGTAGCAGTGGAGGGAGTGTTGCATTGAAGCATGACAGAGCTCCTACAGGGAACCTCAACAGGTGGAAGAGGAATGGTGGGCCTAGGTCAAGTGGAGTGGCACCGAGTGAGCAGCTTCTTGTGTGTATACCTGGTTTATGCTTCAGGAGTGAAAAAAGTTCACCACCCAATACTGAGGTTTGAGTTCTTTAACTAAACTCCAAAGACAACAGGTGTTTTATACATGGATTCCCCTGCCCCATTTATGGGTGGGGAGAGGGCAAATGGAACGTTAGGTTAACTAGTTTAAAGAGTCAAGGCAATCCCACCTGGATCCCTTCTTAAAAAGGAAGCCTGTGTCCAAGAGTCCCTTCTGCTGAGTTAACAAGACCCCTTCAACCCGTTCTCATCTTTGGGATTGAGGCGCCTGCAGAATTACAAGAGAGGATTTGTCCTCCTCTTCTCCAGAGAGCTACCTTGATTTTCCCCACCCCTGCCAAGATAGACATTCATGAATGCAGTCATCCACACCTCCACAAGTGCACACACACCAGCCATCCTATTTTAAAACAGACAAAAGCAAAACCAACCCAGGATGTCTCTGGACACCATAAACCAAAATAGTCGCTGGAAAAAACAGTGATGGTAGGTTCCAGATTTAAGATTCATAAAATGGTAACATTTCCAAAAATATCTCTGATGAAGACAGTCATATGTTAGTACGTTTTTAATTTTGCCAAGAGAGGCTGCTGTTTTAAAAAAGAGGATCTTTTACATTGCACGAATTTATCTTCATGAAAACCTTACTGCGTTGTCCTTATTTTTCTTATTCGCGGTTGTCCCACAAACATTTCATCAAGAAGCACCAGTTTCCTTTCTGTACCCTCAAGCCACAGGAGGTAGTTCCTTGGTTCCCTCCTGGGGTAGAAAGAAGGGCAGCAAAAAGAGCACTGTGCTAAGCTGGCCCTTCCCTCTCCACCCCAGGTCTCAAGAGTGCATGCCAGCTTCCTCCCCCGACCTCCAACGCACTTTGGATTCAGACTTTGTGTCTTGCTTCTTAGGACTTCTGATCAGCCTGCATGGATCCTGCTTGACTGGCCATGACTTTAGAGAGTAGTAGAAGACAGAAAAGTTAATACACCTTCTAATGAATTACCATGTGGGTACTGATCTTTCAAAGATAGTATAGAATAGTTTGTTGTGTGGTCTGTTTTTAAAGTCTGTTAACATGAAGCTACAGAAATTTGGAACAGACCCTTTAGAGATAATTTAGTCCAACCTCATCATTTTATAGTAAAAACAACAAAAGCCCACAGGAATTAGCTGGCTTGCCCCAGGTGCTGGGCCTGGCACTCAAGCCTTCCTCCTAATTCCATGGCTCTTCATCATGAACTGATGCTTCTCCCATGCTAAATCCTTGTGCTCTTCTTTGGCCATGAAAAGCCTGTTAACTCTCAGTGCTTTTTTATGTGTAGAAGGTGACAAAGCAGAAGGAAAATGGCAAGAAGAAAGATAACCAAAGAAAAATCAGATAGAAGGCAGGATACCCAGCGTGAGTGCAGCGGCTACACCCATTTTTTGCCATTTATTTCTGATGTCAGACCAGGTGGAAATATCACAAGGTGTCTTCAGATCCTTGTAATCACCTCTTGTTCCCTGGGGGGGAATCTGTGTTGCTCGCCAAGCTAAACTCTTGTGTTCAAGGACAGGGAACACAAGAATTGGGGTGCAGACTCTACATCACAGCCCTGCAGTTATCACGGGCCCATTGAGGGGAGGGGCCCGTGATAACTGCTGGGCTGTGATGTAGAGCCTGTACCCCAGTTCTGGGGTCCTCTCTGTGACAGCATAGTGCCTACTGTGCTGCAAGTGATTCTGAGGCATGGGCACTTGTGAAGCCTTCAGTTTGTGAAGCCTAATTCATGGATCCGGAGGATTGTACATACAACAACAGGAAATAATGAAGATAAAGTTGGACTAAATTATCCCTGAGCCTACAGCAGTGGTTCTCAAAGTATGGTTTCCACATCAGCAGCATCAGTATCACCTGGACCTTGTTAGACATACAAATTCTAGGCCCCCAGACCTACTGGAACAGAAACACCCCCAGGGACCCATGTTTTACTAACTCACCCCTCAGGTAATTCTGGTGCTGCACACTCAAGTTTGAGGAGCACTGGCTTAGGGAAAGCAGCCAGAGGCTTCTGTGGGGCAGAGCAGGGAGCCTGTGATTGGCTTGGTCTGGGCACTTGTGCTAGGACCAAGGGGGTGACGGGCTGAGGGTTCTGCAGAGAAGCAGCGTGGTAAAGGAAGGTCTCTGAGGGCAGCAGCCTGGGAGTGACTTTTAAGCCCACCCCTTAGGAAATTGAGACTCAAGTCATTAAAGCTTTCCTTTTGTTTACACTTGCCTACAATTGTTTTTTCTCAGAGCAAACTTGGCTCAGCACAGCCCAAGGTAAATTATCACAGATTCTGCAACTAATAAAGTTCAATGAGGACTTTACATGGCTCAGATGCTGTTGGTGACTGGCTCTTTCTTCTTTTTTAGTTAGTAACAGGAGTATGGGAAGGCAAATACAACTTCTTCTGTCAGGGCACACGCACCGCAGGAGAATCAGATATGAAGGTACTGTCTCTTTTTCAGAAACTTTATTATTATAAGTGTTGAGTTTTTAAAAATAAATTGTATAAAATACAAAATGGCCCATAACCTCACTGCCCAGGCAATCCCTGTTGATATTTTTAAAAGAATAAAAAAGGCAATATATACACATCAAATTAAAATTTGAATGTGAAAGGTATAAAATAAAACCTAAAGCATCCCCCTCTGTAAAAATAACTCCGGTTAACAATTGGCAGGAAAAATCACATGCAGTCAGTATGTTATATTTACACAATCAGGATCATAAGAGCAATGTCTTAAATTTTTAAAATCATTCATCCAAGTACTTTTTTCCGAGTAGTGGTGTTAAAAATAAAATCTGACTTCCACTCATGAGGTTTGTTTTAAATCACAGGCCAACAGTCGCAGCTCAGCATGGGCAGTCATCTCCTTAGAGCACTTGTTTGACATGTTTAATTGGGCAGAGACCTGACACTGCAGGTTCTGATTCCTTTTCTTCTGTGTCACTTATCAGGTCGGCTGCTCCATGTTAGTCCCTGAAATCAATAGCGTTTTTCAGATGGTTTTCCTTTGCTAATGGCTGTGCAGGCTGCTTCCAGAGGGAATAGGCAGACTTCAAGGTTTTGAACCTTGAGCCTCATGTTTTTGTTAGTCTCAAAGAGTGTCAGGGACCCTTTCAAAAATATTCCCTGTAGTCATTTCAAACCCCTCCAGCTGTCCCAACCCAATCATGTTCTTTGGTTAAAGGTACTTGGAGAGTGACCATAGCTCCCAGCCACTGATGGACATTAAGAGCTCTTGGGGCACTCGGGCTTCTCCGAGTTGACATCAGATTTTTGGATATTAGTGAAACATGTCAGAGGTGATATTCCAGAGAAGCCGTGAGGATAAGCCTTAAATCTTTGACCCTTTCCTCTTAGATTATCCGTGTCCTCTGGTGGTACTACTTCTCCAAACTCATAGAATTTATGGACACTTTCTTCTTCATCCTGCGCAAGAACAACCACCAGATCACGGTCCTGCACGTCTACCACCATGCCTCGATGCTGAACATCTGGTGGTTTGTGATGAACTGGGTCCCCTGCGGCCACTGTAAGTATTAGAGACGGGGACTTGGGGAACAGGTGTGAGCAGGGAGGAGAGTTGAAACTAAGGCTTTCAGAAAAGGTGCTGTTTCTGTAAATGTCTAGGTCAGGCTTTCAGCTTTGTGTTCAAGTTGCTTTTAATGATAGTTTATGTACCTATGCACACAAAACCCTTTTTTAGTTAAGTGAACTTTCTGTGCTGATTGGGTGAGATGAGGGAGATACCACTGGGGACATATTAAGGAATAGGTACAATATTCTCTGACTTAGAGGGCAACTTTCCAGGTTCTTTCTGGTCCTTCTGTATGGTGTGGAAGGTTTGAGACGGGCAGGTGAGGAAAATAGGATCACACTGTTGCATGAGTACCAGGGAGCAAGGCTCATTTTGAAATACAGCTTTAGCTGTCATGCATTAGGAAGTCTCCACATGTTCTAACAACCCTCATATTCCCTGAAGCATGGTGATCAAGGTGTCTTCTATAACGAGCACCAAAACTTGATATAAATTTTCTAAGGTTGTACTTGGTTTTTGGAAAGCTTGTAGTCCAAAGTTTCTTATAATTTTCAGAGATTGCCACCTTCAGATTCAGCCTGGGAGTTTTAGCAAATGTCTCAGTCAAAAGTCCCGTCATCCAAACACTGAAGAATTTAACTGAGAACCTATGGGTCTATTTATGGATATTTTTTTCTCTGGGATAGCACTGCCCTTGATTACCTGAGCCTGCTAAGATTCACAGTGTCATGGAATTCCAGAGCTAGGAAAAAAAAAAAGCTTTCCAAATACAGATCCTTTGGGTTTGGGAGGAAACTAAGACCACAGAAAGGTGGGTAGAGTTGGGGCTTTCTGCTCTTCCTCCCACTGTCAGAGCTCATGATGGTGGATTAACTGACCTAACTTTCTAATAGAAACAGCCCCTCCCTACATTTGAAGAGTGCTTTAAATTTTCAGAGAACTTTCAGGAGGACAGATTTAATCAGCTCCACTTGGGCCATGAGAAACTGAACCAGGGAATGGATGTGATGTGTCCAAAGTCAAAAGCCAGTTCCTATCATAGCCAGGAGTAGAAACTTCCCTAACACCAGGCTGTGCACCTGCAACTGCACAGGGAAAAGCCAGATGGCTTGGTTTGGTTGCTGACTGTTGGGGAGGAGGACAGAGTCTGGAAAAAGAACTAGTGGTCCTACTGAACATTGAAAATGATGTGATAAGATGGCTCTTTTATCTCTAAGGAGCTAGACTCTTGACTCTATTATTAATAAAAATGTATGACCTCAGCACTGCAGTCCTGGGAAATAATTAGAAGATGGCTTCAGAGACCTCTCCACACCCCAGCAAATGTATAGAAACAACCATTTTTGAGCATATTGCCCATCAGCTGTCTTCCACAGCCTTCAGAGAGCATATTTGGGCAGTTGTGCATGTAAAGAAAAACAGCTGTCTCTGAGAGTGGGTGGGCATCTGCAGCAAAGCCTGTAGGTGCTGGGATGGCGTCGTGGCTTCAGTGTCAGATGCCCCTCTAGCAGCTACAGCTGACCCCTGGGCTCGGAGCCTCCTGGTGGCTGCCTGCCCAAGTGGAAATTGAATTCTCATTACACATCCATGCATTGCTTGCTGTTGCAGTGTTTGTCAGCTCCGTTGGAAGTCATCTCTCTTTCTGATTCAAAAAGAATCTTGTATTTTTTTTTTTTTTACCACCTGTTCTGTTTAAAACACTAATACATTCTCCTTCCCAAATCCCTCTGTTCCTGCAGCTTATTTTGGTGCCACACTTAATAGCTTCATCCACGTCCTCATGTACTCTTACTATGGTTTGTCGTCAGTCCCTTCCATGCGTCCATACCTCTGGTGGAAGAAGTACATCACTCAGGGGCAGCTGGTGAGTGACTTGGCCTCTTTCCCCAGGACTTACTTCCTGGTGGATACAGACCTCTTCCTGGCTTTAGTGTTATGTAATAGCATCTAAGATGCCCCTTCTCCACCCTTTTTCATTTGATGTAATTAAATTCCTTGAAGTGGGTAGATTAGGGAATTTTCTTGTTTTGAACTGATAGTGAACTGTGACCATGGGCATACAGCTAGTTGAATTGTACAAAGAGGTCTAGAATCTAATTTGCCAACTTCAAGTTCAGCTCTTCTGAGTTTTTGCACATAAGCACATATGCATGTATGTGTGTATATGTGTGTGTGTTTTCTAATTATAGTCCAAAATCCAAAATGAAAATTGTATGTTTCCAGGGGTTTTAGAAGGAGCTGGAGAGTAGTATGGAGTCCAGGGTATGTGTAGCCCATTACTAGGCAGCAAGGATATTTGTTTGGCAGGTATGGATGACCCCTCAGCCCCCATGCAGTGGAGCACCTGTTGGTGAGGATGGCAGCTGTTTGCTTCAGTTAACAGCTCCTCCCCTGGTTTACTGCCAGGGCCAGGCCACTTCACCTGATACTTCTCACCATCCTTGATTAAGCCTTCTGCATTCATCAGTATATTATAGGTAACCTCTTTCTCTCCTCTCATGAATTCGTCTATGAACTAATTAATACTACTACTGCTCATATTAAACACTGACATTTCCTAAGTGTTTAGCACATGTTGGGTACTCATACTAAGTACATGATTTTACATAGATTGTTCCAGTAGCCTGATTTCATATTATTGTCCCCAAGCCAGGCACAGTGGCTCACGCCTGTAATCACAGCATTTTGGGAGGTCGAGGCAGGAGGATCACTTGAGGCCAGGAGTTTAAGACCAGCCTGGGGAACATAGTGAGGCCCTGTCTCTACCAAAAAGAAAAACACATATTATTGTCCCTATTTTATAGATGACACTGAGTCAATAGGCCAAAGCTAGCTGACTGAGGGGTGTGGACATTAAACCCTTTGCCCTGTCCTTGCATTATTAACACATTTTTCTAAACACACCAAGCTGATTCAGATCCCTTCAAGTCAATTATGATTTTTCAATATTTAAAAATAACAATCTGAAAAAAAAGTCTGAGAAAATCTTAGAGACTGAAGTGTTTGATGTTTCATTTTCACCTCTCTGCCAGCTGCTATATGGTCCTTGTTAATTTTTTCTCACCCACCTGTGAAAAAGGAAAATTGTTGATTAACCTCCTTGTTATACTTGAGGAGAAATGATGCAGAAATTGATTTATACCACAGTTTTGGGTCTGGCGGAAGCAGAATTTAAAAGAACAGACTGGCAAAGTTGGTCTCCCGTTAGGCTCTGTACTTTGAGGTGGAAGATTAAACCTACCCAGGTTGTCAGGATTTATTTTAAGCACCACTCCTAGTTATTCCTCAGTCTGCAGTACTAACCTTAAAAAAGAGAAGGCAAACAGCCAGGCACAGTGGGTCATGGCTTGGAGTCCCGGTCACTCGGGAGGCTGAGGTAGAAGGATCTCTTGAACCTGAGAGTTTGAGGCCACCCTGGGCAACATAGACCCTGTCTCAAAAATTAAAAACAAAAAACTCTACATAGAAACATTGGAGCTGCTAGAAATACAGTGTGCAGAGCCTAGCCCTTTTTTTGGGGGGAGGGGCAGGGGTTGAGCTGGAGTCTCGCTCTGTCACCAGGCTGGAGTGCAGTGGCGCGATCTCGGTTCGCTGCAACCTCTGCCTCCTGGGTTCAAGCAATTCTCCTATCTCAGCCTCCCAAGTAGCTGGGACTACCGGCGTGTGCCACCATACCCAGCTAATTTTTGTATTTTTAGTAGAGACAGGGTTTCACCATTTTGGCCAGGATGGTGTTGATCTCTTGACCTTGTGATCCGCCAGCCTCGGCCTCCCAAAGTGCTGGAATTACAGGCGTGAGCCACCACGCCCGGCCTGAGCCTAGCCCTTTTTAAAACATCTTTCCACCATTTCTCTAACCAGTTCACATGCGTTTCAAGGTTTATTCATCAAAATTAATCAATGCACTTAGTGTTGTTTGCCAGTAAAGGTTTAAATCTACTCATCAGCCTTCACCAAACCAGAAGCGTCCATGGATAAGGAGTTGGAAGGATGTCCAGCCAGGTGGCACATCCTGCAGTGATGTTATCAGTGCCCTTTCAACATACACACTTGCTCTTCCTTCTCAAAAAATAAAAACAAAAAGTCTTGGATGTCTCTATAGTGTATCCTTGAAATTTGGAGAAGGTAGTTTAAATAGCTTGGAGGGCAGAGGAAGAATATATATAAGACAAACACACCTAGAGTTTAGGATAAGTATAGTGTATGTGTTGTGTTCATGAAGTGACTGCTGTACCTGCAGCAAGGGTAGTAAGTGTTAATTCAGAAATTTAGGTGATGCTGGTTAAAAAGTCTGCCTGGTGTGGGGCCTCGTCCATGCACTGTCCCTGTTCAGCTGCATCCCCTCTGTTCCCCTAGCTTCAGTTTGTGCTGACAATCATCCAGACCAGCTGCGGGGTCATCTGGCCGTGCACATTCCCTCTTGGTTGGTTGTATTTCCAGATTGGATACATGATTTCCCTGATTGCTCTCTTCACAAACTTCTACATTCAGGTAAATCTCACCCTTCTCTGGGACTTGGAATCTGGGGCCTTTACCAACAAAGGCCCTCATCTATTTACTTAATGGGCATGTGGAGCCCTTGCTGGGTGACAGGCTCTGGCCTCTAATGGAGTCACTATGACAAGAGCAGCCCCTGCCTCTGGGGGGCTCACAGCTCACTGGAAGACACTAGAATCCTGTTCTAGAGCCTGGGTGAGGAAGTCTTGGGATTCCCCTGGGAAATGGAAAACTGTGCAGCAGGACCCTATGTTGCTTCCCTCTGACCTGCAGCAGAGACGTGAGAGGTGATTTCAATCAGAAATCTCTCAGTTCACTACCCTGAACGTCATGGCCAAATGAAATTTCAGAAGAGATTTTTATCACAGTCCTCAGATATGGAGATCTGCTTTTTTGTCCCAGCTTTCTTATACATTCAGTCTTCAGGTGTGAGGATTCGGTTCATTCCTAAGCATATGATGTGGTGATGTAGGTCTTTGCTCACAGAAAGATCCATTTAGGGCAGATAATTTCCAGTGGAGCCTGACCACGTTGCAGCCACTGCTGATTCTCCTGCCATGCGTCACCCCCCAGATGACATGTGTCCTGCCTTTGTTGCCAGTGCCTGGTAGCCATAAGGCCTGCTGATCTGGGCAAAACACGGAGGTCAGGAGCAAGGGCAGAGGCTGCAAGTCCCGAGGCTCAGACATTTGTCCTTTCTTCTTCTGTGCCCACAAGCACCTGTGTGTGGCATGTTGAGTTTCAGTGGAAGTCATATACTTCTGGGCTTCATAGTTTATGGCTGCACTGTGGGACATACACCAGCTACAAGGAAGGTGAAAGGATAGGACCCGATGAAGCTGAAATCACATTTATTCTAACTACTTATAGCAGCATAGCACTTTGTTCATGAAGGCTGAGATAGTCGCCGAGGCAGTGAGGAACTTTTGAAGACGAACAAGGGATGTGGGTGTCAAGAGAGCTGCTGCCAGGTGGGAAAGACCAATTTGGCCACATAACCCCTGTCATCTGCCATCCAGATACTAAAAGGCAAAGCAAAGTGTAAATTGAATTTTCTATGTGACATTTTAAATAGTATTTCTGTTGCAGCCTGTGATTCAGTTAACTTACCTCAGGCTAAGCCTCAAAAAAAAAAAGGAAGAATGATTGAAACCAGTGACAAAAGATTTAGTCAATGAGGACTTGACCTCAGGAGTTTCTCCTTGATAAGATTTGATCTTGAAACTAGGCCTAGTGTTAGGGATGCAATTCTCAGTAAAGTTCCCTATAAAGAAAACTGTGGTCATTTGGTTCTCATCTGCCCTTACACATTTTAGACCTACAACAAGAAAGGGGCCTCCCGAAGGAAAGACCACCTGAAGGACCACCAGAATGGGTCCATGGCTGCTGTGAATGGACACACCAACAGCTTTTCACCCCTGGAAAACAATGTGAAGCCAAGGAAGCTGCGGAAGGATTGAAGTCAAAGAATTGAAACCCTCCAAACCACGTCATCTGATTGTAAGCACAATATGAGTTGTGCCCCAATGCTCGTTAACAGCTGCTGTAACTAGTCTGGCCTACAATAGTGTGATTCATGTAGGACTTCTTTCATCAATTCAAAACCCCTAGAAAACGTATACAGATTATATAAGTAGGGATAAGATTTCTAACATTTCTGGGCTCTCTGACCCCTGCGCTAGACTGTGGAAAGGGAGTATTATTATAGTATACAACACTGCTGTTGCCTTATTAGTTATAACATGATAGGTGCTGAATTGTGATTCACAATTTAAAAACACTGTAATCCAAACTTTTTTTTTTAACTGTAGATCATGCATGTGATTGTAAATGTAAATTTGTACAATGTTGTTATGGTAGAGAAACACACATGCCTTAAAATTTAAAAAGCAGGGCCCAAAGCTTATTAGTTTAAATTAGGGTATGTTTCAAGTTTGTATTAATTTGTAATAGCTCTGTTTAGAAAAAATCAAAGACCATGATTTATGAAACTAATGTGACATAATTTCCAGTGACTTGTTGATGTGAAATCAGACACGGCACCTTCAGTTTTGTACTATTGGCTTTGAATCAAGCAGGCTCAAATCTAGTGGAACAGTCAGTTTAACTTTTTAACAGATCTTATTTTTTTATTTTGAGTGCCACTATTAATGTAAAAAGGGGGGGGCTCTACAGCAGTCGTGATGAAACTTAAATATATATTCTTTGTCCTCGAGATTTTAGGAAGGGTGTAGGGTGAGTAGGCCATTTTTAATTTCTGAAGTGCTAAGTGTTTTTATACAGCAAACAAAAAGTCAATTTTGCTTTCCACCAGTGCGAGAGAGGATGTATACTTTTCAAGAGAGATGATTGCCTATTTACCGTTTGACAGAGTCCCGTAGATGAGCAATGGGGAACTGGTTGCCAGGGTCTAAATTTGGATTGATTTATGCACTGTTATCTGTTTTGACACAGATTTCCTTGTAAAATGTGCCTAGTTTACCAAAATTAACAAAGGGGGGGAAAGGACCTTAGAACTTTTTAAGGTAAAATCAAATATAGCTACAGCATAAGAGAATCGAGAAATTTGATAGAGGTAACTTGTTTAATGTAAATCTAATAGTACTTGTAATTTCTTTCTGCTTAGAATCTAAAGATGTGTTTAGAACCTCTTGTTTAAAAATAATAGACTGCTTATCATAAAATCACATCTCACACATTTGAGGCAGTGGTCAAACAGGTAAAGCCTATGATGTGTGTCATTTTAAAGTGTCGGAATTTAGCCTCTGAATACCTTCTCCATTGGGGGAAAGATATTCTTGGAACCACTCATGACATATCTTAGAAGGTCATTGACAATGTATAAACTAATTGTTGGTTTGATATTTATGTAAATATCAGTTTACCATGCTTTAATTTTGCACATTCGTACTATAGGGAGCCTATTGGTTCTCTATTAGTCTTGTGGGTTTTCTGTTTGAAAAGGAGTCATGGCATCTGTTTACATTTACCTTATCAAACCTAGAATGTGTATATTTATAAATGTATGTCTTCATTGCTAGGTACTAATTTGCAGATGTCTTTACATATTTCAATACAGAAACTATAACATTCAATAGTGTGCTGTCAAAGTGTGCTTAGCTCACCTGGATATACCTACATTGTTAAATGTCTAAACAGTAATCATTAAAACATTTTTGATTACCTGTGCCTGCATTTTACATTTTTTGTGCTGGCAATTCTGAAGAACTGGAGAAAAATCCACTTAATTCACTGTCTAGGAACTTACACAAATGGATATAAATAATTCAGTTAGGAAGGCCATATTATTGCTTAGTTCTCAATGAGGAAGGACCCTGCATAATAAGGCATAGTGGTGGTTCCACCCTAATGCTGTCCCCTCTGCCTCCTCCAGGTAATCCCACTAAAGGTTCCAGCTCTAAATATGCTCCTTTGTCCTTCCTCCCCATTGGCCCCAATCTCTCCCCTTACCCTGAGAATGTTAGAATTACTTTCCTAGGTCTAGACCATAGGTCTTCTGCAAAATTTTTTTCTGGAAAGAACCAGTTGGAAAATATTTCAGGCTTTGCAGGACATACAGTCCCTGTTGCAGCCACTTGACTGTGCCATCGTGGAGCACAAAAACAGCCATAGACAATATGTAAATGAATGGGCATGGCTGTGTTCTAATAAAACTTTATTTACAGGCTTGGAAAACATAGCAAGACCTCATCTCTACATAAAATTTTTAAAAATTAACTGGGCATGGTGGTACATACCAGCAGTCCCAGCTACTCAGGAGGATGAGGCCAAAGATCGCCTGAACCCATGAGTTCGAAGTTACGGTGAGCTAGGGTCATGTGACTGCACTCCAGCCTGGGCAACAGAGTGAGACCCCATCTCTTTAAAAAAAAAAATTACAAAACAGAAGGCCTGTGCCTATAGTTTGCTGACCTCTACTCTAGAGTAATGAGGTCCCCTCCCCTTGGACCTAAAGCTCAATCATTTTATTTGCCAAAGATCATTTTATGTCCCAGATTGTGGCCCTTCCCAGCGTACCCTACTTATTTTGAATTTACAGGTACATTCACGTCTACAACAGGAGAGATGACATGGATGGTCCATCTTCCTTCCATCTACTTCATACCATATGGTCCCCAGTATAGGCTCTTAGGTACTAAACTAGAAAGCACCTAAGAGCCAAGACTAAGCCTATACCGTTTTAAATGAGTGCTCATGAAAGTCATGTTAGTTGCTGAAATTACCTGCGGATGTGACTGCAGAATTGTCAGAACTCCAGAGAAATGTCACCTAAAACTGCATTTAGTACTTGGGATATTATCCAGAAGGTGTAAGAGGATTGTTGGGGAGTTGATGGGAATAAATTATATCCCTGTCTTTCCCCTCTAAGTTCAGAACAAATTGAAAAAATACTGGAAATTAGACCAGTAGGAATCAAAATAGCATGTGTCTTACTAAGAAGGCTGGATTGGTGAAACTAAGACCACAGTGTGGCTCTCTAATTAACCCTTGCTAATAACTCTATTAACCTAACTTACCAGGGCTCAGTAGCACACCAGTGGTTGCTCTGAGGGTTGGTCTGGTGATAAAGTGATTATTAAAATATATTAAATATCAGTCCTGGAATTTACCTACCTTAAATTGTAAACTCCCCTTGTGGCAGATTCTACACTGATGACCTTACCATGCCAAGAAAGTGTGCTTAGCTGCACCTCCCAAGCAGCAATCAAAGTCTTCCCTCCTCCCGTCAGAGAAGTGAGTGGATAAGAGGCGAGAGAGAGGGCAGATGTGTTCTGCTGTCCTTTTTCTTGTATGGAAAAGGGAGGATTCCCATTTCTCCCTCTATTTTTGGCAGCCTTGCTAATCATGTGAAGGGCATTGTAGACTAATATGAGAAGTACAACTTGGAGACCACATTGGCTGGGTTGAAATCCTACCTGTATGACCTTTTGGCAAGAAAACTTTGCCTTAGTTTTCTCTTCTGCCAAATAGGAGTAATGTTAGTTTCTATGTTACAGGGTCCTTGTAAGGATTAAATAGATGACTAATGATACTGTATATATAAAGCCTTTGGAACCCCATCTAGCTCAGAGTAAAGTGTAAGTGATAACTTCAGGATTGTAATCTCAACTCACCCCACTGGTCTCTTTCAGCTGTAAGCTATTGTTTCACTGTTATTTCCCTGGTTGGCTGCTCTAGTAATCCTATCCAAAAAAAGGGAAGGAAGTTATTTCGTGTGACATTTTCTTTGTTAAATCAGTGTTGAAAAGAAATCAGCAATTGTTAGGAGTCAAATGTTCACCGTCTATATTATTCCTGATTTTGCCAGAGTTTTACATTAAGTTCACCATTCTGGAGTTTTTAGAATCTACTTTGGAAAATAGGGCAGTGATTATCAGTATCTGGACTTCGTTCATTGTTTCCCTGGAGTTCTGACAACAATTCTGCAGTCATATCCACAGGTTGTTTCAGCGACTGACATGTCTTTCATGAGAACTCGTTTAAAACAGGTGTTTCCTGCTATCCCCTTATCACTCTTGGACTTCAAATCCTAACCAGGTTTTTCTTTACACTCTTTAATTTGGAAATGATTGTCCTCAGTGGAGCAGATGGAGCCAAATAGTGGTTGCTGTCAGTTTTTTGCTCTGCTCTTCAGCATTGCTTCATTGGCCATTAGTTCTTACTCCAGGCATAGATTTAAAACCTGCTTTTGTTATCCTTGACATTTTTGTAGTCCTTATCTTCTCTCTTTCTTCGGTATGTTTATGGCTCATGAAAAGAAAGTTCCTGGGCCAGTTTTTGCTATAGCTTGCAGAGGATGTCTGGATTCGACTCTTGATCAGATCAAGGAAGACTTCTGGGGTGGAAATTGTAGGAACAAGCAGTGCAGGATCCAGTGAATGGCTAATGTAGTGGTGACAGAGACCCAGTTGTAATGCTTCCCTTTCTCACATAATCAGGACTCTCCTGAACAGTACCTACCACCCTGTCTGTTGCCCCATTTATGTTACTCTGTTGGCCAGGCCTTTGCAGAATGTGACCTTGTTCACTGGGAGAGTGCTTGGTACAGAGGACTGAGCTAGGTGTATTGAGCAAACAGGGATCTGTGAGAAAACAACCGGCCCTCGCAGGAGCCTCTACTGAATTGGGATCAAACATACACACATGTGCCTTCTGTGTAAAATGGTTGTGGTGACTGCCGTAAACTGGTATAAACCAGCTACCATGAGAGTCCAGGGAGGGAGAACCCTTCTAGCAAGGGTGGGTAAGAAAAGCACTGTAAAGGAGTTGGCTTTTAATCTGAGCATTCAGAGACCATCTGGGTTTCAGTAGTTGGAGCCTGAAGGTGCTGGGAAGACAGCATTCCACATACAGGAACCAGTATGAGCAAATGCATAGAAGGCCCAGAGGGAGATGACACACTGCACTCGAGTGGATCTGTGGGTGAAACTGCTTGTTTTAAAAATGAGGTCAAGTGGGAAGAGAGTGGAATTTGTCTGGGTGTTCTCCTTGATGAAATGTGTAGAATGTTGTTCAGAGCTCCCAGAGGAAGTAGTGATTATGTGTAAAGGAACCATTCTGAGCAGAGCCTCCTGTCACTGGCCTGTGCCCTAGCCGTCCTGCTCCCATCACCAGCAGTGCCAGGGAGGAGCCAGAACATGATGATAACGAGAACCAGGACTCACATTAGTCTCAGTTATAAGCTGATGGAGTCTTCTGTCAGATAGGGCAGGTTCAAAGGGTACCTCAGACCTTTGCCAGAAAATTGCTCCTCACCAAAGAGATGGCATTTGAAATCTGAAAACGGGACCCCTGATGGGATGAGTCGGGATTGAAATCCCACATTGGCTCATAAACAAATATTTCTTAAATGATTGTGTCCACACATTCCTACTGGTGTTCTTTGTTCAAATAATGGGCATAGATGCAGGTTTCCCTTGGATGAATTTGACAATGTTTTAACCAAGCTACCACTTTTCAGCAAATTGTGTGCTTTCCCCTTGACAATGTTCCCAGTGAAACAGGTGCCTGTTTGTAGGAAAGCATCAGCACCAGGTTCCAACAACCTTGTGCCCTTCCCTGCTCCCCTTTTTTTTTTTTTTTTAAGATGGAGTCTCACTCTGTCACCCAGGTTGGAGTACAGTGGCCCAATCTCGGCTCACTGCAAGCTCCACCTCCCGGGTTCACGCTATTCTGCCTCAGCCTCCCGAGTAGCTGGGACTACAGGCACCTGCCACCACGCCCAGCTAATTTTTTTTTTTTTTTTTTGTATTTTTAGTAGACACAGGGTTTCACCATGTTTGCCAGGATGGTCTCAATCTCCTGACCTCGTGATCCGCCCGCTTCGGCCTCCCAAAGTGCTGGGATTACAGGTGTGAGCCACTGCTCCCAGCACCCTGCTCCCTTATTAATTGCTGTGGCTCTCAGTCCTCCAGGAAGGCTACATGGTTAGGGGTTGACCAAGTCCCAACTGCCTGCTGCCTGTGCCATTCCTGCAGAGCTCCAGCCCTCTAGGAGTACTGGGTTAAGTGTATTTTAAAACCAAGGCCAGGGCTGGGTGTGGTGGCTCATGCCTGTAATCCCAACAGTTTGGGAGGCCGAGGCAGGTGGATCACTTGAGGTCACGAGTTCGAAACCAGACTGGCCAACATGGTGAAACCCCGTCTCTACTAAAAATACAAAAAATTAGCTGGGTATGGTGGTGCACACCTGTAATCCCAGCTACTCGGGAGGCTGAAGCAGGAGAATCACTTGAACCCAGGAAGAGGAGGTTGCAGTGAACTGAAATCACGCCACTGCACTCCAGCCTGCCTGAGCGACAGAGCAAGACTCTGTCTCAAAAAAACAACAACAAGGCCAAATGTCACCCCATGATCTTAACAAGGGAACAGTCAGAATCCAAATCCTAAGCACACAAAGCTACTTTCTTAAGGGCAATGGGAGAGGGAAATTGTGATGGCCCCAAGCTAGAACCTAAATTACACCTTTACTTTAGAACTGAGTATAGAAGGATACATATCCTAGGGCACAGATGGGACACCTCTGTCGATGCTAGAAGAATTCTATGTGTGTTTGGAGGTGGCATAGCATACCTGTTAGAAAGGCTTTGCTATTTACTACTGTGGGACCACAAGCAAGTTATCTCTTTTCTGAACCTCAGTTTCCTCAACTATAAAAAAGAGATACGGATGCTTAGCTAATATTGCTGGAATTGAATGCAGAAATGAAAGAAAGCTTTTAGCACAGGGCTTTACCCTAACAGGCACTTACTGTTAAGAGTGGTTTATTACCAGGTAGGTAACTAAGCAAGGAAGATGTGTGTTAATCAATTTGGCATGAGATTTAAAATTTTATTACCCAACACATTATTTTCACTAAAGTATCCTTGGTTAAAACTCAGTTAATACTAGCATTTAATAAGATAACTCAAATTTCTCCAAAAAAATGGACAAATTGGATGTCTTCAATTCACTTGACTTACAAAATGGTTTTAATATGAGAATTGTCTAGTCATAAGTTGTCACTCAAGAACAAAAATTATCTGTTCTGGCACTAACTGGCATGTGATTCTGGTGAGGCACATCATGACTCTGGGTCTCCTCTACAAGGAGGGGGTTGTGGGAGTGCCCTGGTTCCTTCCATCTTGAACATTCGTGATTCCAAAGTAGCACTCCAGCATAGCCCTGATTTACTTCTAGTTCCTTTCCTTTTCAGGACATTGACATAAAGTAGAACTTGCTTCCAATACGTCTTAAAGGTTAAATGTTACACACAGCGTACAGTCAATGCAAGGAGGCCTGCACACAGGGAACTTCTGTCTAGGACTGCGGCCGGTAAGACCTTCCTGTGTGGACCACAGCACTGCTCAGGAAAGCTGCCTGCAGGTGAATAAGTGAATGTGAAATTAAGCGAGACTCTCTGCAACCGTATTCACTATATCACACTTTCATTTGGCCTCTTTTGCATTATTTCCTAATGTTTGGAGAATACATTTGAGAAAGAATGTTACATATTTTTTTACAACTCATTTTACATTTACCTCAATTGGGGAAAAAATTGATGGGAGGTGATTTAAATGTGTTTCTTTATGGAATGAGATCAAGGGATTAAACAGCCTCCCAAGTGTCCACACTGGCCCAGGATCCAAGTGAGAATAGACTGTGTCCCAGGACCTGTGGTGGGACTTGAAGTTTCTGAAGAAGTTGAGGTAGGAATAGAGTAGATGAAAGTATAAAATTTGGATAGAAGGAAAAAAATGAAAGGTTGATGAAATAACTGTACCAGAGAAGGAGTACTTTTCTAGAGATAGCAGTTTTTCTCATGATCTGAATTAAATAGCATGGTGTTCTCAGTGACCTTCCAAATTACTGAGACTCACTAGCAGGCTCACCAGGGATTCACTGCTGGCTCAGAAGGTGTTCTAGAAAGCAGTTTCCAGAAGGTGTTTTAGAAAGAAGTCAGATGCAGAGCACCTCTCAAGCATGAGACGCCAAGGTACCTTCCTCCCAGTGTCTAGGTATTGGCAGCTCTCTTCCCCGTTTTGCAGATGAGAAAGTTGAAATCCAGAGAGGATAAATGACCTGCCCAAGGTAAGTTTGACACCAGAGTTCAAATGGGCTTTCCTGGTCCAAAGCTGATGCCAGGCATTGGAGCTCACTAGGCAGGGAGACAGTACAGAAAGCGCTCCCTCAGACCCACCCCTCTAGACACAATTACAGCTACAGGGACTCACATTGTCCTGGCTAACCAGGACAATGTGACATTTCTAACCAGGACAATAGTCTGTCTATGGTGACATCAATGTGATTGTAAATTATTTATAAAGTCCACATTATCTAGTGAGGATGTTCCGCTCACGGATTAGCGAAGAGACATAGGGAAAATCCTTCAAATACTATTTCATTCATTCTGTGATGCCATTGAGCAAAAGAAACTGCCAAGTCATAAAAGTAATTACCGAGTAATACCTATAAATCTAATAAACTTGGCCAGGCACAGTGGCTCACACCTGTAATCCCAGCACTTTGGGAGGCCAGGGCAGGTGAATCACCTGAGGTCAGGAGTTCAAGACCAGCCTGACCAACGTGGTGAAACCCCACCTCTACTAAAAATACAAAAATTAGCTGGGCGTGGTGACAGGAGCCTGTAATCCCAGCTACTTGGGAGGCTGATGCAAGAGAATTGCTTGAACCTGGGAGGCAGAGGTTGCAATGAGCCGAGATGGCGCCACCGCCCTCCGGCCTGGGTGACAAAGTGAGACGTCATCTAAAAAAAAAAATAAACTTTTTTTGAGATAACACATTACATGTTTGTAATTCTGTATTTAAAAACTGAGTAGTATCATGTTTATACAACTATGTAGCACTTTTTAAATAATAAGAGTGAAGCTTCTGAGATTAAGCTCCTGCCAGACATTAAAGACAGTTCAAAATCATTTTGGCCATGGTTAGGTCTACAGAATCTCAGAAGCATGCTGCTCTCCCCAACCCTTGCTTGCAATCCTGCAGCATTCACCGAGGGCCTTCGCAGCTCCAGGCATCTTGCCAGTGCTGGGGAAACAACAAATGAAAAGATAACCTCATTTTGGGTGAAGGACAAAGACAATTACAAATTATAGGAAGTATGCTGACGGCAACAATCAGAATTCTGATGTGAGAATAATCTCTTAGGTACTTGTAAAGATAATTTGGAGGCACGTCAAAAGATACTGGAGTTTTACCTATGTGGTTAAATGGGTAGTTCCTATTGTCTCAACCAAATAAGATATTCCTGGAAGTTTCACATCTCTAAAAAATTATCTGGAAGCTTCTGATTATCTGAAGCTTCTGTTCTCCACCTAAATGATAGTCCGCCATTCATGAGTCAGGCCTACGCTTGGCCCTAACAATTCTGTGAGCACTCAGAGACTTAGCAATTCCCACTGCCTTCAGCTGCATTGTTCCTGTGTGATGGGCAACTGATGACTTTTCAGTTTAGTCCTGAATCGCAGTGTGATCTCTTTGAGAGTTACAAGGATCCAAATGTGAGTGAAATGCACAGAATGGTAGTACATGCCAACGGTAACTGAGGACAGATGGATCAATGGATGATTTTCATGCGTGACAATGGCAGATGCACAATGACAGGTATGGACAAGTACCTCATTGTCCTGCCTGGCAGCTGGCGAAGTTCCTTTATAAGGATAAGACAAATCTCCATTCAGAAAGTCTAAAAGTGGGGCTGTGTGTTATAATCTCACTTCATCCTGGAAGATAGAGTGTATATTCTAAACAACCCACTTGATTCCAAGACACTTGAGGGCAGGAATTGTCTCATTTGTCTCTGCATCCCTGTAGTGTGCCCAGCACTGAATACATAGCAGATGTTCAATAAATGTTTTGATGAATGAATGGAAGTATTTGGGAAATATTAGTGTGGTGCATAACGGGGAAAACAAGCTTTCCAGCTGTATCAGTCCATTTGCACACTGCTGTAAAGATACTACGCAAGACTGGGTAATTTATAAACAAAAGAGGTTTAATTGACTCACAGTTCTGCATGGCTGTGGAGGCCTCAGGAAGCTTACAATCATGGCAGAAGGGGAAGTAGGCATGTCTTAACATGGCAGCAGACGAGAGCGTGTGAAGGAAGTGAAGGGGGAAGGGCCTCTTATGAAACCTTATCAGATCTCGTGAGAAGTTACTATCATGAGAACAGCATGGAGGAAACCAACCCCATGATCCAATCGCCTCCCACCAGGTCCCACCCTCAACACATGGGGGATTATGGGGATTACAATTCAAGATGAGATTCTGGTGGGAACACAGAGCCAAACCATATCACCAGCCAATTAGATCAGAGATGAAATCCTGCCATCACTCAATAACCATGTGCCCTTGTTAAGTTACCTAACCTCCTAAACCTCAGCATGGTTCTAGGATTCAAGAAAATAGATACAGACCATATGGTCTCCAGGGGGGTCTCTTAGAATTATGATCCCCACGCAACAGTTAATGGTCACATGAGGCCATAAAAACCTGCTGGTGGCACAGTGGGAATAACATTCTGTTAAAAATCCCATCAGCTTCTAGTGGACCCAGAGTGCCAGAACAGCTCATCTGAATCATGAAACCTCCAGGAGGGTGGGTCTTGCAGCCACAGGGACCTTATCACAGGACCCACAGCTTCTCCCCAGAATCCCTAATTAAATGCTTCCAGTTCCCTGGCAATCTAAGGTTGTAGCTCCTGGGATCAGGGACTGCAAAAGTCTAATGAATCAGCTCTTCAGATGGAGCAGGACCAAGGCCCCCTTGAGGTCACTAGCTTGCCTGTGTCTGGGAGCCACCTCTAGGCACTTGCTTCACGGAGAATAAAATCCTATGCCTTTCCATGGCCTACAGGCTCCTGGAGCTGGCCCTGACCCCTCTCACATGTCCCATCCTCTTCCTTGCTCACCACATTCAGCTGCCCTCACCTCTTGCCTGGTTCTCTAGAGGAGCCACTTCCATCTCAAGGCCTTTGTTCTCACCTCCAGATGTTTATTTGCATGGCTTGTCCCTGCACTTAAATGCCACCTTCCCAGAGAGGCCTCCCCAACTACCAGATCTAAAATATCATTCCTCACATCCCTCCCCACACACACCTCTCTTTGACTTGGCTTTATTTTTCTCTGTAATATTTCCATTGTGTTGTATCTATATTGAAATCAAGGGCTTTTTCTTTTGCCTGCCACATAGGAGAGTCTCAAATATTAGAATAAATGAATTTGTGAATGAATGAACATGAGATGATTAACGTTGATGTTGCCCAAACCCTCCCTTGTGGGAGCTGTAACCTTATCTCACATATGAAGGGCACTGTGTTTTTAATAGCCCTGAGGTTGTCAGTAGGACATCTTAATCATCTCAGAAAAGTGGACCCAGACATATTTCGGAACAGAGCATATGATGGTGAACCATCAAATCCCACCAATGTTAAGAATTAATGAGCTTTCTGTTCTCCTATGAAGTTAATGTATAAATTTGCTGCTCTGTACCTTTCACATTTAGAACTGAAGACAAAAATAATTGTGAAGGTGAAGGATGGCATTGGAAACTATTTTTAGAACCCTGCAACAACTGAGATTTTTTTTAAAGGCACTCAGTCTAACCTTATTTGATTTTATGACCTCTCTTAACTGTTCCTCAGATTATAGCTTGGGACTAACAATCACCACAGTTTTTCTAGTTGTTATTAGAACTAACAAACAGCTCCTAATAAGAAGAGAATGGAGAGATAGTAGCTCAGTCCAGTGAAGAAATGAAAGAAATCCATAAGTCACAATACTGGGAATAATCCCTAAGCTTATTACCCTCCCCACGAGGTCAACACTAGCCGGGTTGTGGGGATGTACCCACAGGTAACACAGTGCAATGATTTGCCAAAGAGCTTTATGGGCATGACTCCAGATACTGTGATAAGGATCCCTCATCGACTGCCCTGAGAAATAAGTTTTCAGGCACTGAGCAGAGACAGAAAACATCCATCAGCAGCTGGTGAGACCTGGGAGGTAGGTTCCAAGGTGATGAGTAGGGCAAAAACAAAGAATTGCAGCTGAAGGCAGTGGCAGGATGGAAAGCTGGGGCTACAGGGATGATAGTGCAAGAGCCAAGTTAGCGGAAATAGAACTAAGAGTACGGGGGAGCAAATGACCTTTACAGAAGAGACATTTGAAATCAGTGGCCTTGTTCTTTTCCCTTCTCCAACAGACAAAAATCAAACTAATGTCTATTAACTATCTCTGTTTTTTACCCAGTTTTTATTTTTCTCCAAGCAAGATCTAGACAAATCACTGAGTGGAAACAACACTAAGTTTTTATAAGACCAAGGATGGTCATTGCAGGGTGGTTCTTTGGTTGTTTTTTTTTTCTTTGTTTTGTTTGTTGGTTTTTTGTTTTGAGATGGAGTCTTGCTCTGTGGCCCAGGCTGGAGTGCAGTAGTACAATCTCAGCTCACTGCAACCTCTGTCTCCCAGGTTCAAGTGATTCTCCTGCCTCAGCCTCCCGAGTAGCTGGAATTACAGGCGTGTGCCACCATGCCTGGCTAATTTTTGTATTTTTAGTAGAGATGGGGTTTCACCATGTTGGCCAGGCCAGTCTCAAGCTCCCAACCTCAAGTGATCTGCCCATCTCAAGCCTCCCAAAGTGCTGGGATTACAGGTGTGAGCCACCGTACCCAGCCTGTAGTGTTATTTATAATAATAAAAAAATGGGTAATAATCTCAAAGTACCAATAGGTTATGTGCAGTAGGTGTATCATTCATAGGTTAGACAGTATGCTCTGATCAAACATATTTTGGAAAAAATTTAACAATGTTAGAAAATGGTCATGGAAGTATCATTAAATAAAAAAGTAAGTTATCAACCATTTTATAGCACATTTCTTCCAATCTGTTAAACTACATTTACATGTGTATGAAAAAGATTGGAGGAATACGTATCAACATGTCAATAGCAATTATATCTGGGTGGGTGAATTATAGGTGATTTTTATTTTTCCCTTTGTGGCTTTCTAACTTTTTTAAAGTTACTGCAATAAACATTTATTGTTTGTATAATGGGGAGGTCATTAAATTTTTTTGAAAGAATCAGCCCATCACCTAGTGATTCAATCTATTTGAAATAAACACTTTTTTAAATAAAAAAATGAGAGCAAAGCTCTTTCTACTGTAGATACTGCTCTTGGTTTCTATAGAAAAAGAACATTTTGATTTTAGAGGGAGGCATGAAGCCGTGCAATCTTGCTCAAATCATTAAATATTTTTCAAACAAATTAACAACCCCTAGTGTGTTAGAAAAGACAAATAAGAGGTCCAAATTTATGCTCTGCCACTTACTACTCTGGAAACCTGAGGCAAGTCAGTTCTCTCAGTCACTTCCCCTATCTGTAAGATGGAGAGCATGGTCACTCTTCTGTTTAGCTAAAAGATTATTATTAGGTCTGGGCACAGTGGCTCATGCCTGTAATCCCAGCACTTTGGGAGGCCGAAGTAGGTGGATTACTTGAGGTCAGGAATTTTAGACCAGCCTGGGCAACGTGGCGAAACCCTGTCTCTACAAAAAAACACAAAAATTAGCCAGGTGTGATAGCACTTGCCTGTGGTCCCAGGTACTTGGGAGGCTGAGGTGGGAGGATCACCTGAGCCTGAGAGGCGGAGGTTGCAGTGAGCCAAGATCCACCACTGCACTTCCAGCCTGGACTACAGAGTGAGAACCTGTCTCAAAAAAAAAAAAAAAAAAAAGATTTTTATTAGGTATGAAAAATCCCACATTGCATGAAAAGTAAGGTAGAGAAACTCTCCCATAGAAATACAGTCAAGACTCTTCTGTTGACATAGAATATATTTTAATAGAAGGCCAGAGAGGAGGCTGGTTCAGAAAGATAAATCCCTGCAAAGAGTGAATTGCCAGAGATGAGCACTGAGTCACCCATGATCAACTGAGGCAAAAGGCAGAGGAGGCAGGAAACATTAGATGGGAGCCCACTGAGGTCTGCAGCAGGGATGCAAGTTCAGCCTTTTCCAAAACAGTGTGGGCTTTATAGCTAACTGTTTTGACTACTCTGCCATCTGGCAGTATCAGTTCCCAGGCAGCCTGGTTCCCAATGAATTCCCTTCCATGAGAGCTTCTTAGCCATCTCACCACAGAGAATGGGAGAATTGGATTTCATTTCTACTCAGCAAACACTCTCACTCTCAGGGTCACAGGTAGGCAAACTAGCCAAGCTGCCAGCACTTGGCCAGCACTGTCAAATTTCCCTTTTTCATTATTTTCTCATCTTCACCTAATCTATACTATATGCAGTCTAGCAGTCACTTACCTTCTAGTAAGAATTTGAGTACCTAAGTCTTTTCTCCCAGTAACATTTTAAGCTCATTTATTAAGGTTTTGTGAAATGGTGTTAGGAAAACTGAAGAAAGTGTGAATGGGGTGGAGGGAGAGAAGGGAGGTCAGGTGGAGTTAGAGGGGATATCACTCTTTTTCTCCCAGGGCAGGGGCACCTACTCTCTCCTATCATAAAGTCTGTTCTTAATGTCAGTGGAGACTGCTTTGGGAAATACAGTACTATATTGGAATATTCATGGAAATGAATACTTTGTAGTACTGAGAGAGCTTTCTTTAAAACTCCAAAGATCAGAATAAAATGCAAACTCTTCACACTTGCCTGGAGCCCCACAAGATCTGGCCCCTGCCCACCTCCACTGGGTCATCTTTACCACCCCCAAACCCCCACCTTTCCCCGTCCCCATTCCCTCTATTTCAGCCACACAGGGTTTCTTCCTGAGCAAACTAGGATCAATTTCTGCCTGGAAAACTTTGCACTTACTGTTATCTCCTGGGATACAACCTCACCTCATTCATGGGGGCCTCATGGGAGTAGAGAGAGTTATGTGATAAAATTCAAGACGTCTAGTTAAATTTGAATTTCAGATAAATGAGTAATATTTTTGCACATGTATGTCCCAAATATTGCATGGGACATATTGATACTAAAAAAAAAAATTGTCATGGCCAACAAACATGAAAAAATGCTCAACATCACTAATTATCAGGGAAATACAAGTCAAAACCACAATGGAATACTACTACCTTACTCCTACAAGAATGGCCATAAACAAAAAATCAAAAAATAATAGACGTTGGCATGGATGTGGTATGAAGGGAACACTTTTACACTGTTGGTGAGAATGTAAACTAGTACAACCACTATGGAAAACAGCGTGAAGATTCCTTAAAGAACCAAAAGTAGAACTACCATTTGATCCAGCAGTCCCACTACTAGGTATCCCAGAGGAAAAGAAATCATTATACAAAAAAGACACTTGTACACGCATGTTTATAGTAGCAAAATTCGCAATTGCAAAAATATGGAACCAGCCCAAATGCCCATCAATCAATGAGTGGATAAAGAAAATGTGGTATATAGGGGGCCGGGTGCAGTGGCTCAACCCTGTAATCCCAGCACTTTGGGAGGCCAAGGCAGGTGGATCACTTGAGGTCAGGAGTTTAAGACCAGCCTGGCCAACATGGTGAAACCCCATCTCTACTAAAAATACAAAAATTAGCCGGCCTGGTGGCAGTCGCCTATAGTCCCAGCTACTCAGGAGGCTGAGGCAGAAGAATGGCTTGAATCCAGCAGGCAGAGGTTGCAGTGAGCCGAGATGGCGCCACTGTACTTACTCCAGCCTGGGCAACAGAGCAAGACTCCATCTCAAAAACAAAGGAAAAAAAAGAAAACGTTGATATAGATATAGATATAGATATAGATATAGATATAGATATAGATATAGATATAGATATAGATATAGATATATACAGATATAGATATAGATATATATAGATATATAGATATATATACATACACCATGGAATACTATTCAGCAATAAAAAGGAATGGAATAATGTCATTCACAGCAACCTGGATGGAATTGGACACCATTAGTCTAAGTGAAGTACCTCAGGAATGGAAAACCAAACATCGTACATTCTCACTTATAAGTGGGAACTAATCTATGAGGAGGTAAAGGCATAAGAATGATACAATGGACTTTGGGGACCCTGGGGGAAGGGTGGGAGGGGGTGAGGGATAAAAGACTACACATTGGGTACAGTGTACACTGCTTGGGTGATGGGTGCACCAAAATCTCAGAAATCACCACTAAAGAACTTACCCATGTAACCAACCACCACCTGTTCCCCAAAACCTATTGAAATAAAGAAAAGAAAAAGAAAGAAAAAGCATTTGTCATCTATCTAAAACTCAAAGTTACCTGGTGTCCTGTATTTTTATTTGCTAACTCAGGCAGCCATACATAAGAACCTTTCCTAACCCCCTCATCCAGCTCCATTACCCTCTCATCTCCTTTCCCTGTTTTACTTTTTTTCAAAACACTTACAACCTCCTGAGATTATTTGTTTGTTGTTAGCCTCACCTACTAGCCTGAGAGAAAGGTCCATGCAGACAGAGATTTTATCTTTTTCCTGGCTCTTTGATACCTGGAACATAGTAAATACAATTTTATATGAATGAATGAATGAACGAATGAATGAGTGAACGAATGAATGAGTGAATGAGTTTTATATACACATTTGCTTTTCTTGAATCTTTTGCTTGAGGGAAAAAGCAAATAGCTTTCCATATGAGCTTTTGTTCAAGGTTTTCTGCTCTTCATCTCCTTAGCTTCATGGTCTGCTTCATCAGGCGCTGGATACCTTGCTAATGACTTCTGCCTGCCTTTCTGGCAATGCTTGTCCTCCTGGGACCCTAACTTTCCTAACACTTTCCTCAACACTCCCTGCCCTACCACAGGTTTCACCTCTCTTCCCCATCTTCTCTGTTGCCTGGAATTGCACACTGACACACTACTTTTGCTTTAAGACTTTCAATGTGAGGGCTTGCAGAAGATAACAGTTTGTCCATTCTCCATGATGCAACTGAATTTATCAGATTATTTCCTGGGAGCAGGTTTTGGTTTGGAGAAATAAGAGAGGAGGAAAGCTCCCCAGGGCCCAGTGATTGCATAAAGTTAACTTTGGACAGAAAGAAAGGGTTCAGACAAATGAAATTAGAGGTGAACTTCCATTTTGTCTACGCTGGCACTTTCAGTCTGCACCAACTCTCTTCAGCCCTGGCCGCATTAAGGATTATCTGCAACCCTGTCTCTATCCTTTCCCTTCACCATCGGCCTTCAAGAGAATGCTCCTGATCATGGCTTCAAACCTCTATTCGCAGTGGTTGGTTAGCACACTACAGAGGCATCTTTGCAAGAGAGGTTAGAATAGCATCTCTTTACTGCTCTGGAAACCCAGGTGCAGAGAGAACAAGTGACCCAAGGTCAGTCTCAGGTTCCAGCTTGGGACTCAAGGTTCCTTCCCAACAGTCTCCCAGGCACTAACTAGAACACTAAATAAATGTCAAGTGATAAAGCATTGCAGTGGCTGAAAAATGAAGCTTGCATTCCTGTAACCCACTAAATTGTTCATATAGAGCCTCCTGATTGATTTTGGTTTTCTTTGTGTGCAACTTTGAATCCCTGTCTCATATTTGGGTCAGAGCAATGGGAGGGACACATGACTTGCTTTAAAATTAGCCTCAAAACTCATTGTATAACAGCTCTCGTTTTCACTAAATGGAATGATTTCTTGAGAAGACAAGCACAGCATTTGTAATAAGCCTGCATAGTTGAGTCGCCATGGAGAAAATTGTTTACAGTCACCAAAACACTCAATGTTTCCACCTGTAAAATGGGGTGTAGATTTAGTTTGAAAGAAAAGAAATAAAGGATAACAAAATAAAAGTAACCACCTCATCCAGAACCCCCATACACACACACTTACACAAAAACACACACACAGTCTTTGGGCTGGCCAGCAGATAAAGAACAATCTCTTCTAGTCCCCAGTAGACTGGACAAAGATAGACAAGGAAAGAAATCCTGTCTAAGTCATACTATTACCAGAGTCTAGACTTCACGTTCTGATAGTTTAATGAGCTCAGAGAACATATTTTAAGTCTTAAGAAAACAAACTTATTTCTGACTTTATAAAGGTTTCTCCTGGGAGAAGAAACTAACAAAAAATCATTCTGATTGCTGTCCTTCTCCAAAGACCGTTTCCCAAGATTTCTGATTCGTTTGGCAACATCTGCAAATAAACCCAAATGACCCAGAGGCAAAATAGCTGCAAAGAACTGTATGTGACTAAGCATGGCTAAAATGTTTCTTTATAGCAAGGAAAGTTTTCCCTTGGTCTTCTGAGTTAGATAAATGGTTGATTATAATTTATGTATCACTTCTGAGGGGTGGTACAGAGCTGAAGGTTGAGGGGGCAAGTGCTAAAATATTTGAACCACCGTTTAAGTAGGGGGCCAAAGAACACAGAACTATCAACCCGGAACCACCAAGAATAGGGCTTGTCTGTAACAGCTCCATATGTGACCAGGCAGCGAGGCTTCAGCCTGTGCTTCAAGTAGGTCTTACCGTCACACAGATCTAGGTTCAGATCCCAGCTCAGCCACTTGCTAGCCATGTGGCCTCAGGCAAGCTGCTTGCTCCATTTGAACCTCAATTTCCTCATCTGTAAATTGGGGTAAATAATCACGCCAATCTTATGAGGCTGTTGTGAGATTCAAATGAGATAATGCTTGTAAAAGGGGCTTCACAGAGGGCCTGGCACATAGTTATTAGTCACTGTTAAATGACATGGTAAATGCTCATGGTTATTAGTCACTGTTATCATCAGCCCTAGTGCCTGTGGCTGCAGTAACAAATTGCCACAAACTTGGTGCTTAAAACAACAGATACCTATTATTTCACAGTCCCAGAGGCCAGAAATCCAATATCAAGCTATGGGCAGGGCCTATTCCCTCCGAAGGCTATAACTTGACTCTCATTCTTGGCCTGTGGCTGCATCACTCCAGTCTCTGCCCCTGTAATCATATGGCCTTCTCCTCTTCTCCGACTCCCCTCTGTCTCTTATAAAATCACTTGTCATTGAATTTAGGGCCCACACAGATAATCCAACATGAGCTTATCTCAAGATTCCTAATTTAACACATCTGTAAAGACTCTTTTTCCAAAAAAAGGTTGTATTTATAAGTTCCAGGGATTCGAATGTGGACATTCTAATGGGAGACACCATTCAATCCACTATAGTAATATTTGTATGGTTATTTAGCAAGGGGTGCAGCATTGGCCTTCAAGGACTAGGGTAGGGGGTCCTGGACCCTCACTTTAGAAGGTCCTCGGTCACTTCACATTCACCATTGGCTCAGTGCAACTTGTAACCCTGAACACCAGTCATGACTAACATCATTTAGGTGCCAGGGGACCTCTAAATCTTCTGCCCCGTGTTCTCCAAACAAAAGGTAATGACATCCAGAGCTGTGATGGTTTGTAGGTTGTACTTCTGCTGGCATCAGACACAGACACTGCCTTGGGGAGTGAGGAGAACTGGGGTAACAGGAGCTCCTTGGTAAGAGGAAAGACAGCTCTCCAAAATCTTCCTCTCAGCCTGAATGCAAGAGTCTTGTTTCCCTTCATGTTCCAATTTAAGATTCTGGAGTTACTCATCAATTAGCACAATATTCACAACAGTTCATGTTAGTCTTTAGTCTTTTTTTTTTTTTTTTTTTTTTTGAGACGGAGTCTCACTCTGTCACCCAGGCTGGAGAACAATGGCACGATCTTGGCTCACTGCAACCTCCACCTCTTGAGTTCAAGTGATTCTCCAGCCTCAGCCTCCTGAGTAGCTGGGACCACAGGTGCATGCCACCATGCCTGGCTAATTTTTGTATTTTTAGTAGAGACGGGGTTTCACTACGTTGGCCAGGCTGGTCTCAAACTCCTGACCTCATGATCCGCCTCCCAAAGTGCTGGGATTACAGGCGTGAGCCACCGTGCCCAGCCTTCATGTTAGTCTTAAAGGTGTGTATATGTAGGTCTGCACATGTAAGCATGAAACGTGATAGCAACCCTTCACAAAACTATATAGGTATAGATTTTTAAGACATTATTATAAGAAATCTTGAAAATCATTATGTAAGTGATAGTAATTTATGGGATGAAATTAAACTATTTTGTGATAGTCCCTGTGATAATGGCAATATACCATATGCAACCCAATTATAATGACTGACATAAAATTCATGATTCATTTCCAAATGGAAGGGTTGCTTTAAGAATTTTAATGACAATTGCAATTGCTACTGCCTCTGCCGAGCAGCTTCTAATGGAAACTTGAAAAAATGAAAAGAAAAACTAAGATTCAAGAAAGGTAATCTAATTAGGTATTACTGTTAATAGAACACAAATTATGTGAAAATATTGATTATAACAACATAATTGTAATTTTCCTGAAATGAAAGCAAGAAACATTAATTTTATGGATAAATATATAATGCATGAATTGTATATGTCTTCAGTATGCATTCACACATGTCAGCCCATTAACAGAACACCTACAGGCATGTAATAATGAAGTCCAGTTATTTCTTCTTGTTTTTGCAAACTTTCAGTCATATAAAAACCGTAAATTTCACTTTTCCCCCATTTTCTTGCTATGAAAGTATATTTGACAAAGTACAAAGATGGAAGAAAGTTTATTTAAATATTAGACATTTGCTGGGCGTGGTGGCTAATCCTTGTAATCCCAGCATTTTGGGAGGCCAAGATGAGAGGATTGTTGGAACCCAAGAGGTTGAGGCTGCAGTGAGCTGTGATTGCGCCACTGCACTCCAGCCTGGGTGACAGAGCAAGACCCTGTCTCAAAAGAAACAAAATTAGACAGTTGTTGTGTAGGTCTCCATTCACACTCTCACCCTCTGCAACTCTGCAATGTTAGGGTTAGTCTGACCCTATGGTTCAAGGTCTCCAACTATAACGTGGACACATCTGCACTTAATGGGCGTTTTCTTGACTTAGAATCTTTCTCTGTCCTTTGGCTGCATGATACCTTCCTTGCCCTTGTAGAAAGAGGGCTAACATGTCTAGTCTTCCAAGGTCATCAAAGGAAGATTTTTCTACAACATCCAGTGCATAGGAATTTATGCAGCAGATCATGATTTACTTTATAGAACACATCCCCTGAACTAGATGCAGTTAATAGCCTTGGGCCATTAGTGTTTGAACCTTAGAAGGAATTTTAGAGGTCTGCCCTCACTTGCAAAAGTGCAGTGCTCTTGTTGATCACCTAGGTCCTAAATTTATCAATGAATATGCTCATCAGGCCAGATGCACAGAAGCGACTTTGCACAGTCTCTCCTAGCTGTCCATTTTGCTTTTTTCTCCTTTAGAATATTCTTAAGCCACCTTACACTCATTCCTACAGAATCAATTGCCTTTGTTTCTCACCATGTGTCATACTAAAATTCTAATCCTGCTGGTAAGAAAGTTTAGTACCCCTCAGAGCTCGGAGGCCCCATATGTCATGTCTGCCCCTCAAGGTTTACATGAGTAAGCCTCTGCCTCACAGGCTATGTAAGATGTAGTGTGCATGGTGGAGGCTTGCTCCCATAGGAACTCTGCAGGTACTCACTATGGGGGCGCTGACACGCAGCTCTGCGCTCCCAGCTAGGGTTGGAGATAAGGTGCCATCCACTCTCCTAGCCTAGCCCCACTCCTGATCCTCCCTGAGGGGACATTCTTTCCTAATTCATCCAGCCAGAGATGCACCTTTTCTAATTCTCCTAACGGCACTTGTAAAGGCTGGAGGTGGCACTACTTGCATCCAAGTCTCTCCACCATCCTTGTTTCCTCCCTCCTCTACAAATCAGGGGTCAGGAGGACAGACAGTGAACCTAGATGAAGTGAAACAACCATGTAAGATAATAGGTTCCAAGCTGTTTATATTGCAAGCAAGCATATCCCCTGCCCAGGTGAATTGCCTTTTGAAACCTGTGCTTGCATAACAAATGGAAAACAACCAGAGTGCAACCCCTGAACGAATTAGACTTGAGCTCTTCTGACCTGGATCCTGCCCTGGCCAAGTTACAGGCCAGTATGCAAACCAGCTGGATGCTCTTGGTGGCTCCCAGCCAGCCCACCAGCTCCAGCAACAGGCCCCTTACAAGGTTCCCTCGGTTTTTGTGTCCTTGCAGCCTCAAAGACTCTTTCCAGGCTTGCAGGCTCCCCCTTTTTGGTGTGTTGTGTCCCCTTACCTATTCTTTCAGTGTATACCAGTGGTTCCCAACTGGGGTGATTTTTGTCTCCTCCCCCTGGGGACATTTGACAAGGCCTGGAGACATTTTTTGTTGTCACATCCTGGGGCAGGGTGCCACTGCATCAGATGGGTGGAGTCCGGGGATGCTGCTAACCTGCCTACAATGCACGGGACACCCACACAACAAATAATTATGTGGTTCACAATGACAACAGGACCAGGACTGAGAAATTCTTATTGCACACCCTCTGCCTGGATCCTTTTACTTGCATGTGATTCTTACTCTTTTATTGACCTTTGGACTAATACTTCACCACCCTTTGTCCCAAGCCTAATTCTCACCTGGATGTAGATGTCATGTTCCTTTTTATTCCACATCCTGAAGCCACTAAGCAAAGGCACGGGTGCCTTCACCTCACCAGGTTCCTATACATTCTTCAAACACTGGAGCTCTGCAATTATTTCAGGCCATTCTGTGGCTCTTCCTACCACCTCCACACCTGAAAGTCAAGCAGCGCCTGTAGGATCAATCTGGTTAATGCTGATACATTCTCGGTTTTTAAATAGTGTGATTTTAGACTTTTAGTTCTATTGGTGAAGGTACAATATATAATAGAAAGAAACTCCAACAATCCCATACTAAACCTTTGCCCTTTGCTCGGGCTCTTAAAGGATTCACGTGCTTCCAGCTCGTAACTAGTGTTGTCCTACTTTTGCTTGTATTGTAATTGATCTCCTTTCTTGGGTTTTTTTTTCTTTTCTTTTCTCACATAAACCTTCTCTACCTTTTGTACTGCTTGTCTCACATACTATTAAGCCTAATTTGAATTTTTTGTTATAGTCTTCAGTTTCCCAACACTGTTTATACTTCTTTAAACAATAGATTTCATCTGCATGGTAGACAGAATGCCCATGAGTCCCAAGATGTCCATGTCCTAATTCCTAGAACTTGTAGATATGTTACCTTATATGGCAAAGGGGACTTTGCAGATGTGATGAGATGGGGGGATTATCCTAAATTATCTAGGTGAGCTTAATAGAATGCATGAGCCCTTAAAAGGGGAGAACCAGGCCTGGTGTGGTGGCTCACACCTGTGCTCCCAGCACTTTGGGAGGCCAAGGCAGGCGGATCACCTGAGGTCAGGAGTTCAAGACCAGCCTGGCCAACATGTCAAAACCCCGAGAGTCCATCTCCAGTGTTTGAGACGGGGTTTCACTCTGTCGCCCAACAGGAGGGCATATATCCTCTATCTCCCATTACCAAAGATTGATTCAGGCATCCCTTCTTGATCTTTCTAGGAGCTGTGAAGTTGCAGAATTTTGGTTTATTGGGATGCATCCTGGTGCTTGCCTACAGATCTTGTTTTGCAAGTAAGAACAGAAGACTCTGGCCGGGCGTGGTAGATTATGTCTGTAATCCCAGCACTTTGGGAGGCCAAGGGGGGGCGGATCACCTGAGGTCAGGAATTCAAGACAAGCCTGGCCAACATGGCGAAACCCCATCTCTACTAAAAATACAAAAATCAGCCAGGTGTGGTAGCACGCACCTGTAATCCCAGCTAGTCTGGAGGCTGAGACAGGAGAATCACTTGAACCCGGGAGGCAGAGGTTGCAGTAAGCCGAGATCGCACCACTGCACTCCAGCCTGGGTGACTCTGTCTCACAGAAAAAAAAAAAAAAAAAAACCACAGGAGACTCTAGGGAGGCCACCAGGCCTGTCAAGGTTGCATGGTTCTCAGGTGGCAGGCTGGTATCACACCCCCCGCCCTGACTCACAAACTGTTCCTATTTTCATTTCCTTCCCCTTAAAAAAAGTAGAACTATCTCACTGATGTAAGAAGAACATACTTGGCTTTTTTTCTCGTAAGGAGTCTTAAAAAACACACTGATAGTTGACACTGTATATATCAAGGTTTTCTGGCAAAAATTTCCATGGAATGTAGTTCAGAGAGATGCTCCAGAAAAATTTTTAAAAAGCCTCTGTGGTCAAATAAGCTTGGAAAATGCAGTATGTTTGTTCCTGCCTTGGAATGTCATCACATACATAAGCTTAATAAAACTTCTCAGAAGTCTATAGTAAAGAAGTTCTAGTTCAGTTTTCCCTTTTCATATAACACCCATTAGCAGGAGGCAAGAAATGCTAGTACAGAAGTGGCTTCATGTCTTTTCTCTGTCCCTTTCACTTGTTGCGTGGCTGGTTTAGCACTGTAGGTGGCTCTGGCCTGAGTACGCAATGTGACCCTTTGGGAGTCAAGCAGGTGAGTGCATCCCAGAGCCTGCTGATTACCACCCATTCTTCCTTCCTTTCTCATCGACGGGAACCCCATTTTATGTGGGTCAATGAGTGCTGAGGCTCCCTTGAAGCTTGGTGTGGCCATGTGACATAGTTCTAACCCATGAGATGGGAACAGAAGTCTCTAGAGGGACTTTCAGAAAAGCTCATACATGCATTTTTCTTCATCATTCATTTTCCTGCCTAGAGTGCAGAGGCAATACATGGAGATGCAGCAGCCATCTTGTGACCATGAGGACAAAGATCATTTACCAAGGATGACAGAAGAGAAAGTTAGCAAGAGCCTTGACCCCTGATGAGGTGAAGTCATTTCACCAGCCTATCACAGCTTCTAGTCTTCTTGGGAATGTAAGAAAAACAAACTGTTATTTGCTTAAGCTCTTATAGCTAAGTTTCTGTTCCGTGCAGCTATTATTCTAATCAAAATAATGTTTCAGTGTTTATTCCTGAATATCACATAATTTTGCTCTGTAGGTGTCATCTTGGCTTTCTTTATGAATGGCAATTACTGGCTGGGTGCGGTGGCTGAGATGGGTGGATCACTTGAGGTCAGGAGTTCGAGACCAGCCTGGCCAACATGGTAAAACCCTGTCTCTACTAAAAATACAAAAAAATTAGCCAGGTGTGGTGCCACATGCCTGTAATCGCAGCTACTTTGGAGGCTGAGGTAGGAGAATCACTTGAACCCAGGAGGCGGAAGTTGCACTGAGCCAAGATATCACCATTGCACTCCACCCTGGGCAACAAGAGTGAAACTCTGTCTCAAAAAAAAAAAAAAAGAAAAAGAAAAGAGAAAAGAAAAGAAAAGAAAGGCAATTACTGGATAGGGTCTAAGAAGTTTACAAAGCAGGCCAGCAACAGCATCAAGTCATTCAAGTCAGTGTTTCTCAATGTGGCCCCCAGACCAGCAGCCTCAGCACCACCTGGGAACGTATTAGAAGTGCACATCCTCCGACCTCGCCCTAGACCTGCTGAACCTGAGACTCCAGGGGTGGGGCCCAGCAACTGGTGTTTCAGCAAGCCCTCCTGGTGCTCCTTACATACGAACTTTTTAGAACCATTTTAGAACTTAGTTTAGAACTAACATTTTAGAATTTAGTTACACATTCAACCTCAATGAATTTGTAAACCCACGAAAGGTCACTTTGAATGAAATAGTTGAGTTTGAACAGCAAGACTCATGCCCACACCTAACAACAGAGCACAGGCTTTGTGAGAAAAGGTGTCTGGCTTTGCCTTGGAAATTCAAACTGAGATAGAAGTACTATAAAGGGGCCAGGTGTGGTGGCTCACGCCTGTAATCCCAGCACTTTGGGAGGCCGAGGTGGGCGGATCACGAGGTCAGGAGATCGAGACCTTCCTGGTTAACACGGTGAAACCCCGTCTCTACTAAAAATACAAAAAATTAGCCAGGCATGGTGGCATGTGCCTGTAGTCCCAGCTACTCGGGAGGCTGAGGCAGGAGAATCGCTTGAACCCAGGAGGTGGAGGTTGCAGTGAGCAGAAGGAGCAACTCTGTCTCAAAAAAAAAAAAAAAGTACTATGAAGGTAACAGTGACAGAAATGGAAGCTACCACCACTTAAAGAGTGTGGTTAATTGTGGTTCATGTCAAGGTACCAAGAGGCTAGTGTTGCAATTTTCTTTTCTCTACACTTTGCTTTGCTTTGAGATGGAGTCTCACTCGGCTGCCCAGGCTGGAGTGCGGTGGTGTGATCTCAGCTCACTGCAACCTTTGCCACCTGGACTCAAGCGATTCTCCTGCCTCGGTCTCCCGAGTAGCTGGGATTACAGGCGTGCGCCACCACACCTGGCTAATTTTTGTATTTTTAGTAGAGACATGGTTTCACTATGTTGCCCAAGCAGGAGTCTTGAACTCCTGACCTCAATTAATCTGCCCACCTCATTCTCCCAAAGTGCTGGGATTACAAGCATGAGCCACTGCTCCCAGCCAGTATTGCAATTTTCACAGGAGGCTTTCACTTTACCTTTTCTTAATAACATACTGTTCCCTTGCCTCCAACTTGGTTCACTGGATAGAGTATATAGATAAGATTTGTACAAATCTCAGCAATTTAAGAATTTGCAAATGTGCATAGGAGTGAAGACAAGGTAAGAGTGCGATTAGAAATGCTCAGTGTGGCTGGAAATGTAATGAGCATGCTTTATTCTCACTCTCAACTTGAGATCTCCAAACTCACTCTATTCCATCCCACGGTATCTGCTTTCTCCTTTCTATTAAGCAACCAACCATTACTGAGCATTCTCGATTTTCCAAGGAAGGTGCTCATATATTTTTGGTGAATCCCATGAAGCCCATATTTGTAGCGGACATATGCTGTAATCCCAGAAGCAGAAGGGACCTGGTCCTCCTTTCTCCACTCTCCCCACACTGTGGAAGCTTCAGGGCACAGAGGCGATTGAGAGTTGCTCAGCAGCAGTGGTGCTGAGCATTTAGCTCTGGCCACAATATCCGGTGGCCAGTGCAGTTGATGTCAACATCAGTTTCCCAACCAGACCAACCCTGAGGCTTTGCCCTGCATGACTTTCCCTGCTCCCTGAGCTCCCTTAGGTTCTGCTAAGCCTGGTTCTATAGCCTTCCCTTCTATTGTGTGAATTGTCCAAAACTGATTCAATAAATTCCTCTTTTGCCTAAGCAAGCCAGAGTCACTTTCTGTTCGCTTTCAACTTAGAAGTCAAAGTAACATAATATTATTGCCATCTTTTTTAAGTGAAGACACTGACATTTGGAGGTCAAGGAACTTGCCAGATGTGTAATACCCAGCCTCCAAGATGGCCCCCAGTGATCTTCACCTCTTAGGTATTTATTTGCATAGTCTACTCCCATGTTGAATTAGGACTGGTCTGTGTAGAGTTCAGCAGGGATAATATGTGACTTCTGAATTGAGAGCATAAAGGACTTTGCAGCATCTGTCTTGCTCTCTTGGATTGCTTACTCTGGGCAAAGCCAGCACCATGCTGTGAGAATGTATTTACCATGTCTTTTATTTTTGTATTTTTATGCCTGTCCCAGGACTAGCCAGTTTTTAGAAATAGCAAACAACCATGAGGGTGCGTCACAAATGTAAACCAATCAATCCAGAGCCCACACACTGCCACCTCCATTATGGGCTCTCACCCTCCAGGCCACTATCCACCTGCCCTAATCACCCCAGGAGTAGGAACTAGGCAACTAGGGATAGCCCGTATGGCCCAGAGCCTGCTGAAATGATTCAAACTATTCAATCCAAAGCCCAATTACCCTCCCTCACTCATTCCTTCCCACAGAAACCACAATAAAAGTTTGTGCCCCTGGCCAGGCGCGGTGGGTCACGCCTGTAATCCCAGCACTTTGGGAGGCCAGGGCGGGCAGATCACAAGTTCAGGAGAATGAGACTACCCTGGCTAACACAGTGAAACCCCGTTTCTACTAAAAATACAAAAAATTAGCTGGGTATGGTGGCACACACCTGTAGTCCCAGCTACTCGGGAAGTTGAGGCAGGAGAATCACTTGAACTCAGGAGACAGAGGTTGCAGTGAGCCAAGATCTCACCACTGCACTCTAGCATGGCAATAGAGCGAGACTCCATCTCAAAAAAAAAAAGTTTGTGCCCCTGTTTTCACTCTGCTCCCTCTGCCTCCTGACTGATCTTGGTACTTCCCCATGTGGCTGGTGTGACACACCCCTTCCTCTTGAGATCTGTGAGCATAACAAACTATCTTTTTATTAGCAGTCATTCCTGATCTGATGGCTTTGCCATACCTAAATATTAATAAAACCTATATTTTAAACAGAGAACACTCAAGTACCATGTGGTGAAGCCCATATGGAGAGGAACTGAGGCCTCCCACCACAGCCAGCCCCCATTGGCCAGCCAAGTGAGTGGGCCTCCTTGGAAGCAGACCCACCAGCCCCAGTTGAACCTTCAGATTAGGGCAGCCCCAGCCCACACCCATCTGCAGTCTCATGAGAGGAGAGAATCTAAGCCAGACTTCCCATTCAAAAAGATCCAAAATTTGCAACCTACAGAAACAGAGACAATACATGCTTATTGTTATTTCAAGCCACTAAATTTTGAAGTAATTTGTTCCTCAGTAATGGCTTCTAAGTGGAGGAACTGATTCCTCCACTAACCCCACTTGGGGTTTCTTGTTGCCTCTCCAGTGTGCCAGTGTGAAAAATAGCAAGATACCTTGGGCTTCTGACTCAAACAGTAAGAAAAAAATTGTAATTTCACATAACAAGAATTCAAGATGTAGAGAGCATCTAGGGTAGATTAACAAAGCAGCCCAGTGATCTCACTCAGGCCCCAGATGATTCTCTTCATTTCTCTGCTCACTCAGCCTGTCAGCTGATCATTCTCTTTTTCAAAAGATGGCAGCAGCATTGCAAGCATCTCATACAGACAGCGCAGTTGAGCGCTGTTATTGGTTTAGACCAATGGGAGCACAGTTATTGGTTTAGACCGATTATCAATGGGAGTGCAGTGATTGGCTTAGGCCAATAACCAATGGGAGCATAGTGATCAGTTTTCCTTTGGGGATGAAGCTTAAGAGTTCTTCACTTGATCACATAGGGCTGGGGACACCCTTGAACAAAATCCAGGTTCTGGCAACAAGGAAAACCTATGCACAAGGGTTGGGGTGACGAATGACTTAGGTACATTATCTTCTATATAAGCCATCAAGGGGCCAGCTGCACTAGCGAGAAGGGCAATAGAGGCCCAGAGAAGGTGTCGGGAAAGCAGAAGAGTCGGGGCAGGTAGGTCAGGGCCAGTTGGAGGGCCTTGGGCTTTACACACAGAATGAATAACCTGAATGAGTCATTACCTAAACCACTGTTCCTTCACTCCATTCTCCCTCCTGAGAATGGGTTATGCACCTGCTCACACATGTGACTGTTCTTTCACATCACCAGTTTGGGTTGGGATGACATGACCCAGCTGCCTCCAGAAGCCTCCCAGCCAATGGACCCAGAGCAGGCTGTGGGCAAATCAGTCAGGTGGTGGCTGCTGATTGGAATTCATCCACATTCTCAGGGTGGAGAGCAGCAGATGTGTGCAGCCTCCTCCCCTATGGAGGGGATGCTATTTGTTTAAATGGTGGTTGGTGATGCCAGAAACACTTGGCCTCATTTATCTGGATATAGAATAATCCAGCACAAATAGATCAGTAGTAGTAGTACAGCAGCGATAGTAGCCCAACCCTTTTACTTTGTAGACATAGAAAACCAAGTTCATGTTGAAGTGACTTGGCCAGGATCACAAAGACCAAACTAGAACTAAGACTGAGTCTTAAGACTCTTGCTTTGATTCTGTTTCTCATTATACCTTGTAGGAAAAGTTTCTATGCCAAATTCTAGGCCAGATCTATAACGTCATTTTTCTGAGAAACAAAACTGCTTTAGGTAAGTTGTTCTAATAGTTCCTCAAGTTCATCTGAAATCTACTAATTATGTTTGATATGGAGACTTATTTTTAATGTTGTGTAATTAGACTTGCAAGTTCCACCCTTAAAACTTTTTATCTGTTGTTTACCAACACAGGCCAAGATTCCAGCTAATAATATTTTCAACCACTTTTGTCATTCTCCAATAAATTACATAGAAAATTGTCAAGAGTAATTCCTGGCCGGTCATGGTGGCTCACACCTGTAATCTCAGCACTTTGGGAGGCCTAGGCAGGCAGATCACGAGGTCAGGAGTTTGGGACCAGCCTGACCAACATGGTGATACCCCATCTCTACTAAAAATACAAACAAACAAACAAAAAATTAGCCGGGCGTGGTGGTGCGCACCTGTAATCCCAGCTACTCAGGAGGCTGAGGCAGGAGAATCACTTGAACCCAGGAGGCAGAGGTTGCAGTGAGCCAAGATTGCGCCACTGCACTCCAGCCTGCACAACAAAGTGAGACTCTGTCTCAAAAAAAAGAAAAAGTAATTCCTTTCCAGTGACAGCAGAAATCAGAGACTTCAAGTCTCCAGTTCAAGTTCACTGGACTCATTACTTCAAAGGGAGTATAATAAGCTCCCTGAGATTATCTTTCTGAAGTAACTCTTTTCTGTCTATCAGCTGACTTGCAACTGATTGTGTACTTGACACAGATCCACATGACTCGGTGCAATGGGAATAGTCCAGCAGTTTTGAATTCTCAGATGATTTTCGCTCTTTGTTTCTTGTCTTGTTTGAAGAGATCAAAAGGGAGCTCTATCGCTGTGTGATAAGTATGTTTCTATCACTGTTTTCCATAGCTTTCCCTTCCAAGATCCATTATAACTTTGGAAATGTGGTGAAATGTGTCTTACCAGACTAAATCTGGTAAGGTTTAGTCTAGGGGTGTGTGTGTGTGTGTGTGTATGTGTGTGTGTGCATGCACGCATGCCCGCATGTATGCTAGGAGTAGGCAGAGTGGGGAAAGGAGGTAATGTGGGGGTTGCAATTGTAGCACTTGGATGAAAACATGGATGTTTAGCACACATCTACAATAAACATGATCTTCATTATTTTTAGTTAGCCACATTATTATTATACCCAGAAAAATAATTTTAAAAGCTTTCAAAGGTTAAAGAAATGATTCACAGCAGATAATCAGAATCTAAGTTGGCAGTCTGTTCAGTACCCATCACTACTTCTCCCACTAATTTTCAGATTGCCAACTTGCTATCAGTAAAACATTCTTAGTCAAGCAAACGATTTAACAATTATTTGTCCTCATCCACTTTTGCACACAGGTGAATAAGCTAATGTGGGCTGGAAACAAGATTAGAAACAAACTCTGATTAAACCATTCATTCATCAAATGTACATTAAACACTTACTATCCGACAGGTTTTGTATTACGAGAAAAGAAACAGTAAACAGGAGGCTGGGTGCAGTCACTCGCACCTGTAATCCCAGTACTTTGGGAGGCCAAGGTGGGTGGATCACCTGAGGTCAGGAGTTCGAGACCAGCCTGACCAACATGGTGAAACCCTATCTCTACTAAAAATACAAAAATTAGCCGGGTGTGGTGGCACATGCCTGTAATCCCAGCTACTTGGGAGGCTGAGGCAGGAGAATCGCTTGAACCAGGGAGATGGAGGCTGCAGTGAGCTGAGATCGCACCACTGCACTCCAGCCCGGGTGACAGAGCGAGACTCTCTCAACAACAACAACAACAAGAAACAGTAAACAGGAAAAGAAAAAAGGTTTCCATTCAGTAGAACCCTGTGCTGGAGTCCTGGACAGCATGCATGGCCACACACTGGCGAGGCACCAGTCTTGGTGTGAGCAAGGAGACAGTGCAGGAAAGCCTTCAGGAGGAGGTGATGTCGGAACTAAATGTGGAAGGACAGGTGAGAGTAGACAGACATGGAGGTAAAGGGAACAGGAGAAAGAAAGGCTTGGAGGTGTGAGGCGGGAGCGTGCATGTCAAGGACCTCACAGTTAACATGGCGGGGGGCGGGGGTGGGGTCAGCGGGGGGAATGAGAAGGATGGAGGCAGAGGGTCGGGGGCTCATGCGGGGCTGGGTTGGCTTTGCCAGGAGATCAGACTAAATCCTGATAGCCGTGAGAGCTATTGTAGAAATAATTTCAAGCTGATCAGATTTATTTGGGTTTACTGTAGGAGGGAGGAGGCTGTTTTTGTGTATTTGTTTAATCTTTTTTGGACAAGCCTTAAGATTAGTAAAGGACTATACGAGGTCCTTAATATTGAAAGAGCCAATATATACCGTCATACATTCTTCCAACATTCTCGTTATTCACGTAGTGCATTCAGATAAATATATTCTCAACAAATATTTCCTTCATTTGTAACATCTAGGCAGAGGTGGGCAAGAGCAGATAAAAGAGATGGCAAACTTTGATGACCTTCTTTATATGCCTCAAGGCCTCACCACTGATATGTCATTGAGTATTTCACACTGGCTTCCTCTGACTCTTTTCATCAAGGTCTTAACAACCATTGTGTCAACATGTGACCTTATAAACTGTACACAAGGACCCTTTTTGGGACAACATGATCATGGGAGAGAAATCTCTCCCCTTGCCTCCCTCTTCCTACCCATCTGTGCTTCTGCCTGAAGTCATCGGTATTTCAGAGATTAAAACTGTTCTTTAGGTCTTAGCCACCAGTTTTTATTTGCATGAGCCATACCAAAGAAACTGAGAAATTGCTTTTGTGGCTTGTCTACTTGGAACTTTGAAAAGAATGAACAGTAACATTCTCAGTCAGATTCAGATTTCATGTAAAACCTGCTTTAGAGAACTGAAGGATAAGACATGCTTATTTACAACTTTTAAATTATTATCCTCTCGATAGAGACAGCACCAGGGAAAGTGAAAGCCAGACAGGCACTGGGCGACTCTGTGCCTCACTGAGGAAAAATTACTCAACATGAGCAAAGGAGATCCTAAGAAGCCAAGAGGCGAAATGTCATCGTACGCATTTTTGTGCAAACTTGTCAGGAGGAGCATAAGAAGAAGCATCCAGATGCTTAGGTCAACTTCTCAGAGTTTTCTAAGAAGTGCTTAGAGAGGTGGAAGACCATGTCTGCTAAAGAGAAAGGAAAATTTGAAGATACGGCAAAGGCGGACAAGGCCCATAATGAAAGAGAAATGAAAATCTATATCCCTTCTAAAGGGGAGACAAGAAAGAAGTTCAAGGATCCCAAGGCACCCAAGAGGCCTCCTTCAGCCTTTTTTTCTATTCTGTTCTGAGTATTGCCCAAAACATCCTGGCCTGTCCATTGGTGATGCTGCGAAGAGACTGGGAGAGATGTGGAATGACACTGCTGCAGGTGACAAGCAGCCTTAGGAGAAGAAGGCTGCAAAGCCGAAGGAAAAATGCGAAAAGGGTCTTGCTGCATATCGAGCTAAAGGAAAGCCTGATGCAGCAAAAAAGGGAGTTGTCAAGGCTGAAAAAAAGCAAGAAAAAGAGGAGGAAGCTGAGGAAAATGAAGAGGGTGAGGAGGGGGAAGATAAAGAGATGAAGATGAAGAAGACAATGATAATGAATAAGTTGGTTCTAGTTTTTTTTTTTCTTGTCTGTAAAGCATTTAGCCCGCCTGTACACAACTCACTCCTTTTAAAGAAAAAAAATGAAATGTAAGGCTGTGTAAAATTTGTTTTTAAACCATACATTCTATTTTTTTGTATAATTAACACATTACCGAAATGTTTCTTTAGATAGCGATGTCTTGGTGGTATTTTTTTCTTTTTATATTTTGAGACTGAGTCTCCTCTGTCACCCAGGCTGGAGTGCAATGGCACCATCTTGGCTCACTCCATCCTCTGCCTCCTGGGTTCAAGCGATTTCCCTGCTTCGGCCTCCTGAGTAGCTGGGATTACAGGCACACGCCACCATGCCCTGCTAGTATTTTCAATAACCACTAACCTTGCCTGGTAAAGTATGGGGGTTGTAAATTGGCATGAAAATTTCAAACAGGTTCTTTTTGGTGCACAGCGCAAATTAGTTATACATGGTGATGGTAGTTTTTTTCATCTTCAGTTGTCTCTGATGCAGCTTATACCAAATAATTGTTGTTCCATTAACTGAATACCACTCTATAATTGAAAAAAAAAGTTGCAGCTGTTTTGTTGACATTTTGTTGACATTCTGAATGCTTCTAAGTAAATACAAATTTTTTTCCTTTTTTTTTTTTTTTGAGACTGAGGTTTGCTCTTGTTGCCCAGGCTGGAGTGCAATGGTGCGATCTCAGCTCACCACAACCTCTGCCTCCCAGTTTCAAGTGATTCTCCTGCCTCAGCCTCCTCAGTAGCTGGGATTACAGGCATGCACCACCACGCCCAGCTAATTTTGTATTTTTAGTAGAGACGGGGTTTCTCCATATTGGTCAGGCTGGTCTTGAACTCCTGAACTCAGGTGATCCATCTGTCTCAGCCTCCCAAAGTGCTGGGATTACAGGCGTGAGCCACCACACTTGGCCTAAATACAATTATTTTTAATAAAAAAGAAAGTATTATCCTGTCAAGAGCCACCCTAACCAGACTCAGTACAATGTTAATACACATCACCCAGAAGAGAGGGCACCTTCAGTTCGTGCCAGAGAATCTCTCTTGTCAGTAAAAAGTTAAAAAATAAAATAAAAAAAAAAATCACCCAATTTGGGCAGTGTTACCAAATGAGACCATTTTTCTTTGCAAGTTCACAAGTTCTTCTTTTTCCTTTTTTCCTTATTTATTTATTTCTCTTTTATTTTTGTTTGTTTGTTTGAGATGGAGTCTTGCTCTGTCACCCAGGCTGGAGTGCAGTGGTGTGATTTCAGCTCACTGCAACCTCTGTCTCCTGGGTTCAAGCGATTCTCCTGCCTTAGCCTCCCCAGTAGCTGGGATTACAGGCGCCCGCCACCACGCCCAGCTAATTTTGGTATTTTTAGTAGACACAGGGTTTCACCATGTTGGCCAGGCTGGTCTTAAACTCCTGACCTCAGGTGGTCTGCCCACCTTGGCCTCCCAAAGTGCTGGAATTACAGGTATGAACCACCATGTCTGGCCGATTTATTTCTTTTTTAAAGAGACAGGATCTTACTATGTTGCTCAGGTTGGTCTCAAACTCCTGGGCTCAAGCCATTCTCCAGCCTCAGCCACTGCCCCACCTCCCCCGCCCGCAATTGCTGGGATTACAGGTGTGCACCACTTAAGGTTTTGCATTTATTTTCATTTATTTTCAAACCTTTTTTTTTTTTTTGGCTCCTTTCCTGGTCATCATAGTCACATTATTAAAAAAAAGAAATAATACATTTAGATAAATCAACATTAGGAACTACTTATTACTCCCATAGAACATATTCTGTTGTTTTAGGTGCAAATATTTCCAAAATGTAACTATTTGTATGTATTTTTCCTCTTAATTTACCTGAAAGACGCTCACAAGTATTGAACTTGATGAAGGAAAATTATAATTTTCTCTTTGTGATTTTTTTAAAGAGTAGTCAGGGGTAATTTATTATAACAAACCACGAAAGAAAGTTACATTTTAAAAGTATTTTGTTGATTTATATGTCAGCAATGACTTCATCTGCCTAGTCAATGAAAGACACAAGAGTTTTAAATAAACTCCCCACATGCTGAGCTGTGTGCTTCCCTTATCCTATCACCCCAGCCTCTCCAGTTTAATGACATAAGGTGAGTAATGCTACAATCTGTTGAAGACTCAACAAAGTCACGCTTTGTAGACACCACAAGAGTTAAACTGAACTTTAATAATAACTTCAGGCTGGGGTGCCGGAGGTGGGAGAGCACCAGGAAAAACAGCTAGTGCATGTGGGGCTTAATACCTAGGCGATGGGTTGATAGGTGCAGCAAACCACCATAGCATATGTGTACCTATGTAACAAACCTGCACATCCTGCACATGTACCCTGGAACTTAAGATAAAGAAAAAAATAGGCCGGGTGCAAGTGGCTCACGCTTGTAATCCCAGCACCTTGGGAGGCCGAGGTGGGCAGATCACGAGGTCAGGAGTTCGATATCAGCCTGGCCAATATGACGAAATCCCATCTCTACTAAAAATACAAAAATTAGCTAGGCATGGTGGCGTGCGCCTGTAGTCCTAGCTACTTGGGAGGCTGAGGCAGAAAAATCGTTTGAACCCCGGAGGCGGAGCTTGCAGCCAAGATCACGCCACTGCACTCCAGCCTGGGCGAAAGAGAGAGACTCCGTCTCAAAATAAATAAATAAATACTAATAATTGCTTAAGGTTTATCTTACAATGCTGCCACTTCCCCCAACAAGTCTGGAGATTGAATGGACATGAGTTTAATAGGAGAGGGGTGGAGGGTAAGGGCTGCAATTGGGGAAATGGGTAGAGGAAGAGGAGGCAGATTGAAAATAGTTTTTTAAAATCCTGGTCACTGAGTGGAAAGCGTGCTCACATTCCTAGGAGCAGAGGGGGAATATGGGTTAAACTTAAGGGACACACTAGGAGTTAATCATTCAGGGTACAGGGTGAACGCAAGTAAGAATTCTAAAAATGACGACTTCTCCTTCAAAACTGAAGCAGTCTGCAAGAAGCAGAATTGGAGAGCTTATTAGCTTGACTCCTTTGCCCTCTGCAGCTGATGCTCCCAGTTTAAATCCTGGCACAACCCTAAAATAAGAGTTAGCTCTGCAAAGGTAAAAAGAATTGAGGACACTGAAGAATATATAGTGGCACAAAGAATATTTAGTGGCACAAAACTAGCTCACAATTCCACATTGTGTTAGGGCAGCTCTGGCCTCTGCATTCTTGTGTCTGTCCACAAAGGTAACTGAAAAGGAAGCAGCCAGGTAAGTCATTGTTGCGAGCCGTTCTCCCGTTCCACCTCTTCTCATTTTGTGGTGTCAGTTGCTTCGGAAAGAACAAGGGGAAACGAAGGGTGGCCAAAGGAAGGCATCCCATTGTGTGTACATGTCAGTTTCACATTCTGTGCCCTTTATGCCAAAGAGGCCTTTGCTAGATACCATTTCCTCCTAGTTTGCCACCAAGATGGACAACAGACCTTTTCAACAAAACCTGCAAACTGTTTTAATTAATATTGCTAACATCAGGACAGATGTTACAAGATAAATCTCTTCCTCCTTTATTCTCCTCCTTCCCTAGCCATTCCACCCTGAAACATTTTGGGGCCTGTACTAGATACTAGAGACACAAAGGAGACTAGAACATTCTCTGTCGTTGAATTATTCTCAGTCAAATGAAGACGGAAACTGTGGTCTGAAAATTTTGAATAATAAAGCCATTTGTGACAGCGACACAGCTCATATTGGAAGTGGAACTTACATTTCCTGACTCATAATGAAGACCTTTATGCTCAACACCACATACAAAACATGTGCGATGTATAAAATGGGTAAATTCCATTAACAAATACATTTATCATTTCGGGATAGGCTATTTGTGTCAAGACAGCAGAATTTCAAGTACTAACTCATCTTCCCCTTCCACCTTCTTTTTTAATGGCCTTATCTGAATGACTCTGTGCCTACCACTAGAGAAGTGGTCTAAGACTTCTTGCCTTTTTTTTTTTTTTTGAGATGGAGTCTTGCTCTGTCACCCAGGCTGGAGTGCAGTGGCATGATCTCAGCTCACTGCAACCTCTGCCTCCCAGGTTCAAGTGATTCTCCTGCCTCAGCCTCCTGAGTAGCTGGGACTGCAGGTGTGTGCCACCATGCCTGGCTAATTTTTGTATTTTTAATAGAGGCAGGGTTTCGCTATGTTGACCAGGCTGGTCTCGAACTCCTGACCTCATGATCTGCCCGCCACAGCCTCTCAAAGTGCTGGGATTAGAGGTGTAAGCCACCACGCCCAGCTGACTTCTTGCTTTTTTCACTGAATGGTTTGGAGCACACACAAAGGGCTCACACCTGGCACTGTCACTTATGAGCAGTATAAATTTGGGCAAGATTCATAACTTTTCTGAACCTCGGGTTTCACATCTAGGATCCAGAGCTAATATTTCTTTCCTCATGGGATTGTTGTGATATTAAAAATAAAATACTGGGACACAGTAAGCATGCAATAAATAGCAGTGGTTGTTATTAACAAAGAGACTGTCTAGCATCTCCTCTTGTTTTAAACCCCCTTCCTGAGAGAGGTGGAGAAAGAAGACCTAACTAGCAAGCATGGCTTTCTGGAGGGAGCAGGACTTGTAGCTGTTGCGGCATGAGACAGTAGAAGCAGAGCTTCAGCTCTACCAGGACATTCTTCCATTTCGATACGACAGAGTGTCCTGATGCAGCTGGGCTTTTGGGGGTAAGCACCCAGCAACCCCGGGAAATTGGAGTTGAAGCTGTGGGTGCCAGAGACCAGGAGAGGTTCCAGGAATCATAAGACGTTTGTAAGTTTATAGATAAGCTGGTGACACGAAACCAGGGAATATCAGATTGTATTTATTTATTCCCTTATGAGCAACTCTCAAATCTTTTTGCTTTCAGATGTTGCAAATTCATCCCACCTCCTGCTGCAGCTATGATACTCAGAGAAAGTAAGTCTCCAATGCTTGGGTAAATAAATCTATTGCCTCTCAACCCTACCCTACTTTGAGCTGTCAGTCCTTTTCCCCTTTCCCCACTCTTCCTTAGAGGTCCAAAAATGCTTCTAGAAAGTACAACTTGAAAACCACTGCCATGACACAATGTTGGGAACCTTGTTCACATGCTAAAGCTCAATATCACCTCCACTTCAGCTGAAGATCACTAAAGCTCAATATCACCTCCACTTCAGCTGAAGATCACTAAAGCTCAATATCACCTCTACTTCAGCTGAAGATCACTTCTCTCGTTGCCTCTTTAATGTCTGCTTCACAACATTTATCACGAGTTAGTTGTGTGATAAGCTGTCTTCCTCACAAGAACCTTATCTCCAATGAGGTCAGGGAATGAGGTGAATCTATTGAGATTTGACACTGTGTCCCCAGTGCCTAGGCCAGTGCCTCGGGCATTGTAGGCTCTGGAAAAAAATGTTTGGGACTAGGATAATCAGAGGACTGGGGGAAGTCCAGTCCCATTCTCACTTAGGGGGAGTCAGAATAACATAGTTCACATTGTATAGTTCTTTGGAGGTGAAAAGATGGGATAGTAAACCAAACCTTTGAAATCGTTCTTGAGGCCAGGCCTGGTGGCTCACACCTATAAAATCCCAGCACTTTGGGAGGCTGAGGCGGACAGACGACTTGAGGTCAGGAGTTCCAGACTAGCCTGGCCAACATGGTGAAACCTGTCTCTACTGAAAATTTAAAAATTAGCCGGGCATGGTAGCAGGCGCCTGTAATCCCAGCTACTTGGGAGGCTGAGGCAGGAGAATTGCTTGAACCCAGGAGGCAGAGGTTGCAGTGAGCCAAGATTGCGCTACTGCACTCCAGCCTGGGCCACAGAGTGAGACTCATCTCAAAATAAATAAATAAATAATCTTTCTTGATACCAAATCTCTCATTAAGCATCTGGAAATCTCATACTTTCTGTCTCGTCTACTATGGAGGAAAGCACCTCATATGTTCTGCCTAAGCACCCCACTATACTGTTCAGAAGTTTCTATCTCTCCATTTTTTAATTGTGGTATAATACACATAACATGAATTTACCATCTTAACCATTTTGTGGGTGTGTGTTTTGTTTGTTTGTTTGTTTGTTTTTGAGACAGTGTCTCATTCTGTCTCCCAGGCTGAAGTGCAGTCAGTGGCACCATCTCAGCTCACTGCCACCTTGGCCTCCTGGGCTCAAGTGATCCTCCTACCTCAGCCTCATGAGTAGCTGGAACTACAGGCACGCACCACCACAAGCCAGCTAATTTTTTTGTTTTTTGTAGAGACGTTTTGCCATGTTGCCCAAGCTGGTCTCAAACTCCTAGCCTCAAGCAATCCACCCGCCTCAGCCTCCCAGGGTGTTGGGATTACAGGCATAAGCCACCACACCTGGCCTCTTAACTGTTTTTAAATGTGCAGTTCGGTAGTGTTAAGTATGTTTACAATGCCGTGCAACCAATCTTCAGAACTATTTCATCTCACAAAACTGAAGGTCTGTAACATTGAACAATAACTTCCTATTATCCCCTCTCCCCAGTACCTGGCAACCACCATTCTATTTTCTGTTTATAAATTTGCTCACTTTCAATATGCCATGTAAGTGGAATAATACAGTACTTTGTGTGTGACTGGCTTATTTGACTTAGCATAATGTCTTCAAGGTTCATGCATGTTATAGCATGTCACAAGATTTCCTTTCTTTTTAAGGTTAAATAATATTCAGAAGTAACTATATTTTTAAACTATTTTTAAATTTTTAATTGTGAAATTAAGGGCATCTATTCTAAGGATACCTAAGAATGACAATGCCTAGAAACATTAAACCTGTCTACCCATCCACACTAGGTAGCCTCATTCTTGAATATGACCACCAACATATTTGTATTAGCTTCTTTAATTCACCTGAGGACATTTAAAGTGTGTCAAAATTGATCTGTATGTGGCAGCAAAACACCCGCCTTGAAGATGAGTGCTAACCTATACTCAGGATCAATCTCATGCAGAGCTGAGTACAAAATGAAAATGCAGGTCCCTGTGTGAGTGCACAGATTGTATGTTTTAGAAGCTGGCACTGCCTGTCTTAAAAGTGCTTCTCCAGAAAAATGCTGCCTTGAAATTTCTGCCTATGTCTAAAACCTTGACTTTTTTTTTCCTACTGCTATCCTTGAAATTTATCAAAGTACTGCCCTTATATTGTCCTATTAGGAAATCCCCCTTGGGCCCCTGCTTTTGTGAATTATATCTTACCCAAGTGGGATGAATATCACAGGGTTGGTACCTGTACCCTAGCTCCAAGAGTGCCAAGGAGAATTCCCCAAGCATGTTCTGGTTTACTTTGATTTTTTTTTTTTTATTATATCTGCCAGCTGCATTTCCCAAGTGCCTTTTATTTTTTGAGACAGGGTATCTCTCTCTCACCCAAAGTTGGAGTGCAGTGGCATGACCATGGCTTACTGTAGCCTTGACCTCCTGGGCTCAAGCAATCCTCCCACCTCAGCCTCCTGACTAGCTGGGGCTACAGGCGCACATTACCACAACCAGCTAATTTTTTGGTAGAGATGGGGTCTGGCTATGTTGCCCAGGCTGGTCTCAAATTCCTGGGCTCACGCAGTCTTCTGGCCTCAGCTTCCCAAAGTGCTGGGATTACAGGTATGAGCCACTGTGCTTGGCCTAAAAGTTTATTACATGATAGATCTCTGAATACCTTGTGAGTCTCTTCTCTGATAGTTTATTCGAGTTATTTTATGTTTCCTTGGGACAAATTTGAAACATATTTTTCTAACTGGTGATTTCCTTTAGGTTTTCTCATTAGTTTCTATGATATTAAATGTTACAGTTGCTTATAATTTCATTCATCAGTGAAGAGTCTGTGATTATCTCCTTTTTCATCTTAATTCTGTATTTTTGTTTCCTTCTCTCCTTTTTAAAAAAATTAATCTGGCTTGGGAAAAGTTTATCTCTCTTACTATTTTTTCAAAGAATCAACTTTAAAATTTTCTTTTTATTATTTTTTCTACTTACATGTCATTATTTTCAGCTTTTATTTTTATTATTCCCCCTTCATACTTTTTAAAAGAATATCTTATGAATTTTTCTAATTTATTAAGATTACTATCAGGTTTGTTTTTATTATAGTCTTTCTTCGTTGGAAATTAATGAGAATTAATAATATTAATAATATTAATAGAATTCCAGCCAGGCGCAGTGGCTCATGCCTATAATCCCAGCACATTGGGAGGCTGAGGCAGGTGGATCACGAGGTCAGCAGTTCGAGACCAGCCTGACCAACGTGGTGAAACCTCGTCTCTACTAAAAATACAAAAAAATTAGCTGGGCGTGGTTGGCAGGCACCTGTAACCCCAGTGACTTGGGAGGCTGAGGCGGGAGAATCACTTGAAACTGGAAGGCAGAGGTTGCAGTGAGCCAAGATTGCGCCACTGCACTCTAGCCTGGGCAATAAGAGCAAAACTCCGTCTCAAAAAAAAAAAAAAAAGACTAATAGAATTCCTTCAGAATGCAGCTTTTACTGTATTCCATTCCCTCCATTTTGCATATTTTCCTTTCTAATCTGTTTTGATTTTCTCACTAATCCAAGATTTTTAGAAATGTTTCCTTTTTTTCTTTTCTTCTTTGTTTTATTTTTTTTTTTTTTTTGAGAAAAAGTCTTGCTCTGTCACCCAAGCTGGCATGATTATAGCTCACTGTAACCTTGAACTCCTGTTCTCAAGTGATCCTCCCATCTCAGCCTCCCAAGTAGCTAGGACTACAGGGAGGCACCACCATGCCTGGCTAATTTAAAAAAAAAAAAATTTTTATAGAGACAGGGTCTCACTATGTTGCTCAGGCTGATTAAAAACTCCCAGCCTCAAGCAATTCACCTGCTACAGCCTGGCAAAATGCTGGAATTACAGGCATGAGCCATCACATCTGGCCTAGAAATGTGTTAATTTATAGGTAATTGAGTCTTTTTGTGTATCTTTTTTACACTTATTTCTAATTTTATTGTGTTATACTCTAAGCTTTTTAAACATTTGGCGTGAGATTTTCTTTAAGGCCTGCAAACTTTGTGAAAATTTTAAAATTTTGTTAGAAGTTTTTCTTTAAGACCAATTACCAATTTTTATAAATAATCCATGGACATATGGGAAGAAATATACATATATAATATATAATATATGATACATATATTATATAAAAGATATATGGTATATATAATATATATAATATATATGATATATGATATATATGATATATGATATATATCATATATATAAAATATATATGATATATGATATATATCATATATATAAAATATATATAATACACACACACACACACACATATCCTTACTTAAAAGATACAAAGACCATATCTACTAACTTGAAATTTTTGACTATATCATTCAATTTCCCAGTGTCTTTACTTACTTTTTTTTTCTTTTAAGATGGAGTCTTGCTTTGTAGTCCAGGCTGGAGTGCAGTGGCTTGATCTCGGCTGAGTGCAACCTCTGTCTCCTGGGTTCAATCGATTCTCCTGCCTCAACCTCCCGAGTAGCTGGGATTACAGGCCTGTGCCACTATGCCAGCTAATTTTTGTATTTTTAGTAGAGACAAGGTTTTACCATGTTGACCAGACTGGTCTGGAACTCCTGACCTCAAGTGATTCAACTGCCTTTGCGTACCAAAGTGTTGGGATTATAGGCATGCGCCACCATGCCCAGCCTTTAATTACTTTTAGACTATTAAGTTTCTCTGATTCTGAAAGATGTATATGAAAGTCTTCCATAAAATAAAATCTCCCAATAACAATTTTAAAAATCATTATATTTTATCACCTTTCCTTTCCTTAAATTTAGCTCCATGTTGTTTGGTACATACAGGTTTATGATGTAGTAATACCTTTATATGTTGTAAGTCATACACTAACATAATGTCCATCTTTCTGTTGTTTTATTTGTATTACTTCAGTGTATCACTTTGGTTTTAAAACTTTTTTACCCCATTTTAAATGTCTTTCTCATAAATAATATAGAGATGGGGGTTGTTTTCTGTTATAATATTTTAGAATTTGTTAATAGAAAAATTAATTTACCTCATTTTTAGTAAAATTGACCTTTTAGTTTTATTCTTTTTGTCATCATATTTACTATTTATTTAATTTTTCTCTTTTCTTTGTCTTTGCTTTTATGGTTTTGACAAGTTGCTCTTCATTCTCTTTTCTCCCTTCACTAACTTGAAGATTTTATTGTAATTTTTTATTCCACCATTGATTACCTTTTATTTTCCCTATAGTTATATATTTCTTTAGTATAATGTTATATGGAAACAAGAGAGCAAGAGAGCACCCTTTTTCTCTTATGGAAAATGCTTAATTCTCCCACTGTTTATTCTCTTCCCCTAAAGACCCTCAGAATCCTCTTAGTTCCCCACTTAGTGCAAATATTAGATCACTTTTACTTTCCCCCATCTATCCAACATACCTCAACTCCTAGGTTGTTGTTGTTTTGTGTGTGTGTGTGTGACAGAGTCTCGCTCTGTCGCCCAGGCTGGAGTGCAGTGGCGAAATCTTGGCTCACTGCAACTTCCACCTCCTGGGTTCAAGCGATTCTCCTATCTCAGCCTCCCGAGTAGCTGGGATTACAGGCATGCACCACCACCCCTGGCTAATGTTTGTACTTTTAGTAGAGATGGAGTTTTGCCGTGTTGGCCAAGCTGGTCTTGGACTCCTGACCTCAGGTGATCCACCTGCCTCAGCCTCCCAAAGTGCTGGGATTACAGGAGTGTGCCACCATGCCAGGCCAGCTCCTACGTTTTGAAGAGATAGTTTAGTCCTTTGTGTTCCTGGCCATTAGCAGGTTTTCCCTCTAATGAATTGCATCTTTTGTTTTTCAAGACATTTTATTTAATGTTTAAATTATACTTTCCTAGGTACTCTATCATTATCCTTTTAACCACATGTCAATGTGAAATAAGTCTTCTGCCACATATTAAATCTCTGTTCCAGTAACCTTGTTGTTTGGCAAGAGCTCTTAGTGGCATATGCAAGTGAGAGAGTCTATGAATTCTTGTTTGTCGGCAAATATCTTTCTTTTACCCTGGCAGGTGAATAATATTTTGGTTGAATGTTAAATCCTTGAGTTGCAGTCACTTTCTCTCAGTAGTCTGAGGATGTTACATGAATGTATTTTTCCTTCCAGTATTGCAGTCACATACTAGTTTGTTTCTTTTGTTTTTTGTTGGTTTGTTTGTTTGAGATGGAGTCTCGCTCTGTTGCCCAGGCTGGAGTGCAATGGTGCAATCTCTGCTCACTGCAACCTCTGCCTCCTGGGTTCAAGGGATTCTCCTGTGTCAGCCTCCCAAGTAGCTGGGATTACAGGCGCACACCACCACACCTGGCTAATTTTATTTTATTTTATTTTTTGAGACAGAATCTTGCTCTGTTGCCCAGGCTGGAGTGCAGTGGCGCGATCTCGGCTCACTGCAAGCTCTGCCTCACGGGTTCACGCCATTCTCCTGCCTCAGCCTCCTGAGTAGCTGGGACTACAGGCACCTGCCATCACACTGGCTAATTTTGTTTTTGTATTTTTAGTAGAGACAGGGTTTCACCGTGTTTGCCAGGATGATCTTGATCTCCTGACTTTGTGATCCGCCCGCCTCGGCCTCCCAAAGTGCTGGGATTACAGGCATGAGCCACCACGCCCGGCCTAATTTTTTGTATTTTAGTAGAGACGGGGTTTCACTGTGTTGCCCAGGCTGGTCTTGAACTCCTGAGCTCGGGCAATCCACTCGCCTTGACCTCCCAAAGTGCTAAGATTATAGGCATGAGCCACCGCATCCAACCATTTGCTTCTTTTTCTTTCTGCCTAGAAATATATAAGATTTCCTCTTTATTTTTCCAGTTCAGAAATTATTTTTGATCAATCTGCCTGGAGCTCAGTGTGTCTTCTTTCCCCTTCTTGATATTTCTTTTTGATTTTTCTGCAACTCCTATTATTTGCATGGGAAGTTTCTTAGATCTGAGTCCTTTATCATTTTCTTCATGATTTTTATTTTTTTATATTTTTGTTCTGGGTTGTGATATATTTCTACCACTTTTAGACTTCCAGGCCACCATTTCAGATCTCAACAATGATCATCCTCCCTTTTAGTTTATTTACTAATGCTTCTAGCTCACAAATCAAGATTTTTGTTCCCAGAAATTTTTGTGTGGGGATCGGGGGTATTCCATGAAAGGGTCCATATATGTGAAGTGAACCCCAATGTTGAAGGAGCCAAGAAACCAAAGGATGAGGCAGACAAATTCAGTTTCTCAGCATTGGGTGATTTATGAAGGGAACTTACAGAGAGAAGTGTGGTCTTGGGCAGCCAAGAAACAGGTAGAGCTCTGCCCCACAGGGCCTCAGACCCAGGGCTTATATCATGGGAAAAAAGCATAAGTACCCTGGAAAGAACATGTAGGTGACTTTGGGGGTCACAGCATATGATTTCTGCAATGAAGGTTGTTTTGGAAGAAATGTACAATGAATAGGTGTTCCTACATAAGGAGTAATACATCAACTACATATTTTGGAGGCATTCCTGGACTCAGGCTTAGTCAGGCAGATTAGCAGTTAAAATAAAGTCAGTCTTGTCCCCACATGGGGGCTGCTAGAGTTCTTGTAAATGCTCTTATCATTTTTTGGTTCAGGTTGTCATTTGTTTTCTCCAACAGTTCCACTTTCGTGGGGACTGCCGACTTTCTGCTTGTTTGCCGTTTCTCTGGCTATTGGGTCCCTTAGGTATTCTTTGCTATTTTCCCTCAGTGGCTCACTCAGGCCTGGGGAGAACTTACAGTGGTAGCATCTTAGTCCATTTGGGCTACTGTAACAAAAATCCTGGCAGGACATGGTGACTCACACCTGTAATCCCAGCACTTTGGGAGGCCAAGGCGAGATGATGGCTTGAGCCCAGGAGCTGGAGACCAGCCTGGACAACATGGCAAAAACTCCATCTCTACAAAAAATACAAAAATTAGCCAAACATGGTGAAGCATGCCTATAGACCCAGCTAGTCAGGAAGCTGAGGTGGGAGGATCACTTGAGCCTAGGAGGTCGGGGCTGCAGTGAGAGGTGATTGTAGCGATTGTACCATTGCACTCCAGCCTAGGCGACAGAGCAAGACTCTGTCTCAAAAAAAAAAAAAAAAAAATCTCCTAAATTAGATGGCTTATAACAGTTTATTTCTTACAGTTCTAGAGGCTGGGAATTCCAAGATCAAGATGTCAACAGATTCAGTGTTTGGTGAGGGCTCACTCTCTGCTTAATAGACGGCATTTTCTATCTGTGTCTTCACATGGCAGAAGGGGTGAATGAGCTCCCTTTGGTGTCTTTTATAAGGGCACTAATTCCATTCATGAGGGCTCCATCACCTCCCAAGGTCCCACTTCTTAAAACAATTGCACTGGGGATTAGGTTTCAACATATGAATTTGTCAGGGAGGGATACAAACGTTCAGACCATAGCAGGCAGCAGTACCATGAGTGGTGGAAGGAACACTACTATCTCCCCACATGGTTCAGCTGTGCAACCACTGCCCAGCTGACAGAGCCCACCTGAACACAAGGAGGAAGCCTCTCTCTCCCCAGTCTCCTCAGCTGACTGGCTGTAGGCCTTGCAGGTAGAAAGAGCTTAGCTCCCTCACTCCTTGGCATGGGAGAGCAACCTCTAAGGAATTATTGAGTGGACAAGCACAGCTCCTCCCCCAGGGATCAACAGGCCTTCCCACCTCAAGCATCTAGAGTTTGGTCTGATTCTCACCCCAGGGCTTCTCCGTGGCTGATCTTCAGTCCTCAGCAGACTCAAGTAAGAAAAGTAACTGTGCCTGCTTTCTCCTGTGGAGGAGGGTCCCAGGACCCACCATTCTCTGGGCTCAGGAAAAGCGCAGTGTTTGGATTGGAGATGTGGACAAAGGCAACCAGTATGAGTTAACGCTGCCATGTGCCTAGCGGCTCACAACTTCATCTATTGCCATTACCAAAACTATTATTAAAACAGTTGCCTGGGGCCGGGTGCCGTGGCTCACACCTGTAATCCCAGCACTTTGGGAGGCCAAGGCAGGCGGATCACCTGAGGTCAGGAGTTCAAGACGAGGCTGGTCAACATGGCCAAATACCGTCTCTACTAAAAACACAAAAATTAGCTGGGCATGGGGTTGGGTACCTGTAATCCCAGCTACCAGGGAGGCAGAGGCAGGAGAATCACTTGAACCCTGGAGGCAGAGGTTGCGGTGAGCTGAGATCACACCACTGCACTCCAGCCTGGGCAACAGGGCAACATTTCGTCTCAAACAAACAAACAAAACAGTTGCCTAAAAAATTTACTGAACATTTAAATAGATAATAACTTTAACTTAAACTTTTCAAAATACACATAAGCCCACAATCCTAACGAAAATATTTTCATTTTTCAATGTCCCTTTCTGATCTTTCTCGATTTGCGGGAGATTTTCACATTCTGCAATCGGAGTGCATGTCCAGGTGGTCCTGCCTGGCATCCGCTTCTCTGTGCCGTAGCAGCATGATAACCATGCTAATGGCTGCATCAACAAGGTTTGGAAGCATTCTATGTGTCTGACAATAGAGGAATACCTAAATAAGCAGTCATACATCCATTGTAGGTGATTATTTTCCAGCCTTTATTTTAACAATTTTGCAAATTTTTTTTAATCAGCAACAATTATCCCATCCCCCACTCCATCCCACCTAGTGTTCTTGTTGACTTACCTCTTTAAAGTAAGTGGGTGAGCATTCATGAGCAACTTCCTTTTTCATTAGCCTCTTCTATATTAGACCTCAGAACTATCTTGAGAGCCATTTGACAGTCTCAACTCTGGCCAGGCCATGCCCTCATGGTGACAATCCTGGAGGAAGGATGCTTTAATTTAGCAGAATGAATTCCCTCACTGTGTTCCATGGCCTGGTTCCTCAACTGTGGCTCATCTGCAGCCCTGGATGATATAAGCCTGGTATATTTTTATGCCTTGTGGAATTTCTCCCTCTACAGCTCATTGGTCTTCTTTTTCCAGCTGCAGAAAGGCTGGGCACAATGGCTCCCACCTGTAATCTCAGCACTTTGGGAGACCAAAGTGGGAGGATTGCTTGAGCCCAAAAGTTCAAGACTAGACTGGGCAATGAAGTGAAAACTCATCTCTACAAAAAAATCAAAAGCTAGCCAGGCATGGTGGCGTATATCTGTGTTCCCAGCTACACAGGAGGCTGAGGCAGGTGAAGCACTTGAGTGCAGGAGGTTCAGGCTATAGGGAGCCATGTTTGCACCACTGTACTCCAGTCTGAGCAACAGTGAGACCCTGTTTCAAAGAAAAACAAAAACAAAAACAAAAAAAACATTGTTTGTGTCTGGCCACAGTGGCTCACGCCTGTAATCCCAGCACTTTGGGAGGCTGAGGTGGGCGGATTACTTGAGGTCAGGAGTTCAAGACCAGCCTGGCCAACATGGTGAAACCCCATCTCTACTAAAAATACAAAAAAAATAAATTAGCCAGGTGTGGTGCTCCACACCTATAATCCCAGCTACTCAGGTGGCTCAGGCATGAGAATTGCTTGAAGCCAGGAGGCAGAGGTTGCATTGAGCTGAGATCATGCCACTGCACTCCAACCTGGGCAACAGAGTGGACTCTGTCTTAAAAAAAACAAAAACAAAAAACAAAAAAACATTGTGTGGTAGTGAGATGAGTTGCTTGCCAGCAATGTGGGTCTATATACACACCTCTGAGCAGGCTGGGCTGCCTTTTCCACAACAGCCCTCTATCCCCACTCCACCCCACATTGCCCACCCACTAAAATTCACAGCCACATCTGAGACTATCTTTGGTTTCCAGATCTAAGCCATTATCTTCACATTTTCAGGAAGAATAGATTCTTGAGGGTAGCAGAGCTCTCTTGGGCATTTCTGGTCAAAAACATATAGTTTTATCTTCTTTTCTCTATAGGAGAATTTCACCCAATATAATTAAGATTTCTCCCTTGTCAACAGCTGCAGGGTCCAGCATGCCTGTCACTGTCCAAGCCTTCCCAGAATCTCTGGTCAAAGGTTTTAGGGCAGTGCAGTCTTCTCCTAGTACCGCTTCTTCAAGCACTCTCAGAACTTGGTCTTGTCTTGTCTTTTCTTTTTTTTTTTCTTTTCTTCTTTTTTTTTTCCGGCGGAAAGCGTGGACACAGTCCCCCATTAACACAAATTATGCAGTCGACTTTCCCACATTTGGGGAAATCGCAGGGGTCAGCACATCCGGAGGGCAATGGATGAGACTCACCCTGGGAAAACCATCTTTGTGTTCATGGTATCTCCCCTGCCAGGTAATTATAGAACTTGGTCTTTTCTTCTCTGATCCTGGTGCATCTTTGCAGGAAGCAAAGAAGCTGGGTGCAATTTTCCTTCTCAGCAGCTCTAGTGTCCTAGTCCAAGTGCTGTCTGTCACTATTATGAATCAAGTTACAGGCAGTCTCAGAATCAGGTAACATTGTAATCTGGCTGTATTTTAAAATATGGTTTGAGATGTGTCTAACTCCTGTCAATGCTTGATAAAAGTGAATTCTTCATTATGAATCTTGAATTTCAGTCTAGGCATGAAACTGGACTCCATCTCAAAAGAGTTGACTGTAGTTGATTTATTCACATCCTCAGTCCACTCTTACGAGGCTTTCCATGGCATCCCTCTACTAAACAGCTCCTACTGAGGTCATCAGTGACCTACCTATATCTTGCCAAAGCCAATGGTCCATTCTCTGTCCTTACCTTACCTCTCTGTGGGATTTGGCAAGTTGACCACTCCATCCTTCTGGAAGCCCTTTCTTCTCTAGGCTTCAGGGAACCCACCCTCCTGGAGTCCTCTCTTCCTGCTTTCATTCTTGCCATCCCAGCAGCCCCTTTTCAGATGGCAGTCTGAGTGATATTTTAAAAACATTTGCTAGGCCAGGCACAGTGGCTCACACCTATAATCCCAGCACTTTGGGAGGGCAAGGTGGGAGGATTGCTTGAGCCCAGGAGGTCGAGACTGCAGTGAGCCATGATCGCGCCACTGCACTCCAGCCTGGGTGACGGAGCAAGACCCTGTCTCAAAAGAAACAAACAAAAATTTTACTTAATCACATTGCTATTCCTCCAAAAGCTTCCAATTATGTGTTGGGTAATAACCCAGCCCCTAGCATGATTTATGGTTTGACCCTGCCTTCTTTGCTCAGTCCTCACCCACACTCTTCTGCTCATCCACCAGGCTCCAGCCACACTGGCCTCCTTATATCTGTCAAATTCTCCAGGAGCTTTCAAATTGTTGGGCCTTGGCTGGGTGCAGTGGCTCACGCCTGTAATCCCAGCACTTTGGGAGGCCAAGGCGGGTGGATCACAAGGTCAGGAGATCAAGACCATCCTGGCTAACACGGTGAAACCCTGTCTCTACTAAAAATACAAAAAATTAGCCGGGCATGGTGGCGGGTGCCTGTGGTCCCAGCTATTCGGGAGGCTGAGGCAGGAGAATGCCGTGAACCCGGGAGGCGGAACTTGCAGTGAGCAGAGATCGTGCCACTGCACTCCGGCCTGGGGGACAGAGCGAGACTCCGTCTCAAAAAAAAAAAAAAATTGTTGGGCCTTCTTCTTAGAATGGTCTTCCTGCGAGTCATCACGTGGCTGCCTCCTCTTCACTTGGGTCGCAGCCAAACATCAACTCCTCAAGAGTTTTTCCCTGTCATACCTCTTCCTTCAAGTCACTCCTTTTTCTCTTCACAGCTCGTATTATCTGAAATTTTATTCATTTATTTTCTGGAGTGTGAGTTCATGAAGGTCAGGGACTTTATCTTGTCATATTATACCTAGTACTGAAAACCGCACAGAGCAGGCCCTCAATAAAGACTCATAGGCCAGGTGCAGTGGCTCATGCCTTAATCCCAGCACTTGGGAGGCTGAGGTGGGCAGATCACTTGCAGCCAGGAGTTCGGGACCAGCCTGCCCAACATAGCGAAACTCCTATCTCTACCAAAAATTACAAAAATAACCGGATGTGGTGGTGCACACCTGTAGGCCCAGCTACTCGGGAGGCTGAGGTGTGAAAATCACTTGAACCTGGGAGTTGGAGGTTGCAGTGAGCCAAGACCACACCACTGCTGTCCACCCTGGGTGACAGAGCGAGACTCTGTCTCAGAATAAATACATACATACATATATACATACCATAGACCAGCTCTTAATTATTTTACTGTCCAGTGTTCGGGAGCCCATTCTGCTCATTATATAGACACCTCAACTAGACTGCAAAAAAAAATATAGCAAATCATTTGGTCTGTAGTTGTATGTTTAACAGGTATTAGAATGCCTCAAATTTTTTAGGTTTCTACATTAGAAATACTTGCCCATAAGCAAGCTGAAAGAAAAACGTGAATATAATTGTTGGAAGTTTCTTTTTTACATAAATGCTTCTAATTTGTGGTCAATAAGAAGGTAGGTTAAAGATTCAAGAGAAGTACAAGACCTCCCCTAACTAACCTCTGTCAGTATCACTCACTTCAGCTCCCCTCCCATTGCAGGATACCTATCATGGGTCAGGCACTGGGCTAGATGCTGGGAAATGAGTAAGACACAGGCTCTGACCTTGACTTTACACTCTGACTAGGGACACAAGCACATAAATAGGTAATGTCAGTGTAATGTGGACTGTGCTTCCAGAGGGCCACCCATGAGACACAGGGTTGGCCATTCGGTCTGTCTGGAACATGCAGGGGATATTTTCTCAAGGAGACCACCTCCATGTTTGGCCCCTACTAAGATGTATCACATTTCCTCATGGTGTTCTTGTGTTTTATAGAGTATTTATAAACCACCTGTCTGCTTTCTGTTCTTTTGAAACAAGAGGAATTTCTTTAGTTATATTTCCAAAGATTATATGATACATATGATATGATATATATGATATATCAAGTGTCTTAGTCCGCGTGGACTGCTGTAACAGAGTGCCATAGATTGAGTGACTTCTAAACAACAGAAATTTATTTCTGGAGTATGGAAAGTCTAAGATCAAGGCGTTGGCAGATTCGGTGTCTGGTGAGGCCCACTTCCTGGTTTCTAGATAAACATCTTCTTGCTGTGTCCTCACATGGCAGAAGGGGCAGGGATCTCTCTTGGGTATCTTTAATAAGAACAAGGATCTCATTCATGAGGACTCTGCTCATGACTTCATAACCTCCCAAAGACCCCACCTCCTAGTACCATCACATTGAGGATTAGAATTCAACATATGAACGTTGGTGGGACACAAATATTCAGTCTATATCATCAACATTGTTTTTTTCTTCTTGATAGCATTGCATTTTTATCTGATATAATTAGATTTTCTGCCCAGAGGCCTTTGTGAAACTTTCTGACAGTTAATTGCTAGAATGTTTTTTTAACCTTCTTACCATTGAACTTTCTGGGATGAGTCTTATATTACCCAGATCAGATATGTTCCAGGTCAGCGTATTTGGAGATGAAAGTGACCCTTTTAAAATTTCACTGAACCAGTAATGAACATATCAGTCAAAATAAGATTTTAATTATTAAACTAGACTAAGATCTTTTTATTAGAACCAGCCAAACTGTCAGTCATCAGTGTTGTTCTGTTCCATATTTAATATGTAATATTTAACCATATTTAAATACATTTAAGTTACCTATTTAAAAAAACCTTTAGACTTTCTGTCTTTTCAATTGATGCCCAGTCTTCTTTCATTTCGTGGTTATTTTCTCTGTTTTAACCATTTAATTCTAGACAATATGGCTTGCTGGTTTCTATCTTTTGCTCCACAGGCCCTCGTTTCTTTAAAGTTAATGAAATGCTCCTGTCAAATAGAAAAGTAACTTGTTAGTTCTTCTATAACCAAAGGACACTATGCTTGCCTGACACAGCCCTACAAGGGACTTGACTGTAACCATTTTCTTTGTATTGAAACTACTTTTCAGCTTCTGTGATAGTATTAATTCCTAGTTTTCCACCAAACTCACTAAGTGCTTTTCAAATGACAGAGCTGTGATGCTCTTGGAGACAGGACTGAGCTAAATGTGCAAAGAAAATAAGGTAGTAGTGGTGGGGAAATTCTGAGGAGCTGCAGCTTGCAGGAAGCTGGACAAAATGCCAAGAGAAATGAAAACTAGGTTGGTTTGGATCTAAGTAATCTCCTGAAAGAGAAAATTGTTATCAGGCATAATTTTAGGGAAACATATATAAACATATTCTTGGCTGCAAGACCCTACATGAATAGCTTCTCCACATACACACACATCCAGGCTCACACAGAAGCTCAGACCTCATGTCTCATGACTCTTGCGTTGTTCACTCTGCTACAATCAAGACAGGCCTTGGCCCCATTTGAGCCTTTGCTCTGGCTATTCTCTCTTCCTGGAACACCCTCCCCTACAAATACCTAGGGTGAATTCACTATCTTTGAGTCTTTGTCCAAATACCACATTCTTAAGGAGGCTGTAAGGGAGAAAAAGTAACATTTTCTCACCCATCACAAAGTTCTCCCATCACAAAGACCCCTATAACAAAAGCAGACCAACAGGGGAAGCATACAAATATACTTAATGTAAGTTTAACATGGCATGGGAGACTTCAGAAATAAAGACTTAGGGAAACAGGGAAAACTGTATTTTTGTAGAGGGTCATGCAGAAATATGATTGGAGAGCAAAGGGATATGGTAATTAACTGGGAGGAACTTAGCAAGGCCTATTTGATCAGATTTTTCTCTGTGTCTTCATTCATTTCCTCTGGGTATAGGGAGGACCTTTCTAGAATGGAGGGCCTTATGACCTGCTTTAGAGGAAGATCAAACAGTTCTTCTATGGCCTGTTTCAGGGGAGAACAGTGGGAGGAGGGCAGAGGGACCTTTCTGCTTCTGTTATTTTCTCAAATGCCAAAGTGTCAAACTTTGGGGTAGCATGTCCTGAACCCTGTCAAGGCCTTCTTTGATGATTATATTTAAAACTGCAAAGTATCCCTGTCAAATGCTGGCTTTCAAAAACTATCACAGAAACAACCTATTGATAAGACAAAGCTGACTACATTCATACTACAATAAGACAGAAAGAGTGTGCACTACCTTGATAGTCTCGGAGCCCACAGGGGGTGAAGTTGGGATGTTTATGAGGTATCTGAGTCAGGTTTAAGGCAGATCTTTCATTGTGGGGGCTTGCTTAGGATTGCATAAAATTATGATATAATTTAGAGTTGGTAGACAGAGCAAGGTGAAGGTTTGAGATGAACCAGCATTTGAGATGAGTCAACAGTCTTTGATCAAACCATTCATTTAAGTGGGTATTTTGGGAAGTTCCTGGAAGAAATGATAAGGTTACATGCAATTGTATCTCTTGGGCAAGAGTTTCCTGGAGTAGTAAAATTATATTGATGAAGACAGAATAGAAAAGCTATGTTAGTGAAGACAGCCCAGTGATAAGAGAATGTTAATGTAGATGGGAAACTGAGCAGTTCTCACTCCAGTCTCCTTTACCTTTACCAGTCCCCTTACATACTTTACATATGCAAGTATGTATAGTCTTACATACTATACAATTTAATCACTACGATTGTTTGTTGGCTGTCTCCCAACATCCCCTCACAGTGAGAGTGTAAGCTCCACTAAACAGTACCTGACATACATTACTATTAATAATAGCAAATACTTATAGCACTAACCATGTATTGGATGCTGTTCTAAGGGCTTTGTATTTATTTCCTCATATAATCCTCACTAACACCTTATGAGAAGGTATTAATATTGTCTGCATTTTAGATGCATAAGCACAGAGTTACTAAATCCATTTGCCCAAGACCACACAGCTGGTAAATGTAGAATCTGGATTAGAATCCAGTGTCTGGCATCTTTTCAACCTCATTACTAAGAGCCTTCCCTGTGGGTGGACATTTTGGTGAATATTCACACAGGAGGTGTTAAAACTATTAATTGGAGGCCATTAGACTGAGGTGGCTCCAGCACCCTGGGTTCCTACAGAAACAAACTGAAATCCTGCTCAGTATAAATAGTAAAATGAAACTTAAGCTTAAACAATCAGAAACTACCAACTAGCCTTTAGCTTAGGAACTTTCCATCAGAATGATCCAAATAAGGCTTGTTCACTTCAGCCAATGAAATGTTTTATCTGCCTTGCTTCTGCCTTCACCTCATAAAAGTCTTCCTCCCTGATCCCACTTTGGTGGCACCTTTGAACCACATGCAATCTGGTGCTACCCAATTCATGCATTGCTATCTGCTCAAATAAAATCTTCAAACAATTTTAGGGCTGGGCGCGGTGGCTCACGCCTGTAATCCCAGCACTTTGGGAGGCTGAGGTGGGTGGATCACGAGGTCAAGAGATTGAGACCATCCTGGCTAACACAGTGAAACCCCGTCTCTACTAAAAATACAAAAAAAATTAGCCGGGCATGGTGGTGGGTGCCTGTAGTCCCAGCTACTTGGGAGGCTGAGGCAGGAGAATGGCGTGAACCTGGGAGTGGAGGTTGCAGTGAGCCAAGATCATGCCATTGCACTCCAGCCTGGGCAACAGAGCGAGATTCTGTCTCAAAAATAAAAAAAAAAACAATTTTAACAAGTTTTATTTTGGCTGGGCACAGTGGCTCACACCTGTAATCCCAGCACTTTGGGAGGCTAAGGTGGGCAGATCACTTGAGGTCAGGAGTTCGAGACCAACCTGGCCAACATGGTGAAACCCATCTCCACTAAAAATACAAAAATTAACTAGACATGGTGTTGGGCACCTATAATCCCAGCTATTTGCGAGGCTGAGGCAGGAGAATTGCTTGAACCCAGGAGGCGGAGGCTGCAGTGAGCCAAGATTGCACCATTGCACTCCAGCCTGGGCGACAAGAGCGAAACTCTGTCTCAAAAAAAAAAAAGAAGTTTTATTTTGTTTTTAATTGGCACTTTATTGTACATATTTATAGGATACAGTGCAATGTTTTGATACATATATACATTGTGTAATGATCAAATCAGGATAAATAACATATTCATTACTTCAAACACTTGTCATTCATTTGCAGTGAGAATATTCAAAACCTTCTCTTCTAAACAACCCACCAAATGAGAGAAAATATTTGCAAACTACACGTCTGACAAAGGATTAATAACCAAAATATATAAGGAGCTCAGACAACTCAATAGAAAAAATCTAATAATCTTATTTTAAAATGAGCAAAAGATCTGAATAGACCTTTCTCAAAAGACATTACAAATAGTCAGTGGGTATATAAAAAATGCTCATCATTTATCATCAGAGAAATGCAAGTCAAAACTACAATGAGGTATCATCTCACTTCAGTTAAAACAGCTTTTATCCAAAAGGCAGGCAATAATAAATGCTGGTGAGGATGTGGAGAAAAGGGAACCCTTGTACACTGTTGGTGGGAATGGAAATTAGGACAGCCACTGTGGAGGACAGTAAGAAGCTTCCTCAAAAAACTGAAGATGGAGCTACCATATGACCCAGCAATCCCACTGCTAGGTATATATCCCAAAGGAAAAAAAACAGTATATCAAAGAGATACCTGCACTCCCATGAATCAGCCTCAGTGTCCATGAGCGGATGAATGGATAAAAAAAATGTGGTACATATACACAATGAAATATTATTCAGCCATAAAAAAGAGATCCTGTAATTTGCAACAACATGTTAAGTGAAGTAAACCAGGCACACAAAGACAAATTTTACATATGTGGGAGTTAAAAATTAAAACAAACTCATTGAGTGAGACAGTAGAATAATGGTTACTGGAGGCGGGGAAGAGTAGTGGGGAGAAGAGTGGATAAAGTGGGGATGATTAATGGGTACAAAATAATAGATAGAATTAATAAGATCTAGTATTTGATAGCACAGCAGGGTAACTATAGTCAATAATACTTTTTTGTATATTTTAAAATAGCTGGCTAGGCACTATAACTCACACCTGTAATCCCAGCACTTTGGGAGGCCAAGGAGGGTGGATCATTTGAGGCCAGGAGTTTGAGACCAGCCTGGCCAACATGGTGAAACCCTGTCTGTAGTCCCAGCTACTCAAGTGATTCTCCTGTCTCAGCCTCCTGAGTAGCTGGGACTACAGACATGTGCCACCACACCCAGCTAATGTTTGTATTTTTAGTAGAGACAGGTTTCACCATGTTGGCCAGGCTGGTCTCGAACTCCTGACCTCAAGTGATCTGCTCACCTCGACCTCCCAAAGTGCTGGGATTTCAAGTGTGAGCCACTGCACCTGACCATCTTCCAACTATTTTGAAGTATATTGTCATTGACTGTAGTCACCCTACTGTGCAATAGAACCCAGAACTTGTTCTTCCTCCTACTAACTATAACTTTATACTCTAAACTCTCTAAAATTTTAATGTACCTAAGTTTATCTTTCAATAGCAGCAAATATTTTTCGGTACTGAACCATTTCCAAAAGCCAATCCACAAAGGATGTTCTAAAACTTCCTTGGCAACACCTGCCTTGAGGATTGAAACTGTGCCTGGCACCTCTCCTTCCACTGAACAGCAAACATTTACTTCTTTCACTTTTCTTTCCCTCACTGCCATTGCTGATCAAAGTCCCTTTCCTTCTGATTCACACATTCATTCTTTAGTTGTGTCCATGCAATTAAAAAGCCTACTTAGCAGCATCTACTGACTTTTCATATCTCCCTTATTCAGTACAGAGTTTGACTCTTCAGGGCAGTAAGTCCTATTTCCCTGATTCCAAATTGGATTGAGGCCGAGCGCCGTGGCTCATGCTTATAATCCCAGCACTTTGGGAGGCAGAGGTGGGCAGATCACCTGAGGTCAGGAATTCAAGACCAGCTTGGCCAACATGGTGAAACCCCATCTCCACTAAAAATACAAAAAGTAGCCAGGCATGGTGGCGTGTACCTGTAGTTACAGCTACTTAGGAGGCTAAGGCAGGAGAATAGCTTCAGCCCAGGAGGCAGAGGTTGCAGTGAGCTGAGATTGCACCACTGCACTGCAGCCTGGGCACAGAGCGAGACTCTGTCTCAAAAAAAAACAAAAACAAAAAAACCACATTGGATTGAGGTGTGTGGGCAGTGGATAGAGGTGGCCATTCCTATTGTTCTCATATACTTCCTATAATATCATCGTAAAGATGCTTTAAAAAAAAACAAAAACTTAAACTCTAGAAAACACTTATGGTGAAAATAGCGTGTTATACACAAAGTAACAGCTTCCACTTCAATATTTCTTGTGGTTCACATTGGTATCTAGTTTGCACTAAACACCCCTAAGAAGCTTTCAAGCTCTCCCTACGTTTCAGTGCATTCTGCAGTCAAACGTTTATAAATTCAAAACCTTACTAGCATGAGGTGTCATATGAGAGGCTTGACCTTATATATGTTACCCTTAGAGGCATTAGAATGTAAGCTCCTTGAGGACAGGGATTTGTATCTACTTTGTTTATTGATACCTCTTGTCAGGGAAGAGGGCAACACAGTGAGACCCTGTCTCTAGAAAAATTAATTTTAAAAAATAAAAAGAAATTTAACTTTAAGAAAAGAATAAAAGGAAAAAGAAGGCAGTGAATTTAGGAGAACATTTGACCCCTGATGATATATATTGCCAGGTTGTCTCCAGATAGCATACAACAATCCAAACTTGTTCAAAAAGCAAATAAAAAGAAACTGTAACAGTGTAAATGTGTTTATTTAAGTAGAACTAACTTTTGCCAAGCTGGGCATGGATAGGAGAGGGAGAGTACTCAGTAGTCACAGGCATTTTTAAGACTTGGAAAGCTTAAGTAGGAAAACCTTTAAGAACTGGGCACAGTGGCTCCCACTTGTGATCCCAGCACTTTAGGAGGCTGAGGCAGGAGGATCCTTTGAGCCCAGGAGTCCAAGACCAGCCTGTGCAACATGGTAAAACCCCATCTTTACAAAAAATACAAAAATTAGCCAAGTGTGGTGGTGTATGTCTGTAGTTCCAGCTACTCAGGAGGCTGAGGTGGGAGGATTGCTTGAGCCAGGGAGATTGAGGCTGCAGTGAGCCATGTTCGTGCCACTGCACTCTCTCCTGGGTGACAGAGCAAGACCCTGTCTCAATTTAAAAAAAAAGAAAAAGAAAAGGGCCAGGCATGGTGGCTCACACCTATAATCCCAGCACGTTGGGAGGCCGAGGTGGGTGGATCACAAGGTCAGGAGATCGAGACCATCCTGACTAACATGGTGAAACCCCGACTCTACTAAAAATACAAAAAAAAATTAGCCAGGAGTTGGGGCAGGCACCTGTAGTCCCAGCTACTTGGGAGGCTGTGGCAGGAGAATGGCGTGAACCCAGGAGGCAGAGCTTGCAGTGAGCCAAGATCGCACCACTGCACTCCAGCCTGGGTGACAGAGCGAGACTCTGTCTCAAAAAAAAAAAAAAAAAAGAAAAGAGGCCAGGCGCGGTGGCTCACTCCTATTATCCCAGCACTTTGGGAGGCTGAGGGAGGTGGATCACCTGAGGTCAGGAGTTTTAGACCAGCCTGACCAGCAAGGTGAAATCCCATCTCTACTAAAAATACAAAAATTAGCCAGGTATGGTGGCAGGTACCTGTAGTCCCAGCTACTAGGGAGGCTGAGACAGGAGAATTGCTTGAACCTGGGAGGCAGAGGTTGCAGTGAGACAAGATCGCGGCACTTCAGTCCAGCCTGGGCAATAGAATGAGACTCCCTCTCAAAAAAAAAAAAAAAAAGAAAGAAAGAAAGAAAGAAAGAAAAGAAAACATTTAAGAACTTATAAATGCCCTTTCTCATCTCATCCAGCGTTGGGACGAGGCCTGCAGAGGATGTGTTCTGGGTATTTGGTGGCCCTGCTGGTGAGCACTGGTGTTCCTTGAGGTCAACCTGTGCTGAGGACAGGAATATTTCACCCAAGTACATAACTAAGAGAAGATCACTCCCAGAAGATTTCATCCCCAAAAGCAAGAAGGTGAAGGACACTTGTACCCAGACAGTGAGATCCACTGCCTCCTTGCCATGCTTTTAGCTCCCCCCACAGCTGAGCCCTCCTGACCAGAAAACCTGACGGGGCCACCTTCTTCATCCCTCAGTCTCACAGAGGTCCCATAAAACTGAACCAGGCTTGGTGCTGACAGTGGGCCAGGGCAATGTAGGCTCACTGGAGCTGGGTGAGAGTGTGACAGGGAGCGTCAAAGTCAAAATAAAAATATAAAGACAAATCTCTAAATGTAATATTTCTCCTTAGGAATCACAGAATTGCAATTTGGTGCACACACACAGATGGGGTGGTCTTCAGTGTGTCCGAAGGACAAAGAGAAGGTTAGGAGTTTTATTAGAAAGGGAAATATTACATATGGTTTTGAAAGAAAGCTCGTTGGCACTGGAGAAGATTTTGGGAGCTGGCAAGCTCCGATTGGTGAGTGACAGTAGTCGGTAAAGCTAGTCGTAGAGTCACAGCAGGGCATTTCAGCAGCTACTGGGTAAAACTGATCTTACCTATAGCAGGCCATTGCAGCAGCTGGGCTTGTGGAGAATTCAGTTATTGGATCAGTGCTATGTGCCCTGATGCTTTTCCAACCTGTCCTTTCTACTTTGATTTAGTTGGGTATCACAAGAATGACCCAATTTGCATAATAAACATTCAAAAGAAAAAGTAGCCAGCGCTGGTGCTGGTTCAAGAGGATGCTGTGTAGGCTGAGGCTGGGGACAGGCACACCATATTATGTCTAAGCAAAATGGCCAGGTCTAGTGCTTCGGCTGCAATGAGGAGGGTGCCGTGGGAAGGGACGCATCAGTGGAGGTCTCAGAGATGGTCCCCGGAAAAGTGGAACTGCAAGAGAAGTTGATACAGGTGTCAGCAGGAGACAGTCATATAGTGGTCCTCACAGAAGATGGCCATGTCTTCCTCTGAGGCTGCTTCCAGAACAATTACAGTGTGATCAGGCTGTTAGATCCCATGAAGAAGAGCATGATGATTGTGCAAGTGCAGCTGGACATGCCCACGGTGAAGTTGGCCTCAGGAAATGGCCACTTGGTGATGCTGACAGCTGACAGTGACCTAGATACCTTGTGCTGTGGGAGCAAGGCCATCTGGGCCTTGTGCTTGAATTATGTGCCAACCGTGATGGCCGACAGGGCATGATTCCTGGTCCCCCAGATATGATGCTGAAATTCAGGGGAAGCTGGGACCTGATGCCCTTCTGTAGCACCTGCCTCACCATTCCATCCCCTATAAAGGGCACATACACAGAATATGGCTTTGGCCTCTTCAACAACCATCAGCTTGGAACCCCAGGCACAGAATCTTGCTTCATACCCCAGAACCTGGGATCCTTCAAGAACTCTACCAAGTCCAGGCCAGGCGCAGTGGCTCACGCCTGTAATCTCAGCACTTTGGGAGGCTGAGGCGGGCGGATCACAAGGTCAGGAGATTGAGACCATCCTGGCTAACAAGGTGAAACCCCGTCTCTACTAAAAATACAAAAAAAATTACCTGGGCGTGGTGGTGGGCACCTGTAGTCCCAGCTACTTGGGAGGCTGAGGCAGGAGAATGGCGTTAACCAGGGAGACGGAGCTTGCAGTGACCCGAGACCATGCCACTGCACTCCAGCTTGGGTGACAGAGCAAGATTGCGTCTAAAAAAAAAAAAAAAAGAAAAAAAAAAGAACTCTACCAAGTCCAGGTAGGCTTCTCTGGTGGCCAGCACCATACAGTCTTCGGGGATTCAGAAGGAAAAGCATGCAGCCTGGGCCAGGCTGAATATAGACGGTGGGCCTTCATGGGTGCTAAGGAGAAGAACATGCCCACCCTCATCTCCAGGCTGGTGCCATCTTCTCAGTCTCCTCAGTGGCTTTGGGCCTCTGTAGGGTAAACTGTGATCAGTGATGGACGTGTTTTTGCCTGGGACATGGACAGCAACTACCAGCCGGGCTTAGAGCGGGATGAGGATGCCTGGAGCTTGGTGGAGATGACAGGCAAAGAGCTGGAGAACCATGTGGTCCTCTATTAGTCAAGGGCAAGGAGTGGAGCTGATGAAGCCTCTGAGCGACCGGTTCATGGCCCCAGGACCCTTCCACACAGAACAGGGAAGCAGTGACAGCTACAAATTCTAGCAGGCCTCTCCTAGCCCTGAGCACTCTGCCATTTGTCTTTTTCCCATCAGCATGACAGAATCCTTTTCTTCTTTGTCTTCCTCCTTTCTGGAATCATCCTGGGACCTGTAGGATGAAGTAGGGGATGAAAGAGGGGATGTCAGAAGGGGCATTGCTCACCCCAGAGCTAAGTGGTTAGACCTTTCCTCCCATGTCCCTGTCTTTCATGGCCCTGACTGATTCTGGCTTTGCCTATCAAAAAATCAAAATATGGCTGGGCACAGTGTCTCACGCCTGTAATCCCAGCACATTGGGAGATCGAGGCGAGCAGATCACTTGAGGTCAGTAGTTCGAGACCAGAGCCAAGATAACTCCACTGCACTCCAGCCTGGGCAGCAGAGTGAGTCAACTCCAACTCAAAAAAAAAAGTTTACTTCACCCCTGGGGGTTTGTTGTCCATGCTCTGAGGAGCTGGGGCTCGATCAAGCTGCACTCTAGTCATGTGCCATTTGTGCTGTCCCTAACATCCACAAGCAGATACTTGGTACAGTCATCAGACTCAGCTGTCATGAACCCATGCCTAGGGAAACCAGAGAAGAGGCAGAGCAACCCTGTAGTGAAAAAGAGAAAAAGCCCCTACTTCATCCTCTGAAGGTTTGCTGAAAAGGCAGATTAGTAAGAGAAAAATGCATGCAAAATTTATTTTAGCATGCATAGCATGGGGGAATCACAAGAGAATGATTGCCCAGTGACCCAACAGGGTGCAGGTGCTTATAGGCCCTTCTTCATAGGGGAAGGGGAGATGGGAGGTGCAGGAGAAAATGATTTTCAGGGGGAAAGAATGGACCCAGTGCTCCGAGAATGGTGAGTAAATAGTTTTCTTTGGGGATTGAACAGGACTGGAGAACAAACAATGGTTTAGGACAATTTTTCTGGGCTCTAGGTTTGGCACAGTCTCTTCCTCTGTGATATGAGTTTTAATCTTCTCTGATTAATGAAATTTCAAACCGGGTACAGTGGCTCAAACCTGAAATCCCAGCACTTTGGGAGGCTGAGGTGGGCAGATCGCTTGAGCTCAGGAGTTTGAGACCAGCCTGGGGAACATGGTGAAACCCTGCCTCTACAAAAAATTTAAAAATTAGCCAGATGTGGTGGCATGTGCCCATAGTACCAGCTACTCAGGAGGCTAAGGTGAGAGGATTACTTGAGCCTGGGAGGCTGGGGCTGCAGTGGGCAGTGATCACAGCACTGCACTCTAGCCTGGGTGTCAGAGAAAGACCCTGTCTCGAAAAAAAAAAAAAAAAAAAAAAAAGAACAAAAAGAACAAAGGAAAAAGAAATTTCAGGGAAGGGATTGAAGATAATTATGTTCCTCTTCAGGGGCCCAATTTCTACGATAAGGGAACTTCAGAGAATGGTCTCATCCTGCACTTTAGGAGGAGAGACAGAAGATCAGAGAGATAGGAAGGGGGCAGGTCAGAGAGACGTTGAGGCTGCTTCTTTTTTTATTCTTTTTTTTTTTTTGAGACGGAGTCTCGCTCTTCCACCCAGGCCGGGTTGCAGTGGTGCGATCTCGGCTCACTGCAAGCTCCGCCTCCCGTGCTCACGCCATTCTTCTGCCTCAGCCTCCCGAGTAACTAGGACTACAGGCGCCCGCCACTGCGCCCAGCTAATTTTTTGTATTTTTAGTAGAGACCGGGTTTCACCGTGTTAGCCAGGATGGTCTCGGTCTCCTGACCTCGTGATCCACCCGCCTCGGCCTCCCAAAGTGCTGGGATCACAGGCGTGGAGCCACCACGCCCGGCCTTTTTATTCTTTTAATAGTAGATATAGGGTCTCACTATGTTGCCCAGGCTGGTCTCTAACTCCTGGCCTAAAGTGATCCTCCTGTTTCAGCCTCCCAAAGTGCTGGGATTACATGCAGGAGACACGAAGCCCAGCCTGAGGCTTCCTCTTTAGTTCCATATTTTGGGGTATCATTTTCTGAGTACCAAAAACCCCAAACCAAATATTTGACTCTGGGCAGGTGTCCATAGGACAAAAAGGACAATAATTCTCCACTCAACCAATAAAAAAGCTAGTGAGCCGATCCCCCAGAAGTCAAAGCATTCTCTGCCCCTCAGGCATCCATCTCACCAGTCAGCCTCACCTGCAGCCCTGGGCCTAGAACTAGAGGAGAAGCCACTCTGGGCAGGGCTTGCGGAGAGAGAAGAGGAGGGTTTTATAAACAATCTTATAGCAATACTGAGAGCAGAGAGACGGGGGAAAGAGTTGGAGAGGCAGGGGCTGGTGCTGAGTGAGAAAAGGAAGTGGCAACTCATACAGTGGCTGACAAAATACACAACAGTTTTGATTATTTTATTTTACTATTGTATTTTATTTTGAGACAAAGTCTTGCTCTATCACCCAGGCTGGAGTGCAATGGCGTGATCTCGGCTCATTGCAACCTCTGCCTCCTGGGTTCCAGCAATTCTCCTGTCTCAGCCTCCCAAGTAGCTGGGATTACAGGCACCCGCCACCACGCCCGGCTAATTTTTGTATTTTTTAGTAGAGACAGGGTTTCACCATGTTGGTCAGGCTGGTCTCCAACTCCTGACCTCAGGTGAGCCACCCACCTCAGCCTCCAAAAGTGCTGGGATTACAGGTGTGAGCCACCGTGCCTGGCCTAGTTTTGATTATTATTAATTGTAAAATATTTTGGAGGGTAGAGCAAAATCTTTTAATACTTTGAATAAATTCAGAGCTCTGTAAAACAAGCCGTTTGTTTTCTTCACACTTCCTGCTTTCTTAAGGGAACACCTGCTGTCTGCCAGGCACTGTGGGGAAGGGCAGAGTAAAGCCATGCCTGAGAACCTGGAGTCCGGTGATGATGTAAGTGATGTCAAGGCCCAAAGTGCCTGTGTGGCTAGTTCAAAGGGCTCTTCAAATCTGTACAAATCCAAGAAGGAGAGAAGAGTTGATTGAGTTATGTTTGGGTATTTATGTTTCAGGAATCATTGGATTTAAAATAAAATGATGTTGCATCATTGAAGAGAAATGAAATGGATCTTTTACTATCTTAATCCCAAAACAAGATTTTTAAGTAGCACATCTCTAGAAAGGCTTACTGAGCTGCCTTTTCAACAGCTGTCATCCTTGTATAAACATGATTAATTGCACAATAACTCTGAAGACAGCTTATGTATATTAGTGTATATTATGTATATTAATTTTCATAAGCACTCAAGTAACCTAATCATATAGGACTGACCTGTCCAATATAGTGGTCACTAGCTGCACATGGCTATTTACATTTAAATTAACCAAACTTATTTAATAATTAAACTTCCTTGGTTGAACGAGCCACATTTCAAGTACTCAGTGGTCACATATGACCAGGGCCCATGGTATTGGACCGTGCAAATATAGAAATATATAGAACAAGGCCAGGCGCAGTGGCTCACACCTGTAATCCCAGCAGTTTGGGAGGCCGAGGTGGGTTGATCACAAGGTCAGGAGTTCAAGACCAGCCTGGCCAAGATGGTGAAACCCCATCTCTACTCAAAATACAAAAATTAGCCAGGCATGGTGGCAGGCGCCTGTAATCCCAGCTACTTAGGAGGCTGAGGCAGGAGAATCACTTGAACCCGAGAGGCAGAGGTTGCAGTGAGCTGAGATTGCGCCATTGCACTCCAGCCTGGGCAACAGAACAAGACTCTGACTCAAAAAAATTATATATATATAAAAAACAAGGCTGGGCACGGTGGTTCATGCCTGTAATCCCAACACTTTGGGAGGCCAACACAGGTGGATCACCTGTAGTAAGGAGTTCAAGACCAGACTGGCCAATGTGGTGAAACCCCATCTCTACTAAAAATACAAAAGTTAGCTGGGTGTGGTGGCACGTACCTGTAATCCCAGCTACTCAGGAGGCTGAGACAGAAGAATCACTTGAACCCAGGAAGTGGAGGTTGTGGTGAGCCGAGATCTTGCCATTGCACTCCAGCCTGGGCAACAAGAGTGAAACTCCATCTCAAAAAAAAAAAAAAAGAAAAGAAAAATGAAATATATAGAACATGCAAATATAGAATATGTCCATCCTTGTAGAAATTTACAATGAACAATGGAACTGGAAAGGTTTTTTAGCACCAGGAGGATTCTTCTTGGGTGGCAGTGACTCTTGAAAAATGAATACAATGAAAAAAGGAACTTATAAGTGAAGGGAAAATATTGCCCTTGTGGAGTTAAGCTAGTAGTATGCATACATATATGCAAAGTGAGCTGAAAAAAAAGACTGGCTTCCAGATTGGAAAGATTATGTTCCCGTAGGGCAAGGGAAAGCTCCCCCTTCACCCTCTGAAGGTTCACTGAAAATCAACTGGCAAAAGGCAGATTACAGCCAGGTACAGTGGTATGCACCTGTAGTCCCAACTACTCAGGAGGTTGAGGAGGGAGGATCCCTTGGGGCCAGGAGTATGAGGCTGTAATGCACTGTGATCATGCCTGTGAATAGCCAGCACACTCCAACCGGGGCGACATAGGGAGACCCCCATCTCTGTTTTTTTAAAGGCAGATTAATAGGCGAGAAGGCATACAAATTTACTTTTTCATACTTTTATATGACACAAGACCCTTCAGAATGAAGGCACAAAGATACAAGGGAAACTGTTCATTCTTATGGTTAGGTTCAACAAAGTATCAACAGCCTTGTGGAAATATAACTGGAGAAAAAGGGCGTGCTCTAAAGCTAACAGGCTGAGCGGGGAAACCCAGCAAAGCCCTTCTGTTTAGATTCCTCTTGGCCTCTCTGAGCAGCATTCCTTCCTTCTGGGTGTGGGGCAGGACCCTCTCTGGAATGGGGGTCTTATGACCTACAAACATGTAAGGTGGGTCAGATAATTTCTTTATAGTCAGTTCTTATACAGAAGGGGCAGGAGGAAAGTTAGAGTAGTATTTTTAGGTTTTGTGGCTGGTTTGGGGGAAAAGAAGTTCTGGTTTCTATGGCCTTGGGGAAGAGGGATTCTAGTTTCTATGGCTGGCCTCAGGGGAGAATGAAGGGCCAGAGACAGCAGGGCAGGAGAAGGTCAGAGAGAAACTTTTGCTTCAGGCTGCTTTTGAGGTCTTATTTTGAGGTATCACTTTCTAAGCCTCAACATTTCCATAGGAAAAATCTACATAAAAATGAAAGCTATCAACCAGACAGTGGACTGTCAGGTAGGGAAATAGGATTATCATCATCACTGTCTTCTTCATTTTCAAAACAACAGGTACTACGCCAGGTGCGAGGGCTCACACCTGTAATCCAAGCACATTGAGAGGCCAAGGCAGGCAAATCACTTGAGGCCAAGAGTTTGAGACCAGCCTGGCCAACGTGGCAAAACCCTGTCTCTACTAAAAATACAAAAGTTAGCTGGGTGTTAGCACACGCCTGTAATACCAGCTACTTAGGAGGCTGAGGCAGGAGAATCACTTGAGCTTGAACCGGGGAGGTGGAGGTTGCAGTGAGCTGAGATCACAGCACTGCAGGCCAGCCTGGGCAACAGAGACTGTCTCAAAAAACACACAAACAGCAACAACAACAACAACAAAACAATGGGTACTATTTGTTGAATTCAGATTGTGGGACAAATGTTCTTTTTTTGTTTTGTTTTGTTTTGTTTTTTTTGAGATGGAGTCTCTCTGTCGCCCAGGCTGGAGTGCAGTGGTACGATCTCTGCTCACTGCAAGCTCCGCCTCCCAGGTTCATGCCATTCTCCTGCCTCAGCCTCCCAAGTAGCTGGGACTACAGGTGCCCGCCACCACACCCAGCTAATTTTTTGTATTTTTAGTAGAGACAGGGTTTCATCGTGTTAGCCAGGATGGTCTCAATCTCCTGACCTCATGATCCGCCCGCCTCAGCCTTCCAAAGTGCTAGGATTACAGGCGTGAGCCACCGCGCCCGGCCGGGACAAATGTTCTTAATTCGCATAGCAACCTGTTGAGGGCGTTGTTATTACACTCATTTTCTTAGAAGAAAATTCAGGCTCCAGGTAACTCCATTGTCTCCAAAAACCTGTCCTCCTAACTACGATGGCAAACTTTCTCTGTAAAGCGTCGGATGGTAAATACGTTAGGTTTTGTCGGTCATGAGATCTTTGCTGAAACTTCCCACCTCTGCTGTTGGAGCAAGAAAGAAGCCATACACAGACATAAGTGAAGGCTGTGGCTGTGTTCTGATAAAACTTTATAGACACTGAAGTTTGAGTTCCATAAATTTTTCTTGTGTCACACACACAAAATATTCTGATTTTGTGTGATACATATACACCACGGAATATTACACAGCCATAAAAAGAATGAAACTGTGTCCTTTGCAGCAACGTGAATGTAGCTGGAGACCATTATCCTAAGCAAATTAATGCAGGAACAGAAAACCAAATACCACATGTTCTCACTTATAGGTACACATATTCAAAGATGGGAACAATAGACAATGGGGACTATTAGAAGAAAGGGGGAGGGAGGGGGGCATGGGGTGAATAACTACCTATTGGGTGCTATGCTCACTACCTGGGTGATGGGACCATTTGTATCCCAAACTTCAGCATCACGTGATATACCCACATAACAAACCTGCACATGTACACCCTGCACCTTAAATAAAAGCAGAAAATACATGTATTCTTATTTTGATTTTTTCCAACCCTTTACATATGTAATCATTTTTCTTAACTTGAAGGTTTACAGAATTGCCCAGGGAGCTATAGTTTGCAGACCTCTGACACGTCTCAAGTTTGACTAAGTAGTCGAAGACGCTAAACTGGCAGCACCCATCCAAGTACGTTTCTGCGGGGAGGGAATCCTACTCAGTGGACAAGAGTCTGTTGTGGAGATGGACACATTAATGCCAACATCTAATGCTTATTCAGGACCAACCATATGCCTAAGCTCCGCACTTTAACTTAGACTATCTCACGTCATCTTCAGAGGAGCTCCATGAAGTAGTTACCTCTGATTTCACCCCTTTACAGATGAAGCAATCGATCCATAAAGAAGTTAACTAGCTTGTCCAAGGTCACACAACTAGTTTGTGGTTGGGTGGGGATTTGAACTGAAAGAGTCTAATGTCGTGCTGAATGCCTTCCGTTAAACATTTAACTGTAGTCTCCCTCTCCCCTGCATTCTTACCCTCCAACCCACAGGCCTTCTCTCAGTTCCTCTCAAACTCTCACTTCCATCTGCCTCTGCTTCCGCACTGCCCAGTACTTTGAATGCTTCCTGCCACACCCATCAGACCTTTTTCTGGATCTTTTTGATTCTTCAGGTCTTAACTCAAATTTCACCTCCTTAAAGAAGCCTTCATTGATCACCCAATTGAAAGAAATAACACAGGTGCGCGCAAAACACACACAAGCATACACACAATTTCTCTGACTCTCTCCTCGTCCTATTCAACATTCTGTTTTTATAGAAGTCATGTCTATTTGAAAATTTGAAATAGTCTTATTTATTCATCTATTTTATTGTCTTCGGTTAGATTGCAAGTACTTGACTTTGTCCATCTTTTACCACATTATAATTAGTTTCTACAATGCCTGACACATTGTAGATGTTCAATATATTATTATTTTATTATTTTTTATTTTATTTTATTTTATTTTTTTGAGTCAGAGTCTCACTTTGTCGCCCAGGCTGGAGTGCAATGGTGTGATCTCCACTCACTGCAACCTCTGCCTCCCTGGTTCAAGCAATTCTCGTGCCTCAGACTCCCGAGTAGCTAGGATTATAGGGGTGCTCCACCACACCCAGTTAATTTTTGTATTTTTAGTAAAGATGGGGTTTCACTAAGTTGGCCAGGCTGGTCTTGAACTCCGTACCTCAGGTGATCCACCCACCTCAGCCTTCCAAAGTGCTGAGATTACAGACGTGAGCCACCATGCCTAGCCACATCATAGATGTTCAATACATTCTAACTCTGTGTTCTGATACTACATTTACTGAGGAGCTTTCAAACTCTATTTTAATTTCATCTATTGGGAGAGATTTGCAACTTATGAAAACTTTTGGTCCCTGTATAGGGTGGATTCTTGCAGGAGGCCAACAAATAATTATTCTGCTTAAGATGTGACTTCGAAGGCATTGACCGCAGCATGATATCTAATGATGCCTTAACCTGAGAGTTACGTTTTCCACTGGAAGTTCATAAATCAGCATTTCTGTTGCCCACTTATGAATTGTGGTTAGTCCTCATCTTCCCCAGAAAGTGTCCCTGGTCCTTGAAAATGAAAGATCATATCTGGCCATTAGGCACTTAGATGACAGATGTTTCTTCAAATAATTCCTTCCAGGATCACCCAGACATGACTGTGTTTGGCTAATTTAGGGAATGGTGCCCTTAACAATCTCTCATCTGCCTCCCCAGTCTCTCTTTTCCTCTTATCACAACCTTCCTACACTTCTCTCTCCTCCTCCCGTCTTCCAATGCAGACCTGTTCCAGGATGTCTCTCTCCTAGTTTTATTCCCTCTTACCCTATAAGATATACCTGCCATGCCTCTTATATCCCAGGGGCCTTACTTTTAAAGACCCTTCCCAGTGAACTCTCCTCGAATGTGAATAGGATCATAGATGATATGAATGTATGGAAGGTGTATGGCTTCCTTCCTTCCTGCCTGCCTTCCTTCCTTCCTTCCCTCCTTTCTTCCTTCCCTCCATCTCTGCTTCTTTCCCTCCTTCTTTCTTTCCTTCCTTCCTTTCTTCCTTCCTTCCCTTCCTTCCTTCCCTCCCTCCTTCCTTCCTTTAGTATCCCAGACTTCAGCATCACGTGATATACCCATGTAACAAACCTTCCTCCCTTCCTTTCTTCCATCCTTCCCTCGCTCCCTCTCTCCCTCCCTCATTCCTTCCCTCCTTCCCTTCTTTTCCTTCCTTCCTTCCTTCCTTCTCTTTCTCTCTTTCCCAAACTTTCTGTAAATTGCTTACATTATTTTATAATTTAAAGTTGATTTTTAGCCAGGTACGGTGGCTCACACCTGTAATCCTAGCACTTTGGGAGGCCAAGGTGGGCAAATCACTTGAGGTCAGGAGTTTGAAACCAGCCTGACCAACATGGTGAAACATTGTCTCTACTAAAAATACAAAAAAATTAGCCAGACGTGGTAGGGGGGGTGCCTGTAATCCCAGCTACTTGGGAAGCTGAGGCAGGAGAATGGCTTGAACCCAGGAGGCAGAGGTTGCAGTGAGCTGAGATCACACCACTGCACTCCAGCCTGGGCAACAGAGTGAAAGTCCATCTCTAAATAAATAAATAAATAAATAAAGTATTTTTTTTAAGTTAAGCCAAAATTCCGTCACAGCCTTCAGAGCCTGGACCAGAGCATACCCCACAAAAGCCATGACAACAAGGGCCGTGTGCATGTTGGAGGCCTAAGGCCTCGTGCTGGCACCATCCACTTTAAACAGAAGGAAAATGGGCGAGCTGTGGTATCGGGACGCATTATAGGATTGACTAAAGTTCAGCATAGATTCCACGTCCATCAGTTTGGAGCTAATAAACAAGGCTGATCTGCACTTTAATCCTCTAACCAAAAAACACGGTGGCCCAAAGGATCAAGAGAGGCATGTCGGAGACCTGGGCAATGTGATGGCTGGCAAAGATGGTGTGGCCAATGTGTCTACTGAAGATTCACTTTCAGAAGATCATTCCATCAGTGGCTGTACAAGGGTGATCCAGAAGAAACAGATGTCTTGGGCAAAGGTTGCAATGAAGAAAGCACAAAGACGAGAAACACTGGAAGTCATTTAGCTTGCGGTGCCATTGAGATTGCCCAATAAACATTCCCTAGAATGTGACCTGAGTGCCAATAACTCCACCATTACCCTGCTAGCTATGAAAATGTAACGTGAGGCTGGGTGCAGTGGCTCACGCCTGTAATCCCAGCACTTTGGGAGGCCAAGGTGCGCAGATAACGAGGTCAGGAGTTCAAGACCAGCCTGACCGAAATGGTGAAAAGCCATCTCTACTAAAAATACAAAAATTAGCCAGGCGTGGTGGCGTGAGCCTGTAATCCTAGCTACTCAGGAGGCTGAGGCAGGAGAATCGCTTGAACCCAGGAGGCAGAGGTTGCAGTGAGCCGAGATCGAGCCACTGCACTCCAGCCTGGGTGACAGAATGAGACTCCATATCAAAAAAAGAAAAAAAGAAAAAGAAAATGTAATGTGATAAATATTAAATACTGTACTTGTAACTGCCCAAGTGGTTCACCTTGCCTGCTGCCTAGACACAGCTGATTCATCAAGACAGAGGAATTGCAATAGACAAAGAGTAATTCAGGCCCGGCGCGATGGCTCACGCCTGTAATCCCAACACTTTGGGAGGCCGAGGCAGGCGGATCACTTCAGGTCACGAGTTCGAGACCAGCATGGCCAACATGGTGAAACCCCATCTCTACTAAAAATACGAAAATTAGCTGGGTGTGGTGGCGTGCAACTGTAATCCCAGCTACTGGGGAGGCTGAGGCAGGGGAATCGCTGGAACCCGGGAGGTGGAGGCTCCAGTGGGCCAAGATCGCACCACTGCACTCCAGCCTGGGCGACACAGTGAGACTCTGTCTCAAAAATTAAGAAAAAAAGGAAAATTTATATGACATCGTAAAATGAAAAGTATTTGCCACAAATAGAAAGTAACTTTAAAATAAATACCACAGAAATAAAACAGTATTCTTAAATCTAGTTTAATACCTTTGCCTGCTGAAGGGTGGGATCTTTTGTTAAAAGGATAATTAACAAGTGTTAGGGATCTTCTCCTAAATTTAATCAGAATGACTGGAGGAACACTGAGTCATTGTTACTTAGTACAATTATTGTCATACCTCTTTTAGGGTCTGTTTGCACTTTAATGAAGCAATTGGGTGCTTGGCTGAAGAGAAAAAACTCTCTCAAAGTTGTTTTTCAGGTGCTAGGGCTGGTGGGGGCAGGAAAGGTAAGGCGCGCATGCCTTAGGGTTAGGTCTGGGTGATCAGGTGGTGTTTTCCTGAAGATAATACATCCTACGGTATCCTAAAGTGTCTGGCCCCACAGGTAGAGATTCAGGTATGTGGGTGACAGACTACTCATTCCCAGGCCTGAACACAGCCCCATAGCTACTCATACAGATATTCAAGCAGGAAAAAGTATGCTTTCTCTTTCTTTTTTTCTTAATAGAGACAGGGTCTCCCTATGTTGCCCAGGCTGGTCTTGAACTCCTGGACTCGAGGGATCCTCCTGCTTCAGCCTTCCAAAGTGATAGGATTACAGGCGTGAGCTACCACGACTGGCCACCTCTCCCCTCCCCTCCCCTCCCCTCCCCTCCCCTCCCCTCCCCTCCTCTCCCCTCCCCTCCCCTCCTGTCCTCTCCGCTCCTCTCCTTTCCTTCCTACCTCCTGCATTTGTTTTCCTTTTCTCTTCTTTCTTTTCTTTTATTTTCCTTTCTTTCTTATATTCCTTCCTTGCTTCCTCCTTCTTTTCTTTCTTTTTTTTTTCCTTTCTTTCTTTTCTTTCTGGATCTCACATCTGTTTCCCAGGCTGGAGTGCCACAGCATGATCTCGGCTCACTTCAGCCTTGACCTCCTGGGCTCAGTGATTCTCCCACCTCTGTATCCCAAGTAGCTGGGACTACAGGCGTGCGCCACTGTGCCTAGCTAATTTCTTATATATTTAGTAGAGACAGGGTTTGCCATGTTGCTCAAGCTGTATTTTCTCTCTTTCTACTGGAAATATTTACTAGGGAAAGGCAGGAAAAAAGACTACAACAAAACTGACAGCAAATGAACTGCTGCAGAAGTGAACTGTCCAAACTGGCCTTGCAAGTTTTCCCCTTCTAATTTAGTCTTTGTTCCTTGCTACAGTTACTGTCACTAACTATAACCAAAGATCTATAGAAGATACATCTATTAATGTTAATTTAGTCTTTGCTCCATGCTACAGTTACTGTCACTAACTACAACCAAAGATCTAGAGAAGATACATCTATTAATATTAGTCTTTGCTCAATGTTACAGTTACTGTCACTAACTACAACCAAAGATCTAGAGAAGATACATCTATTAATGTTAATTTAGTCTTTGCTCAATGCTACAGTTCCTGTCCCTAACTACAACCAAAGATCTAGAGAAGATACATCTATTAATGTTAGTCTTTGCTCAATGTTACAGTTACTGTCACTAACTACAACCAAAGATCTAGAAAGGATACATCTATTAATGCTACAATGTAGTCAAAAGAGCTCTAGATTTGGAAGCAGGAAATCTGAAATCTGTTCCTCCTTTAGCATTTCTTAGCTGTTATGATTACCTTGAGCAATGTATCCCTTGCCTGATCTTTCTCATTTTCCATTAAATCTTCCATTTTCTACCCCTTAGGTGAACAGATTTGCCTTTGACGGCCCAGTGAGCTACTCTTTAAGATGAGAACAACAATATTTTATCCTGTCATGGAAGGCAGGGGACTGGACTAGTTAATTTCTTGTACCCATCAGTTCTGGGATCATAAAATCCTATGAATTAGAGAAAACCAACTGTATGCTGGTGCCAGACTCTTGAACATGAAGCAAGTATGCAACAGACCAATGTTTCAGCATGTGCCTGCCCACATGACAAACTGTTGTTTATAGAGCACCAACTATGCACACAATAATGATGATGACAAGTCATTTTTGAGTGTTTACTCCTCACAACAGCCCCATGAACTAGTTTGTATCATTATCCCCACTTAAAAAATATAGAAACGGAGGCACAGGGAAGCCAAGTCATTTGTCCACAGCACAAAATCAATAAGCAGCAGAGATGACTTTGAACAGAGACCATCTGTTGAAACTGACTGCAAAGAGGCACAGGGAATTTTGAGGGGTGATGGAAATGTTTTTTTATTATAAAATTAAATGTCAAAGGTGGAGAACTGTTTCCCAGAGAGCAGTTTCGAAACTATTTGTAGCTAAGTTTAATTTGTTATATTTTATTTTTATTATAAATTTTTTTTTTTTTGAGAGATGAGGCCTCACTGTGTTGCCCAGGCTGGAGTGCAGTGGCATGATCGTAGCTTACTGCGGCCTCAAACTCCTGGGCTCAAGCCATCCTCCCACCTCAGGCTCCCGAGTAGCTGGGACTACAGGTGTGTGCCACCATACCCAGTTGGAAATGGTCTATGTCTTGATGCAAATGCTCTATATCTGGGTGGTTATAAAACTATAGAACTGTACACCTAAAGAGGGTGAATTTCACTCTATGTAAGTTATATTTTAATAAACCTGACTTTTAGGACAAACGAAAAAACAGAACGAAGAGCAAACAGAATTTAGAACAAACAAACAAAAAAACCCAGAATGAAGCCAAGAGTTAAGGAAGAGAGCAAGGGAGGGAGGTTGGGAGGAAGGAAGGAGGGGAGGACTCTGCAGAGCAGGCTGGAAGCTAGGAAGAATGCCCTGTATGTGCTGACCAGGCAAGCACAGAAGTCGCCTGGAGAGCCACGCCTCTGCTATCTGTTTCCATTGCCTCAGGGAGAAAAACAAAAAGATAATAAATTCAGCTTCTCTTTTTCTTTTGTTGATGGCCTTCTCCTTTCACCTTTGTTTTGTGATTTCGCTTCAGAGGGCAGTCTCTCTTTTTCAACTCAGTTCCAGCTGCTGAAAGTGAAGGCCTAGACATTTGATCTCCTCTTGATTTGACCAGAACACCCTGTTCGAGAGACAGGACAAGCAGTAACACAGGGGTTTTGGCAAAGAATCGGACTGTATTGATCTAAGTAAATGAATGAATACATTAGTGTTTTTGCTGCCAGCAATCTGGTAAGAACTCTTAAACACATCCAGCAAGGGTTAAGTAGGAAACAATGGTGTTCCCTTGCCAACATCCACTGCAGTGTGTGGAGAATTATTTTCAAATTTCTATTTTGGATGCAGGCAGGAAAGGGGACAAGGTTTGAAAAATTATGCTCACTACTTGGGTGATGGGATCATCCGTATCCCAATCCTCAGCATCACACAATATACCCATGTAACAAATCTACATGTATCCCCTGTATCTAAAATAAGAGTTAAAAAAAAATTTAAATTCCGTTTTGGCAAATGCATTTCCTTTCCTATCTCACTAGACTGGAGCCTCTGACCCTCTCAGGACACCCCTCAGGCAGGGGAGTTTCCTCATCACAACCTGTTTGTTTCATCCTGAATTACAGCCCTAAATCCTTTGCTGAGTTGCCATTTTCATTAAATCAAAGTATACTTGTTAGAGACTTAAAGTTGATTAAATAGCAAAATAAACCACTTATCTTCCTATACATCTTCAACTCCCAGAGCTAGTTGTGACAAGGGTTTTGGTGGCCACCAAGAAACCACACTATAAGAATTTTAGAAGAGAGTTACTTTCATTTCATATTTAAATTATTATTATTATTATTTTTTTTTTTTTTTTTTTTTTTTTTTTTTTTTTTGAGACGGAGTTTCACTCTTGTTGCCCAGGCTGGAGTGCAGTGGCGCGATCTCGGCTCATTGCAACCTCCACCTCCCAGGTTCAACTGATTCTCCTACCTCAGCCTCCCAAGTAGCAGGGGTTATAGGCATGCGCCACCATGCCTGGCTAATTTTTTTTGTATTTTTAGTAGAGACAGGGTTTCACCATGTTAGTCAGGCTGGTCTCAAACTCCTAACATCAGGTGATCCACCCACCTCGACCTCCCAGAATCCTGGGATTACAGGCGTGAGCCACCGCGCCCAGCCAAATTGTTTATTTTTAAAAATGTTTGAATGTGTAATTCATTCCTATGTCTAAAAAAACTAAGAGAAAATTACAGAGTGAAGTTTCTTTCTACACTTGTCCCCCATCTACCCAGCATTCCCTTCCTAAAACAAGTTTCTTTTTTATTCTTCCAAGGATTTTAATGCATATGAATATCAATATTTATTTACCGAAGTATATACACCTAGAGGCCAGGTGCAGTGGCTCACGCCTGTAATCCCAGCACTTTGGGAGGCTGAGGGCAGGAGTTTGAGACCAGCCTGGCCAACATGGCAAAACCCCGTCTCTACTAAAAATACAAAAAAAAATTAGCTGGGCATGGTGGTGGCAGGCGCCTGTAATCCCAGCTACTCAGGAGGCTGAGGTGGGAGAATTGCTTGAACCCAGGAGGCAGAGGTTGCAGTGAGCTGAGATGGTGCCATTGCACTCCAGCCTGGCCGACGAGCGAAACTCCTTCTCAAAAAAAAAAAAGAAAAAGAAAGCTTTACCAGATTCTTTTCTCTCTCTTTCTCCCATTTTTTTAACTTTTATTTTAGGTTTATGGTACATGTGCAGGTTTGTTAAATAGGTAAATTGTGTGTCACAGGGGTTTGGTGTACAGAAAATTTTGTCCCCAGGCAATGAACATAGTACCCAATAGGTATTTTTTCTGATCCCCTCTCTGCTCCCACCTTCCACCCTCAAGTATGCCCTAGCGCACCTGTTGTTCACCTCCCAGTGTCCATGTATTCTTGTGCGTAGCTCCCACTTATAACTGAGAACATGCAGTATTTAATATTCTGTTCCTGCATTAGTTTGCTTAGGATAATGGCCCTGGCTCTATCCATGTTGCTGTGAAAGACATGATCTTGTTCTTTTTTATGGCTGCATAGTATTCCATGGTATATATGTAATCACATTTTCTATTTTTTTTTTTTTTTTTTTTGAGACAGAGTCTCGCTCTATTGCCCAGGCTGGAGTATAGTGGCACCATCTCGGCTCACTGCAACTTCTGCCTTCTGGGTTCAGATGATTCTTGTGCCTCAGCCTCCCTAGTAGCTGCAACTACAGGCATGTTCCACCATGCCTGGCTAATTTTTTTTTTTTGAGACATATTTCACTCTTGTCGCCCAGGCCTGGGCAACAGAGCGAGACTCTGTCTCCAAAAAAAAAAAAAAAAGATAGAAAATGTGGTTACATATATACCATGGAATACTATGCAGCCAATAAAAAAGAACAAGATTGGCTGGGCACGGTGACTCACGCCTGTAATCCCAGCACTTTGGGAGGCTGAGGCAGGTGGATCACGAGGTCAGGAGATAGAGACCATCCTGGCTAACACAGTGAAACCCCGTCTCTACTAAAAATACAAAAAAAAAAATTAGCCGGGCGTGGTGATGGGCGCCTGCAGTCCCAGCTACTCTGGAGGCTAAGGCAGGAGAATGGCGTGAACCTGGGAGGCAGAGCTTGCAGTGAGCCGAGATCGTGCCACTGCACTCCAGCCTGGGCAATGGAGCCAGACTCCATCTCAAAAAAAAAAAAAGAACAAGATCGTTATTTTAAGCAAACTAATACAGGAACAGAAAATTAAATACTGCATGTTCTCAGTTATAAGTCAGAGCTACACATCAAGAACACATGGACACTAGGTGGTGAACAACAGGCGCTGGGGTGTACTTGAGGGTGGAAGGTGGGTGTCCATCTACTAGAAATATATAAAATATAATAATATACAATGTTATCAGAAGGTGATTTCAAGGGATTGGGAAGGATCCTGTGTGGCTTTGGCCAATATTGGCCATTTTGACCATTATTGTAGTTTACGTTAAAAATAACTAACATTTTCACAGAGCCTTAGAGTCTTAGAGTTATTGCATACTTATGTTATTCCACCTACATTAGTGGTGGAATGAGGCAGGAATGTATTATCATTTTTATTTTACAGATGAAATGCAAGGAGATTAAGTGACTTGTCCAAGAGCTAAGTAGTAAATGGGGTTGCCAGGAGTTGAATTCCAGTTGCCTGACTTGATGTCTAGCATAAAGGCAGCCAAGCAACTATATGATTTAGCTATGTAATGTAACCCTTTAGAGCCCACACCTTGCAAGCTCTGTGCCATAGCTTTTAGATTAGTTGCTTAAAACTGAAGCCAAGCTTTTCAGTGGCAATGATTTAAGTTGCTAAATATAATCATGACTCTCAAGAAAGTTATATTTTAACTTTGTATGATCTAGTTTTGTGTTTTTTTGTTGTTTTTTTTTTTGAGACGGAGTCTCCCTCTGTCGCCCAGGCTGGAGTGCAGTGGCATGATCTCGGCTCACCGCAACTTCCGCCTCCTGGGTTCAAGCAATTCTCCTGCCTCAGCCTCTTGAGTAGCTGGGATTACCGGCATGTGCCACCACGCCCGGCTAATTTTTTTTGTATTTTTAGTAGAGACGAGGTTTCACCATATTGGTCAGGCTGGTCTCAAACTCCTGACCTTGTGATCCACCCAACTCGGCCCCCCAAAGTGCTGGGATTACAGGCATGAGCCACCACGCCTGGCCCTAGTTGTCTAAAACTTTGAACAGGTCTTTAAAAAATATATTCTGTTGATCTACTGTGGATCAATATAAAGACATTTGCTAAGGATCAGATCCCATGTAATATCTTACACATTGGGTATAGATTAGGCTGGAACCTAGTTCTTAGATTCCTACTCAGTTATTTCACTAAATGAATACTTACTTAATTATACTTAGTGAATATTTTACTTAATTATGCTTACTAGGCAGAATAGTAGGAGATGTAGCTCTAACCTCTAGTGACATATTTTAATAAACAGATCACAGCCTGGGTAACAAAAGCAAGACCCTGTCTCTACAAAAAATATAAAAAATTAGCCGGGTGTGGTGGTGCATGCCTGTGGTCCTACTTGGGACCCTACGGTCCCAAGAGATCTGGAAGGGTCTCTTGAGCCCAGGAGTTTTAGGCTGCAGTGAGCTACTGCACTCCAGCCTGGGTCACAGGTGAGATTCTGTCTCTAAAACAAAAACAAAAACAAAACCAGATCAGACATACCAGTATTATGGTTCTTGGTGCTTTTGGTGGAGCTTCACCTTGGTGGGAGGAGTTCTAGAGACATCTCTTCTGCAACTGATTCCTGAAAAGGGATGACAGTAGCCCTCCCGCTCCCTTATCCACAGGGGATAAGTTCAGAGCCTGAAACTGCCCATAGCACTGAACCTGATCGCCATCAAGCGGAACACAGTTCTGTTTATGACCTCCACCCACACATTTCAATGTTTTTTTTTTCCTTAACTAAGCACTTATCACACACTGTTGTGAGCTTTGCAGTTTGAGATGCAACAACGAAACTAGCATGAATTTCTTTTTCTTTCTTCACGATCTCAGGGATACAAGATTCCTTCTTACTGCAGATCTTAGCAACCTCAAAATACGATGGTTTCCTCTTCTTTTAAGCTGAGAACTTTCACCTTTTCATTCAGAGGAAGCACTTCCGGCTTCTCTTTAGCTTTTTTTTTTTTTTTTTTTTTTTTTTTGAGACAGAGTCTTGTTCTGTCACCCAGGCTGGAGTGCAGTGGCGCAATCTCAGCTCACTGCAACCTCTGCCTCCCGGGTTCAAGTGATTCTCCAGCCTCAGCCTCCCGAGTAGCTGGGATTACAGGCGCCTGCCACCACGCCCGGCTGATTTTTGTATTTTGAGTAGAGAAGGGGTTTCACCATGTTATCCAGGCTGGTCTCCAACTCCTGACCTCGTGATCAGCCCGCCTCAGCCTCCCAAAATGCTGGGATTACAGGCGTGAGTCATGGCGCCCGGCCGGCTTATTTTTTTATTTTTTTTAGACGGAGTCTCGCTTTGTCGCCTAGGCTGGAGTGCAGTGGCGCGATCTTGGCTCACTGCATCCTCCGCCTCTCGGGTTCAAGCGATTCTCCTGCCTGTAGCTGGGATTACAGAGTTCCAGGTTGGAAATCACTTAAATTCTTCTCCAAAATTTGTGTGTTTAACCATTTCAAGGATCCCTTCAAATGCAATTATCTTAGGCAGGTGGGGCAGTTCAGGCTTAATGGCCCTGACCCCACACCCTCCTATTCCATTGGGTTATTTAGGTGGTTGTCTCTTGTTTTTTCTTTTTCTTTTTTTCTTTTTGAGATGGGGTTTCACTCTTGTTGCCCAGGCTGGAGTGCAATGGCGTGATCTCGGCTCACTGCCACCTCCACCTCCCGGGTTCAAGTGATTCTCCTGCCTCTGCCTCCCAAGTAACTGGGATTACGGGCGTGAGCCACCACAACTGGCTAATATTTGTATTTTTAGCAGAGACGGGATTTCGCCATGTTGGCCAGGCTGGTCTTGAACTCTTGACCTCAGGTGATCTGTCTGCCTCGGCCTCCCAAAGTGCTGGGATTACAGGCGTGAGCCACCGCCCTCAGCCGCCTCTTGTTTTTTCTACCTGCGACAAGTAAACTTGGGAGGAATGAGGAAGAAATACAGGTGGAGGCTCTTGAGGCCCTGCGAAGTGTCCTGGCTATCCTTTTGTACATTGCATTGTTAGAGCAATGACAGCACTTAATCAGTTATCTGCAGCGTGTGATTTAAAAATGCATCATACCAATATTGCTATACCAGTAATGCTTCTTTTATTTAATGATTAACCAGCAGAGATGCTACAGTTTTTATATTGATTTTAAATGGGAAGTCATGGTGACACATAAAACTGTCCTTTTCAGGCCAGGTGTGGTGACTCACACCTGTAATCCCAGCACTCCAGGAGGCCAAGCGGGTGGATCTCCTGAGGTCAGGAGTTCAAGACCAGCCTGGCCAACATGGTGAAACCCTGACTCTACTAAAAATATGAAAATTAGCCAGGCATGGCGCTAGGCTTCTGTAATCCTAGATACTTGGGAGGCTGAGGCAGGAGAATTGCTTGAACCTGGGAGGTGGCGGTTGCAGTGAGCTGAGATCGCGCCACTGCATTCCAGCCTGGGCCACAGAGTGAGGCTCTGTCTCAAAAAAAAAAAAAAAGCAAAAAACAGAAAAACAAAAAAACTGTCTCCTTCCTCTCTTCCCATAAATCTTGGGGCAAATTAATTAAAGCCATATCTACAGATTGGTGGGATGAGTGTACCCTTTAGCACAGCCACTTTTCAGTTTGCCATGTGAACCAAAGGAAACCTTCTCCAAAGTTTCTGATGCAAATCTGAGGGCTTTCCAGGCACAGGAATGGGAGGAGCTTGGGTTTTAGGTTGACAGGCCCTGGGATGAGAAGGTAATAGCTTTTCTACTGGTTTTGTTCCGGTTTTCTATTCTAGGTAAAGATAATCTCTATTTGGACTATATAGCCTTTAGTTGTCCCAAAGACAAAGGCTAAATAGTCATTAGATTTTTTTTTTTTTTTTTGAGACAGTCTCACTCTGTTGCCCAGGCTGGAGGGCAGTGGCATGATCTTGGCTCACTGCAACCTCTGCCTCCCTGGTTCAAGCAATTCCCCTGCCTCAGCCTCTCAAGTAGCTGGGATTACAGGTGCCCGCCACCACGCCCAGTTAATTTTTTGTATTTTTAGTAGAGATGGGGTTTCACCATGTTGGCCAGACTGGTCTCGAACTCCTGACCTCAGGTGATCTGCCCACTTTGGCCTCCCAAAGTGCTGGGATTACAGGCGTGAGCCACCACGCCCGGCAATAGTCTTTAGATTTTTTAAAACAAAGGACGATTCTCTGAGATCAGCAGCCTCTAGCAGACTAGGGAATGTCATCTGTCCAAATTATTTAGATGACTTTTTTTGGTTTATTCTTTTCGCCTTCCTTCACTCTTAAAAAAAAAAAAAAAAAAAAAAACCATCACTTTTCCTGAACCTCCAATCAGACTTCATTAAGTTCTTGTTTTTTGTTGTTGTTGTTGTTAGAGTCTCGCTCTGTCACCCAGGCTCTATAGAGTGCAGTGGTGCGATCTCAGCTTATTGTAACCTCTGCCTCCCGGGTTCAAGCAATTCTCCTGTCTCAGCCTCCCAAGTAGCTGGGACTATAGACACCTGCCACCATGCCTGGCTAATTTTTGTATTTTTAGTAGAGACGGGGTTTCATCATATTGGTCAGGCTAGTCTCGAACTCCTGACCTAAGGTGATCCCACCTGCCTCAGCCTTCCAAAGTGCTGGGATTACAGCAGTGAGCCACCGCGCCAGGCCCATGAAGTTCATCTTGATTCTTTTTAACCACAACTCCATCAAGGATATATTTAAACCTGATAAAAGCAAGTGATTTGTTATATGTTTACTTCTTTATATATTTTTTAATGATTTCTACCTATTTTAATACTTTTAAACTTCTGTTATTTAAATGTGTGAATTATTTTAAGAACAAATGCATTTATAATTATGAGTAAGTGCCCACTTCTAACTTTTCCTTAGCGGTTATTTTGGGAAGTTCTGCCTTGATTTACAGAAATTTGGTGTGAAACGTCCGGGCGCGGTGGCTCACGCCTATAATCCCAGCACTTTGGGAGGCCGAGGCGGGCGGATCACGAGGTCAGGAGATCGAGACCATCCTGGCTAACATGGTGAAACCCTGTCTCTACTAAAAAATACAAAAAATTAGCTGGGCATGGTGGTGGGCACCTGTAGTCCCAGCTACTTGGGAGGTTGAGGCAGGAGAATGGTGTGAACCTGGGAGGTGGAGCTTGCAGTTAGCAGAGATTGTGTCACTGCACTCCAGCCTGGGCAACAGACGGAGACTCCATCTCAAAAAAAAAAAAAGAAAGAAATTTGGTGTGAATGAACTTGACTTTCCTTTGATTCTCACAAATACCAAAGTGGGACGCAGCCACATGGAGAGCCTGGAAACGACACTAGTTATGAGGTGAAAAAGAACACCTTGGTCCCCAATTTCACTTTTCAACTTAGTAACTTGTGATTTGTATAAGTTACTTAAACTTTTTAAAGGTTGCTGTCTTTATAGGTAAAATGGAGTAACACATAACTCTCAAGGTGGCTGAAAAATTAAGTAAAAACATGAAGGTGAAGTCGTTTAACAAGTAGATATTCAATTCATTCATTCCACAAATATTTATTGAATGCTTTTTAGTTCCAAGCACTTGGACCAAAATAATCAAAATGAACAAAATAGATAAAAACATGTTGCCTTGTAAAGATAATGCTCTATTAAACTGCATAATAAGTAAATATGCTGTATAATATATTGCAAGTTGATAGAGTGATGTCAGATGGTGGGTATGGCTGACGGGTCAGAAGGCTAGGGTAGGTCACACTGAAATGTGACATCTGAGTAGACTGTAAGGTGATGAAGAGGTGAGCCTAGCAGCTATCTAGGGAAAAGCATTCCAGGTAGATAGAACAGCCAGCACAAAGGTCTCCAGGTGGAGACAGGCCTGTCTCCTGAGCAGCAGGGAGGCCAATGTGTTGTGCTGAGTGAGTTAGGGAGAATGACAGGAGACAGGGCAGAAGAGGTGAGGGCTGGTGGGGCTGCCTGCCAGATCAAGAAGGGCTTTGGAAGCGGTCTAAGGGACTTGGGCGTTGGCTCTGAGGGAAGTGGGGAGCCACTGCAGGGTGTGGATCTGATGTCCTTTTGAAAGGATTATTCTGGTGGGGAGGAGACTATCAGACAAGGGAGGAGGCAGGGAGAACTATTAGGAAGGATTGTAGTCATCTAGCTCAGACTGATGAGGTGAGGTGAGATTGGGTGAGAAATGTCAGGTGCTGGATTCACTGTGAATGCAAAGTCAACACAATGTCCTCACAGATGCTAGGTGGAGCTTGAGAGAAAGAGTGACCAAAGATGATTACAAGGATGTAGGACTGTGAGGAAGGAAGGACAGGTTGCCAGTATTTGAGGGAAGGAAGACAGGTTGGGGATGAGAGGAAGCTGGACTTCAGTGTTCGACTAGAATATTGTTTTGTCTTTTAGGGGGCAATTTGAACCTTTAGTAGTTTTTAAAGTATAATTAGAAGGTTTTTTTTGTTTTTTTTTTTTTGAGACAGGGTCTCACTCTGTCACCCAAGTTGTAGTGCAGTGGCGTGATCTCAGCTCACTGCAGCCTCAACCTTAGGTGATCCCCCCACCTCAGCCTCCTGAGTAGCTGGAACTACAGGCATGCACCACCACACCCGGCTAATTTTTTTATTTCTTGTAGAGACAGGGTCTTACTATGTTGTCCAGGCTGGTCTTGAATTCCTGGGCTCAAACGATCCACTGGCCTTGGACTCCCAAAGTGCTGGGATTATAGGCGAGAGCCCCCTCGCCCAGCCAGAAACTTTCAATATAGAAATAATCCTAGCAAACCACTTAAAAATTTTGTTATTTGACAGAAATTTCACATCAGGTCACATAGGCCTAGCCCTGAGTCTTTCACCCATTCAGGGGTGTAACACTCAATGGGACGGGCACATTGTTGTCACCAAAATTACCCTACTACCTGGGTCTGGACACCCAGTTGCCAGAAGCCATGGAGGCTTCTATCCTGGGCTGGAAGCTCCCAGAACCTCCTCTCTTACTGCTCGAATTTGTAAGCACCCCCACACTGGCTTCACCTGGCTCAGAGTCAAGAACGTCCTCCCTCACACAGGAGCCCTGAGCTCTGCACACGCCCCTCAGGGCCTAAAGTCAGCCGGAGAGTCATGAGGACAGAGACCCTGCTTCTGCCTCCAGCTCCCCTGGACCAGGTGGGGCTGCCTACTGGTAAGCCCTGCAGCCCCCTCTCTGGCACCCACCTTCTGAGGCCCACAGAGTTCCCTTACTCCATCCTTTACTGCAAAGTGAAGGCCTGGCACACAGAACCACAGGTTTTTGGCAGCTTGGGCAAGTGGTGAGACAGGTGAGAAGAAATCTCCAGCGTTTATTGATTAAAAATCATCCACAATGTTAACATGGAAAATCTGCAGTGTGATCTGTGGTGGATTGGTCCAATTAAGCTTTGCTTGGAAATTGCCTATGAAAGGAAATCTTAAAAATCACATCACAGGCCGGGCACAGTGGCTCAGGCCTATAATCCTAGCACTTTGAGAGGCCGAGGCAGATGGATCACCTGAGGTCAGGAGTTTGAGACCAGCTTGGCCAACATGGTGAAACCCCGTCTCTACTAAAAATACAAAAATTAGCTGGACTTGGTGGAGGGTGCCTGTAATACCAGCTATTCAGGAGGCTGAGGCAGGAGAATCGGTTGAACCCAGGAGGCAGAGGTTGCAGTGAGCCAAGATCACGCCGCTGCACTCCAGCCTGGGCGACAGAGTGAGACTCCATCTCAAAAAAAAAAAAAATCACATCACAGTGTTGAAATACTTTCCTTAGGGGCAGTGATCCTTTGAGGGGACAGGGGCTACAGTGTCGGGGGTGAAAGTAGAGAGTGGTAATCAAGTGCAGACGCCCCGGTTGTTCCTGGAATGGTGATTTTGAGTTGTCAACACACGAGCTCAACACATGAGCAACACAGATGCTCATGTGTTGACGACAGGTAGGGGGCTCAACAGTGAAGCAGGGAGCTCAGGAGTGAGGTCTGGGCTGCAGGCATATATTTGGGAGTCATCAGCATGACAGAGATAATTTAAAGGGTGAGACAGAAAGAGTCTATGAAGGGGAAAGCAAGAAGAGTCTGGCAAGAGGTCCTGGAGCCCTCCCGTGATAAGAGCGGAAAAAGAGGAACAAGGAAAGGAGACGACAAGGAAGCATCCAGGATCGAGGAGAAAAATCAAGAGGGTGTGGTGTCTCGGAAGCAGCACGAAGAAAGTGCTTGGAAGCACAAAGAGTGAGCCACCGTGTCACACGCTGCCTGCCCAACGATCAGGTAAGATGAGAGGAGACCAAGAATGGCTGTGGGATTTAGCATGTGGGGGTCATTGGTAACTTAGCGAGCAGTTTCGGTAGTGATGGAGAATGTTTTCAGAGAAATTTGGAGAATTGTGGACCTCAAGTACAGTTTATTCTTTAGGGATTTTTTTGCTGCCAAAAAGAGCACTCACTGATGGTGGCAGGGGCAAGCCAAGGAAGAGTTTGTTTTGTTTAAAGATTGGAGAAATAGGCTGGGTGTAGTGGCTCACGCCTGTAATCCCAGCACTTTGGGAGGCCGAGGCAGCCGGATCACTTGAGGTCAGGAGTTCGAGACCAGATTGGCCAACATGGTGAAACACCGTCTCTACTAAAAATCCAAAAATTAGCCAGACATGGTGGTGCACACCTGTTGTCCCAGCTACTTGGGAAGCTGAGGTGGGAGAATCGCTTGAACCCAGGAGGTGGAGGTTGCAGTGAGCTGAGATTGCACCACTGCCCTCCAGCCTGGGCAACAAAACAAGACTCTGTCTCAAAAAAAAAAAAAAAAAAAGATTGGAGAAATAACAGCCTTTTGGTATGCTAATGAAAAATGATGACACAGGATAAGGTAGAATTAGTAGGGCAATATCCTTGAATAGTGGAGAGGGATGCGAATTATTGGCCTTGGATTGGAGCATATAGTCTATGGCAGGGATCAGCAAACTTTTCCTTTTTTCTTTTTTAGACAGGATCTTGCTCTGTTGCCCAGGTTGGAGTGCAGTGGCATGACAATCAAGGCTCACTAGAGCCTCAACCTCTGGGGCTCAAGTGATCCTCATCTCAGCTTCCTGAGTAGCTGGGACTACAGGTATGCACCACCACGCCCAGATAATTTTTAAATTTTTTGTAGAGATGGGGTCTCCCTATGTTCCCAGGCTAGTCTCAAACTCCTGGGCTCAAGACAGCCTCCTGCCTAGGCCTCCCAAAGTGCTGGGATTATAGGCGTGCGCCTCCATGCCCACCAACTTTTTCTATAAAGAACCAAATAGTAAATGATTTAGTATTTGTGAGTCATACAGTTTCTATTGAAACCACTTTATGGTCCCAGCTCTAAAGCAATACATAGGCAATACAAAATGAATGGACATGGCTGTGTTCCAATAAAACTTTATTTAGGATTGCTGAAATTTTAATTTCATATAATTTTCACATGTCATAAAATATATTTGCCTCAGGCTGGGTGTGGTAGCTCACACCTGTAATCCCAGCACTTTGAGAGGCCGAGGCAGGTGGATCATTTGAATTTGAGGTCAGGAGTTCGAGACCAGCTTGGCCAATATGGTGAGACCCCCGTCTCTACCAAAAATTAAAAAATTAGCTGGGTGGTAGTGGCGCATGCCTGTAATCCCAGCTACCCGGGAGGCTGAGGCAGGAGAATGGCTTGAGCCTGGGAGGCGGAGGTTGCAGTGAGCCAAGATTGCACCACCGCACTCCAGTCTGGGAGACAGGGTGAGAACCTGTCTCAAAAAGAAAAAAAAATTCTCCTCTATTTAAAAATGTAAAAACCATCCTTAGCTAGCCAGCTGTACAAACACAGGCAATGGGCTGGATTTGGCTCAGGGCCAATAGTTTGCCTACCCTGATCTACGTCATGGACAAGAAGTTAACATAGATGGGTACAAACAAGTTGGACGGATGTGGTGAGGGGAATCAGGAAATTCTCCTGAGTGCTTCGGTTTTTTCAGTGAAGTAGGACCCCGAGGATGGGGATGAGGGAGAATATACAGAAGATTTGAGGAAATTGGCACAGGCATGAAATACAGTGTAAATGGAGTAGGGGAATCTAAGTAGGACGATTCACCAGGCAGCAGGAAGGCCCTATTCAAGGGCTGCTGCTGTGAATTTAAAGTGAGACCTGCCCAGCAGGGTTGTGCTTTCCCCCAGCCACAGTCTGCTGCAATGAGGGGGACACAGAGTGGTCAGGAAGCTGGGCTTTAACCTCAGCTGTGCTTTTGCTGAGGGAGTTTCAAGTCAGAGGGAGCCAAGGAGGTTGGGAGTTAATGTAAGGGAGTGATTATAATGATTGCAGGGTTGCCAGATGTAGCAGATAAAAATAAAGAATAGTTGCTCACGGTGGCATGCACCTGTAGCCCTAACTATTCAGGAGGCTGAGGCAGGAGGATTGCTTGAGCCCATGAGTTCAAGTTCAGCCTGGGCATCATAGACCCTGTCTCTCAAAACAAAACACAACATAATGCTTACTTAAATGTGAATTTCAGACAAACAATAATTTTTTGGTATAAAAATTAGTGTCCCATGGTTAGAAGGGAGAGAACATGAAGCAGGTGAGGGAGTGTTATGAGTTAGAGGATCAATAGATTTGAGGTTCTAGTTGGGGAAAGATTTTTGAAGAGGGCTACCAGGCTACTGGAAAGGCTGATCTGAAATGATAGAAGGTGGGAGGCATGGATTGAACGCTTGACTTTGAGATTATGACCAGTTGCAGTTACTGGTCTTGATAAGGTTTAGGTTCCAACCATGGGGGTGAGTGTGAGGCATTGGGTGGTGGACAAGATCATTGGAGGTAAGGAATTCAAGGAACTGAGGGTTCAGAGGTTCGTCTACATGGATAGTGTATTGATAATACCATAAAATGACTGAAATAACTGCATGCTTATCATATGACCAGGACTGTGTAGGAACACAAAATAAAGTTTATTATCAAGAGTATTCCAATCTAGGGTGATCTATGGACCCACAGAGGCTGGCAAAGTCCTCTAGATTAGGGAGGCCTTTGAACACTATGCTAAGAAATTTAGTACCACTAGTTTAATAGCGCCCCCCTCTTCCTGTAAAGAAAATAGCAAAATCAATTAAATCAGTACATCTCCATCTCATTTGGCATATCTGAATATGAGTGTTTTAAATACTTAAAACACATTTCTCTTAGTCCCTGAGCCTTTTTATTCCAAAGTTAAAAGTAAGACATTCCAAGTGCATGGTTCATGGTTTTATTGCCCTGTGTAATGTAGCTACAGGGGTTTGGAGCATTAACTATATCTCTGTTTTATGTGTGTTATAGAATCATATGAATTGGGATTAGAAAAATTGTGGTGAGTTTTTTTCCAGGCCTTCTTAGTCTTCTGGTTGCTTTTTAATTTTTTTTAAGAAAATAGGACATGTTTTCTGCTTTTCCTCCTATTTATTTATTTATCGAGACAGGGTCCCACTCTGTCACTCAGACTGGAGTGCAGTGAGTGACACATCACAGCTCACTGCAGCCTTGACCTCCTGATACTCAAGCGATCCCTAGCCTCCCTAGCATAGCTGTGACCACAGGTACACGCCACCACACCCAGCTAATTAAAAAAAAATTATTTGTAGAGACTGCGTCTCACTGTGTTGCCCAGGCTGGTCTTCAACTCCTGTTATCCTCCCACCTTGGCCTTCCAAAGTGTTGGGATTACAGGCATGAGCCACCACACCCAGCCTTTTTTGCTTTTTTGTTTCTAAAACAAATGAGTAAAATCAGACTGAATGAAAAGGGGAAGGTTGAGCCCTTAAAATATGCATTGGGTAGGTGTGGTTGGTACTGTAAGGTTGTTCTAAGGAGGGCTAAGGGATAGGTCAGCAAGCCCTTGGTCAGTGACCTGAACAGGGAGAGGTGTAGGTTCAGGCCCCTCAGGAGACGGAAGGAGCAAGCCAACATTTTTTACTAATTAAGGACTCTGCACTGCTTAAGTGTGCACACGTTCCCCTTCCACATCGTATATACAGGATGTGACTGGGATTTTAAAACAAACTGGAAGTCAAGGGAGGACATGGAGGGATCTTTAGAGAAGTTAGGTTTCCAAATTACAGTTTGCTCTGGAAGATGTTAGGCTGTGATGTGCGGCCACTTAAGAAAAAGTAGGGCCGGGCACGGTGGCTCACACCTGTAATCCCAGCACTTTGGGAGGCCGAGGTAGGCGGATCACCAGGTCAGGAGATTGAGACCATCCTGGCTAACACAGTGAAACCCCGTCTTTACTAAAAATACAAAAAAATTAGCCAGGCGTGGTGGCGGGCGCCTGTAGTGCCAGCTACTCGGGAGGCTGAGGCAGGAGAATGGTGTGAACCCGGGAGGCGGAGCTTGCAGTGAGCCAAGATCACACCACTGCACTCCAGCCTGGGCAACAGAGCAAGACTCTGTCTCAAAAAAAAAAAGAAAAGAAAAAGAAAAAACGAAAAAAGAAAAAGTAGGCCGGGCACGGTGGCTCATGCCTGTAATCCCAGCCCTTTGGGCAGCTGAGGCGGGCGGATCATCTGAGGTCAGGAGTTCGAGACCAGCCTGGCCAAAATGATGAAACACTCTACTGAAAATACAAAAATGAGCCAGGCGTGGTGCGTGCCTGTAATCCCAGCTACTCCAGAGGCTGAGGCAAGAGAATCGCTTGAACTAGGGAGGCAGAGGTTGCAGTGAGCCAAGATTGCTCCATTGCACTCCAGCCTGGGCAACAAAGCAAGACTCTATCTGAAAAAAAGGAAAAAGTAATATCCATTGGCATCCAATCACAAATGGAAAATTATCTTTCCAACTTATTTCCGTAAGTTATTTGCATAATTATAAGATAAAATAATTTCAGGAAAATGCTACAGACTTACCAGAGGAGCAGAAAACCAAAGTATCTACAGACATTCTTATGGAGACTGGAGGGGAAGCAAAGTCTTCTTGAAAGGGAACAGGTGACTGTCAAGAACTCTCCAGCCTAACCCTAGGGACTAAGTTCCCAGAGGGCAGAGAGGACGTTTGTGCACAACTGTGTCTTCAATTGCACAGAGCTCCTGGCACAGTTAGGAGGGCTATCTATCTATATGTAATATATGTTATATATATATATGTATGTGTGTATATATATATGTGTGTGTGTGTGTGTGTGTGTATATATATATATATATATATATTTTTTTTTTTTTTTTTGAGACAGGGTCTCACTTTGTCATCCAAGCAGGAGTGCAGTGGCATGATCTCAGCTCACTGCAGCCTTGACCTTCTGGGCTTAAGTGATCCTCCTGACTCAGCTTCCCAAGTAGCTGGGACTACAGGAGCACACCCCCATGCCCTAGCTAATCTTTAAATCTTTATAGATATAGGGCCCTCCCTATGTTGTCCAGGCTGGTCTCAAACTCCTGGGCTTCAGCCATCCTCTCACCTCTGCCTCTCAAAGTGCTGGGATTACAGGCATGAGCCACCATGCCTGGCTAATAAACACTTTTTGAGTGAATTAATTAGTACAAAATAGTGAAAGACTACCTTAGGAATCTCCTAGGCTAGCTTTGGCCATTTACCCAGATATTGGCCTTGGGCAAGTTAATTAGCATCTCTGAACCTCAGTTTCCTCATGTGAATGAGACTAATTTGGGCCAACATCTCTTGGCCTTTTGCAAAGATTAAATGACACAGCACCTAACACTTATGAGTAGTGATTGTTCTTGTTACTGATAGGAAAAGAGATGGAGATTGCCAGATTTCACCCATGTTCAGGGAGAGGGCCCTTCCCTACAGCCTTGGCCTTCACTTTTAGCTCCTGGGTTTCTTCTGCTTCTCCTTTTTTTTCCCGTTTGGAGGCCTCTTGTTCCTCGTCCATCTCCTTGGCTTGCTTCTTTGGTTGTTTCAGGGGCTTCTTCTTCCCGCCTTCGAGGCCGGACATGGCACCTATCACCCATTCCCCAGGCCCTGCCATTGGAAATCAGAATTTTATTTTTTTAAAGGAAAACCTTGAAAAATTTTGGAAATCTTGGAACCTAGGAGAAAATTTTCCAAGTAAAGTTTATTATTTATTTTCTATTATATGTCAACTCATATGGAAGCCAGTTTTATATACATTATCTCATCTGATATTAGAAAAAAATCCTTGGGGATAGGCACCATTCTAAAAAAATGTAACATATGCAAAAGGCTAACCAGGGCCGGGCGCGGTGGCTCATGCCTGTAATCCCAGCACTTTGTGAGGCCAAGGCGGGAGGATGATGAGGTCAGGAGATCGAGACCATCCTGGCCAACATGGTGAAACCCTGTCTCTACTAAAAATACTAAAATTAGCCGAGCGTGGTGGCATGTGCCTGTAGTCCCAGCTTCTCGGGAGGCTGAGGCACAAGAATCGCTTGAACCCGGGAGGTGGAAGTTGCAGTGAGCCGAGATCATGCCACTGCACTCCAGCCTGGTGACAGAGCAAGACTGTCTAAAAAAAGAAAAAAAGAAAAAGAAAAGGCTAACCAGAAGCAGGCTAAGTGATGGATGGAAGAGGATTTCAAACCCAGACTGCCTGATACTAAAACCCATACTATTTCTACTATATCAAAATGTAGGCTAATATCTTAGAATATTAAAGTTAGAGTTGGCTTATGAGGTTTAATTTAACCTCCCTCTCAGTGCCCATATCTTCTAAGTAATATTTATTTCTAGATTTGGGACAATAGTTGCACCTCTTAAGACAGTCCAATTCATTTTGAATGGAGCTGGTTACTCAAAAGTTCTTCTTTCCAAAAAAATTGAAATCAATTTCTATCAATTTCATGCTTTTGACACTGGGGCTGCTCTCCGGAGCTGCACAGAGGAAACCTAGTACCAGCCCGAAGGTGAGGCTATGTCCTAGTGATGGCTCCTGCAGACATGTACGAAAGTTACAGCCTTGCACACAGTGGACACTCAGAAAATGCTTGCTGCATTGAATCTAGCTTTGCCCTTTCTTGCAGTGATTACTAACAAACAAAATAGCTCCCATTTCAATCACACCAAGGTCACTGCTGCTATTGTGCTATGTGAGACACTGGCTCTGAGCCCTGACCTGAAAACCCTCTGGGAAGATTGATTTAGTCTCTCATTACTTTGTTCAGTCAAGAAGTGTTTATTGAGTGCCCAACTATGTACCAGGCACTGTTGTAAGTGTCGGGCCCATACTGCCAAACAAAATAGACACCTTCCCTTGCAGAGCTTATCTTCTAGTGTGAGAAAACAGAGATCACATCATGAATATACAGTCTTTTAGAAGGTACTAAATGCTAGAGGGAGAAATAGGGTGTGTAAGAGGAATTAGGAGTGTCAGAAGGGGACGTGTGGTGGCTATCCTTTAAACAGGTTGACCATGTGAGCAAAGATGACAAGATGTGAAGAAGGCAGCTCTATGGATATTGGGGGAAAGAGCAGTGGAGACAGAGGGAACAGGCAGTGCAGAGTGTCAGGCATGCCCCCTGGCTGGAGCAGAGTGAGCCAGGCAGAGGGTAGCTGAAGGCATGATCAGACAGATGATCTGAGAAATGTGGTCTCTGGCTGTATAGCCCGATATGGTCATCTCTGGCCACAGATGGCTCTCAGCACTTGAAATGTGGCTAGTCCAAATTGACATGGGCTGCATGGCTTTTTGTTTTTTTTTTTTTTGAGATGGAGTCTCTCTCTGTCACCCAGGCTGGAGTGCAGTAGTGGCATGATCTCGGCTCATTGCAACCTCCACCTCCCAGGTTGAAGCAGTTCTCCTGCCTTGGCCTCCCAAGTAGCTGGGACTACAGGCACATGTCACCACACCCAGCTAATTTTTGTATTTTTAATAGAGATGGGGTTTCACCATGTTGGCCAGGCTGGTATCGAACTCCTGACCTCAGGTGATCCACCCGCCTCCGCCTCCCAAAGTGCTAAGATTACAGGTGTGAGCCACTGCGCCTAGCCTGGCTGCATGATTAAATAATACATCATGTTTCAAAGACTTTGAATGAGAATTAGTTGTAATTTTTCTCAATTTTAATTTTGATTCCATGTCAAAATAATGTTTTAGTGATATTGGGTTAAATGAATATATTATTACAATTCATTTCATCTGTTTATTTTTACTTTTCCATGGTGACTCCTGGGAAATGTAAAATGCCCTGTTTTGATTGGACTTTGTTGGTCTAGAATCTTGCATGTCTTTCAAGGATTTTGGCTTTTATTCTGACTAATGTGGGGAGCCCATAGATAGTTTTGAGCAAAGGAGTGACATGGTCTGGCCTTTTTAAAAGAGGTCACTCTGGGTGCTCAATTGACAACAAATTGGAGGAGATGTAGGAAGACCACCTAGGAGGCTATTGAGTAATCCAGGGGAGACATATTGATGGCTTACCTCAGAGTGGTAGTGGGTGGAGGTGGTGAGACATGGTAAGAATCCATATATATGTATTTTTTTTCTTTTCTTTTCTTTTTTTTTTTTTTTTTTTTTGAGATGGAATCTCGCTCTGTCACCCAGGCTGGAGTGCAGAAGCGTGATCTCAGCTCACTGCAACCTCTGCATCCTGGGTTCAAGCAATTCTCCTGTCTCGGCCTCCTGAGTAGCTGAGACTACAAGTGCATGCCACCACACCTGGCTAATTTTTATAGTTTTAGTAGAGACGGGGTTTCATCATATTGGTCGAGCTGGTCTCAAACTCCTGACCTCAGGTGATCCACCCACCTCACACTCCCCAAATGCTGGGATTACAGGCATGAGCCACCATGCCCAGCCTAATTTTTGTATTTTTAGCAGAGACGGGGATTCACCATATTGGTCAGGCAGGTCTCAAACTCCTGACCTCAAGTGATCCACCTGTTTCAGCCTCCCAAAGTGCTGGGATTACAGGCATGAGCCACCACACCCGGCTTGAATCCCAATATATTTTAAAGGTACAGCCAGCAGGATTTCCTGAGGGAGCTGATATGGAGTGTGAGAGAAATAAAGTGGTCACTGATGCCTGCAGTGATTTTGGCCTGAGAGCCTGGAAGGATGGGTAGCCATTAACTGAGACAGGAAGACTGTGGGCAGAGCAGGGGAATATGAGGATAACAGTATGGGGGCCGATTAAATGGTCATGCAGAGAAGTTGAACAGTTAGGTATCAGAGTATGGAGCTCAGGGGCTCAGACTTCTGTCTGAGCTGAGTATGGGGCTCAGACTTCTGTCTGAGCTGAGTATGGAGCTCAGACTTCTGTCTGAGCCAGAGGTATAAATAAGTGCAAGGACCATGCCTTAGACAACTTGGTAAGGATAGATTGGGGAGAAAAGGCAGACTCCACAAAGAACTAAGAGGGGAGGAGAAGCCAGTTGATGGTGCCCTGAGGATCGGTGAAGTGAGGAGCTAGCAATCAAGTGCTGTTTATAGATAAAGTGAAGATGAGGACAGGGTTGACTAATGGATGTAAGTGATGCAGAGGTCAAGAGAAGTTCCTTTGGAACGGTCTGAGCAAAAGCTGATTACAGTGGGTGTAGCCGAGAATAGCAGGGAAGGCTTTGGAGTTGGTGAATATCAGTAAGTATGGAAAACCCCAGGAATTACTGGAAAAAAGAACAGAAATAGGGTCATAGCTGATAGAAAATTGGGGCCCAAGAGGAATGATAAATAATGATGGGATAGATAACAGCAGGTTTCTGTGCTAATAGGAATAAGCTAGTAGAGAAAGGAAAATTGATGACGTGGGGGAAAAGGTCGTGAAAATTTTCTGGAGTCATGTTTCCGTGGAAGTGAGAAGGGATTTTACCTAGGGCACGGGAAGGGTTGCCCTTAGGAGCCAGGACAGTTCACCTACCTTCGCTGGCAGGAAGGCCGACCTGTGGTCGTGGTAGGGCGCTGTGAAGTTCCGTCTATCTGCTTCGTTTTCTCAGTGAACTGGAAAGCAAGGCCATGAGCAGAGTGAGGTGTCGGAGCTTAGCTGAGTGAGTTGCAAGTGTGAAACAGTGTGAGAATGAACGGACGGCGGGGATACAGGGTAACATTCACGGACATGGGTTTAAAGTGATGACCCAGGATTGTGGTACCTGCAAAGGTGTTGAGGGTGCATTCAAGAGAGTGATCTTAATGACTGACATAGAGTCAACTCACTCAAACAAATATTTGCTGAGTGCTTATCACAGCAGCAATGTATTATAATAAAAACTGCTTTTTAGGCTGAGTTGCTACACATCAGTGAGTGTTCCTGCACTGCCTCCCGATGGCCGTGACAGGAACTGCGGCTGAGGCACCACCCGACCTGGGACAGGGCTGCCATCTCCCGGCCAGTCCCTGCTACTGCAAGTGCAGCAGGCTCAGGCGCTGCTGGACTTTCTCGGTGCCCTGGATTGGTGACTGGTAGAAAAGATGACCAAGCCGAAGGCTAGTCCTGTGTGGCCATTACCTCTGCCCTTGCCTACCCTTCACTTTTCCATTCTTATTCTATTTTACTTATTTTTAAAATAAGTTTTTAATAGAAATTTCTTTTCTCTTATTTTATTTTATTTTTTTAGAGACGGGGGCCTTGCCATGTTGCCTAGGCTGGACTTAAACTCTTGAGCTCAAGCTATCCTCCCGCTTCAGTTTCCCAAGTGACTTGGATTATGGGCACAGCTGCCATACCTGGTTCACTTCTTATTCTCAGTAACAAGCAAATTACCCCCTTCTAAGGGGTGTTCCTTTCCTGAGAAATTTCCCATCTTAGCAGACAACTCTAAATATCAAAAAACCCTTGAGGACCAATGAAATGAAATTATCATTGAATTTCAAGCATCTGTGGAATACAAATGCAGGAAATATTTTAGATGCAAGGGTCCACACTGCCCCCAATATCCTATCCCGTAGATAGGGTACCACACTCAGGGTAATGAGTTTTGTGCTCTTCTGTCACACATCCCATTAGATGTTAATTGAGAATCCATGATGCTCTAGGCTCTGGATAATGTATGCATTGCCCAGTGATTTGGTTTCGGAAACCTCAAATATTCCCCACTCTTCACACTAATTTCCTGTGTTGATTAAAATTTTTACTATTAGTCGTTTTAGCATAGAAGTATTGGAGCCCTTGAAAAATCAAGTAAATTGGCCGGGCGCAGTGGCTCACGCCTGTAATCCCAGCACTTTAGGAAGCGGAGGTGGGCGGATCACCTGAGGTCAGGAGTTCGAGACCAGCCTGACTAACATGGTAAAACCCTGTCTCTACCAAAAATACAAAACTTAGCCAGGCGTAGTAGGAGGCCCCTGTAATCCCAGCTACTCAGGAGGCTGAGGCAGGAGAATCACTTGAACTCGGGAGGCAGAGGTTGCAGTGTGCCGAGATCGTACCTTTGCACTCCAGCCTGGGCGACAGAGCGAGACTCCGTTTCAAAAAGAAAAAAGAAAAAGAAAAGAAAAATTAAGTAAATTATCTGATAGGGCTAGACAATATATCAGGCTTTACTTTGCTAATATATCAAATTAGTTACCTGACACTACAGCCCAAAAGAGACAGAGCTACAAGTGGGCAAATATTTTTCAGTTATTTTTTTTTTTTTATCAAAGCAATACCTGCATGTAAATTCGAGTAGTGAAAAAGGCTTGTCATGAAAAACTGCAGATAGCTAACTGCCTTTTCTTTTTTTTTCTTTTTCTTTTTTTTTTTTTTTTTGAGATGGAGTTTCACTCTTCTTGCCCAGGCTGGAGTACAATGGCGTGATCTTGGCTCACTGCAATCTCTGCCTCCCAGGCTCAAGTGATTCTCTTGCCTCAGCCTCCCGAGTAGCTGGGATTACAGGCATGCACCACCACACCCAGCTATTTTTTGTATTTTTAGTAGAGATGAGGTTTCACCATGTTGACTAGGCTGGTCTCGAACTCCTGACCTCAGGTGATCCTCCTGCCTCGGCCTCCCAAAGTGCTGGGATTACAGGCATAAGCCACCACGCCTGGCCAGCTAACTGCCTTTTCTTATCTCATAGCCCTACACCCACAGAAAATTATCCTTATCTCTTTTAGGAATTTCCCTAAGCATTTATCTCCGTGTTTCTGAATAATATGCTCATGTTGTGTTTCTCAATTTGTTAGTTTTAGACTTTACTGATTCATTTGCCCCTCCCAAGGTAATTACATAAATATTTTCGTTAGTTAGTGGTTGGCATTTACACTACTTTGACAAATATTGTTCATTGCTAAGATATGATTCTTTGTTTTTCCTGGAATTAATAATTGCCTCATTTTTTCATTTACCTGCTTTTCAATGTATCCATAATTAATTTAATTTTGTGACTCTCTGACACACATTGAGCAATGATCTTCCTTCCCTCCTTCCTTTCTTTTCTTCTTTCTCTCTCTCTCTCTTTTTTTTTTTTTTTTTTTTTTTTTTTTTTTTGTGAGATAAGAGTCTTACTCTGTTGCCCAGGCACAACATCCTAGGCTCAGGTGATCCTCCCACCCCAGTCTCCCAAGTAGCTGGGACTACAGGCATGCATCACCATGCCCTACACTGTTTTGTATTTTTTTCTGTTTTTGTTTTTGTTTTTTTTAATGGAGTCTCACTCTGTTGCCTAGGCTGGAGTGCAGTGGTGCAATCTCAGCTCACTGCAACCTCCGCCTTGTGGGTTCAAGCAATTCTTCCTGCCTCAGCCTCCCAAGTAGCTGGGATTATAGGCATCCACCACCACACCCGGCTAACTTTTGTATTTTTTAGTAGAGACAGGGTTTTGCCATGTTGGCCAGACTGGTCTTGAACTGACCTCAGGTGATCCACCCGCCTCGGCCTCCCGAAGTGCTGGGATTATAGGCATGCACCACCATGCCCAGCTAATTTTTGTATTTTTAGTAGAGATGGAGTTTTACCATGTTGTCCATGATGGTCTCGAACTCCTCATCTCAGGTGATCCACCCGCCTTGGCCTCCGAAAGTGCTGGGATTACAGGCATGAGCCACTGCACCTAGCCAAGTTTTGTATTTTTTGTAGAGACAGGGGTGTCACTATGTTGCACAGGTCTCAAACTCCTGGGGTCAAGCAATCCACCAGCCGTACCCTCCCACAGTGCTAAGATTACAGGCATGAGCCACAATGCCCAGCAATAATATTTTCTATATTCACAAAGCTTTGCTTTCCATTTTTTTCCTATATGTACTTCTGTACTGGTCAGAGTTCTACAGGGAAACAGAACTAAGGGAGTATGTGTTGTGGGAAGGGGGAGCAGTGTGAGGGTGTGTGGGGGCGGTGGAGAGAGAGGGGAATTCAGTTTGAAGAATTGGCTCACATGATTGTGCAGGCTGGCAAGTCCAAAATCTGCAGGGCAGCCTGGCAGGCTGGAGACCCAGGGAAGAGCGGCTGCTGCAGCTTCATTCCAAAGGCAGTCTAGAGGCAGAATTTCTGTTTCTTTGAGGGTCGTCAGTCTCTGAAGGCTCTTAGGGCCTTCAACTTATTGAATGAGACCACGTGATGGAGGATAATCTGCTTTACTTAAAGTCTACTGATTTAAATGTTACTCTCATCTAAAAATACCTTCACAGCAATGTCTAGACTGGTGTTTGACCAAATATCTAGGTATCATGGCCTAGCCAAGTTGACACATAAAATTAATCATCATAGCTTAAAAAAAATTAACCATCATGACCTCTCTCCCAGATTCTTTGTTCATGAATATGGCCTTCTGCATTCCTGCCCTGCTGGAACATCCTGAGCTTTTCTTCCTTGCTCTCTGGAATGCTTTCTTTTCATTCACTTGCCCCCATTTTGGTGGAACATATCCTCCAGTAGCTTCCAGTGCACAGAAAGTGAATTTTCAAAGCCATTGTATGTTTCAAAATGTTTTTATTCTTCCCTCACACTTAACTGACATGGGTCACTCCAGAATCGTGGCTCACTCTAGCAGCTCTGGGTTGAACATACTTTTCCCTTGGAATTTTGGAAGCATTACGCCATTTTCTTCTCATTTTCTGAAGTTGATGCTTTTGAACAATCCAGTGAAATTCTGATTTCCCACCTTTTGCTTATAATTTCCTTTTTCTCTCTGGGAGTTTAAGAATGTTTTCTCTTGATTCCCAGTGTCCTGAACTTTCACAGTGGCATGTCCAGGGCAGGTCTTTTTTCACTTACTGTGTTGAGCACTCAGTAGAACTTTCATTCTGGAGTCTCATGTCCATCAAGAAAATGTATTGTATCACTTCATTCATTTCTTTTTTCCACTTTCAATGATTTCGTGGGCAGCTTTTAATTTTAGCTGAGTGGACTTTCTGCCCTGATCCTCTAAATTTGTTTTCTGTGTTTCTTCCCTCTGACTTTTTTTTTTTTTTTTTTTTTGAGATGGAATCTTGCTCTGTCTCCTAGGCTGGAGTGCAGTGGTGTGATTTCGGCTCACTGCAATCTCCACCTCCCGGGTTCAAGCAGTTCTCCTGCCTCAGCGTCCCAAGTAGCTGGGATTACAGGCTCCTGCCACCATGCCTAGCTAATTTTTGTATTTTTATTAGAGATGGGGTTTCGCCATGATGGCCAGGCTGGTCTCGAGCTCCTGAGCTCATGATCTGCCTGCCTTGGCCTCCCAAAGTGCTGGGATTACAGGCGTGAGCCACCGTGCCCAGCCCCCTTTGACTTTTTATTTAATCTTCCGGTTGGTGGAATTCCCTGATTTAATTTCCCTACTTACTATGAATTTTTTATTTACACTGTTATATTTACAGTTTCAGTTTCCCAGAACCCTTTCTTGGTTTCTGATGTTTTGTGTTTTTTTTTTCCCCTGTTGTATCTCAGTTGCTCCATTCTCAAGGACCTTAATGGCATCATTGCTGCATCTTCTTGCAATATTTCTCTTTCCTCCAAGGCTTAGTTAGTTGGTTGATTTTAAATCTCTTTTATGTTGGAGACTTTTCCCAAATGTGTAGTCTTCCTGGACTGTTTGTTCCTATTTAAGACAGTGAGGTCATTTTTTAATAAGCAGATTTGAAGTTCTATGTGGGACTTACTGATGAGTTAGTGGGTTCCCTATTAGGGAATCAATCAGTGAGCCACCCTTTTCATGGGGGAGCCCTAAGCTATTTGTACTTCTTATTTCTAAGGCCATTCCATTTTTGCAGAAAAGAAGGATCATTCATTTCCTACAGCCAGCAGTGGTGTCCAGGGCAGGCTTTACCCCTGATCTTCTGAGGACAGGATGGGGAAAAGAACTGTGGTCCCCACAGTTTATTAGGAGACTTTCATCGTGCTGAATTCAGTCTGGTGCTCTTCCCAACCTTCTCTTTTATGGGGGTGGGGTGGGGATGGCGTCTCACTCTGTTGCCTGGGCTGGAGTGCAGTGGCGCGATCTCGGCTCACTGCAATCTCCGCCTCCCGGGTTCAAGCGATTCTCCTGCCTCAGCCTCCCGAGTAGCTGGGATTACAGGCACCCGCCACCATGCCCAGTTAATTTTTATAAATTTTTAGTAAAGACAGGGTTTCACTAAGTTGGCCAGGCTGGTCTCGAACTCCTTACTCATGATCTGCCTGCCTTGGCCTCCCAAAGTGCTGGGATTACACGCATGAGCCACCATGCCTGGCCTTCCCTGTTCTTTATGTCCCTAAATTCAGAACTTTTCCAAATCCAAAGCTTTGGTTATTCAGCTTCCCAAGAGAACAATCCTCAGATCTCTTACGGGTCGGGGAGGGCTATTGTCTTATGAGTGGATACAGGAGAATGACCCAACTGCTCAGCCCTTCAACATTCAGCCAGTGCTTTAGTGTCATGTAAGTCTTTCCTTCGTGGTACTTGGGAAATCCAGGCACTAAGTCTGTGAGCCAACTGGCTTTCTTCTCTTCCATTTCTACCTCTGTTTACGTTGTAACATTCTCCCTTGTTAAGTTGGTTCCTCTGGTGTCTACTTTGTCTTTCAAAAATTCATTGAAATCTTTCTTCCACTGTGATCCTCTAGCCTCTTTTCGGGGGGGTGCTTAATACTATTTTTTTAGAAATTAGATTCAAGGCGCACATGTGCAGGTTTGTTACATGTGCAGTTACATTGCATGATGCTGCAGTTTGGGCCTCTGTTGATCCCATCACCCAGGTGGTGAACATAGTACCTGATAGGTAGTTTTTCAGCCCTTTCTCTCCTCCCACCCTCCCCTCTTTTGGAGTCCTCAGTATCTATTGCTGTCATTTTTTTTTTTTTTTTTTGAGATGGAGTCTCACTCTGTCACCCAGGCTGGAGTGCAGTGGTGCGATCTCGGCTCACTACAACCTCTGCCTCCCAGGTTCAAGTGATTTCTGGCTAATTTTTGTTTTTTTAGTAGAGGTGGGATTTCACCATATTGGTCAGGCTGGTCTTGAACTCCTAATCTCAGGTGATCCACCTGCCTTGGCCTCCCAAAGTGCTGGGATTATAGGCGTCGTGAGCCACTGCACCAGCCTATTGCTGTCATCTTGGTATCCATGTGTACTCAGTGTTTAGCTTCCACTTATAAGTGAGAATATGCAGTATTTGGTTTCTGTTTCTGCATTAATTCATTTATAATAATGGCCTCCAGCTGCATCCATGTGGCTGCAAAGAATATAATTTCATTGTTTTTTATGGCTGTGTATTATTCTATGGTGTATATGTACCACTTTTTAAAAAATACAACCCACCATTGATGGGCACTTGGGTTGATGCCATGTCTTTGCTACTGTGAATAGTGCTGCCATAAACATATGAGCGCAGGTTCCTTTTTGGTAGAACAATTTATTTTCCTTTGGTTATGTACCCAGTAATGAGGCTGCTGAGTCAAATGGTAATTCTATTTTTAGTTCTTTAAGAAGTCTCCAAACTGCTTTCTACAAGGGCTAAACTAATTTACATTCCTCTCAGCAGTATATAAACATTCCCTTTTCTCTGCAACCTTGCCAACATCTGTTATTTTCTGATATTTTAATAATAGCCATTCTGACTGGTGTGAGATGGTATCTCATTGTGGGTTTTCTTTGCTGACTTTTGCTTTGTAGAGATTGGATTTCACTATGTTGACCAGGCTGGTCTCGAACTCCTGGCCTCAAGTGATCGACCCGCCTCAGCCTCCGAAAGTGCTGGGACTGCAGGCGTGAGCCACCGTGCCAGGCCTCATTGTGGTTTTGATTTGTAACTCTCGATTAGTGAAAGATGTCAAGCATTTTTTCATGTTTGTTGGCCACTTGTATGTCTTTTTTTTTTTTTTTTTTTTTTTTTTTTCAGATGGAGTCTTGCTCTGTCGCCCAGGCTGGAGTGATATCGGCTCACTGCAACCTCCACCTCCCAGGTTCAAGCAATTCTCCTGCCTCAGCTTCCCAAGTAGCTGGGATTACAGGCATGTGCCACCACGCCTGGCTAATTTTTGTATTTTTAGTACGGACAGGGTTTCACCATGTTGGCTGGACTGGTCTTGAACTCCTAACCTCAAGTGATCCACCACTTCAGCCTCCCAAAGTGCTGAGGTTACAGGCATGAGCCACCATGCCCGGCCTGTATGTCTTCTTTTGAGAAGCGTCTGTTTATGTTCTTTGCCCACTCTTTAATGGGGTTATTTTGGTTTTCTCTTATTGGTTTGTTGAAGTTCCTAGATTCAGGATATTTGTCATTAGATGAAGAGTTTGCAAATATTTTCTCCCATTCTGTAGGTTATCTGTTTGCTCTGTTAATTTTTTTTTTCTGTGCAGAAGTTTAATTAGGTCCTAATTATCAATTTTTGTTTTTATTGCATTTGCTTTTGAGAGCTTAGTCATAAATTCTTTGTCTAGGCCAATCTCCAGAAGAGTATTTCCTAGGTTTTATTCTAGGATTTTTATAGTTTGAGGTCTTGCATTTAAGTCTTTAATCCATCTTGAGTTAATTTGTGTACATGGTGATAGGTAAAAGTCCAGTTTCATTCTTCTTCATATGGTTAGCCAGTTTTCCCAGCACCATTTATTGAATAGGGTATCCTTTCCCTTAGTGATTATTTTTGTTGACTTCATCAAAGATCAATTGGTTGTGGGTGTGTGGCTTTTTTTCTGTGTTCTCTATTCTGTTCCATTGGTTTGTGTGTCTATTTTTGTGCCATGCAGTTTTGGTTACTATAGCCTTGTAGTATAGTTTGAAGTCAAGTAATGTGATGCCTCCAGCTTTGCTCTTTTTGCTTTGGATGGCTTTGACTATTCATGTTCTTTTTTTAGTTCCATATGAGTTTTATTATTTTTTTCTAATTCTGTGAAAAACCGTGGTTGAGCCTGGTGGCAAACACCTGTAATCCCAGCACTTTGAGTGGCTGGGGTGAAAGAACCTCTTGACCCTAAGCGTACAAGACCAGCTGGGCAACATTTTGTAGAGACTTTGTCTCTACAAAAAAAAAAAAAAAAAACAACAAAAAAACTGTTGGCCAGGTGCGATGGCTCACGCCTGTAATCCCAGCACTTTGGGAGGCCGAGGTGGGCGGATCACAAGGTCAGGAGTTCGAGACCAGCCTGGCCAACATGGTGAAACCCCGTTTCTACTAAAAATACCAAAATTAGCCAGGCGTAGTGGCAGATGCCTGTAATTCCAGCTACTCGGGAGGCTGAGACAGGAGAATTGCTTGAACCCAGGAGGCAGAGGTTACAGTGAGCCGAGATCGTGCCATTGCACTCCAGCCTGGGCAAAAAACCAAGACTCCATCTCAAAAAAAAAAAAAAAAATTGTTAAATTAGTTGGGTGCGGTGGCATGCACCTTAGTCCTAGCTACTCAGGAGGCTGAGGAGAGATTGCTTGAGCAAGGGAGGTCGAGGCTGCAGTGAGTTATGATCACGCTACTGCACTCTGGTCTGGGCAACAGAGCCAGTCTCTGTCTCAAAAAAACTTATGTTGGTAATGTGATTGGAATAACATTGAATCTGTAGATTGCTTTGGGGATATGGACATTTTAACAGTATTGATTCTTCCAATCCATGAACATGGAATGGTTTTTCCATTCATTTGTGTTGTCTCTGATTTCTTTCAGCAATGTTTTCTAGTTCTCCTTGTAGAGATCTTTCACCTCCTTGGTTAGATGTATCCTGAAGTGTTTATTTTATTTTATTTTATTTTATTTTATTTTATTTTATTTTATTTTATTTTATTTTATTTTATTGTGGCTATTGTAAATGGGATTGCTTTCTTGATTTGGTTCTCAGCTTGAATGTTATTGGTGTATAGAAATGCTGCTGATTTTTGTATGTTAATTTTGTATTCTGAGGCTTTACTAAAGTTGTTTTTCATGTCTAGGAGTCTTTTGGCGGAGTCTTTAGGGCTTTCTGGGTATCAAATTATATAACCAGTGGAGAGAAATAGTTTGACTTCCTCTTTTCCAATGTGGATTCCTTTTATTTTTTTCTCTTGCCTGACTGCTCTGTCTAGGACTTCAAGTACTATGTTGAATAGGAATGGTGACAGTGGGCATCCTTATCTTGTTCCAGTTCTTAGGGGGAGTACCTCTAACTTTTGCCTGATCAGTGTGATGCCTAACACTATTTTACACTGTTTTACAGTTACTCTAGCAGGGTTTTGGGAAGGAGGGGAAATGAATGTGTGTGAACAATCTGTCATTTTTAACCGGAAGTTCTAAGTAGGCAAGTTTTCATGAGGAAACAGAGGGTGGGGCTTTATCTGTGAAGAGGGCTCAGATGGTGCATCAGAGGGCTGGGCATACTGGGCAGCTTGAAAGTATAGAGCCCCTGAGTAAAGCTGAGAAAGGTGCCTTCCAAGGATCTGCAGAGAGGAAACCCAAGAAGGCTGGAGCACTCAAAGAGCACTCGTAATTTTGTTCTAGGTAATCCTGCTTGAACCAATCATCATACCTATAATCAATTTAATACTTACCTTTTCTAAACTAAGCACAAGAATCAAAGAGCGATCAATGTTCTTCCTATCAAACCTATATAACCCCCTCCTTTCCTTGTCCCTTTTTGTTGGTTTTCTCTCATTTTGCAGGGTCTTTCACAGAAGTTGAGGTCACTTTATTATTTTCTAAATATATGTTAGTAGGCCTGATCTCACATAAACATACCTTCATATTCGAAAATAAGTATTTGCTCTCAGGGAAACTGTCACATAAAATTGTATGATCACTGCGTGCAGAGGCTCACCTCTGTAATTCCAGCACTTTGGGAGGCCAAGGTGGATGGATCACTTGAGGTCGGGAGTTCAAGACCAGCCTGGCCAACAATGATGAAACACCATCTCTACTGAAAATACAAAAATTAGCTGGGCGTGGTGGCACATGCCTGTAATCCCAGCTACTCAGGAGGCTGAGGCAGGAGAATCGCTTGAACCCGGGAGGCAGTGGTTGCAGTGAGCTGAGATCACACCACTACACTCCAGCCTGGGTGACAGAGTGAGACTCTGTCACACACACAAAAAAATTTCATGATCAGAAGGACCTTAAGATGTTGTCTAGCTTATATTTCTGTGTCTTAAAATGAAATTATACTTAGGAAGTGACTTCACATGCTCATTCACCACTGCTGAGAGATGGGAAAACAGAGGGACAGAGCTGGGAATGGCATTACAAACTTCTGTTGGTGTCCCTGCTCTCACATTGCCTGGAAATGAGCTAATGGCTGAGATCCTCAGCTTCTTTGTCCATAAGATTGCACAAATACTTGCCCTGCCCATTTTGTCAGGTTGTCGTAAAATCAAATGTGGTAATTTAGATGAAGATATTTCTTAATTGTATGCTATGCTGGTGTATTTATAGATAAGTTAATGGTGTTTTCCAGGAACTTTGCAAGGTGTAATATGGAATGCGCAGTTAAAAGTTGTACAGTCTCTGACCTTATGAAACTTACAATTTAGTAACATCCCTTTAGAGAGAAAAACAACAGACAAAAATCTGGCTTCATTTTTTTTTTAACGCTGGAATTTCCTTTTCAAACTTGAAATAACTCAGTGCATACTTCTCTGATTCATGCCTACTGCCATTAACTCTATTTTGTTTTTTTCTTTACCTGTGTACAGCACATTATATTAGTACTAGATTGTACTTCCAACAGTTTTCAGGAGTTGCTCTAATCTGCAAATGAAGGCTTAAAAAATTAAATGCAGTACAAACAACCCAAGTGTTCATCCATGGGTGACTGGATAAACTAAGTGTGGTATATACCTACAACGGGATGTTATTCAACCTTAATAAGGAAGAAAATTCCGATACATGCTACAAGCATGGATGGACCTCAAGGGCATTATGTTAAGTGAAATAAGCCAGTCACAAAAACACAAATACTATATGATTCCGATTATATGAGGTACCTACAGACATAAAGTAGAATGATGGTTGTCAGGGGCTGGGAGGAAAGGGGAGTTAATATTTAGTGGACAGAATTTCAGTTTTACAGATGAAAAGAGTTCTGGAGATAGACGGTGTTGATAGTTGCACAGCAGTGTGAATGTGCTCATTGTTACCGAACTTAAAAATGTTTAACATAGTATTATGTGATTTTTATTTTGCCACTTAAAAAAAAAGAATGAAGTACTGATACATGCTACAACATGGGTGAGCTTTAAATACATTCTGCTCAGTGAAATAAGCCAGATGCAAAAGATCACATATTATATAATCCACTTATACGAGATACCTAGAATAGGCAAATTCATAGAGACAGAAAGTAGAATAGTGGTTCCCAGGGGCTGGGGACAAGGGGGCAGTGAGAGATTGAGAGTTATTATTAATGCGTACAGAGTTTCAGTTTGGGCTGATAAAAAAGTTCTGAAGATGGATGGTGATGATGGTTGTACATCAATGTGAGTGTAATTACCGCCACTGAACTGCCACTTAAAAACGTTTAAAAGAGTAAATTTTATGTTGTGTATATTTTACCATAATAAAAAAATGAAGAAAAAGCTTAGAAATAAAATCAAGTGGCTGGACGCAGTGGCTCATGACTGTAATCCTAACACTTTGGGAGGCCGAGGTGGGTGCATCATCTGAGGTCAGGAGTTTGAGACCAGCCTGGCCAACATGGCGAAACCCCGTCTCTACTAAAAATACAAAAATTATCTGGGTGTGGTGTCATGCGCCTGTAATCCCAGCTACTCGTGAGGCTGAGGCAGGAGAATTGCTTGAACCCAGGAGACGGAGGTTGCAGTGAGCCAAGATCACGCCAGTGTATTTGTCTGGGCAACAGAGCGAGACTCCAGAAAAAAAAAAAAAAAAAAAAGAAAGAAAGAAGAAAAGAAAGAGAAGGAAAGAAAATGAAGTGTGCATGACATCTGCTACACAACAGTAAACACTCAGTACACTTGTGGGATGTGTTGAATTGCACTGGATTCCTACATACCAGTTTTTCAAGTGATTTCAAGGCTGAAATTATTCTCAAGCCTGAGTTTTCTGGACAAAATTTGAAGGAGTTAAAGAAAAGGTGACTAAAATTTCTTTCAATAAATCCTAAATTCCAAATATTACATTAGAGAAAATGGCAAAATCATAGGGACTACACTTTCAAGAGGAGAGTCCATCTCAGTTGAATTATATTCCTAGCCTTCTAAATGACTGGGATTTTTTCGTAAATGACAGCCTTTCCACTAGGAGGGATCTTGGGCAATCATCCGATCCAGCCCATGCCTTCAGGCTGGTAAGAGATCATCAGCTCATTTTTCAGATTAGGCAATCCTAGTGCCCAGAGAGGTAAAGCCACCTGTCTCAAGTCACACAGCAAGTGAGGGACTGGCATCCAGACTTCAGGGCTACTGCCTCCCAAGACTTGTGCTTTTTTTCTGTTGTCATGCTCTGTTTTATGTAACTTCTTTGGATCTCTATTTTTCTACCACATTCTAGAGTTAAGATATTAGCTATTCTAATCATTGTGTAAAAATTCTTTGAGTGTCCCAGGCAGTTGCTTATCTAGGTAAAGGTGAGTGATCAAAAAGCTTTTACAGGGGAGATGTCGTAGCTATCTGGAATCCAGTCCTAGATTCAGAGTATAAACACAGAAATCTGAGCATGTGATCTGGATGAACTGGTTAATCTTTCTAAATCTCAGGTTCTTCATCTGTTTCAAAACATGCCCAACTAAAATATTTTTGGGAGCGTTGAATGAAATTTGTGAATGTATTTGTATTTTGTAAAGCATAAAGCAGTGTTGTGGTCCAGGGAGTCTTGGGGCTCCCCAGACCCTTGCAGGAGGTTTCCGAGATCAAAACTTTTTTTTTTTTTTTTTTTTTTTAAGATGGAATCTCGCTCTGTCGCCCAGGCTGGAGTGCAGTGGCGCAATCTCGGCTCACGGCAACCTCCACCTCCCGGGTTCAAGGGATTCTCCTGCCTCAGCCTCCCGAGTAGCTGAGGTTACAGGCATGCACCACCATGCCTGGCTAATTTTTTGTATTTTTAGTAGAGTCGGGGTTTCACCATGTTGGCCAGGCTGGTCTTGAACTCCTGACGTCAAGTGATCCACCCGTCTTGGCCTCCTAAAGTGCTGGGATTACAGGCATGAGCCACCATGCCTGGCTATTTTTTTTTCTTTTTGGTCTCTTTCTGTCACCCCAGCTGGAGTACAGTGGTGTGATCACAACTCACTGCAGCCTTGACTTCCCCAGGCTCAGGTGATTCTCCCATCTCAGCCTCCTAAGTAGCTAGGACTACAGGTGTGCACCACCAGACTCGGCTAACTTTTGTATATTTTGCAAAGACAGGGTCTTGTCATGTTGCCTAGGCTGGTCTTGAACTCCTGGGCTCAAGCAATCCTGCCTGGGCCTTCAAGTGCTGGGATTACCGGTGTAAGCCACTGCACCTGGCCCCAAGATCAAAACTACTTTTATGATAATATTAAGATGTTATTTTCCTTTCTTTTTATTTTATTATTATTATTTTTTGAGACAGAGTCTCACTCTGTTGCCTAAACCAGTGTGCAATAGCATGATCATGGCTCCTTGCAGCCCCAACCTCCTAGGCTCATGTGATCCTCCCACCTCAGCCTCCCAAGTAGCTGGTACCACAGGCACGTGCCACCACACCCAGCTAACTTTTTGTAGTTTTTATAGAGACGGGGTCTTGCTATGTTGCCCAGTCCGGTCTCAACTGCTGGACTCAAGTGATCCTCCTGCCTCAGCCTCCTGAAGTGCTGGGATTATAGGTGTGAGCCACCACACCTGGCCTATTTGCCTTTCTTCACAAGTATGCAACAGAGTTTCCAGAAGCTATGGGACATGTGATATTTGTAACAGATCGAATGCAGAAGGAGATGGAAGATATCCAACTGTCTTCTAATAGGTCAGACATTCAAGAGATTTCGCAAATATGTTAAACATTGTTACTCTTCGCATTAATTCTTTTGGAGATAAAATATTTTCCAGAAAAATGTTATCTATGTTAAAATGTAATGTGTTGTTACTATTGTTTTAATTAATTAATAATCTAAAATCTGTTAAAATTTTTTCTTTTCTTTTTTCTTTTCTTTTCTTTTTTTTTTTTTTTTTTTGAGACAGAGTCTTGCTCTGTCACCCAGGCTGGAGTGCAGTGGCGCGATCTCAGCTCACTGCAAACTCTACCTCCCAGGGTTCAAGCAATTCTCTGCCTCAGCCTCCGAAGTAGCTGGAATTTCAGGCGTACACCACCCACGCCTGGCTAATTTTTGTATTTTTAGTAGAGACAGGGTTTCACCATGTCAGTCAGGCTGGTCTTGAACTCCTTTCCTTAGGTGATCCACCCATCTCTGCCTCCCAGAGTGCTGGGATTACAGGCGTGAGCCACTGCACCCGGCCTAAAACTTTTTTTAATTCTAATTTTTGATATGGTACATATTGTCAGATATAACCACATAGGCAAAGTTCTTTGAGGCTCTCAAAGCCTTTTAAGAGTGTAAACTGATCTTGAGACCAAAAAAATTAAGCACTACTTCTATAAGGTACCATATAAATAGTACATATTTTTACTTTGTACCATTGATTTTTTAAAAAGTATCACATTATTAAAAAGGGTGCATGCTTCTTATAGAAAATTTAGAAAATTACAGAGAAATATAAAAAAGGAAATAAACATTTTTATCTGTAATCCCATCATGCAAATAACAAGATACTTTTGTTTTTGTTTTTTTTAGATGGAGTCTTACTCTGTCGCCCAGGCTGGAGTGCAGTGGTATGATCTCGGTTCACTGCAACCTCTGCCTCCTGGGTTCAAGCAATTCTCTTGCCTAGGCCTCCCAAGTAGCTGGGATTACAGGTGCATGTCACCACACCCAGCTAATTTTGTATTTTTAGTAGAGACAGGGTTTTGCTGTGTTGGCCAGGCTGGTCTCGAACTCCTGACCTCAAGTGATCTGCCCACGTTGGCCTCCCAAAGTGCTGAGATTGTAGGCATGAGCCACCATGCCCGGCCAATATGCCATTTTTAAAGCATTTTTCTTAGTATTCTTTAATTGTAAACACCTAACCTGTAATTTAACCAGGCTTCAGAGTTTAAATTGGGGTGACATTAGGAGTTTTAGACTGTATTTTGCTGGCTCTAGGATCTACCTTCAGGACCTCATCTCTGTTCCAGGTATTTTAAATTTTGTCTTCAGTGGATATCTCCTATGTGCTCGGCAATGAGCCTTCTCAGTTACCACATAGCATCCACCCTTTTCTTCTACTGTTGTAGCCCTCTTTGGTGATGTTGGTTGCTAAGGTCTCAATGGCCTGCCAAAGGAGATACCTCGGTTGCCCTTGGTGATGCCATCTCCTATGGGCTGTGCTGGGCACCTCCACTGATGATAGGTAGGAGCTTGGACTATGGGAATGGTGGGGTCTATTGGAATCAGTCTTGGGTGTCTCAAAGCCTTGCTGTGGGCAGGGCCTCCCTCCCATTGATAGATGTTTTGTCATATAGGTATTGATAGTGTGCAGTTTCACCGACAACATCTCTATTTCCTTGTCTTCCTCCCTTTGATTCTTGTGTCTTTCTAGTCCGGAGATAGGAGCCCATGGAAGGCAGGAGATGGGGCAGTTTGCACTCAGAGCACTGAATATCATCAGAAACAGCCCTCTGCTTTGATGATCAGGGCTTAATATTTTAGTACTTAGAGCTGGGTGCAGTGGCTCACGCCTGTAATCCTGGCACTTTGAGTGGCCGACAAGGGTGACCTGATCACTTGAGGTCAGGAGTTTGAAACCAGCCTGGCCAACATGGTGAAACCTCATCTCTACTAAAAATTAAAAAAAATTAGCTGGACGTGGTGGCAGTTGCCTGTAATCCCAGCTACTTGGGAGACTGAGGCAGAAGAATTGTTTGAACCCAGGAGGTGGAGGTTGCAGTGAGCCAAGGTCGCACCACTGCACTCCAGCCTCGGCAACAGAGTGAGATTCTGTCTCAAAAAAAAAAAATTTAGTACTTAGTACTTTATGGCACCAGTTCTCAAACTTTTCCTTTTTTGGTCTCAGGACCAGTTTTTACTATTAAAAATTCATGTGGACCTCAAACGGCTTTTACTTATATGGCTATCTCTATGTTTAGCATGTTAGAAATTAGAAAAAAATAATTTGAAATATTAATTTACCTCAAGTAAGAGTAACAACCCATTATATATATATATGTATGTATGTATATATATTGTTTTTGTTTTGTTTTGTTTTGTTTTTTGAGATGGAGTTTCGCTCTTATTGCACAGGCTGGAGTGCAATGGCGCGATCTCGGCTCACTGCAAACCCCGCCCCCTGGGCTTAAGCGATTCTCCTGCCTCAGCTTCCCGTGTAGCTGATATTACAGGCACGTGCCACCATGCTCAGCTAATTTTGTATTTTTAGTAGAGATGGGGTTTCTCCATGTTGGTCAGGCTGGTCTCGAACTGCCAACCTCAGGTGATCCACCCACCTTGGCCTCCCAAAGTGCTGGGATTATAGGCGTGAGCCACTGCGCCCAGCTCAACCCATTATATTTTAGCATAAATAATATTTGTATGAAAAATAGCCAGGGTGGGGTAGCTTACTGCCTCATGGAAATGGTAGGATCACATTCCAGCTTTGTTTGGTCATGGTTTTTAAGTTTTAAAAAGTTGTTGTTGATTTCCCAGTTTGTAAAATTATTTAAGAAATGGAATCAATTCTGCTTTTAGCTGCATTTTTATTAACTTATAGGACACCCCATTTTTTGCCTTTTAGCACAAAACAAAAGGACAGCCAAGTATTTACAGGAAATTGGAAATAATCTACCACTGTGAATTTGGGAGCTTGTTTTTTATGTTTTCCTTTTTTGGGGTTGACTCTTGGGTTCATGGTTCATGATTCTGATGTTGCATATACATATGTTAGTCATAGTTTCTATTGGTAAAACAGTTTTCAAGTCTTATAATTACGTATTTTAAAGTTTCACAATATTTTCCAAAGAGGACCATGACATCCAGGAACATTCCCACAATCATCTAGGGATTTTAACAGTCATCCAGGCTTGTCTTGTCTGCCCAGAGATTTAGAAAGAGAACACTTCTTGTTTCTCAGAACAGATACAGCTCAGCATCCAATTTAAGATGATGCAGTTTGGTCTTGAGCACTGAAGTAAATACAGAACTTGTAGAAACTCCGCATGAGAGCCATGAATGGCTTCCAAATTGAGAAACCCTAAAGGAAAAATTCAAAGTTCAGTTTTACACAACACAGAAAAGTGATTTGATTACCTGCTTTAGCAACTGCGCGTGCTGGGTAGGTGTAAACTGAGGCCTACAATGACTATTCCCTGTGTCCTGCACATTGATTCCAGTGAGACACGACAGAAAATTTTCCAATTTTAAGCAGTGTCAGAGAAGTCACTTTTGATGCCCACTTCCTTTCATTGAAGTATCAATGAAAAGGAGAGTGTTTTACTTTGAAATCTGCGTGAGATGTAGGCTTACCTAGATTAGGAGGGTGGGAAGTGTGTTAGTAGATCTCTCATAGGGGTAAGTTGGAGATACCCAATTCCAAGGAATGAAAGCATAAAAGATATTTGTTGGGTCACATAACTGGAACAGAGAGGATTGGAGCTGGCCTCGGGCTTGGCTATGTTCAGTGCTCCCTCCTTCCTTCCTTTTTCCATCGCTCATCTCTTGTCTCCATTCTCTCAGATTCTGCCATGTGCAGCAGAGATGACCATCAGCAAGACTGAGGTCAGGCTTACAATTTGGCATCTGAGATGAAAGAGCAATTCCTCCACCTCTAATTTGGAAAATTCCAGGGAAAGACTGAGTAGGTCAGGCTCTATGTCAGAAGGGACAGAACGTTCTAATGGACAGCCTTGGGGGAAAGGCAATTTCCTAAAAAATGGTGAGGTAAGGAGGCAGGGGAATGTTGACACCAGAAGGGATCAGAATGTTAGATAGACATACTCTCCCACGAAGGAAATGACTTTTAACATCATTCTTCTCCAGTTCATATTTTTCCTTTGACCTATGTCAATTTGCTGATGCCAAAAGTTTGGTTACACCACCTTGTAAACATCAAGCTACTTTACCTCTCTGTGCCTCGGTTTCCTTATACTAATTTCATACTTATATAGCTTAATAATACCAGTACTCCCTTTAGCACATACGCTAAAATTGGAATGATATGGAGAAGGTTAGCATGGCTTCTGTACAAGGATGGCATGCAAGTCAGTGAAGCATTCCATATATTTCTTAATATATTCAGTAGCAGAGTACGATGACTATAGTTAATAACAATGTATTGTATGTTGCAAAATAGCTAGAAGAGAGGACTTGAAATACTCCCAACATGTGAAACAGTAAATACTCAAGGTGAGGGACACCCCAAATTCTCTGACTTGATCATTACACATTCTATGCATGTAGCCAAAATATCATATGTACCCAGCAAATATGTACAACAACTAAAAATTTATATTAATTTCATGAAGTGGTTGTGAGAACTAAATGTTTGGAAAAATGCCGGATACATAATAAATGATAAATAAAAGTCCACAATAGAATGGCTGGGCACAGTGGCTCACGCTTGTAATCCCAGCACTTTGGGAGGCTGAGGTGGGTGGATCACCTGAGGTCAGGAGTTCGAGACCAGCCTGGACAACATGACGAATCCCCATCTCTACTAAATATACAAAAATTAGCTGGGCGTGGTGGCATGCGCCTGTAGCCCCAGCTACTCAGGAGGCTGAGGCACAAGAATCGCTTGAACCCGGGAGACGGAGGTTGCAGTGAGCCGAGATTGCGCCACTGCACTCCAGCCTGAGTGACAGAGCAAGACTCTGTCTTGAAAAAAAAAAAAAAAGTCCACAGTAGAAGAACTGGGCAAATGGCTGAAACTAGATAGGGTAGATACCAGAAGGATAGAACTGTAAGTGTAGAAGTTCATCCATTAGGTAGAACAAGGTATCTTTTAGGCTGTGAATTGGAAACCGCAGGCAATAGTCTAGGCAAACTTGTCAGCCCTGAGAGTCTGGCATGGTCACCCCAAACCAAAGGCAGCACAATACTGCTCCCTCCCTGGTTCCCGAACATGTAGAAATATGAAGGTGTGGGTTATGGTTGATATTGTGACTGGGATGTTGCTGGCATCTTGCGTCTGGGAATTCTGTGCATGGGACAGTCTGACCCAAATAATTATCCTGCTTAAAATGCCTAAAGCACCACTATTGATGAAAAAAAAACCAGAATGATCTCAATAGGCAGGCCTCAGAGTGTCAGGGAATGCAAAAGTAGAGATACTGAGAAATCCAATCATTAGTGGTTGAGGTCAGTTACCAAGTAATAGGGCCTCTAGCCACCTGGCTTAAGGCAGGATTCCTGTCTCTAGGGGAGGAGGCACAGGGTGGAAAGAGTGATGTAGAACTCAGATTTTATAGGAGTGGAGACAAAGACTCCAGATGCTGAACACATAGGGCTCTTCATGCAGTACCGTGGTCAACAGGCATGTCTCTGAGTTCTACCCCAGCTCTGCTACTTACATTTCTGTGTAAAGCTATTTGTCTGAGCCTTGATCTCCTTCTCCACAAAGGAGGCATAATAAAAATAGTATCTATCTGATAGGGATGCTGTATGGATCAAGAGTGATAATACAGACAGGTGATTAAGCATGGCGCCTGATTCATTGTAAATGTGCAGTCAAGGGAAGCTACTATGATTATTGTTATTAATAACAATGACAGAGATCCAATTAGGAGAATTTGGCCAGGTAAGGTGGCTCACGCCTATAATCTCAGCACTTTGGGAGGCTGAGGCAGTGGATCACTGGATCCCAGGAGTTCGAGCCCAGCCTGGCAACACAGTGAGACCCTGTCTCTACAAAAAGTTTTTAAAATTAGCTGAGTGTGGTAGCATGTGCCTGTGGTCCCAGCTACTTGGGAGGCTGAGGTGGGAGGATAGGTTGAGCCTGGGAAGAGGAGGCTACAGTGAGCTGAGATTGTGCCACTGCACTCCAGTCTGGGGGACAGAGCAAGACCCTGTGTCAAAAAACAAAACAAAACAAAAACAATTAGGAGAATTTGGGTAATAAGTTGGGACCTTGGCCTCAAGAAAGCAAAAATACCCTTACTAGTCTGGACATCATGTCACACCTCTATCAGAGTGTGAAGGCAGAGCTTCTCAGCGCCCTCCTGTGTCCGAGTAGGGTTGGTGCTTGGGACAAGGATGGCTGTGATGTTGCTGCTGGAAACTCAGCAAGTCTTTCTATGAGGAGAGGGAAAGTAGAAGATCCCAACTTGGCCGTGAAAGAACTAGCAGCCTCACTGGGGAGCCAGAACCAACACTCATCAACAATGAAAAGCAATAGCCTGATGTGGTGGCGGGCACCTGGAGTCCCAGCTGCTTGGGAGGCTCAGTGGGGAGAATGACTTGAACCTAGGAGTTTGAGTCTACCCTGGACCACACAGGGAAACCGTATCTCCAAAAAAAGCAAAACAAAACCAATCAACCAAACAAACAAAACAAAACAACTAAAGGCAATATCACGTAAAATAGGATTGCAAATAAAAATAATATCTTTTGTTCTATATGGGAACAAAAAGATATGGGAAAACAAAAGTTTGAAAGGACATGCCTGACATGTTAACAGTGGAAACCTATGGGAGATGAGAATATGACTTTTTTATAAATCATGAATTTATTTTGTAATTTAAAAACACTGTTAGATCCAAGTGATACAAGACAGCATATAATTCACAGTTAAGAGTTCAACATGGCCAGGCACCGTGGCTCATACCTGTAGTTCCGGCAATTTGGGAGGCCAAGGCAGGCGATTTCTTGAGCCCAGGAATTCAAGACCAGCCTAGACAACATGGTGAAGTCCCATCTTTACAAAAAATACAAAAATTAGCGGGACGTGGTGGTGAGCACCTGTAGCCCCAGCTACTTGGGATGCTGAGGCGGGAGGATCACTTGAGCCCAGGAAAGCGAGACCATAGTGAGCCATAATCACACCACTGTGCTCCAGCCTGGGTGACAGAGTAAGACCTTGTCTCAAAAAAGAAACAAAAGAGCATCACAGAAATGAGGAATCATGTGTTCTTGAATAGTGTGGGAAGCTCTCATAAGGAGGTGGCATTTTGGGGATCCTGAAGGGTAGACAGGGTTCAGATATATGGATGTGAAAAATACACTAGAGAATAGACCTAAGTAAGTGAATAAGCACAACAGGTGTGCCAGTGATTGACTTATTGCCTGTCGACACTAAATCCACTCTTTACTCCGCTTGTGATTCTGGACCTAGACCCTGTAGACATCCTCTTTCACCAGCTGGCATAATTTTAGGCTTTGTCCTGATACAATGTATCTGATGGATGGAGAAATGTCCTCCTGACCAACAAAGGGATTACAGAGAGGAGACCAAGACTGGCCAGATAAAGTACAATAAGATCAAGCAGGGTTGGTCAGGCGTGGTGGCTAACGCCTGTAATCCCAGCACTTTGGGAGGCCGAGGCGGGTGGATCACCTGAGTTCGGGAATTCAAGACTAGCCTGACCAACATGGAGAAACCCCATCTCTACTAAAAATACAAAATTAGCCGAGCGTGGTGGTGTGCGCCTGTAATCCCAGCTACTCAGGAGGCTGAGGCAGGAGAATCGCCTGAACTCGGGAGGCAGAGGTTGTGGTGAGCCGAGATAGTGCAATTACACTCCAGCCTGGGCAACAAGAGCAAAACTCCGTTTCAAAAAAAAAAAAAGATGAAGCAGGGTCTTAAACTTCAGGCAGGAAAGGAATTTGTTCATGAACTGAAAGACGAATGAGAAATCTATTAGGGGCCGCCGAATGCAACTATGAGGCTTTCCAAGCCTTTTGCCTTCTCGCCTTCTCATCTCTGCCTCCTAAGCCTCATCCTTGAAAGTCTGGACCTTCCTGACAGGTACTGATCCCTCGTCATGTTGTCCAGGATATTGTCACTCCCCGAAACACCCTCTTCCAGTCCTTCACGCCTTGATAAATATCTATTTGTCCTTCAAAAGGCTCATCGAGCATTATTTTGGTGGGTTTCCTTTGGTTCTCCTCCCTCCAGCTTAATAGCCTTCTCATTTATATTACTTTTATTCTATACATCAAATTAAATCGGCCTTATTTAGTAGCTTTAATCATCTTTTCTACTAGAATGAACTTCTTAATGGCTTTCATTCTCTCTTGTGTTGCCAAGGCCTGGCAGACTACCTAGAACAAAACATATGAACTGAACTGATTTAGGCTGTACTGCGGATGTCTCTAAAAGGAAGAATAGCACTGAGGGTATCTCTAGAAGAAATAATTGGTTTTTGTTTGTTCGTTTTTTTTTGTTGTTTTGTTTTGTTTTGTTTTTGTTTTTTTGAGATGGAGCCTCGCTCTGTCACCCAGGCTTGACTGCAGTGACGCAATCTCAGCTCACGCAACCTCCGCTTCCCGGGTTCAAGCAATTCTCTGCCTCAGTCTCCCAAATAGCTGGGATTACAGGCGCTCGCCACCACACCTGGCTAATTTTTGTATTTCTAGTAGAGACGGGGTTTCACCATCTTGGCCAGGCTGGTTTTGAACTCCCAACCTTGTGATCCGCCCACATCGGCCTCCCAAAGTGCTAGGATTACAGGTGTGAGCCACCACGCCCGGCCAAGAATTGTATATTTTTAGGGGATCAGAACACTTAGAATTAGTGGGACATTATTGCTAGGGTTAAGATAGCATTTCAGTATTTCTGGTATAGAGGATGTTGGCTATCCACTGTCTATTCCAGTAAATTTCCTCACCATAATATCTCTCTATCTCTGTCTGTCTGTCTTCTCTCTCTTGCACACATGAGAGAGAACTATTACCTGCCGGGTAAATAGTGGGAGAATTAGGACCTACTGTGAATCGTCTGCCTGGGGCCCAACCTGTAACATCACAAGAAGAAAAACATCTGTACTTCCTTATGAGGTTCTTTTCAATGTCCATTTTAGTTCAAATGTCCTCATAACATAAAGGGAGGGGGAAGTTCAGAGACACATCATAGAATATTCATCACATTGCTGGCATTCTGGGAAGAATCAGGCTGGTTAAGTGACTCCCAGGCTGCTCTTACCTATCCAGAGCCTAGAGCATCTAGATTTTGATTGGACCATTGCCAGAACTCATTAGCATAGTGTACCCTGACCTGGAATAGGGAACAGCGTCTGCTCAGAAAATGACCAGAGCCTGCTGGGACTTGAACCAGCAGTAAGATTTTCACGACACAGTGCTGTCTGCTTCTCCGTAAGAAGTTAGAAGGTAAGAAAGCCAGAAATCCCGTGGAGAGGCAAATGTAAGGGATGTGGCAACGACCACTCTATTCCTACAGGGTTTCATTTGTTCTAGTTCATTTTTCTGTAGAAATGATGAAAATTGAATATACTTTGCGCAAGTTGCTTTAAAAAAAGGAGTCTTGACAAGTGTAGTTTTTCAATCCTAGAAGAGGAAAACAGAGTTTACTTAAGGGCTGTAAAATGGTTTTTTCTTCTTTTCTATGTTTTGTTCTTAACTTTTAGGGAAATATTAAATTAATGCTCATTCGCTTAGCAAATGTTAATATCGAGAGAAAAATCTAAAATGTAACATAGTTGTTCTGTAATAAAATTTTCTTTATTATTCTTCCCTTAATTTAAAAACAAAATAATTATGTCTATATTGCCTAGGCTTTATAACAATGTTTTTGATTTTTGAAAATATGAATCTTATTTGCCAAGGTTTTTAAAAAGTAGATCTATTCCAATTAGTTATAACAAAATTTGCACCATCAGAGACAATATCGTTACTGTTCAGGGTAAGTACACGGAACTGCTGCTTGGTATCTGCATCTTCTATACCTGTTATTTAAGTCCTTTGAATTAGAGTCAATTTGCGGCATCATTTCTTCAGTAACACAATGTTTCTTTCCTAAACATAGAATTTTACTTAAAATCCATGAGGATTTAGTCTTGAAAATCAACATTCAGTTGGGGAACAGAAACTTCGTGCTCTGCAACCACTAGGTTGTAGCTCAGTATGGGTATGTGGAACAGACAGGAAGAGACTCTGATTAGCTTGTCATTTAATGGTCAAGAACTTTATTTATAAAGACTATACTTTCAGGGATCATTTCTATAGTTTGTTACTAGAGAAATTTCTCTGGACATCTAGAGCACACACAAAAAAGAAAAAAGGAACTTCATTCTTATGTTCAGGTCAACGGTCTTTTATATACATACACTTTCCCTTGGTAGAGTTCAGTGATTGACAAGTATTAGGATTATATAACACTAAATAACTAAAGAACAGGCCGGGCACAGTGGCTCATGCCTGTAATCCCAGCACTTTGGGAGACAGAGACGTATGGATCACCTGAGGAAAGGAGTTCAAGACCGGCCTGGTCAACATGGTGAAACCCCATCTCTACTGAAAATACAAAAATTAGCTGGGTGTGGTGGTGCGTGCCTGTAATCCCAGCTACTTGGGAGGCTGAGGTAAAAGAATCACTGGAGCCCCAGAGGTGGAGGCTATGGTGAGCTGAGATTGCGCCACTGCACTCCAGCCTGGGTGATAAGAGTAAGACTCCATTAAAAAAAAAAAAAAAAAAAAAACAATAAAAACTAAAGAAAAGAGTTCATGGGTCTCGCCAAAGCTTAGACTATTAATCTACCTTATAGTTTGAGTTCGCTATTAAATAGCTCTACATAACATCATTATGTCTCTTGTTTTTATAAGAGTACCAATAAATGAAATGTTATACATGTGAACATGTTTCACTTCATATCGTACTAACAAGTAGCTTTCATCTGCAAAATTATTCATTTTTTTCCTCAGGGTAGAACACTTCAAATTTTCTTTCTTTTTTTCTTGGTAAACCTCCTTTAACCAATTATAGTTAGAAATTAGAGCACTATTTCTCGTGAGGGAAGAAATGCCATTTGAACAAACTTTTATTTATTCATTCATTTATTTATTTATTCATTCATTCATTTATTTATTTTTTGAGACAAGGTCTCACTCTGTCACCCAGGCTGGCATGCAGTGACACAATCTTGGCTCACTGCAGCCTCAACCTCCTGGGCTCGGGTAATCCTCCACCTCAGCCTCCCAAAGTAGCTGGGACTACAGGTGTGCACCACCATGCCCAGCTAGTGATTTGTACTTCTTGTATAAACACGGTTTCTGCATGTTTCTCAGGCTGGTCTTGAACTCATAGACTTAAGTGATACATGTGTCTTGGCCTCCCAAAGTATTGGGATTACAGGCTGCTAGCACCTAATGGGTAGAGACCAGGGATGCTGCCAAACAGTCTACAACATGAAAAAAGCTCCCCACAACAAAGAATTATCTGGTCCAAAATGTCAATAGTGCCAAACTTAAGAAACCCTGTTTCAGATTAATCAGATATAAGCATATTAGTTGATAATATTTGAAGATATATCGTGCGCACAGGATTTATTGCAGAGACCAAACCTAATCCTTACAGTGATTTGGATTTTCAAATATATTTTTTTTCTGGCCGGGTGCGGTGGCTCACGCCTGTAATCCCAACACTTTGGGAGTCCGAGGCGGGTAGATCACTTGAGGTCAGGAGTTCGAGACCAGGCTGGCCAGCAGAGTGAAACCCCATCTCTACTAAAAATACAAAAATCAGCTGTGCGTGGTGGCACATGCCTGTAATCCCAGCTACTGGGGAGGCTGAGGCAGGAGAGTTGCTTGAACCCAAGAGGCAGAGGTTGCAGTAAGCCGAGATCACTCCATTGCACTCCAGCCTGGGTGAAGAAGTGAGACTCCATCTCAAAAAAAAAAAAAAAAAAAAATATATATATATATATATATATAAAACATATATGTATTTTCCTAGATAAATTCAGTGTGATGTTCCCCTCTTGCAGCTTCAACCACACATTAGCTAATTTATAAAGGCATTTCTATGGAAACAACTCCAAGCCAGTATCCTCCTGCCCTAGCAGGAAAAGTCCTAGCCATTGGTTACAGATGACAACTGTCTCTGCTAAGGCCTTCACAACCTGGATCTTGCAATGAGAAAGCAAGCCCAAACCCAAGGGTGAAAGCAGTGATCACACGCTTCTAATTCCCGATGGCCAAGTTTTAAGTAAAATCACTTATGGCTCCTATGTTTTGTTTTTTACTAGTATGTTGGTACTTGCAAAAATGTCAGTGAAACAGGTTTTTCTGGCAGAGGAGCATTGGGGTTTTTTTTTAAATCTCTTTAATGGCCAATACTAATATAACTTATTTTTTTAGCCCTAGAAAACAATCTCCTGGTCCAAGGTGCTTGAGTGGGCCGATCCAGCTATATCAAGAACCTTTGAGAACAAAATTCTCAAGCATTTCTGAGGGGAGTCGAATAGGTGAAAACCTTGGCTGGCCTGACCTTATCATGGAACCTGACGACTTTGATTCTGAAGACAAAGAGATATTAAGCTGGGATATTAATGATGTGAAACTGCCACAGGTATGTACTTGCTATAAAAATCTGCCTTCAACATTGGGCTGTGAAGTCTTGACTATTAACATGCGGAGACCTGGAAGGAAATTGGTGAGGATTCCAGCTGGGTAAATTCCTCTCCCCTAGAGTTTCAGCTAGACAGCCGACTGAGGGATTTTAAGAAGAGATGGCAAGACCTATGATTTGAGTGTGTCTTTACTTACCAGACTCCCACACTTAGAGACTGATGCAAAGAAATTTCTACTTCCCTTCTCTTTCAAAGTTGGCGTAACTCAGGTTGCACTCACTCTGGCTAGACAGTATGATAAAATCCGTGATGATTTATTTGGCCATAAATTGACTCTTTGTTATGCACAAGTCCTCATACAACCTTATTTGCTATAGTGATAGTTTTAACTCAGATTCATGTCTAAATGGAATGTGCTGGAATCCAGATGATATTGTTCTCTTGTGGAATACAGCATGCTCTTCTTCCTTTTTTCTTTTTCCTCTTCTTTCTTCCCTTTCCTTCGCCTTGCCTTGCCTTCCTGCCTTCTTCCTTTTTTCTTTCTTTCTTTTTTTCTTTCTTTCTCTCTCTCTTTCTTTTCATTTTCTTTCTTTCTTTCTTTTCTTTTCTTTCTTCTTCCTCTACTTTTTTTTTTTTTTTTTTGAGGTAGGGTCTGGCTCTGTCAACTAGGTTGGAGTGCAGTAGTGCTATCTCAGCTTACTACAGCCTCAGCCTCCCGAGTTCAAGTGATTCTCTCACCTCAACCTCCCAAGTAGCTGGGACCATAGGCACACGCCAACAAGCCCAGCTAATTTTTGTATTTTTTGTAGAGATGGGGTTTTGCCATGTTGCCCGGGCTGGTCTTGAACTCCTGGGCTCAAGTGATCTCCCTGCCTACCTGGGACCACAGGCACACCCAGCTAATTTTTGTACTTGTGTGTGTGTGTGTGTAGAGTCAGGGCTTTGCTATGTTGCCCAGGCTGGTCCTGAACTCCTGGGCTCAAGCAATCACTCGCTTCTGCCTCCCAAAGTGCTGGGATTACAGGCATAAACAGCCTGGCCTCTTCTCCTCCTATTTTGGAAATACCATACATGCACTGAAATAGTGACTTCATTTCACATTTTCTTTGGCAACTGACTTTTTTTTTTTTTTTTTAGATGGGTTTGCCTGGTCTCCTGGGCCAGAGTGCAGTGATACCATCATAGCTCACTGCAGTTTCAATTTCCTGGGCTCAAGTGATCCTCCTGCCTCAGCCTCCTTAGAAGCTGAGACCACAGGCATGTGCCACCACTCCTGGCTAATTGAAAAAAAAATGTTTTTGAGAGGAGGGTCTCACAATGTTGCCCAAGTTGGTCTCAAACTACTGGCCACGAACAACCCTTCCGTCTCACCTTCTCAAGTAGCTGGAATTATAGGCACACATTGGTTGTTGAATACTGATTTTCAACATGTATCACTGTTTACTTCTTTGACTTCCTTTGTTAACATTTAAGATGCTCTCACTAGAAGTTGTTTGAAAAGGTGACTAGAAGGCTAGGACTGGACACCACCAGTACCAAGTCATGAAAAAGTCAATCCAGTCTGCCTGATTCTGGGTAATAAGGAATTTGAGTTATCAGAAGCAGGGGAGAGGGAATAGAGATTCCTCTATCTTTGTAACTGTTCCAGAATTTCTAACGAAGACTTCCTTTTGTTTCTCTTTATGCTTTTCCTTAACTTCCAACCCCACCCCCTCTACCCCTCTCACCACCCCCGACCCCACATCTGTATCCTCTCTTCGTAGATCTTGGGACAGAGCTGGAGAACAGAAAGTGTGCCCCACTTTCCATCCATTTACAAATGGTTCTAGAAACCACAGTTAAATCATGCAAATATCGATTTTAGGGATTTGTGTTTGTTGTTGCTCTTAATTAGTATTACAATTATTGTCACTGTTGTAGGGAAACTTTAAAGTAAACTTTAATTTCTCTTGGCTCCAGGACCCATATTTTCACCTTTTTCTAACTTCATGATTGCAACACCCAAATAGAAGTTGGAGAGACACGAAATCAAGAGTTGAAGTAAACAGATATGTAGAAGACTTTACAATGTCACATTCTAGAGCAAGAGTTTTAGTGAGTTTGAGAACCCCATGAAATGGTGGTGACACTGTGTCTTAACTGGCAATTTTTTCTGGGACAGGATTCTTCATCAGATCCATAAACAAGAGATGAAGACCTCTTTCCTATAGGGAAACTTGAGGCTCATAAAAGTTCATGTTCCAACATGAATTTCCAAAAATGAAAGTGTTTGCAGCTACCCATGACATTAAACTGAGAAATGTATAGCAAAAAATGCACATTTGGTTTTAGAAATGTATTTATAGTTCATTAAAAAGTACTAAGATTGCTCACGGAAATAGCTGTCTTCCAATTTGTTAAATATGTCGGGGAAATGATTTAAAATGCAAATATTCCTTAGTATTTTCTGAGTAGAGAGAATACCATCCTCGTCTGGGTTTAATGCTAGCTTTGTCATCAGACCAAGAAACACTTGAGCTCTTGGAAAGATTTCCAGACATTAGATTTTATATTGTTTATATTGTGTGAGCATATCCAGAGACAGAGGGGTGTATTATGAAAAGTACAGGACTTGGAGAAAAATGCCCCAGATTTGAATTCTAGTTCCATCTCCTTTTTTTTTTTTTTTTTTTTTTTTTTTTTTTTTGGAGATCCTTGAGTTGTTTACCTTTTCTGAAACTTCCTTTCCTCTCTGAAAATGAGGGGGTTGCGCCAAATGGTCTGGTATGTACCTATTAGTTCTAATAGTCTAGAATTCTAGAAATGTCAGCCTTGTGCCTAGCACAGTGCCTGACGTGTATGAAACAACAAATGTTGAATATGGAATTCATTAATGAATGGCTCCATTGTTTAGAATCTGTGTGAGCCTGGAGAAATTGATTTTCTTAAGTCTTAGTTACCTCCTGTAGAATGAAAATAGGAATTCTCCACATATCCTGCCTCAGTCTCTAAGATGTTTAGAATAGTGTTCCCTAAATATATTCTGTAGAGTACAAGTTACATGGAATTTTAATAGGTACTGTGAAGAAAGAAAAAGAGCAATACGAAGTTCAACAAGGATAAACAGATTTCTTGACTGCAGGCTTGGAGTCTTTTTCACCATCCTGTGCATTGGTGGCTCTCCGAAGGAGGCTGTATTAGGCAGTATTACCCCAACTTATTTTTGACCATGAAACTTTTTTCCTGAAGCCCTTCAGGGGTTGATGTTCCCCAGACTACCTTTTTTGGCATTTAACAAATGTGGTTTAAAGGATCAAATGCAATGGCTTGTTATGATTATAAATTTCTCTAATTTCACTCTCTGTCCCATCGATCTAGATCATTTATAGTTTATATTTCATAATTTTATATTCTTGCCAGAATTATTAGTTATACAACACGTAGGAAAATTCCTTTTCTGTTTATCCTTTCACATGCTTCAAGTTTCAAGTTTCTTTCTCTCTCCTTCCTTCCTTCTTTCTTTCTTTTTCTTTCTGTTTTTTTTTTTTTTTTTTTTTTTTTTTTTTTTTTTTTTTTTCAGGGTCTCACTCTCATTACCCAAGCTGGAGTGCAGTGGCGCAATCATAGCTCACCACAGCCTTGAATTCCCGGGCTTAGGTGATTCTCTCAACCCAGCCTCTAGAATAGTGGGGACTACAGGCGTGCACCCCACACCCAACTAATTATTTGTCTTTTTAGTAGAGATGGGGTTTTGCCATGTTGCCCAGGCTGGTCTCGAACCCCAGGACTCAAGAGTTCTGCCCACCTTGGCCTCCCAAAATACTAGGATCACAGGCATGAACCATTGCACCCGGGCTTCAAGTTTCTTTCTTTCTTTCTTTCTTTCTTTTTCAGACAGAGTCTCGCTCTGCTGCCCAGGCTGGAGTGCAGTAGCACTATCTCGGCTCACTGCAAGCTCCACCTCCCGGGTTCACACCATTCTCCTGCCTCAGCCTCCCAAGTAGCTGGGACTACTTGCACCTGCCACCGTGTCCGGCTAATTTTTTGTATTTTTAGTAGAGACAGGGTTTCACCGTGTTAGCCAGGATGGTCTCGATCTCCCGACCTCGTGATCCACCCACCTTGGCCTCCCAAAGTGCTGGGATTACAGGTGTGAGCCACCGCACCCGGCCCTTCAAGTTTCAAAATGATTACCCAAATACCAGTTGCATCTTCTGGTCTGAGAAACTCCATGTGTCTTTAACTAGTTCAGATACATCAAGGTTTATGGGTTAATTTTGACAACAGTGAGCAGTGATGTCCTTACTAAGATATCAGACATTTTTGAGAAACTTAAATGCAGGAGACACTGTAGTAGGCTCAGGGATACTGGGGCCATTAAGCTATGTTAACTTCTGTGGAAATGCTCATGATCTTCTGGGCTAGTGGAACAAGATTACTGCCTAAATAGAGAATCAATGCCATGTAGAAAAATGCTAGAGGAGTTTGAAAGGAGTGTGCAGTTCAACATGACTCTGGCATGGGGAGCAAGGCCAGAAGAGTTTGTGTAAGGTTAGAGGAAAAAAAAATTAGATCAACCATCTATTATTTATGTCATTATTTGTACTTGGAAAGGTGAAATCTAATTGCTTTAAGGTTTGCTTGATCCAAGCAGCAAAAGTCTGGTGTTGATTTAGTCTTGATTTAAAATGTGGATTACATGGTCCTGGAGAGTGTCACACTCTCATTAGTACTGATTGTAATACTTGAGAGAACTTTGAATCTCTAAGAATTATTTTCTTCTGGTTGAAAATTGGGAAGAAATTCAGTTCCTTTTTCTCTTAAATAGTACCCATTTCACTAGCAAGAGGAGAATATCCACTCTGTTTCAAATACCAGCCAGTTTCTCTCAGTTCAGGTTGTGCCAATAGCACCACAGCCAGCAAACACCCTGGATCATTTTGTTCCTACACACTGAGCAGTTTGCAAATTAAACCCATGGCCAAAGCCACCCCAAGCCATTAACTCACAAAATTACAAGGTTTAAGTACTTTTTTTTTTTTTTTTTGGTAGAGAGAACATTCTCTAGTATAGAATAGTAAAGTCAACTGCAAAGGGGCCACAGTTCTGATTAGTTCATTCCTGGACTATGATTTTAGCCAGCCAAACTTCCTTTGTCTCTGCAAAAGATAAGCCCCAAATTGTGATCAAACATGAATATTTGAGCTCTCTCTGTGAATCCATGTGGCCACATGTAATCAGAACAAGCCAGTTGTAGTACTCAGATGTGTCTTGGTGCTAGGGAGCTAACAGGTAAACCAGATTGTGGATTTCTTGTCAATTATTATCCCCTGTATGAGCAGGTCACGTTGTCATTGTTCTGATGGGGATTCCTGTGACTTTGCCCCCTTTGCCAGACATTCTCCTTGACCTCAAGGGTCATTTGAACTTCCCTGAGAGCTCTACCTATATGGGCTCCCATGATCACTGGGGCCTCTGCTATTTGGACCAGAATTCTTCTGCCACTCTGTGCTTCTGGTGTGATACAGATAGGAGCATTATTGCATCTGCTGGTACCCTGCAGCAGGTCCCTTGCTTAGCTGGGTGGAGGGAAAAGGGAAGCGAAAAGAGAAGACAGACGGGGTTTGAAAGCTGAGGTAACTTGGCATAACTTAGTGTTTTCAGAGTAAATAAGGAACTTTGTCCTGAGTCTTATTTTATTTATTTATTTATTTTTTTAGACGGAGTCTCACTCTGTCGCCCAGGCTGGAGTGCAATGGTGTGATCCCAGCTCACTGCAACCTCTGCCTCCCGGGTTCAAGCGATTCTCCTGTCTCAGCCTCCCGTGTAGCTGGGACTACAGGCATGTGCCACCATGGCTGGCTAATTTTTGGTATTTTTAGTAGAGATGGGGTTTCAAGATCAGGATGTTCTTGATCTCCTGACCTCGTGATCTGCCCACCTCAGCTTCCCAAAGTGCCGGGATTACAGGCCTGAGCCACCGCGCCTGGCCTGTCCTGAGTCTTGATCTCTTGACTAAGAAATACCAGGATTAGTCTAAAGAGTAATCAGTAATTCCCCCTTTTTTTTTTTTTTTTTTTTTGAGATGGGGGTCTTACTATCTTGCCTAGGCTGGTCTTGAACTCCCGAGCTCAAGCAACCTTCTGCCTTAGCCTACTGGGTAGCTGGGATTACAGACATTCCCCACCATGCCTGCCCTAAGGAGTAATTCTTGAACAAACACAAAAGCATTTTGTTGAATTCAATTTTTTTCCTTGGTAACACTTGGAGTTTTATTTCCAGTTGGCCCAGAAGAGATAAGTTCCTGAAAAGTTGTATGTAAATCAAAACATTGGTTGAAGGTTTTTTTTCCTGTTTTCCATAATATCTGATTTTTGTACCTCTATATAATTTGCTTTAAAGTATGTTTGTTTGATATTCCTGTTCTATTTAGAAATATTTATTTATAAGTAATGAATAAGCTATTTATATAATTAATGAAAACCTGGAAGATATTTACTTTATGCAAGAGCAGACTATATTCCAAAAGAAAATCAATTTCATAATATGATCATATGATAATGTAGATATTTTTGATACTTTATTTCAGAATTTGTATTTTAATTGATTAGTTTTATATAACAATACATACTTCATTTCTTCAGATAACCTCTGAAAACTTCAAGTAGTTGAATAAGTTAGAATGAGGTGAGTATGAAGGGTGTTCTAGAAGTGCATAGAGCTACAAAAATTTTGATTGAGTTAGAGGATTAAATCTGTTAGTAAAAAATTATACCCAGAAGTCATAGAAATATCAGTTAACCCCCCAGTGATGTTACCCAGGAGATAATCAAATACAAATTAGCTAGGTCTACATGTTGGAAACCTCAGAAATATTCCCTTTCAATTATAAACTTCTTAACTAAGAGGAAAAACAAAGAGTTACTCATGAAAAGTTAGAAATTAAAACAAACAAAGGATCTAAAAAGAAGAAAGTATTTTGTGGGGATTCGCTAAACATGATGAAGAAATGATTATTGTTTCTTATTAAATTTTACTTCTCTGAGGTCTTGGTTTAACAGGTTTCAGAAATCACAGTCATCCATCTGACACTTGGGTTCCTCTGCATTATTGAGATCTGGGTTTTCTCTTAATTTCAGTGTAAAAAGACATCAAAGACCCTACTAAATGTCCAGGTCAAAGACTAGGCATGAATAAATGGCCCAGAGACTAGCTTGATGTGAGTATATTTACTCCTAGTAATGTTCTCAGTCCATACGTTGTCCAAATTATTACTGCTTTTTTTTTTTTTTTTTTTTTGAGACAAAGCACTCTGTCACCCAAGCTGGAGTGCAGCGGCATGATCTCGGCTCACTGCAATCTCTGCCTCCCAGGTTCAAGCGATTCTTTTGCCTCAGCCTCCTGAGTAACTGGGATAACAGGCATGTGCCACCATGCCTGGCTAATTTTTGTATTTTTGATAGAGATGGGGTTTCGCCATGTTAGCCAGTCTGGTCTTGAACTCCTGGCTTCAAGTGATCCACCCACCTTGGCCTCCCAAAGTGCTGGGATTACAGGGGTGAGCCACTGCACCTGGCCATTACTGCATTATTAATAGAACTGGAAAACTAAGGTACCAGTGGAGGGACTGTCAGAAAAAAGCTTAAAGGATGATAAAGATCATCTCTTCCTCTACAGGCAAGGAGTCTTTGCTTTAATCAGAACATCTGAGATGTTCTCACAAATACATTCCGCTCCTTCTGGTTCATGGGATCTATGGCTCTGACCAGCCTAAAGTGGCCACTCACCTTTAAAGCATGAAAATCTCAGCTTTCCTCTAAGTCTACCTTGCCCTCATCTCTGCTATCCTGACAACTGTGTTTTATACTGGAATAATTCAAGTGCACCAGTAGTTTTTTACAGTCCAATATTAGAGGAAAGTACACTCAAATTTTGTTTTGTTTTGTTTTTTTAGTAGAGACGTGGTCTCACTGTGTTGCCCAGGCTGGTCTTGAACTCCTGGACTCAAGCAATCCTCCAGCCTTGGCCTCCCAAAGTGCTGGGATTACAGGTGTGAGCCGCTATTCCTGGCCAAAAGTAGACATTTTAATGTTTTAACCTACATTATTATTTCAAAAGATAAAATACTCTATTATGCTTTCTATGGCATTTCTGTGACAGAAAACAAGACATCATTGTTTGCAGCTTTGGGCCAGAAGAAGGAAGGAAGGAAGGGAAGAGAAGGTGGGTGGAGAGAGCAGGAGGCATGCTGCCTGGGGAGCTTCTCTCACCCCGGGCATTGAGTCTCAGCAAGCCCAAAATTACCAGAGAATTGGGGAGGAGAGGGACAGTCTGGAAAAAGCAAATGGTCCAACCAGCATCCTGGCCTGGCCATCCGGGAATCTCTGCTGCAGCTGCCTGATGGACCACAGGGAACTTTTCCAGATGCCACCCTCCTATTATTTATACCCTTCCCCCTTCCCAAACCACAGTAGTTACAGCATAGCACACAAAGGGCTAGCCACTGTCATGCCCTGAGAAGGAAGGTTGTGGAACAAGAGGTGCACCAATTAAGCTTTTATTTTATAGGGACTTGGACTCTTTTTTCTTTTTTTTTTTATTGAAACAGAGTTTCACTCTTGTCGCCCAGGCTGGAGTGCAGTGGCATGATCTTGGCTCACTGCAACCTCCACCTCCCAGGTTCAAGAGATTCTCCTGTCTCGGCCTCCCAAGAAGCAAGGATTACTGGTGCCCGCCACCACACCTGGCTAATTTTTTGTATTTTTAGTAGAGACGGGGTTTTGCCATGTTGGGCAGGCTGGTCTCGAACTCCTGACCTCAGGTGATCCACCTGCCTCAGCCTCCCAACGTGCTGGGATTACAGGTGTGAGCCACTGCACCCAGCTGGGACTTGGACTCTTATCTTGCATTTGGCTTGGCAAGGTATGAAGCATGAAGTGACCTCTACTGGGTCTTCTCTCTCCCAAAAGCCAGTGACTCTTACAACCACATTGACTGGCTGAGGGCAGTTCCAGATCTGGTAGAATAACAGTTAACATTGAGGTGGAACCTGCTGCGTGTGAGGCACTATTTTAAGTGCATTGTGTATGTTAATTTAGTAAGTCCTCAAAACCTCCCTGTGGGGTACTCCTGTTACCCCATTTTACAGAGCAGGAAACAGAGGCACTGAGAAGAAAAGAATGTCATTAAGACTCATATCCAGAAAGACAGTGTACCTCCAGAGTCCAAGCTTACAGCCAGCAATCTCAGACTGTTTGTGAAGAGTCAGATAGTAAATATTGTAGTCTTTGTGGGCCATACAGTCTCTGCTGCGGTGGTGTAAAAACATCCATAGACAACACTTCAGTTAATGAACATAGATGTGTTCCTATAAAACTTTATTTACAAAAGCAGGCAATGGGCAGGATTTGGCCCATGGGCCCTAGTTTGCACACTGCAGCTCTTAACCACTAAACAGTACTACCCTGCATGTACCTAAAACCTCTCATTTATATTTCCTCAGACCACCTCAGGCCCCATGACATTCCATTCAACAAGTATCGTTATATGGAATCTATAGTTTACAACACATCTGCTCTTCACAGCACTTTTGTGAGGCAGTTTTAATCAATGTTTCAGTTTTAGAGAAGAGCAAAACAGGCTTTAAAGACAAAGTTACTTGCCCAGAGTCTCAAGTTACAAAGTTCTTTGGCACGTTCTAAATTTGAATTCTAACTCAGTAAATGCCCGTCAATCCTGACACTGACATTTACTTTTTTCTTCTAAAATTTGTCTTTTTTTTATGTTGTGGGCTGTGCTTTCTGGTTGGGAAAGCAAAGAAGAAGCAGCCTAGTCTTTTCTTCTGGACCTTCTAGAATCTTCTATTTTCACCTTCTAGAACCGTCTAGATGAAAAATGTTCTTACACCATGCTAAGTCTCTGAAAGCCGTAGGGCATGGGCACAGCCTAAGTTTGAGTGCTGACACTGCTTGCTGTTTCTCATTCTAAGAACAAGGAAGGGTCTGTCAAATGCAGCATCTGTGCACCAATGTAGGGCCTAGGAATATGAGCCACAGCATCAGTGACTAACAATTATTTAGAGCTTACAGCATGCTAGGTGCTGTGCTAAGTATTTAATATATATAATCATATTTAATCTTCAGAACAACTCTTCAGGTAGGCAGGTCTCATTATCCCTACATTACAGATGAAGAAACAGAGGCACAGAGAGCAAAATAATGTATGCTATAAGGACTGAGTGTCTGGTGTCCCTGGCCTTTCTTTAATTATTATTTTATTTTGGTCAAAAACACAACTTAAAATTTACCATCTTAACCATGTTTAAGTGCATAGTACAGTCGTGGTAACTATATGTACACTGTTGTGCAAAGGAGCTCTAGAACCTTTTCATCTTGCAAATGGAAACTTTGTCCGTTGAATGACAACTCTCCTTGTCTGTGATGTTTTAAAGGAGAGTTTAGTCAAATGTTCATACACAGGGCATAGCGCCAATCCTGGGCAATAACAGAGACGCTTTCAGTCAAAACAAGCTCTTTCTTACTCCCTTGTCATGTTTGAGGCACGTGAACGTAGGGTTAAAGATAAAGGAAGAAAATCTCTGGGGAAGAAAGTGGCTCTTTGATCTCTCTGAACCAGGGCTTTTCATCCCTCCCACTGCTTATCTCTGGCGACATTGCATAAACCTGTGTGACTCCCAGTAAGATAACCACAGAGTGGTACGAGACATTATCTCACTATCCCGCCACAATGTTTTCCACAGTTTATTTTGAGTTTTTAGAGAAGGGGTCTTGCTGTGTTGCCCAGGCTGGTCTTGAACCCCTGGCCTCAAGCCATCCTCCCACCTCAGCCTCCTGAGTTGCTAGGACTGCAGGCACACCCTACCACACTGGGCCCTGTTTTCTATAGTTATTGTGTAAGAGCATAGCATTACTTAACCTTCAAAAATTCCTACTGAGAAATGGTCATTTCTTGTGTCACTGAGGGCTAGGGAAGTGTCAATCAGATGGAACTCACAGGGGCTATCATTTATTTTGGTCCAGCGGCTGAATGCCTGACAGACACAGCACTCAGTTGCCACTGTTGTGCTGGGCTCGCTGATCCCACTGTCAGAATTAAATGTAGGGAGGCTTTTGCCAAAGGTCTCTTGCCCAGCTCCTGAATGCCAAAACATCCTTCCTATCTACTCACTCCACAGTGGGTGACAGCTGTGTTTTCTAGCTTAAAGTATAGTCGTATCTTTTGTGTTTCTATCAGAACGTGAAAAAAACCGACTGGTTCCAGGAGTGGCCAGATTCCTATGCCAAACACATCTACAGCTCGGAGGACAAGAATGCGCAGCGGCACCTGAGCAGCTGGGCCATGCGCAATACCAACAACCACAACTCCCGCATCCTCAAGAAGTCCTGCCTGGGTGTGGTGGTGTGCGGCCGCGACTGTCTCGCAGAGGAGGGGCGCAAGATCTACCTGAGACCTGCCATCTGTGACAAGGCCCGGCAGAAGCAGCAGCGTGAGTAGAGCTTAGTGGCACCAGCAAAAAAGCTGGCATCCCTCAGATGCCCCTGCCAGATGGGTCACTGTGTCCCAGCACCGCCCAAGGGCAAAACCATCACCCTGGAGTGTAGTGGCAGCCAAGGCTGTTCTGACATGGAGCATATGGAGCGGAACCAACCAGATCCCTTGTGCTCCAGCAAGGACCCCACATATCTGCCATACCCAGAGCACCCACCATCAAAAATGCCTCCTTGGGTTAAGGCACTGGACTGAAGGCTCCTGTTAAAGGGAAGATGGCAGGTGTGGTGGCTCACACCTGTAATCTCAGCACTTTGGGAGGCCAAGATGAGAGGATAAATTGAGGCCAGGTGTTCCAGACCAGCCGGGGCAACATAAGAAGACCCCAACCCCTACAAAAAAATTTAAAAATTAGTCGGGTGTGGTTGCATATGCCTGTGGTCACAGCTACTCCAGAGGCTGAGGCAGAAGGATTGCTTCAGCCTGGAAAGTCAAGGCTGCAGTGAGCCATAATGGAGCCACTGCACTCCAGGCCGCACAATAGAGTGAGATCCTATCTCCAAAAAGAAAGGAAAAATGGCCGGGCACTGTGGCTCATGCCTACAATCCCAGCACTTTGGGAGGCTGAGGTAGGCAGATCACCTGAGGTCAGGAGTTCAAGACCAGCCTGCCCAATATGGTGAAGACCCATCTCTACTAAAACACACAAACACACACACACACACACACACACACACATTTGCCGGGTGTGGTGGTGTGTGCCTGTAATCCCAGCTACTCGGGAGGCTGAGGCAGGAGAATCACTCGAACCCAGAAGGTGGAGGTTGCAGTGGGCCAATGTTGTGCCACTGCACTCCAGCCTGGGTGACAGACTCCATCCAAAAATAAAAGGAAAAATGTATCCCTTCAGGGGTTAATGTTAATTCATCAATGACCCATGTAAAATTTAGAAGAAAGTAGTTTATTGGACTTGCCACTGGACTTCTTGTGGGTCCCTAAGTGATCTCAATGTGTGCATTAATGTGGAGTGGCAGCTGTGAAAGGTTAGACTCAATTCCATTCATTTAGGTTCACATCATAATCACGTGCTGAGATATTTGTTCATTTTCTAAAACACATTCACTGGATTATGAAATAGATACATTCAGCATGCCCTGTACATTGCCCACTTCAAACCTCAAGTTACTTTATATTTTTCCCAGTAGTTTGTTTTAAAAACTTGCTCTTAGGTCAGGACCTGGTATCAGTCATTTACACCTCTGTGAAAATGTAGTAGCTGCATTCACTCTCCCATGTAGCTTGGCCCCTTGACCCTTAGTTCTAATTGTGAAGTGAAAGAACTTCTCTTTTTTATTTTTGAGACAGACTTTCACTCTGTCACCCAAGCTGGCATGCATTGGTGCCATCTCGGCTCACTGCAACCTCCACCTCCCAGGTTCAAGCGATTCTCCTGCCTCAGCCTCCCTAGTAGCTGGGACTACAGGTGTGCACCACCACGCCCAGCTAATTTTTGTATTTTTAGTAGAGATGGGATTTCACCATATTGGCCAGGCTAGTCTCGAGCTTCTGGCCTCAAGTGGATCCGCCTGCCTTGGCCTCCCAAAGTGCTGGGATTATGGGTGTGAGCCACTGTGCCTGGTCAGAATTTCAAATATCACTAAATAAGTAGGGAGGGGTTTTCTGCTCAGAAGAGCTCTGCCTTGACCTGTGAAATATCCTACTTGGTAGGCAACCACTTCCCCTATCCATGTGTGAGACCCATGTGGGCCATTTTAGTGGCCAGGCTTCTGAGGGTCAGGGGTAATATCTAGTGGATTTCAGCCCATGAAACTCTGCCCAGATTTATACTCTGCCGTCCTTGAGTCAGGGCTAAAATCTTCAAGACTGCACAGGAGTCAACAACCGACATGGTTCAGCCAGGTGTGGTCATTTTCCTCTGCTCTTTTGTAGGGAAACGCTGTCCCAACTGTGACGGGCCTCTGAAGCTCATCCCTTGCCGAGGTCATGGGGGCTTCCCGGTCACCAACTTCTGGAGGCACGACGGACGCTTTATATTTTTCCAGGTTGGATTTTTGAGTTAGTTACGTGAGAGTTTCATTACTGAGGAGTTTCACCAGAGGCTAGAAATGCACCTGTGAATGAGATCCTGCACCATCCCCGAGGGCTCACACTCTAAGAGAGCAAGTATCTGTCCCCTGCACTTCTAATAGATGTTTGAAGTGCTGGGGAGCTCTAGAAGGGGAGCTGCCTGTCTCTGCTTCTACTTCTCAGGAGAAGTGGCAGCTAATCTAGTCACACTGAGGTTAGCACAGTGCTTCTAAGCATGCCGCATGCTGCATGCTGCTGGTAGCCTTCAGCAAATCTGAGTTTGAACACCAGCTCTGACTTTTTACTCGGTCTTTAAACCTGAGCAGGTGATTTTCCTCTTCCACGTCCCAGTTTTCTGTAGAATGTGTAAGAGTACTAATGGGGCAGTGGCACCAACAGTGGTGAAGAATGGACCCTGACTCAGACTGCCTGGGTTTGAATTAGTGGGATGCTGGTAAACCAGCTCTCCAAAAAGAAAATGTCCTGATTTGTAGCATTTGCCAACTTCTGTAATGGAAATATTCTCACCGTGGCTGATTTCAAGCCAGCAGTCATTTTTAACAATCAGCCTACAAAATTCCTGAATGTTTAACTATTGACTCTCAGCTTTGGCCAGCTCCAGGTAGGGGAATCCTAGGTCCCTCACTTCTAGAGGAGGTTACCCAGCTGGCGTAATCACTCCATGCCTCAGTTTCCTGTTCTGTAAACTGGGGGTGATAATAATGGTGTGTACCTCAATGGTTGTGCTGAAGATGAAATGAGATATAAGGCACACAGGGTGTTTATTTGTGTCTGGCACATACCACAGGAAGCATTTAGTAAGTGTTACTTAGCACTGTGATTATGGCTTTGCTGGGTGGGTGAGAGGCAGGCAGGCAGGAGCATGGTGGGCTTGGGAGCGCCTTCAGAGGTTCATCCAGTCTGGTTACCATAGGCAACTGCAACACCACCCCCGGGGCAGGACACACAGTAAATAAAAACTGATACACCATGAAACACAGTCTAGTTAGTGTTATATCATTTCCTTTCTACTTCCTTGTCTCATTTAAGTCAAAGGGAGAGCATGATCATCCAAAACCAGAAACCAAGTTAGAAGCTGAGGCAAGAAGAGCCATGAAGAAAGTGAACACAGCACCTTCCTCCGTCTCATTGAGCCTGAAGGGGAGCACAGAGACCAGGGTAATCCTTCATTATGTATGTTCAATACATGCAGTAGCTTGCCACGCCTGTGCTGGGGGCGGTAGATTTCCTGGGTCCCTTGCTGACGCAGGAAAGCCAGAAATCATGGATTATCAGGCTCATCTACAAACAAGCATCTGCTAAAGAAATTAAATCTGAGGCTTTACTCTTACTTTCTACCATCTTTGTAGCATGCTGGGAACCATAAAGTCCATGTAATTGGAGAATCATCTTCCCTACTACAATTACAAAGAGAAACTTGAATTAGCACTTAACTTATATTTGGCAAGAACCAAAAACAATTGAAACAATCTCCACAAAATAGTAGCCTTATGCATTTCACCGCCTGCCCCCTCCCCGCCCTCCTGAATTTCCATACGTCCCCAAACAGATTGTTTTCTTAGCACACTCTACCAAGATGAAATAAGCAAGCAGTTTCCGAAAATGATAGCTGTCCCAGGGTGGCAATAGTGGAGTGGAGGCTACTCCCTATAGACAAACTGTGATGTGAAGTCCACTGCTTTATGGGCAGCAGATCATAGGTTTTTTTGCATTTGTCTGTTTAATATTGATAGTAGTTCCTATACTTTTTCTACTGTTCAAAGGTGCACATTTCTTTTTGGGAGAACAGAGATGGAACTGGTCCATCCCTAGAGGCTGTAAATGTACTTTATTTAAAAAAATTGTAATGTGGATCTGTTGTAGGGAAATGCAAGCCCCCCAAACCCAAATGGCTATTTCCTCATCCTTTCTCCCAGCCATGGGACAAGTCAAGTGGCATTTCAGTCTCTCATCCAATCTACCTGGTCACAGCCCTTTTTCTCTACCCCCTAAAAGTATCCCCTTAACAGCTAGTAGTTTTACCTAAACAAGAGCATAACTTAATTCTCAACCAGATCCTTTTTTTAACGATTAACTAAAGAACAATATACCTCCTCCATTTAGAAAAATAAATGAATGTACCACTCGTGTTCTAGAGGTCTGATTTATGGTTCAACAAAATTCCCACGAATTCAAAGAAAAATCTCTTGAGGAAAGGAAAAACTAAAAAACAATAGCAACCATGGTCTCTCACACTCCAACCAGCACTAAGAAATAGAATAGTCAAGGGAGGAAATGTTGAGAGACAGAGACCCTGGGAGTTGTGCTGAGTATAATATAAATCTTTGAAGTTATACTTTGATATTTTGTAAATAGTTCCTTATAAGTTTCTCAAAAAGGCAATTAGAGGCCAGGCACTGTGGCTTATGCCTCTAATCCCAGCACTTTGGGAGGCCAAGGCAGGTGGGTCACTTGAGGTCAGGAGTTCGAGACCAGCCTGGCCAACATGGCAAAACCCCATCTCTACTGAAAATACAAAAATTAGCTGGGCGTGGTGGCAGGCGCCTGTAATCCCAGCTATTGAGAGGCTGAGACATGAGAATTGCTTGAACCCGGGAGGCAGAGGTTGCAGTGAGCCAAGATCGTGCCACTGCGCTCCAGCCTGGCTGGGCAACAGAGCGAGACTCCATCTCAAAAAAAAAAAAAAAAGAATAAATAAAAAGCAATTAGGATATCAGATTTGTGTTTGAGTGTGAAACATCTTAAACACACTCATGTCTCTACTGAATGTAGGGAAATTTGGCTCTTACTGGTTAGCAAGCTTTAACATGGAAACAGAGGCAGCCTTTGCTTTTTTCAAGTGTTTCGTGGTTGTGGTCAAGCCGCTGCATGTGTTTGTGCGTCAAGTATTAATGTGTAAGGAATGAGGAAAATCTGATGGAGCTCTTATTTGTACAGAGTAACTCATGGGTGCCTATGGCAGTGGTTTTGATTTGCTTAACTTATTAACACGAGCATTTCACTTTCCTTTCCAGTCTCTTCCAGGTGAAACACAAAGTCAGGGGAGTTTACCTTTAACTTGGTCTTTCCAGGAAGGCGTCCAATTGCCTGGTAGTTACAGTGGACATTTAATAGCTAACACTCCTCAGCAGAACTCACTAAATGATTGCTTTTCCTTCTCCAAGAGTTATGGTCTGGGAGGAATCACAGATCTGACTGACCAGACTTCCACTGTGGACCCCATGAAGCTCTATGAAAAGCGCAAATTGTCCAGTAGCAGAACCTACAGTAGTGGAGACCTGCTTCCTCCTTCTGCCTCCGGAGTCTACTCTGATCATGGCGATCTACAAGCGTGGAGTAAAAATGCTGCTTTGGGGAGAAATCATCTTGCTGACAACTGTTATTCCAATTATCCTTTTCCTCTGACCAGCTGGCCTTGCAGCTTCTCTCCTTCCCAAAACTCTTCAGAACCCTTTTACCAGCAGCTTCCATTGGAGCCACCTGCAGCCAAAACTGGCTGTCCCCCATTATGGCCAAATCCAGCGGGTAATCTTTATGAAGAGAAAGTACATGTGGATTTTAACAGCTACGTCCAGTCTCCTGCATACCATTCACCTCAAGAAGACCCCTTTCTCTTCACCTACGCCTCTCATCCTCATCAGCAATATTCACTGCCAAGCAAGAGCAGCAAATGGGATTTTGAGGAAGAAATGACATACTTGGGTTTGGATCACTGCAACAATGATATGCTTCTGAACCTGTGTCCTTTGAGATGACCCAAATCTTTCACTATGTGCACCCCAGCCCCTCAAAAATGGGGAAGGGCTGAAAGAATTTCCTTAGGAAATAATTTTTAAAACATAACCACAGATAAATGAGAATCATGATAAGCAGTAGACAAGGCTTTTTTCTTTTTCTTTTTTCCTTCTTTTTTTTTTTTTTTTTTTTTTTTTGAGACAGAGTCTTGCTCTTTTGCCCAGGCAGGAATGCAGTGGCGCCATCTCGGCTCACTGCAACCTCTGCCTCCCGGGTTTGAGTGATTCTCCTGCGTCAGCCTCCCGAGTAGCTGGGATTACAGGCACCTGCCACTGCGCCTGGCTAATTTTTCTATTTTTAGTAGAGACAGGGTTTTGCCATGTTGGTCAGGCTGCTCTCAAACTCCTGATCTCAAGTGATCTGCCCACCTCACCATCCCAAAGTGCTGGGATTACAGGCGTGAGCCATTGTGCCCGGCTGACAAGGCTTTTTTCTTCACATGAGTAATTTTTTTGGCTTCTTCTCCTCCACTCTAGTATTTCCACCCTCAGTAAGGAATGGAAACCTGTCCCGTCTGGGGTGTGAAGTGCCCTCTGCTTTTTCCCCCACATTGTTTGGGGTTCCCAGCACCTCAGCCACATTGCATGCTGGGTTTTCATTGTCATTGTTGCAAATGAAATGGAGTAGACATGTGAAATGCTAACCTATCTAGGACCTGATCTATGCCTTCTTGGGAACTGAGAATGAAGAAACAGAAATAGATGGTGGAAGAACTGCCTAAGGTGTGAAAAGCTGAAGATTCTACCACTGAAGTACTGAATATGTTGTCTAGTTGTGAGACTAGTGTGTAAAATATATGTTTTCTAGATGATTTCTGAGACTTGTGATGACAAGGAACCTGACCTAACCCCATTTTTCATAAAGACAAAGAACAGCAATGTTAAATTGCCATATGAAGAGAAACACTAGTGATGTGCGTGGTCTCCTTGCCTCTTGTTTCCTTCCCTCTTCCTCACTGACTTCCCCTTGCACAGGGGCTTCTGTTTTATCCCATTTATTATTTGTGGCACCTATATCAATGTGGGGTTTGTAATAGGTGAGAAATATTTGCTTGGAGAAGCTCTTGTGCAATTAGCCTGGCAATGATTGGCCGGCCATGTTTGAATGCCAGTTTCTCTTCTTTGCTGAAGTACTTTATGATAAAAGTAAGCCTAGACATAAAATCTGGAGAGAACCATGCAATAAACAAGTATTTTTGAAATAAATTATTCCTTCTCCTTTATTAGAATAGTAACAGATGCACATGATACAAAATTCAAAAGTGAAAAAAAAGAAGTCTCCTAGTTCTAGTCTCCCCTCTGCAACACTGACTAGTTTCTTGTCTATTATTCCAGATATTAGAAATGTTCTCTGCATATATATAATTATATGTAATGTGTATGAAATACATTACATAAAATACACACATATCTTTTATATATAAAATATATTTATATATATATATAAGAGAGAGATGACATAAGTGGTATCATATCAGATTCATTTCTAACATAGTTTTTGTCGTTTTAGGAGCCAATTTGAGCATTAAGTTCTTATAAGCATATAGGATCACAGCTGCTTCATTTTTAATGATGCATTATGCATTACATGACTATTATAATTAAATAGTCCCTATTGATAAACATTTAGATTTGTTCAAATCTTCTAAATTCATTTGTCTAAGTGACAAGACTATATATAAAACTTATATATTGGCCAGGCATGGTGGCTCACACGTGTAACCCCAGCACTTTTGGAGGCAAAGGCGGGTGGATCACTTGAGCCCAGGAGTTCAAGACCAGCCTGGGCAACATAGCGGGACCCCGTCTCTACCAAAAATTAAAAATTAGCTGGATGTCATCATGCATACCTGTAGTCTCAGCTACTTGGACCTGTAGTCTCAGCTACTTTGGAGGCAGGAGGATCACTTGAGTCAGGGAGGTCGATGCTTATCAAATCAGTGAGCCATGATTGTGCCACTGCATTCCAGCCTGGATGACAGAGTCTCAATCAATCAATCAATAAAAACCTTATATATTCAGTTTAGCAGAATTGTAAAGTGAATACTTGTGTAAACACTATCTGGACCAAGAAATAGGATCTACTGGCACTGCAGAAGTTCCCCTTACTGTGGATTTCAATCCCATCCACAACCCTCTCCCTGTATCCCAAAGGTGATCACTAGACTGGCTCTTTACATTTTTACTACCTTTGTATGTATCCCTAAACTATAGTTTCGTGTGGTCTTTTTGGGGAGCCTAACAAATAGAATCATATGGTATACTTTAAAGAATTAATTGAAGTGTAATGTACATATAGAAGAATCCACAGCTCATAGCATAGAGCTCAATTGTCATAAGAACACACCAGTCTAGCTATCATCTAGTTAGTGTACATTTTTTTATGATCTTGCCTTTTCTGCTCAACATTGTATCCATAAGAGGGTAGCTGTAATTTGTTATTTTCATTGCTGTAATACATTTCTTTATTCTCACTCTAAATGAAATGAAAGAGCTAAATAAACAGTAACTGTCTGAAGGAAACTTTAGCTCCTGTTGGTCCAAAGCTTTCTGGGTATTGCAAACATTTTACCTCCACCAGACTAGGCATCCTGTTATTCCAAACCTTTTCTCACTTTCAAAAACTATAATCTTAGCCAGGCATGATGGCTCATGCCTCTAATTCCAGCACCTTGGGAGGCCGAGGTGTGAGGATCGCTTGAGCCTAGGAGTTTGAGACCAGCCTGGGTAACATAGCAAGACTCTAAAAAATATTTTAAAAATTAGCTGGGTGTGGTGGTGTGCACCTGTAGTCCCAGCTACTCGGGAGGCTGAAGCAAGAGGATTGCTATAGCCCAAGAGGTTGAGGCTGCAGTGAGCCATGATTGTGCCACTGCACTCCAGTCTGCGTGACAGAGCCAGATCCTGTCTCAAAAAAATAAAAATAAATAAATAAAATCCAAAAAACTATTATATTGATATTTATCAAAGTAAGAACATGTACGTAGCTTAAAGGTCAGCTGGCATCACAAAGCTTACTATGAACAACAGCTGTCTCTACTCCCAAGTCCTATTCCCACCCCTCCAAGAGGTTTCCGCTTTTTAACTCCTTGAGTTATTTCTAGTAGTTACCTCTGTATTACTAGAGAATGTGCTTACACATCTTTTAGTTTTATATGTCTATTGTTTTCTGACTATAGATTAGGATTTAGGACATATGCACCACTCTCCGCCTAGATCATGCATTCTTCCAGCAAATTACAAAGATCAGTTGTATTGAAGTACAGTTTACATACAATAAAACACAACTCAGCCAGGCACAGTGGCTTATGCCTGTAATCCCAGCACTTTGGGAGGCTGAGATGGGCGGATCACCTGAGGTTGGCAGTTTGAGACCAGCCTGACCAACATGGAGAAACCCCGTCTCTACTAAAAATACAAAATTAGCCGGACGTGCTGGCACATGCCTGTAATCCCAGCTACTCAGGAGGCTGAGGCAGGAGAATCACTTGAACAGGGGAGGTGGAGGTTGCGGTGAGCCGAGATTGCGCCATTGCGCTTCAGGCTGGGCAACAAGAGCGAAACTCCGTCTCAAAACGAAAAACAAACAAACAAAAAACTCCACTCATTTTACAGAGTTTTGAACACTGTACATGTGGTCATTGTATACAATGAAACCTCACCAAAATCAAGATATAGAACATGGCAGTTCCCCTGAAAAGTCCTGCTGTGCCTTTTGCAGTCAATTCCCTCTGGGATCCCCAGCCCCCAGCAACTCCTGGAGCCTTTTATCTCTGAACAAGTGTGGGCAGGCTGCTGTCTGATCCTGTTGCTCCTTCATCTTTGGGCTTACTTTCCTCCCCTCTTGATTGGGTTCATGTCTTTCTTATTCTGGGTGTATTTCATCATTTTGGTAGAGCACACACCCTACTAGTTCTCTAAGAAAAGATCCATGGGAGATACATTTTTGGAGCACTTGAATGCCTGGAAATGTCTTAATCACATACTTGGTTTTTGTTTTTGTTCTTTGACTTGGCACAGAGTTTACCTGAGATTAGAAATGCAGGTTGAAAGTAATTTTCATACAAAATGGCCAGGTGCAGCGGCTCACGCCTGTAATCCCAGCACTTTGGGAGGGCAAGGTGGGTGGATCACCTGAGGTCAGGAGTTCGAGACCAGCCTGGCCAACATGGTGAAACCCCGTCTCTACTAAAAATACAAAAACAAAATTAGCCAGGTGTAGTGGCGCATGCCTGTAGGCCCAGCTACTGGGGAGGCTGAGGCAGGAGAATCACTTGAACCTGGGAGGTAGAGGTTGCAGTGAGCCGAGATCGCTCCGTTGCACTCAAGCCTGGGGTACAAGGGCAAAACTCTGTCCAAAAAAAAGAAAAAAGGCTGGGCGCAGTGGCTCATGCCTGCCTGTAATCCCAGCAATTTGGGAGGCCGAGGCAGGTGAATCACAAGGTCAGGAGTTTGAGACCAGCCTGGCCAATGTGGTCAAACGCCATCTCTACTAAAAATACAAAAAAAGAAATTAGCTAGGTGTGGTGGCCCATGCCTGTGGTCCCAGCTGCTCGGGAGGCTGAGGCAGAAGAATCGCTTGAACCTGGGAGGCAGAGGTTGCAGTGAGCCAAGATCGTGCCACTGCACTCCAGCCCGGGCAACAGAGTGAGACTGTCTCAAAAAAGTTCAAAAATCTGAAGTTACTGGTCCACTGTCCTCTAGTATTCAGAGCTGCTGTTGAGAAGTCTGGATATCATTTAGATTTCTGGTCCTTTGAACATGGCCTGCTTTTTCTCTCTAGGAGCTTTCAGATAGTTTAATTATTTCTCGTTACTTGAAATTTCATGACAATAAGGCTTGAATGGGCCTTTTCATTTTTTATTCATTGTATAAGGCCCTGAGGCTTTTTTTTTTTTTTTTTGAGACAGTCTCGCTCTGTCGCCCAGGCTGGAGGGCAGTGGCATGATCTCGGCTCACTGCAACCTCTGCCTCCCAGGTTCAAGCAATTCTTCTGCTTCAGCATCCTGAGCAGATGGGACCACAGGCGCCCGCCACCACGTCTGGCTAATTTTTTGTATTTTTAGTAGAGACGGGGTTTCACTGTCTTAGCCAGGATGGTCTCCATCTCCTGACCTTGTGATCCACCTGCCTCAGCCTCCCAAGGTGCTGGGATTACTGGCATGAGCCACCGCGCCCGGCCAGTGGCTTTTAATATAATCATTCATATTTTTTATTTCTTGGATATGTTCTTATATTTTTCAAAAATTTTTTTCTTTCTTTTTTCCGGTTGTCTTTTTGGAACTTTTTTCAGATGAGTATTGCATTCAACAAATTTTCACGGAGCACCTAAGAATGCTCTCATCCTGGGTGCTGTGCTTATGTGGGCTGCTCTGCCAGGCAAAACGGCATCTGCTCTGTTTAGTGAGCATTGACTGAGGGCAAGAAAGACACTTGGGCCTAGAAAATGTTACAGGATATTACATTGAATCCTGAGTGTAAGGATTCAAACCTGTTAAGGTTAAGATAAAATACAAATAGAAAAATGTGAAAGGGGTTGGGCATGGTGGCTCACTCCTGTAATCCCAGCACTTTGGGAGGCCAAGGTGGGTGGCTTACTTGAGGTCAGGGCTTTGAGACCAGCCTGGCCAACATAGTGAAACCCCATCTCTACTAAAAAGACAAAAATTAGCCAGGCATGGTGGCTCATGCTTGTAATCCCAGCTACTTGGGAGGCTGAAGCAGGAGAATTGATTGAACCCGAGAGGTGGAGATTGTAGAGAGTTGAGATCGTGCCACTGCACTCCATCCTGGGCAATAGAGCGAGACTCTGTCTCAAAAAAAGAAAAGAGAAAAGGAAATAAAAAATATGAAAGGCAAACAAAATGGGAACATGGATATTACTACAGCACTAAAATGTATTATATTTGATACTGTCTTGATTTGTATGTGTAAATCATTTCCTGTTTAGCACCTGGCTCAATGCCAGGCTCCTAGAGATGCTCAGTGTGCATAACTGCCTCAGAATGGCCCAAATGTAAAGAAGTATCAAAGGCCAATCAAAAGTTGGGCTGGGCACAGTGGCTCACACCTGTGATCCCAGCACTTTGGGAGGCCAAGGCGGGTGGATCACTTGAGGTCAGGAGTTCGAGACCAACCTGGCCAACATGGAGAAACCCCGTCTCTACTAAAAATACAAAAATTAGCTGGGAGTAGTGGTGTGCACCTGTAGTCTCAGCTACTTGGGAGGCTGGGAAGGAGAATCACTTGAACCCAGGAGGTGGAGGTTGCAGTGAGGTGAGATTGTGCCACTGCACTCCAGCAAGCCTGGGTGACAGAGCGAGACTCCATCTCAAACAACAACAACAACAACAAACCACTGTTGGGACTATTATTCTGATCTTAATAAAAACGTAGTATGAATAAAATATCCAAAGTAGGGACTTGTTTCACTGCCTATTTAGTATAAAAAGTCATTTATTATTTAGCTTAAGGTGGCAGACCAAATGTATGCCTTTGCTGGAGATCTTAAATGTCAGTAATGAAGTATAAAAAAATGAGCCAAGAGAACATAAGGGGGATAATGAGTGCATCAGAAACGTCGACAAATTTCTGGGAGATGGGAAGTGGATGAAGTGTATATTGATGTACAATGAGGAGCCCCAGAGAAGTGAAATGGAAAGGCAGGACCCTGGAAAGGCTGCGGGCTGATGTCACTGAGCTGAAGGGTAGGAATGAGGAGAGATGGGCACCGGAAACAGGACCAATACTTGAAAGTCTTTCTGCAGATCAACTGCTACCAGTTAGGACTTCACCCAAACATGCATCCCAGGGAATACAAACAGTTAAAAAATAATAAAAATACTAAAAGTAAGACTTGCCTCAAGAGAAATTGAATTAACTATTCTAGGGGAACTGAGGCTTCAACTTGGGTACTTGTTCCCGAGAATAAAGTATTTTGTATTGTTGCATTTTGGAGGTGAAGGTCTAAAGGCACTCTGAAGTGAAGGCTGTCTGACATTTGATCTTGATGCTGGAAACTTTAAAGCCACAGATAAGAAAAGATGGCCCTTGCTGCTATGTAGCTGTGTCCTAAGCCACTTGTGTAGACATAATTATTGGGTTCCAACTTTTTAATTAACTGCAGATAAAATACAAAAGACCCCATAATAGTTCCAGCACAGAATGTCACTGTGGTAAAGATGTAGTTGACAGAGGCAAAAGAGAAAAAAAGTGGAAGAAGATTTGGGTAGGGTCAACACATTTTTGTGTGGGAGGGTATCCAGAGACACTGGCTAAGGATGGAATAATAAACAGTGATTTAATGTTTCTTTAAGTTGCAAAGATGTCTAGTAGAGGCATGGAGAATAATCATACAACAGCATATGACTGCAAAACGTCAAGAAGAAGAAGGTAGAGACAGGGAAAGGAGCAAAAACACAAGTGAGGTAAACCCCATTTTTCATCCTGGGCAATCAATAGAGATCCAGATTTGATACATTAAGAAACTGAGGAATAAGCATGTGATTTAGAATGATCAGGGTTACCTCAGAAAAACCAAAGTCAGAAAAGGTTTAAATTTGCCATGTCTTGGGGAGCATTGGGGGAGGGGCAATAATTTTTAGCATAAACTCTGTGTGTACTATCGTATTTTTTTACCACGTACAAATGATTTTGATCCAAAAATGAAATAAAAATCACTAGATGGACTTATCTTAATGTAAACTGGTCACACATATTTTTAATAGCTTATGTTGTTAGTTGCATATGATTAGTAATATTTGTGGAGGTTGTTTTGTTTTGTTTTGGTAGAAACAGGGGTCTCCCGTGTTGCTCATGCTGGTCTCAAACTCCTGGGCTCAAGGGAGGCTCCCGCCTCAGCCTCCCAAAGCACTGGGATTACAGGCATGAGTCACCACGGCCAGCCACCGTTTGTGTTTACATATAAATAGTAACAGCTGTGCTACTATTCAGTATTTTTCTACAAACAACTACTGACATATTAGCTGATCCCAAGGACACTAATGGCCCTCCATTTAGGGGAGTGCTTTCCTGTTCACTTGTGGGTACTATTTAATTAGGAAATGTGTAAATGAAGAGGACTAAGCTCAGACAGGCAAGGGAGAAGATATTCCTGGCCTTGTCAATGGAGTAGGATAGGGGTGAAGGCAATTGGCTGAGGTGCTGCCAGACTGTATGTGGCCTTGACCCCAGATGGCACCTTAACAGTCATTGCTTTTGTCCACCTGTCTCTGCCATGGAGTCCACAAGGAGGGGTCACAGCTAAGCTGGACTTAGACATCTGGGCTGGGTTGGTAGGTGGAAATGCTGTCTTTGTGGCCAAATGGGTCCTTCCAACCTCCTGGGATGAGTGAGAGAGAGAGAGAGACCTTCAAAAGTAGGGAGAGGGGAGGACTGGGGGAGAAACAGTGGAAACTAAACAATTTAATGTCACGATGAAGGGGAAAAAAAATGGGACAAATTTTAAAAGCAGAACCAACTTCTAAACTTTAATTCTGATGTTCAAAACAGAAAGAATAAAGTTCAGATTCTGACTAGAGTCCCACCCTTAAATTTAGAGCATTGTCCTGGGAAGACAGAATGTGGCAGGCCCTGGGTGATTTTAGTGGTTTATTTGCTCATTCTGCAAATATTTACATAGAAGCCACTTCCACAACAGTTTTTTCTGACCAGGAGAGAAGACACATCCCCATAGAGTTCTTTTCCTAGCTATTTTTTGCCTTGCCAGGAAAAAGTGATTTTGGAATCTAAACATTTCCTGCTAAGCCTTGGGATTTTTGATTTGTCACAGAGCACCTGTGTTCCTTTTGGTTTAAAATAAAATGATATTTGGATTGTAATCTAAAGACATAAGATTTTGGGAGCTGATGGAGGGTAAGATTTAAAAGCCTGAGTGTTCTTGTTTCTTCACCTTCCCTTTGTGGGACTTCATGCCAGCATTTTTCTCTTTGTGAGTACTACAAAAACAGAATTGCTATCCTCTTCTCTGAGGATAGTAAATCACTTGTATCTAGTTCCCTGTCAGTCCAGAATCTTCACATGCCCTCGATAGACCAGGATTGTTTTTTTCCAGGCTGTTTGGACCCATTGGTATTCGCTCTGAACATAAGAGAGATGGAGAACATTCATTTGGGGAACTCAAGTCCCCGAGCTTTTGAAACTCCGTTTTGAGATGCTGAACGTTTTTTATGGCAGTTGGGACAGGAGGTTAAATATTCTAATACTTTTTTATTGAGAGTGTGGAGTGTGGCAGACATTGTGCCAAATGCTTTATATAGTTATTTAATCCTTACAATGATGACGAAGAACATGTTGTTTTCCTCACTTAACAAACAAGGAAACTGAGCTGTGAGATACAAGGAGGTAACTTACAAGGATGCCTAAGAGATAGTATGAGTAATGGTTAGTGAAGAGTACGAGCCTTCAAACCAGGCAATACTGCCTCGTGTATGTGTGTTTGAGTGGGCGGATGGGGTACCCAGACACCTTTCTTTTCAATTTTGGGAAAATTTTTCAAGGCAGTCTTTGCTTGAAGAGGAAATGGCAGGGGTATTTGCTGCTGCAAGTAATTGTGCTCAAGGCTAGCCTAGAGGCCAGGCACAGTGGCTCACACCTGTAATTTCAGCACTTTGGGAGGTCAGGCAGGAGAATTGCCTGAGGACAGCAGTTAGAGACCAGCCCAGGCAACATAGGAGGACACTTTCTCTACAAAAAATCAAAAAGTAGCCTGGTGTGGTGGCACACTAGGTGAAGAATGGCTTGAGTTCAACAGTCTGAGGCTGCAGCGAGCTATGATTGTGTGACTGCACTTTAGCCTGGGCAATAGACCAGTATCTGGGCAATAGAGCATACATATATATATATATATATATATATACACACACATAAGAGCATATACATATATATATACACAATAGAGCATATATATATATATATATATATATATATATATATATATATATATACATGAGAGCATATAAAACATATATATATATATATATAAAGGGCTAGCCTGGAATACATTCGTGTGAATCACGTAAGTTTATTTTTGATATCCTACTTCAGTATCCCTTTTGAACTCTTTTCAGGATATTCAACCTTATAATCACAGAAATGCAAGGGAAAACTACATTAAGATTCTTTTTTCACCTCCCAGATTAGCAACAATCCAAGATTTTGACCATACAGCCTGGTGGCCAGGTACTCTAATATACATTGATGGTGAGGGTATTCACTGGTACAACCACTGGCCTCCTATCTTCTTTCAAAATTCTTTTCATGGCTGGTCACAGTGGCTCACACCTGTAACCCCACAACTTTGGGAGGCTGAGGAAGGAAGATCGCTTGAGGCCAGGAGCTCGAGACCAGCCTGGCCAGCATGGCGAAACCCCATCTCTACTAAAATAAAAAAAAAAAAATAGCCAGGCATGGTGGCATGCGGCTGCAATCCCAGCTACTGGGGAGGCTGAGGTAGTAGAATCTCTTGAGCCCAGGAGGCAGAGGTTTCAGTGAGCCAAGATCACGCCACTGCACTCCACCCTGAGTGACAGAGCAAGACTCCGTCTCAAAAAATAAAAAATAAAAAAATTCTTTTCACAAGCACAGTCCCCATCTGTGTTCTCTTGGAGCCAATCTAGGTGTGTCCTTTCCTTAGGACCCCGGAACCTTCCCCACAGGGTTGTGTGAGAACTACCCTCCACTTCTGTGAAAACTATCCTCTCTGTTCAGTTTTCTGCTAAAGGTCAGAACGAGTTACCCTTGAAAGATTTAATGACTGTATCCTAGTAGGGGCCCTTGTGGGACAACAATTTGGGCCTGGAGGGACTTGGATGGAAAGTCTACCTTAGCAGGATGCTGAGATATGCTAGGACCGGGGGGTGCTTTATGGGCACTCCATCACACTGGCCCTGCTTATTTTCTAGCTAGTGGTTCACATTTACTAAGCATCTACTACATGCCAGGTTCTGTTTTAAGGACTGTATATTCATTAACCCAGTTAAGATTTACAGTAACACTATGAGGCTAGTGCTAGTATCATCACTCCCATTGTACAAGTGATAAACTGTGGCTCAGAAAGAACTAATATTCCCAGGAGCATTTAGTTCACAGTTTGACAAAGCCAGGATTTGGACCCAGGTAGTTGTGTTCAAAGCTGACGTTCCCTCAAAGCTCAATGATGTCCAAAACCTTTGGAAGGGGGAGGAATTGCTCATGCGTAAAGGAGAAGTGCATACCTCCAACAATTGCTCTGACACCATTAGGGTGTAAAGCATCAGCACTTGGCTACCTCACCACCTGCTCCTAGTCACCAGTACTCAGCAATCTCTCCTAGAATAGGGGCAGACCCTCTCCTTTTCACACACAACTGTTCCCAGGGGAGTCCCACTGCAGAGATGCTTGGGCCGGAAGACCCAAGTCTGTGGCAAGAGTGGTGTCTGGGGTGTGCTGCCCTCAGAGTTTCTTTGAGGATCTGGGTCTCGGTGCTGAGTCTGGCCTTTCCACCATACTCCTTAGCAGTCATGGAGTTTTCCCCCTAGGATCCCCACTCTTCCTCCTTATAGCCTCACTTCCTGCAATCCTCCCCCACCCTTCTCAAGTCCCTCATTCATATTTGTACACACCTTTATCCTAGCCATGGAAGGATTTGATTTCACTCTTGTAGAGCTCCTGACCAACTGCAGGGCTCCCTGGCTCAAGAAGCCGAAAAAAGATGGACTGCTACATAGCAGGTGGAGTAGACTTCAGGGTAACTACCAAGTGACTAACTGTAACTGACATTCAAGCAGGTAAGCCTGAGGCACACCTGGGTTACACCTGTCACACAGTGCTTAGGGACTCAGACACTGTGGCCAGGTATGTGCTCACAACATCCAGTGACACTTACCTAGGTCCCACCATTAGGGCCCAGCAAAGCCCCCTCTGTAATACTTGGAAATAAGAATTCTTTACATTCCGTGGTATCCCCAAGGTTCCAATAAACACATACATTTGCATATCAGTTGTCACTCTGTCTCCCTCTGCCTGTTTAATCTACTAGAGTTGTGGTATCTCTGGCTGGATTTTATTGCTTCTGTAGTAGCAGAAGGCGCCAGGGCTTAGGATAGAGACATGGCACTCTGGGCTGAGGTAAAGAAATCTGGGCCTAGATGTGGAAACATGCTTTGCATGAGCAGAGGTCAACGGCTGACTTTAAATGATAGCTTTCATAGAAATGCTTGCCATTTCTTAGAAACCATCAAAGCTTGGCATTGTTTGTGTCACTAAGAAATTGTAAACAAAACACAATTTGAACCTGTCTCTCTCTCTCTGGCTTCTGGTTTCCCTTGGCTGGGCCACATCATCACAATGTTGATGAGATGTGGGCCACAGCTTGCTTTGGGCTACTGACTCTGAAAGATGCTGCCAAGAAACCTACAAAATGCTGGCCATGAAGACTGAGATCTCAAGCCTCACCTCACAAAATAAAGCCCATTTAGGAAGGCAGACAGAGTGGTGAGAAGGTCAGGTTTGGGTAAAAGGAGCACATGAGGATTGAGGATGGAACAAACAATCTCGGAAATGTCATTCACTGCTGACTCAGGAGTGTGATATCAACATCATGAACTAGAAAGGGCATAGGATTAAGTGCCAGGAGATTTTGTAGGGGAGGGAAAAAACTTTTTTCTCTATGCTTTTCAATTCTGCAGCTGTGGCCCTGGAAATTAAATTGACAAAAGCCATAATTACAGGAGAAAAAAGTTTATTTCATGGGCATGTAAGGTACCTCAGAGAAATGAAATGAAAATCCCAAAGACATAGTCAGAGTTGGAGGTGTATATACCATTTTAACAAAGGGCGATGAATTTCTGGAGAACTAACAAGACAAATGAAAAGGCAGTTGAGCTTCTAGAGGCAGGAAGTTGTGAGAAGGTAAATATATGGGGAAGCTAATGGAAGGTAAGTGTTATTTTAGTAGGGTTTGTGTTATAGATTCCTTTTGGGGTCATCTTTGGGATGAAAAGAGTCTAGAGTTATCTCTGGTGACTAAGAGTTATTCTGCCTTTCCTGGTATGAGAGAGGGAAGGGGAACACCTTCACAAAGAAAAATATATGCCCTGCTTTTAAGCAAATAGGGAAAAGTAGAGAGCCTTTCTGCAGTCTGCTCTTTCCCAGTTGCCTTCAGCTCAAAACAATCCTTTTACTAAGGCAATACACTCTGATCCCTTTCAGTTTTATATAATTTATTGACAGTCTCTTTCCTGCTAGGCTGGAGGCACTTTGAAGGCAGGAACTGTGTCTATTTCACTCACTTTTGTATCTGCAGAACCTAGCACAGTGCCTGGCCCATTCATTTGACTAAAAATTAACAGATGAATGATTTTGAACATCAGCTTTGAGTACAACCACCTGGGTCCAAATCCTGGCTTTGTCAAGCTATGAACTAAATGCTCCTGGGAATATTAGTTCTTTCTGAACCACAGTTTATCACTTGTACAATGGGAGTGATGATACTAGCACTAGCCTCATAGTGTTACTGTAAATCTTAACTGGGTAAATAAATATAGAGTCCTTAAAACACAACCTGCACATAGTAGGTGCTTAGTTTGAGTTGCCCTGAGCCTCAGTTTCCTTATCTGTAAAATGAAGGTAATGATCTTGTCTTAGCGCTTCAATAGATGCCTTCCTCCATTGACTTACTCTTCAGCAGAGATTCCCATCATGGGCATGAGAATAAACAGAATAATCTCTTATTTTGAAAAAGTAGTGTAAGTGTAAACTATCTTTTCCTTTTTTCTCTCTCCCTTTTTTCTTAAACCAGGCAGCCTCTGACCCAGAATAGGTTTGGAGAGGCTCCCAAAATGTCTTTTCTTGACTTTCATGGCAGCTATTCCTCGTTTGAATGTTCCCAGGGAAATATGGCAACTGTGGGAGACCAGAATATGCCTCCTCAAAATAAGAGGATTGTTGAGCTGAAGATAATTAAGATGCAGGGGAGCTCTGTGTCTTCCCTTTGCTTGCCTAAAAGCAGGACAGAGATTTACAGAGACAAAAGGTTTTTTATCCTCCCTGTCTCTTTTCTTACCTAAAGATAAGATGTACATTCTTCATTACTGGAGACAACCCTTGATCAGCTCAGAGATGGTGCCAGAGGGACCTGTGAGCAGACTTTACTCCATTAGTGTTTGCCCATATATTTACCTTCCCATAGCTTCCCATTTTTGGAAGTCCAGGACTACTTTCCTTTGTCTTGTCACTTCTCTGAAATTTATTGTTCTTTATTAGACATACTATATATGGCAGACTCGTAAACACTGCCTTGAGTTAACTCTTCACTGAGGTTTCTCCCACGCGATGTGTCCTGTACGTGTTGATAAGCTGGACTGTTCTCTTGTTAATCTGTCCTTTGTTGCAGAAGTCTGTCCCAACTACAAACTTAGGAAGGTTGAGAAAGAGAACAGACCAAGAGACATTGCAGCAAACTACCAGTGATTATTTTCTCATTTTGTCTACTTCTGCGACACATGTTCTCCAGGGAGTTTGAAATGTAGGGACAAGCACACAGACACATACCACGCATCTTCCTAAGCTAAGGAAATTACACTGAGATCAGAAGTGGCTGGAGCAGCAAATGTCACACTCCAAATGCCACATTCACAGAAGCAGAAAGGACAAAAACAAATCGGCAGCCCATTTTTGCACAGCTGTGAGATGGAGTGTCTGAAAAATGTAGTCTTGAGATATCTCACTTGTGTTTTTATCAGAACACTTCAAATGATAGCAGCAAATCTTTGGCTTAGTGGAAAAAAGTCTCCAGAGTTGGAGTTAGATGTCCTGGATCCTATCTAGAGTTCACCCTTACCCTGTCTTTGGGCAAATCATGCTTCTCTGGGTCTCGGTTTCCTCCTTCAGTCTAAATGGCTATATGGCCTCTCATGGCCCTAACACTGTAAGACAATAATAGTGGTATTAATTTGGATTAGTCAAACAAGGGACAGCTCCCTCAGGGCATAACTTTCTGCTTCCAGGTGATGCTGGCATCCCTCCACCAGCACCTGGATCCACTCCCCCAGGAGGATGAGGGTGTGATTTGTACATCCAGCTCTCCTACCCTGAGACCTTGAGTGACCCAGGATGCAGCTAAGAGACACTGGCCATGCCCACAAAGAGAGCAGAGGCCTGAGAAGGGGCTGCAGAGAGACGGGAGAGTTTTGCTCTGCTTGCAGCAAGCCCAAGAACTTAATTTAAACCTAGTGAGTTAATCAGCTGCAGTCTTCCAGTTTAATCCCTTAGAGCCAAAGCTTTCAAGAAGCCTTGACAGTCATCTGGGACCTATAAGGCGCTGTCCTGGGTCATGGTGGTGGTGGGAGGAGCTGGGGCAAGGAGCTGGCAGTGGGGGGCTCTGCAGACAACTTGCTTATGATTTAGTAGGAGAGAAGTGACACAAGTCAGTTAGTCACAATTTTTCTCTGAAGCCTTCTGAGGTGTGGCACTGGCCAGGATGTGGTAGAAAGTAAACACAGGTGAAACAGAGCTCTTTGAGAGTGCCCTGGAGGCCCAGGGGGAGTAGATTGTGTGTAATTATTTAATCATTCATTGGCTGGAGTTAAACTGTGGAAAGCCTCCAGGAGGAATAGTAGAACTTCCAGGAGGAGCTGGAGGGTGGGGAAGGTGAGAGAAAGAGCATTCCAGATGCCAGCAGAGCAAAGGGGCAGGGGTAGGGAGGGGCTTTGGGTGTCCTGGGAACCAGAACTATTCTTGGCTAGGAGCAGACCTGGAGGAGGAGCAGGAGGCGAGCTGGAAAGGTAGGTTAGTGTCAAACCTGTACAGACCTAGAATGCAAAGTTTATTATTTGGGCTTTAACCTGCATACCAAGGGTCAAAAATTGGCCGATTCCACTCATCCTGCAGATGGCTTTTGTTTGACCTGTATCGTGTTTTTATTTTTTTCCTTTTAAACTTGAGTTTGGTTAAGCATACAACATTTCACAAACAACATGGATTTCCAGCTTCTCTTTAAAAATAGGAAGGTCAGGCCTTATAGAGAATCTTCGAACGGAAGCTGAGTAGCCGCTTCCCTTTCAGGCAAGAGACACAGGGTCTGGCTTGCCACTGCCTGCACACCTGGTCCACCTCACTCACTTGTGGTGTCCTCTGGACCTTCACAGGTGTTTGAGTTCATCACCCTTGCCAGAGACAGCAGGCTGTAGAAAGTTTAGAAGGTCACAACTTGTGGATAACAGAGGAAGGTTGTGCCTCAGACTAACCTGATGCCAGCGTTTTGATTGGGAAGGGGCGAGAGTACAGGAAGAATATCTGATAGGAAACTGTTTTATAGGTTCAAGCTAGAGGTGGTGAGGTCCTGACCCAGTCAGTGGCAGTGAATGAAAATAAAGAGGTGGCCTTATATGCAGAAGGAACAGAGGCTGCCCAGTGCTGTGCTTGGAGGGCCAACAAGCTCTCTGTCTCAGATTCATGCTCAACAAGCTTGAATCCCATGCTCTAATAAGAATACTACCTTAGCTAGGTCAAGGCTGCAGTGAGATGTGATCACACCACTGCACTCCAGACTAGGTGACAGAGTGAGACTCTGTCTCAACAAAAAGAAAACAAATGACCTTAGCTCTAGGTAGTGAATAATACTTTAACACTTTTATCCAATGAGATCAGGAATGTCATTCCCCACCAGAACCTTGTGAGCTTGGTATTGTGACTGTCATCCTCGTTCTGCAGATAAAGAAATTGAGACTCAGAGATGATCTATTATTTGTCTACAATCATTCAGCCAGCAAAATGGCAGAACCAGAACAAACCTTTACCCATGGGCTCCCAGTCTGAATCCATCTCCCTTGGGCAGGGTGTACTCGTGTGACACATAGCATCACTCTCTGTGCTTTTTAAAACTGCAAATACATCTAGGAAGGTAGGAGAAAGCACTTCACCTCCCAGTGATGGTCTGAATATTATCATTGGATCTATATTTGTCTAGAGGCACGCTAGCATTGGGGACAGAGTGTAGGCTCTGGAGCCAGCCTACCTAGATGTGAATCCCATCATAACCACTCATTGGGTAAGTTACTAAATATCTCTGTGCCTTAGTTTCCTCACTTTTAAGAAAAGGTGATAACACCCACTTTACAGGGATGCTGCAATGATTCAATGAGTTAATGTGAATAATGCACTTAGCACATAGAAAATGCTGTGTGAGTGTTTGCACATTATTTATTTTATTTTTGAGACAGAGTCTTGCTCTGTCACTCGGGCTGGAGTGTAATGGTGTGATCACCACTCACTGCCACTTCAACCTCCTGGGCTGAAGCAATCTTCTCACCTTGGCCTCCTGAGTAGCTGGGACTATAGGTGGGCATCACTGTGGCCAGCTAATTTTTGTATTTTTTGTACAGACAGTGTTTCGCTATGTTGCCCAGGCTGGTTTCAAACTCCTAGGCTCCAGTGATCTGCCCACCTTGGCCTCCCAGAGTGCTGGGATTACAGGCATAAACCACCACACCCATCTGTTTGCACATTGTTATCCACATTTTTCATAAGCCAGTCTGCAGTCCCAGGTTTTTTGTCATGAGGAGAGAATTGGAGGGAGGGAGTTACAGAGGAGTCAGGGGAGACATAACGTGGATGTGGCAAGAGAATTGGCACAACTCACTCCCCATGGTGTTTGTCAACAGGAAGACACACCAGCTGCATCCATCTGGGTTGTTATCTGTGGTGGAAAGTGAGGGGAAGGGATAAAATGGGGGTGGACCTTTCTTTAGACCTCCCTACCAGAGGGTCAAGCATGGCGCTAGGTATTTCTGAGCCAGCCAGAGGAAAGGGTTTGGGAGCTGATGGAAGTGCCAAAATGCAAATGTCTACAGATGCCTGAAGGAAGACTAGATGTCTGAAGCTTGCTGGGATAATCATGGGTGCCAAACTGCTGGTATTGTGCTGAGGTTAATATTAATACCTACCCTAGTGACACCATCTTCTAAAAACTCTGAGCTCATGACCTGTGTCCAGATCCCTAGAAGTGGAGGCATAGAGTTTGAGCAGTGTTGCTATACCCAGGAAGTCATGGCTATGGTAGGCAGAATGATGGTCCCTCAAAGATGTCCACATCCTAACCACTAGAACCTGTGACAAAACCTTACGTGGCAGAAGAGACTTTATAGATGTGATTACATTGAGGACCTTCAGATGGGAAGGCTAGCCCGGATTGTCCAGGTGGGCCCAATCTCATCACATGGGTCCTATTGTTCCTGGTGAGTCCTGAGGAAGACACCCTGCTCCTCTGACTCCTCATTGAGAGGCAGCCACCCCTCAATTCAGTCCTCTGAGTCCTGAAAGTCTTGTGGTCAGTTTCTCTGCACACGGGTAAATGCAACCACAACTCAGGCATTTATGAATGGCAGTTACTTGGGTAACTGAAAGGAGGTAGTTTTAATTTTGAATAGTCACTAATTGCAAAGGGGCCATCTTTCCAGAAAACACCTCCTTATCTTTTTGGTGAGTGTATCTACTGTTTCTCCTGCAGTGTTTGCACCATTCTGACAATTATCCCCTTGACAACATCTTCCCAGGACTGAGCAGAGAATTCCAAAGACTGTTCCAATGATCAGGAACTAGAGCTAATCTTAGAACAGCATCTAATGAGTCTTTCTTCCTCTGTATTCCCCCATCACCCCTACCAATCCAGGTAAATTGGGCAGTCACTGCCTACCTAGACAAACGTGGCCTGGCAGAGGGGTGGGACCCAAGGTTCAGATTTAAAGGCACTATCAGCAAAATCTCACTGTGTGTCCTCTGTGTCCCATAAATAGATTTGAAATAATTGCTTCATTTCTAGGTTGCAGGGAACTTTGCACAATTGATCTGGTGTAAACAAAGGTCTTGACACCTGAGGAGTAAAGAAATTAGGCTTTGAAAGATGTTTCTTAAACCGTGAAAAACAATGTTTCTCAAACAGTGAAATACTTCTCCACCTGCCAGAATGCATCAGAGAAGACTGTCACCAAATTATTCCCCCATTCAACCATTAGTGTTGCCACATCTATAAGCATAATGCATTAAATTTACACCATGCTCACAAATACTTTCCATTCCCCCACTTCTCAGCATTGTAGTGATCACCGTTTTTGTCCCCTTCCTCTGCCTCCCCCATCCTAAACCCTGCCAGTACTGCTCCTGGTGAGAAAGTGGCAAGGAGACACTAAGAACCCCTTCCTAACATACCAATGTCCCACAGCACGTATGGAGAAGGATGACCGGGGCACCCATTAGTCAATGATATATACTAAGCTAGTGAAAGTAAACAGTGGTTATCTCTGATGGTAAGTTTATGGGCAATTCCAAATTTCTTTTAATGCCTCTCTGCATTTGCCAGAATTGATATATTAATGTTTGCCAAAAAATGTGAAAAACTCACAGGTGCTTCCCAGTCTGCTGTGCCATTGGAAAATGTAGGAAGAAAAGACAAAAGAATATTGGCTGTCTCAGAAAGACTTCAGTAGGAATGGTACCAAAATTAAAAAGATTTACAAAAAAAAAAAAAAACTTAAAAAGATTAGGGGGAGAGCTGTACCATGCCCCTTCATGCAGCTGGCCCTCAGGGTACAAGCAACAAAGTGGCCACATGAGCAGCTGTTCTCACGTCAAGAGAAACCTGCTTAATGACAGTCTTGGTAGGAGAAGAAGAGCCTGTTCCAAAACTTGTTCTTTCTTAAAGTTAAGGCTCTTGATCTTTACTTTTCTCCTGACTCTTCAAGTTCTTCAGGATTATTTTTCCTAACTCAGAAGGTCTGCTTCAAATGCTGCTATTTCTTGTTGAGTTGGGGCAGGGGGCACGCAGGGCTAGGAATAGGAATTTGCTATTTATAATCTCCATGACCTCTATAAAGGTCATCTTTTCTACTCTATCATTAAGAAAGAAACAGGCTGTACTTTTTCTTACTCAATTCTGCTCAAGATTAGAGCTCTCAAAACAGATGTATTGAGACGTCATTCAGCAATTACAGGAAGGCCATTAGATTTTTGGAAGGAGCATTACTTTGTGGGACATTTAAGGCTTTCTTGCTCTCGACCATTTTGGCTGTTTCCAAGCTAGTGTTTTTCTGTTTGTTTGTTTGTTTTTTTGAGATGGAGTTTCGCTCTTGTTGCCCAGGTTGGAGTGCAATGACATGATCTTGGCTCACTGCAACCTCTGCCTCCCAGGTTCAAGCGATTCTCCTGCGTCAGCCTCCCAAGTTGCTGGGATTACAGGTATGCGCCACCACACCCAGCTAATTTTTTTATTTTTTAGTAGAGACGGGATTTCACCATGTTGGCCAGGCTGGTTTCTAACTCTTGACCTCAGGTGATCCACCAGCCTCGGCCTAAAGTGCTGGGATTATAGGTGTGAGCCATCGCGCCCGGCCCAAGCTACTGCTTCTTAATCGAATGTTTCCAAAGACAAGGTTGGGCATTTGCTTTAATTTTACCTTATACTCTGTTGTGCTTCCCATCTCCTCCTGCACTTTAACTCAGGCTCTGTGGACTGACTTAGGGTTTCCCAATATTCAGAATTTTCTCTTGGCTCTTAGAGGCAATTGCTCAGGCCCTTTTGACTACTGTTGTGGGGCTGCTCCTGGGTAGGGTTAGGAAATCATTGAAATTTGCCTACATACTATCAAGATTTCCCACAATCTCCCAAACCTTCCTATTTGCATCAGTCTTTGGCGCATCACTACCTTTCATTTATTTCCCCTAAGCTACCCAAAGCCTGAGTGCTACTCTAGACTTGCAAATTCTTTCCTGTATTAAGGGCAGTCTCATCCGCTGGTGGGTGAGGAACACAGGGTAACTATTTGGCATACTTGCCTCTGCTTCCCAATCCTGTGCCCAGAGCAGGCATCGCTGATCAGTCAGCCATGGCACGCATCCCTACTGAGTTGACTCAGCAGCAGAATATTTCTTAACCAGCACTTCAGACAACCACTACCAATGGATCAAGCCCAGCCATTGATTTAAGTTGAAGCTTAACTTGCTGTAGTGTAAAGGGATTGCTCCTATAAACTACATAGTTGAAATGGCTCACAAGTACAGTCTTAGGGTTGTTGTTTTGAGATTTATGATTTTAGAGTCTGCTTTCTGGCATCTCCCAGTCATTGGTCCCTTCTTAGTACAGAGCTATTTTCTCAACTGACCCTAAGTGTTACTGTCCTTTTAGATAATAATAGATTCCATATGGAGAGCCTATTATGTGCTGGGACCTAACATCTGTAGTATTTATTGCCATAGCAACCCTGCAGGTAGTTTTCATTATCCCCAGTTTACAAATGAGGCTCCAGGTGGTAAGTGACTTTGACTAAGTAGATGCTGGTAAGGGTGGGTGTTCAAACTCAGGGCTGGCTAGGCATAGTGGCTCATGCCTGTAATCCCAGCACTTTGGGAGGCTGAGGCAGGCAGATCACCTGAGGTCAGGAGTTCAAGACCAGCCTGGCCAATATGGTGAAACCGCATCTCTACTAAAAATACCAAAAAATTAGCGGGGCATGGTGCCCCTCTAGTCCCAGCTACTCAGGAGCTGAGGCAAGAGAATCCCTTCAACTCAGGAGGCCACGCCACTGCATTCCAGCCTGGGCGACAGGGTGAGACCCCATCTCCAAAAAAAACAAACAAAAACAACTAAAAACCCAGGGCTATCTAACCCCAAAGTCCGGATTCTGTCCACTGTTTTATGATACTTCCCTACTTCTCCTGTCAAATTCTGAGTTAGAGGAAGGCCTTACTCGTTCATGTCTGGGTAGAATATGATTCTTTCTTATTCAGGTCCCCAGGGACCTAAAGGAATCATGTTTAAGATTTAAAGGCTCCAAAGCTGAAAGATCCAAAGCTGAAAGATCTGTAGAGGCCTCAGTGTTGGTAGTTCTCACTTGCTCTGAATGGTCCTAGCATCTACTAGGTTTGAATTGGGGGCACCCAGGCAAAGAACTCCTCTGACACAGTGTTGGTAGAAGCCACAGAAGTCTTCCCTCCACTGCAATGGTTAACTATAATGATCTGATTGGGAATCAGCTCACATTTACTGAGTATCTGCTAGGGTCAGGATCTGTGCTAGGTTCACTGAGCTCATGTCTTCTGACCCAGTTTGTGGTCTTTGCACCACACCATGCAGTTGGCTCTTTATATCGCAGTGCTCAAAATACATCCACTCCTCTAGGAGATAGTGCAGAGGTACACACCCCTGTTGGGGATGAAGGAACAAGCAAAGAGAGGAGACTTTGCTTTTAGCTACACACTTCAAAGACATACAAACTATAAGGCAAAGAAAGATATCTCTCTGCAACTGTCCACATTAATTTGGGATTATAGGTCCAGGCCTGGAGGAAATTAGCTAGTCATTAAAGAAATCAGATGGGAATAAAGAACAGATCATGAGAAAAGTAGAAACTGTTATCTGATATGGATTCACTTTTTTAAGCTGTTGGGAATTCCTGGTACTAAAGCCTCTGTTAGCCAAATGCAGAAGTCAGTGAGCATTCCGAGGGACTTCAGAATCCAGTGCAGGGCAACAGATACATTGGACCCTTCTGCAAAGTGGTTTTCCTGGTAAAATCATGGAAATTAGTGAGGTCTAATCGTCACTCTACTCGTCACACACTAGGAAACACCGCTGGTATTTTCTTCTCTTCTATAGAGGAAGAAAAATAGCCAGAAAAGAATGGATAACCTTCATTCTGAGTTACATCTGACAAAAAGCCAAATGTAGGGCACTGGCCATGCCTTGAGTATAGTGACCATCCATCCCAGTTCGCTCAGGAGCCTCCCGATTTATGCTTGCTGTTCCAGTGCAATTACAAAAAAAACACTACTCTTTCCTCTAAAAAGTGTCCTGATTTTGACAATAAATTGACTATTTGATCACCCTACTTATAGAGCAGGTTTCAACTTACTGCTCCTTTGGCCTGAATACAATAAATTGGGCTGGATGTATTTCCAGGACTTGAGGAAAAGTTAGTCTGCACAGAAAAGCCATTTCAGCAAAAGAAGCCTATGCTGCTTATGCAATCTCCACACTATCCTTCTTCAATCTACCATACACACACATGCACACCATGTCCAGAATTGGCCAGCATTCTTAGGATAGTCTTGCACAGTTTTCTGAATCTCAATTCTGCTGCTAGATATTTACTGGATTCATAAGAAGAAGGTGCAAATATGGAAGCCTTGAGTGGATTTAACAGTGATCCCCCAAAAACTCTGCACTGAGCATTAGACCACAGCAAGAGGGGCTGTGGGCCTCTCAAGAGAGTCACAAATCAGGCCACTTGCTTGTCAAATGGGGACAGGTTGGCCCCTCTTCTGGATCTCAACAACCCCAACCTCAGATACTATCCCAGGATCCCTTTCCTATTCATTCCAAATCAGGATATTCAATTTCCTCATGCAGCCAGGACAAACTGGCCAGATTAAAAAAAAAAAAAAAAAAAAAAAACAATGGCCAAGAAAACTGAGATTTCTGGGCTACTTGCTGAAGAGTTGGCATGGCAGGAGTTAGGGCACTGTCACAAAAATGGCATTTCTGTTTGAATATACACCTTAAATCTTAGATCCTGTCACTTGCAGCTTTGAAAGTCAGTCAGAAAGATCTGGGGTGTTCCTATTTTCTTGTGAATGTGAAAATCAGCTCCCCCTAACACTATGAAGAATAAGAGCAAAAACAAAAAGGCTGGGACAAGAGTGTCACCTAGTGACAAAAGGATGCTTTTGTTAGTTTCTTCCAATAGAGCATCAAGAGCCCATGAAATGTGTCCAGTGCTTTATAGGGATCCTTTTATCTCATGTTCACAACAGAGAGGTGCTTTGGAATCAGAGATTTAAAAGAAATGGACCCTGTCCTCAACCACAGTTTGATGGAGGGCATTCGCATGTAAAAACAGAATTAAAATGGAATGTGATAACTGCTGGGATAGAGGCAATGTGGAATATTTTGGAGACAGACAAGGGACACCTTCTGGTGGAATCAGGAGAAGTATACATAGGTACTGAGCCTAACAATTAATTGGGTATTAGCTCCCTGCTCGGCTTACCTATCCCTATGCCAATTACACAAGGAGAGAAACTGTGAGGTTGAACTTGACACACACCATCCATTGACTCTCTTTCTTATGATGTACCCCTTGGTTGATGGCTGCGCTGTCCATTACAGTAGTCACTGGTCACATGTGGCTATGAGCACTTGGAACATGGCTAAGCCAGTAGAAGTGTGCTGGAAGTGTAAATTACACTCCAGATTCCAAAGATTTAGAATTTTTTAAAGTGTAAAAAAATCCCATTAGTAATTTTTATATTGAGTACGTGTCAAAATGATACTGTTTTGGATAGTACTGGATTAAAATAAATTATTAAAATTAACTTCACCTTTTTAATAAAAAAATGGCTCTAGAAACTTAAAAATTACATATGTGGTTCAAATTATATTTCTAGTGGGCAGCGCTGGTCTAAGCTCCAGTGGGAATTGTAACATATTGGAGTTTTGATGTTATTTCTTTAGAACTGGACTCTACTCCTGGCTCTGGCTATGAGAAAGCATTCTGGAGTTAGCCTTGCTCCACTACTCAGTAACCAGGATGAGCTTGACAAGTTTATTTAAACTCTCTTAACCTGAAATTTCTTATTTATAAAATAGGAACAATAATACCTGTGTGTTGTGAGCACAAATGAGATAATCCATATAAAAGAAGGCCTTCTGCCCCATACTTAACACATAATCTCTCAAAGTTTTTAAACAACTTTATTATTACTTGCATATAATTTCTTTCTTTCTTTCTTTTGAAAACAGGGTTTACTCTGTCACCCAGGCTAGAGTGCAGTGGCGTGATCTTGGCTCGCTGCAGCCTCCACTTCTCGGGCTTCTGAATAGCTGGGACTCCAGGCACGTACCACCATGCCTGGCCAATTTTGTTTTTATTTTTTCTAGAGATGAGGTCTATGTTGCCCAGGTTGAACATATAAGTTCTTGATTCTCTGCATTTTTAAATTAACAAATAATGGTACATGTTTGTGGAGTACAATGTGATGTTTTGATACATGTACACATTGCAAAATGAGCAAATCAGACTAATTAACGTATCTATCACCTCATATACTTATCCTTTCTTTGTGGTGAGAACATTTAAAATATGCTCTTTTGGCCATTTAAACATATGCATTGTTAATAACTACAGTGACCATGTTATGCCACAGATCACTAGAATGTATTCCTCCTAGCTGAAACTTTACATACCCTTGAACTAATATCTCTGCTTTCCCCATCCACCCTTCCCTCCAGCCCCTGGTAACCACCACTCTACTCTCTTCTATCAGTTTGACTTTTTTAGATTTTACAAATAAGTAAGATCATGCAGTAACATCTAAGTTCTTAATAAACATTATTAAGACTAGAATTTACTGAGTGCTTACAACTGCCAGGCCCTCTGCATGAATACACGCCTTTAATTTGTGAGGGTCCTGGTTATACCACCTGAGGCAAACAACTTCACCCTTCATGAGCCCCCATTTCCTCACCTCCACATGGGGATAGTTGGTCAGTAAGTGACTTCTAGGGAAACTTCCAGCTTTGACATTCTATGTGTCATCTGACATTTAAACATATTTCACTATCACATTAAGTATTATTCAAAGGCTCTGACTTCCAATGTTTCCTCATAGCCTTTTGTTCTTGTTTCTTCTTCCATGTCTTTGAAGAAATAGAATTTTGTTTTTCAGATTTCTTCTACTACCTGCATTTTTTTATTTCCATCATGTCCCCTTTCTCTGCTTATTTAAAAAGTCTGATTCTCTGTCACTCATTTAGACTTTGTCTTCAAATACTTGGTGTTCCTTGCTTGTCCATTGATAGCCAAGAAGGAGCCACTACGATGTTAACTAGAAACTACGTGGGTAGGTGGTACTTGCTGACTGAGAGGCGTGGGAGAGGACCTATTCTGTTGATTCCTAAATGTCAGTATCCGTAGGTCTTTTTTTTGTGGGAAGGGGTCTTTTCCTAGAGGGGAAGCCTCCACTTTCCTGCCTGATGGTGTGAGCCTGACAACTTGAGTTCTGGGAGTTGGCTGGGGATACTTCCCGCAGGGTCTTGCTGTTTCCATGTGGTACCTTACCTTCCATGGGAGGCCAGTTGAGTTGATTTGCACTTTTTAGCTTCCCCTGCTTCTGGCTGAGGTCTCAGATCTCTCTGGAACAGCAACAGTTATAATACATATAATGGCTGCTATTTACTGAGCACCAACTCAGTCAGGCATTGTCCTATGCAATTAACGTGGAGTGTTATCTGTTACTCCTTTCAACTCTGTGGGTAGGTATTATGATAATATTTCCTCTAATTTATCATGACATGGAGAGTTAACTAACTTGCTCGAACTCAGTCGTGGATCTAGCACTTCAACACACAGCCCATGCTTAATGCCACTTTACCACTTGCCCACCTGCTTTCTATTTTCCAAATTCTAACCTGTCCTGTCTGCTTTCAGCACCTCTCCTGTCCTCCCTGTCTTGAAGGACTTAAGTCTTTTCTTTTTTTTTTTTTTTTTTTGAAAGACAGTGGTCTCCCTATGTTACCCTCAAACTCCCTATGTTGCCCTCACTCAAGTGATCCCCTGGTCTCAGCCTCCCAAAGTGCTGGGATTACAGGCATGAGCCACCACACCCAGCCCTATTTCTTTACTACTATTTTAGTGGAGTTTCAGGAGACAGTGGAGATAAATGTGCAGGTGTTGTTCACTATACATAACCAAAGACTGAAATCACTTTTTGGATGTGGAGGCTATCGTGACTGGTCACAGTGACCAATGGATGGTCACTGTGAAACTGGGATCCCACTGCATCGCCTTGGCTTCTGTTTCTGCTCTGACTGCAATTGGATTCTGTGTGGCCAGAGAAGCCTTGCAAGCCTTAGCCCATACATGTCATGGTTGCCAACTTACCTAGAGCTGTTGCTGACACTCAGCATCCATCACTGGGGAAATGACTGGCCAGGTTTTAAGATCCAGAGCATGAAAGCATCAGATAAAGGAGACAGAACTGGAAGTGTTTCACTGTATGACTGAAAAATCACACATACATGTGAAAGGCCAGGATGATTAAAATCAAAAAGTGAATAATGGATGAGGTGACTACAGGTAATTTACATTTTATTCTGTCTGCTCATCTATTTTCCAGTTTTTCTACAGTGTATACATTATTTACCAAATGTATATTTTAAGATATTTTAAAATGTTCACTCTTTGATTCAGTCATTCTACTTCTTAGAAACATCTTAAAGTAATAATACAAGAAGTATGCAAAGATTTAGCCACAGGAATGTTTATTCCAAAAACGTTTACACTACCATTAAATTAGAAAACCAAAATGCGTAAAGAGGAGTATAAAGTTGGACTCTAAAGTCATTAAAAATATTTAACAAAATGCTTACAGGGCATTCTTATGTGGGGAGAGAAAGCTTACAAAGCATTCTGTACAATATAATCCCATTTTTATAGATGCACAGAATAATCAAAAGATAAATACCATAGGTTGAGAGTGGTTAGTAGAGGGCCTGGGATTGAGGATTCAAGGCTAATGCTTTCCCCTGGGGGCTGGGGGTGTAACTGAAGTCTACACTCCCAGCCCCCATGGGCCCCAAGCACCCTCACCTGGCCCTCTGCTAAGGGGTAGGAAGGGGGCTGGGAGGAAAATGCAAGACAGGAGGAGGCAATTAAACATGATGGTGCTCAGGCCAGATTCCCTCTGAGGATATCTTCTGAACACAGTTCCAGCACGATCTGAAATGTAATTTCTGTAAAATGCTTTCATTGTTTTTAAAAAGTTAATCCAGATACTGCTGTCAGCTTTTCATAGTATTGGTTTCTGTAATGTCCTAATAGAGCAAAGGAAGGACACTCCTGAAGTTAAAAAGTTTCTACGGCAGGATTTGCAAAGACCAGAAGAAAAAGGTTACATAGCAAAAATTTTCTTCTGGTTATCTTTGGGTGTTTTTTTAAATTTTATTTTATCTGTATATTCTAATTTTCTCACAACAAATATATATTGCTTTTGCATTTTACAAATATACAGAAAATGTAATCTGGAAAAAAGTTACTTTTTCCAGTTCTAAGTTAAATAAGTGAAAGTCACTTTACTGCTTACAAAGAAATCTTTAAATTTGAACTTGGTATCCACCATCTGCAACAGATCATTCAATCTAGGGATGTTGCAGAACAACAGGGACTCCTCAAATCTCACTTTCCTTAGGAATATATTTTTCTAGCTATATTTGACTATGTCCTAATCATGTTCTATTTATTTGTATATCAGAAATAACAGTCATATCATGAAGAGCTACCTTATCTTAGGCAAGTTGCTTTTCTCCTTCCTTTCCAACTTGAAAAACACACTTCTCAGATTGCTACAAAAGGCCAACCTCTCTTTTTTTTCTTTTTTGAGACAGGGTCTCGCTTTCTCACCCAGGCTGGAGCACAGTGGTGCAATCTTGGCTCACTGTAGCCTCAGCCTCCTGGCTAAGTGATCCTCCTGCCTTAGCCTCCCAACTAGCTGGGACCACAGGTGTGTACCACCATGCCTATTTTTTTTTTTTTTAATTTTTAGAAGAGATGAGGTCTTGCTATGTTGTCCAGGCTGGTCTAAAACTCCTGACCTCAAGCAATCCTCCTGCCTTGGCCTCCCAAAGTATTGGGATTATAGGTGTGAGTCACCACACCTGGCCAACTCTCTTCCTTCTGTATGCACATTTCACCTTTAACATAACGTGTACTATCATCATTATTTTTTTGAGATAGGGTCTCACTGTGTTGCTCAGGCTGGAGTGGAATGGCACGATCTTGGCTCACTGCAACTTCCACTTCCCAGGCTCAGGCAATTCTCCTGCCCCAGCCTCCCAAGTAGCTGCGACTATAGGTGTGCCCCACTGTACTTGGCTAATTTTTTTTTTTTTTTTTTTTGTAGAGACGGTGTTTTGCCATGTTGCCCAGGCTGGTCTTGGACTCCTGAGCTCAGGTGATCTGCCTGTCTTAGCCTCCCAAAGTGCTGGGATTATAGGCATGAGCCACCACGCCTGGTCTGTATGTGCTTTTTAAAAAGCCTATCCCATACTGAATTGTGGGAACCTATGAAGTGTCTCTTAATGTCAATTAAAAGTAACAGTGGCTGCAGATATTGATTTCTGAAAGTACATGAGAATTTGTCTCTAACTATGGTTGAAACAACAAAACCAAATCTGAATCAGGTAGAGGTCTACCAGACACAAACTCTGAAATTAAACACTAATAGGACTGTTACTGGGCAGGGGGGACTCCTTTGAGTAAAAAGGTAACATACAGTTTTCCTAGGTGGCTGGTGCTCTCCCCCAACTTTCATACTGGAACAAGAGTTAGGCTCAGGTTTACATGATCCTCTACTATTCTTTTGTGAAGAATGACAACTGAGTCAGTTGGTTGAGCTTGAAGTGTTCCAGTCCTAAGGGATTCACTCTCACTTAATGTCATATATTGGTAAGGTGCCTACATGAGGTCAGTGTTTGTGGCTACATATAAAGACCAATGATGAAATGAGGAATTATTTTTTTTTCTTTTAATAAGGGATGGGGTCTTGTTATGTTGCCCATGCTGGACTCAAACTCCCAGACTCAAATTCCTGGGCTTAAGCTATTCTCCTGCATCAGCCTCCCAAATAGCTGGGACTACAGGTGCATGCCACCACACCCAGCTAGAGGCAATGATTCTTAAAGTCTCCGCTGGCTATCTAGGACTCTTATTAAATATCCTGTTACTTTAAAAAGGCCATCCAAATATATTTTCTTGAAAGAAACATTTATTTATGATCTTTATTGGTGAAATAATTTCAAACAAATCCAGAACAGGTTCTCACACTTTGAGCCTTTAGTGCAAAAACATTATGCCATGCGGGAAATAAAATGCTTATCCAGTGGAGCGCTCCCCTGATGCATTGAAATATTAGGATACTCAAGCAGAAGACGACTTATGTGACAGAAATCTGCTCATAAATCTGCTTGAAAAAGGGCATGATAAACCTCATATTAAGGTTTCTCACAACATAAATATGCTTAAGCAACTTAATTCCAACTTAATTTCAAAACACCCCAGGAATCAACTATCCCTTTAAATAAAAAAAATAATCAATTTATATTCTTCTTAAAAGAACTCCAACAATTTAAAATAAGTTCCAATTCCATATATATATATATATATATATATATATATATATATATATATATATATACACACACACGCACACACACACATTTATAACTTAGGTGCTCTTTTGCGCTATATACTTTAATTCATGCAAAAGTGATAGAGGACTGGACTTGAGGCTCTACAGAGGCCTTTCTGAGAAAGCTGTGTAGCTCCTTACTCTGGCGAAGAACAAGGGGGTGTACATCTTGTCAATCTCAAAAGCACTGACTGCAGTCTCACCAGTTGATCTGTAAAAAAAAAGCACAAAATTACTAGTATGAGGAAATTTCAATTCATTTAAAATCCTTGTGTGTTTGGGGAAGGTTATTCTATGCTTTAGCCTTTTTTATTTTTAATTCATCTTAGGAAATTCTATATAATATAGGCATATTGTAGAAAACTCGAAAAATTTAGAAATGTATACAGAAACATCACCACAATTCCAACACTCAGAGCCATATGAAGGATATTTTCTAGTGTTTCTTGAGATCAAACTTAGTAATTCTTTTTATTTCATTTAATTATTTGTATTTTCCCACATCATTATTTTTCAGAAACCATTTTTAGTGGCAGGATGATATTTCACTGTCTGCTTGTACCACAGTTTACTTAATTGGAGATTTAGGTTGTGTCTACTATTTCTCAATTAAAAATTATGTGATTTTGATGTCCTTCAGAGATTCCTAAGATAGAATTTTTAAGTCAGAAGCTATAGACATTAGGTTCTTCTTAAAATGTTTCAGAAATAACTATATTCCTAGAATATAATTTGATTATTTAATAATTGCATGATCAACAGCATAATTATAGGCAGGGGGGAGGGAAAGTAGGTGGTAAGTTATGCTACCACTGAGAGAGACAAACGAAAGCAGAGAATTCAAGTGATTTTATAAATATTACAAGGAAGTCAATGTGATAATTAGCAGCTACAAATAATGCCTCTGGTAATGTCCTTTTTTCTCCTAAATAAACAATGTTTTTCTAATGGGTCAAGTATAAACTATAACCATCCATTGTTCATTTGCTTGGCTCTACTTCAGGGTTTGGTTTCTTTTTTTCTTTTTGATACAAGGTCTTGCTCTATCACCGAGGCTGGAGTGCAGTGGTGTGATCATAGCTCACCGCAGCCTTGAACTCCTGGGCTCAAATGATATTCCCACCTCAACCTCCAAATTAGCTGGGACTTCAAGATGCATACCACCATGCCCGGCAAATATTTTTATTTTTTGTAGAGATGGGGTCACCCAGTTTTGCCCAGGCTGGTCTCAAACTCTTGGCCTCAAGTGATCCTCTTGCCTTGGCCCCCCAAAGTCCTGGGATTATAGGCATAAGCCTCCACACCTGCTCAGGTTTCTTTCTTTGAAAAGTAGAAAAAAAAAATCCCACAGCATTAGAGAGAGAAGCAAAAAGGAGATATAGTAGAATTTGTAGGCAAAGATGAGAAAGAAAAACGTTCTGTTGTCAGGACCTTCCAAATGAGCAGGGAAAAGTTATCGGTAAAGTGGAAATGTGACACAGTTTTCAACAATGTGGTTAAGGTTGCAAAGAGGCAATGGAAGCTGACCTCAAAACTTCTCTCTCGGAATTTTAGATTCAAGCAGAACGAAGAGCCTTCAGTCATGTACCAATATTCTTTCAAATTGAACAAGAGCTAACCTTAATTGCCACAGGACTTGATATTTCACTTCCCTGGTTCCTTTTTAAGTTTTATATATTTCTGTATGGCTCCTTTCTCATACCTCCCCTCTTCAGTTCACTGATTATGATGTACAGGTAAATGCTACTGCATAGAACAAAGAGTTTTAAATAGGAATCACCTAACAAATTTGGCTTTGGAATACCTCTTATTTTTTTAGTAGACTTACTTTCCTAACTACAATTTTATTAAATCAGTGTATAATCCCTGAGGATAAAACAAATGGAAATAAAGCAAAAAATGGTAACTGTGGGAAAAGAAAAATGATCTGGTATTTTAAAATGGCTTTAAGTCATACATGGACAGCTCACAGCTGACTAAGTACCATTCTTCCCATGGAATGCTACTTTCATTTCCAAAGTGGTGGTGGTACCAATTCACATTCCAATGGGTACTATATGAGTGTTCCAGATGCTCTGCTTCCTCAAGCATGCTTAGTCTTTTTCGTTTGGGCCATTTTCTTGGTTTGTAGTAGTTTGTAGTAGTACTGGTTTTAGTTTGTAATGTAGTGTTAACTCTGAGAAATTAGAAACATATCTGAAATTCTTAAGCTGGATACGAAGTATACATTTATAGTGTAACCTTGTTATTTTTATTGCATTCACCTACTTGTAAGTAATGTGACAAGAATGATGTATCCAGATGAGTTTGTTGAACCTCTGGTGACCACTGGAACATAGCTGTAGCCCCACATGAAAACTCTGATCTGCTTCTTGTACAGGGACACGACGAAAATATCTGTATTTATAGTCAAGTGGTTTCTGCAAAAGAAAAGATGCATAAGTTATAATGAAACCTTACCTCACTTCTATGTTTACAGAAATAGTATGCAACAGTGACACTAAAAGTAACATAATATTTGCATGCAGTAAAGAGTCGTTTTGACTATCACAAGAATGTATGAGTGCTTTAAAAACTGTTAAATACTCTAAAAATATCAGATTTTTTTCCCCATCATCATCATCTCAGTTAATCATCATAATAACCTCATGTGTTAAATATGATTGCATTATTTCTATTTACTAGCTTAAAAAATGAAGATCCAGGGAGGTAAAACTACTATGTAACCAACATTACATAGATGGGATGTAAAATTATTATCTCCTATCTCTAAGCCTAGTATTTCCTTCTACTGGAAAACACTTGGACATTTTTTAAGAGGGAAAGTGATAAATTGGTGAAGGATGCTGAAAAAGCACAGAGTATAACTTATCTTTTGCAATAACAGTAAAATAAATGAGCAAACAGCTGTGACAAGGTTCATTAGAATTACACTTCTGCAAATACTGCTGCTAAAAACAAAAAAATGTAAACACTATGAATATTTCATCATATTCTGAAGAGAAAATTGACATTCTACATGGGAGTTCCTAAACTCTTTTAATTAGATAAAACCTGAGCAACTAAGGCCTTCCAAATTCCCAATTTTGACCTCAGGAAACCTGCAGTCACAGTCAAAGCAACTCTCTCTGTCTCTCAGGCTGCTGCTGCCCAGGCTCCAGGAGCCCATCAGAGGGAAGTGGAGACGCCAGCAACAGGTGGCCACAAGGTGATAGGACTCGCAGATGAAACTCTGCCCTGTCTGGACATATGATGTTAGAGAAGGGGGAATTTCATACAAGAGAAATATCCTTCAAAAGCTGTATTAATTATAAAGGCAACAAGTAAATATTAATATTTATTCCAAATACCATACAACTGGCTTCTTGGGTACATATAACAATTTTTAACCAGGATTGAAAACGTGCATATGGAGAAAGGTGAAAAAATTAGGCTACCAATCTGTTAGGACAATTTAAAGCACTCTAGAATGTAATAATGTCAGTAATCATATTTGCTTGGCATTTTTTTCCTTTTTTAAGAACAGGAAGAAGAAAATTATCTGAAGTTAGGTTATTTCCAGTAGAAACTGAAGTTCTAACAATATCCTTATGGAAAGAATTATCTATATGAGCTAATTTAGGAAAAAAAATCCCCTGTGATTCGACATGAGCAGAGCCAAAAACATATTCAGGTATAATTTTACTAGTTATTTCACAAGAGATTTCAGCTTTACATTTTCATATATAAAAAACAAACTATCTGGTAAAAAACAAAAAAGCTGATCCAATAAAAAATAACAACATTTTAGAAAACTCTCCAGCTTTCTTCAGTGATTGCTAGAAGTTAATATACATTTTATATAACAGTATAAATAATCAGAAAGGGTTTTTTTTGTTGTTGTTCTAATCGAGACTGCTTGGATGAATAGGCTATTAAGATAAGAAAACTATTAATTACACCTCGTATACTCACTTCTTCTTTTTTCTTAGTTATTACAGCAAATACTTTGGTCTGATTGTCTGTGTCTTGTGACAAGCGATAGTGACCCAGTAGAATTGCATCAGTCCTTAAAAAAAAAAAACAAATTGAATCTAAATCAGTTATTAAGTGGATTTAAGTAATCTAAGAAGTAACAAATTACAACAGTGTTTACTCTTGCTTGAAAAGAATCAGCTAGGATTGAGTAAAACTCAATTCCAAGGCTCCAAAGACCTGCTGAAGTAGATTTTCTAAGGAAAAGCCCAGAAATTGGTATTTTTCCTAAGACCCTGAATGATTGCTTTTAAAATCATCCAGTATTAAGTGAAAGAAGCACTGGATTACTTTAACCTGCAAGGAACCATATAAAACATAGACTGGATGGAAAGCCATTTAAAAAACAAATGCTACCTGGTATTCCTAGTTCTTAAACGTGGAACAATGGACTGAGGCTCTTCAGGGGTTGTCAACATCATCACATGGCCATCAGGAAAGAATCTTATGTACCTATGTAATAAGAAAAGGAAGACCAAAACACACCCCCCACACAAAGTATAAAATATGTCCTTATCTATTAGTACCTATGCCTATTCATAGCTATGAAACCAACACTGAAATACCACGGGCTAAAGAACTGCTAAAACATTAAAACAAATATTACTGACTACCTGTTAGTCCAGCAACAAAGAACCAAAGATATTTTATCTTCCTCAGGGGAAACTGTTGAACTTTTAAGTTTTACTCACTGAATAAAAGTCAAATATTGTTTTATTAAAGTTCTGTGTTTTTCCCAAAGCAACAATTTCAAACAAAGTGAGAGCCACACACAACGGTTAACATGTCTATTTTTTTCTAAATGACAATAATATTTGGCAAGCAATAAGGTGGAATAAAAGCACAAGCTATTTGAAAAGGCAAGTAAATACACCCAGGGCAAAAGACAAGAAGAAATCTAAAAGAGGCCAGAAGAAATTCTGTAATTTATATTAGCCTATTTTTTTTTTTAGTGCAATTCCTACATTGAGTACTAGATAAAAATACTGAGGGCCATTTTGCGGGTCAATCAAAAGCAACAAAGAACAGATGTCCATTTAACTAATACATGGAGAGAGAGAATTTTCCACTCACTCAGTGTACTACAGTTGTACCTGTAATATTCCACTTGGTGCCAGGCTCTATAGAAACCATCAAGAGACTGTTCCCCTTGACGAATATATGTGGTTTTACTGATATACACGCCTATGAAAATAATTTTAAAAAGTTAAAAATTATAATATTCAGATATTCCCAGCATTATATTTACTGTGGTTTCCTTTAAACATGCTTACAGTACTCACATTCATCACAGAAAATTTAAACGGCGTATTTATAAAAATCAGCATTATAGATCAGTATTTCTGCTGAGTTCTACAGAATCCAACTTACCATCAAACCGAACACGAGGCCGTTCTAAAAACATCTCTCTCCAGGACGTGTACGGAACAAGTTTAATACAGCTTCTGCCCCAAACTTTCAAGCAGGCCAGACGCCATATTTCAGGGTCTCTAGGGAATAAAAGCACAATGTCAATAAAAACTAAGTCCCTATACATAGACATAAATATTTTTGCTATCAGCCATCTTTTATTTAGCAAGTATTTGTTGAACACCTGGGAGGCACTGTTCTGAGGAGAAACTAATGGACAAGGCAAAGGCCCTGCTCTTTTACTGTGGGAAAGCAAATTGAGAGGAAAGCTTCTGGTAGTACGCTTAGTGCAAAAATCAACCAACAGACAAAGTAGAGTCAGCAGACAGAAATGATGGTGGTGAGGAAATAGGGAGGCCAGGAAATGCCTCTCTGGGAAGGTGATCATAGTGATGGGGATAAGTATCTCAGGCAGCAACCAGAGCATGTGCAAGGCCCTCAGGCAGAAGTGTGACTGGTGGGCTCATCCAAGAGCCAGCAGGAGCACACAGCTGTGGCAAAGTGGGCATTGTGCAGAGGAAACTATGATGAGGCAGTCGGGGCAGGTGAGGTGGCATCTTGTAGGAAGGAGTGGTTATTTACATGAGATGGATGCCACTGGAGGGTTTTGAACATAATTTATGCTTTTATTTTAAAAGATCACTCTGGTGGTTTATGGAGAATATGGTCTAGTGGTATAAGAGTGGAAACAGGAAGACCAGGTAGGATGCCACTATGTAACCCAAACCAAACAGAACAGTGGCTGAGTCAGAAGGGTTGTTGCAGAAGTGGTAAAATGGTCAGACTGGAGATAAATTTTGAAGGGAGCACCAACAGGACTTTGTTTAAAAAATTAGTGCAGGGGCTGGGCATGGTGGCTCACGCCTGTAATCCCAGCACTTTGGGAGGCCAAGGCAGGCAGATCACGAGGTCAGGAGGTCGAGACCAGCCTGGCCAACATAGTGAAACCCTGTCTCTACTAAAAATACAAAAATTAGCTGTGCATGGTGGTGGGTGCCTATAGTCCCAGCTACTCAGGAGGCCGAGGCAGGAGAATTGCTTGAACCTGGGAGACGGAGGTTGCGGCGAGCCAAGACTGTGCCACTGCACTCCAGCCTAGGGGACAGGGCGAGACTCCGTCTCAAAAAAAAAAAAGTGTGCAAAAAGCTAAGTAAAAGATGTACTAAAAATTGACATGATTCTGCTATAACTAAAAGTATTTCTAACTCCATCTCTAACTTAAAATATTCAGGGTTTGTTTTTCTTAAAGTGATGAGGTCTCACTATGTTGTCCACGCTGGAGTGCAGAGACTATTCACAGGTATGATCCCACTACTGATCAGCATGGGAGTTTTGACCTGCTCCATTTCTAACCTGGGCTAGTTCACCCCTCCCTGGGTAACCTGGTGGCTCCCAGCTCCTTGGAGTTTACTACACTGATGCTGAACTTAATGTGGACACCCAGTCAGCATAGTGCACTAGAGCCCAGAACTCCTAGGCTCAAATAATCTTCCTGCCTTAACCTTTTGAACAGCTAGGACTACAGGCATGTGCACCACCACACCCAGCTAAGTATTCAGTTTTAAAGATGTAAAAACTAGCCTGGGCAATATAGCAAGACCCTGTCTCTTAAAAAAATTTTTTTTAATTAACTAGGCAAAAATACAAAATGAAAAAAAAAATTAACCAGGCATGGTGACACATGCCTGTAGTTCCAGTTACTCAGGAGGCTGAGGCAAGAGGGTGGCTTGAGGCCAGGAGTTTGAGGCTGCAGTGAGCCATGATGGTGTCAGTGCACTCCAGCCTGGGCGACAGAACAAGACCTTGTCTTGTTCATTCATTCATAAATAAGTAAATGAAGCAAAAACTATTTAGATCGGTGTCAGATTGAAAAAGATAAGTCCCCTCAAACTTATGTTAAAATGTATATTTAAAATGTTTGCTTTTAAAGTTACTTTTATGATGACACATGAAGTTTTATTCCTGAATATTTGCTTAACCAATTCTTTCTTTCTTTGTTTTTGTTTTTAAGCTAGGCAAATTAAGCAGTGGGAGTGGGGAAGGAACAAAGAAATCTGTAACTGGTTGTGATCAATTAGATGTAAACGACCACTGCACTCAGACCAGCCCAATTCCTTCTTTATAGTATTTTCTCACATACAATTACAAGTTAATGGAATAACTATGAAAGTTGTCAAAATCAAAATTAAATCATGAATGTGAAGAAAATCCTGACAGAGCTGGGAAAGGCCATGAAAATAAGGTTCTCATGCTTGTATGCCTGATAACAAAAAAGACTACAAAAAACACAACCCTGCACAAAGGCCATTAAACCTTATACAAAAAATACTTCTACAAGGACATCTGCCCAGCAAACTGCCTGTGCAAACTTGAACTGGCATTACCCTTGTTAATGATCTTTGTAGCCAAGGATAATTATTTCCAAAACAATTATGTAATCCTCATTTTTTCCTTTAAAAACCTGCCTGCCTTTACCTCCCTGAATAAGCACATGGTTTACTATGGCATGTGTATTCCCATTGTGATGCTCTAATCCCAAATAACTTTTGGGCATTTGTTATTTAGGTTGAAATACAGAAGTGTCAGAAGCGGGATCTGAAAAGATCATTAACTGAAGGAATCAGAGATTCTTGGAACCAGTGTGCAGTACTTACTTGAGTGCTCTGAGCACTCTACTTCCACGGCTTGCCTTTTCTGCCCTGGTGAATCTTCTTTCAGGCTGAGCCTCCTTCCTTTTGGTAGAGGCTTCTTGATATCATTTGGGATCTGGTTTGGATAAGGTCACCTTAATAAAGGACCATACATCCCTTTTGAGATGATAAACTTTTTGTCTTTCCTGGTAAGTCCTTTCTGGTGTAAAGAAAAGTGTCTTTTTAGATTGGGTATTCTTGGTTTCTACAGCATTTACATTCTGTTCACGTCTTCTGGTGAATTTACTTTTGATTTGGTCTGTGCATTCAGTTTAATATTTTGTTTGATCTGCATGCCTGGGATAAAATATTTGTGAATGTTCTTATTTTGGTTTTTGATTTGGTTTGACTCTTTTCCCTTGCTTCTTCTGAAAATCTTCCATAAGCAAAAATAAAGATTCTGAATGGTGGGCAGAAGATGGCTAATTAAAAACCACTAGGGCTGGCCGGGCACGGTGGCTCACGTCTGTAATCCCAGCACTTTGGGAGGCCGAGGCAGGCGGATCACGAGGTCAGGAGATCGAGACCATCCTGGCTAACATGGTGAAACCCCATCTCTACTAAAAAATACAAAAAATTAGCCGGGCCTGGTGGCGGGCGCCTGTAGTCCCAGCTACTGGGGAGGCTGAGGCAGGAGAATGGTGTGAACCCGGGAGGCAGAGCTTGCAGTGAGCCAAGATGGCACCACTGCACCTGCAGCCTGGGCGGCAGAGCGACACTCCGCCTGGAAAAAAAAAAACAAAAACAAACAAAAAAAAACCCCACTAGGGCTACAGAGGCTGAGGCAGGAGAATGGTGTGAACCCAGAGGCGGAGCTTGCAGTGAGCCGAGATTGCGCCACTGCACTCCAGCCTGGGCGACAGAGCGAGACTCTGTCTCAAAAAAAAAAAAACAAAGAAAGAAAGAAAAAAACCACTAGGGCCAGGTGCGGTGGCTCACGCCTGTAATTCCTGCACTTTAGGAGACTGAGGTGGGCGGATCACCTGCGGTTGGGAGTTAGAGGCCAGGCCAGCCAAAATGGTGAAACCCCGTCTCTACTAGAAATACAAAAATTAGCCAGGCGGTGGTGGTGCATGCCTGTAATCTCGGCTACTCGGGAGACTGAGGCAGGAGAATCGCCTGAACCCGCAAGGCGGAGGTTGCAATTAGCCAAGATCGTGCCACTGTACTGCAGCCTGGGCGACAGAGTGAGACTGTCCTCAAAAGGAAAAAAAAAAAAAAAGACAAACCACTAGGTCAGTCACCACCACCTAAAACACAGGTCTAAACTCCTGACTTTCTCTGACAGGATTTGCAGAATTTTCTTTCCTCTGGAGAGAGTAGTAAGAAACAGAATGGGATTCTCAAATGTTAAAACATGCCAGGTTTTCTGGGATTCCAGCTGACTACATCTTATAGCCTATTGTTGTGCACATTTTTAAACTGATGGGCAAAATTACATCAAGAAAAATTTACAGCTCAAATTATCATCATTCAAAAACCTGCAACTATAGAATATATATAGTCTAAGTTCTCTATTTTTTTTCTTCACACTTTGAATCTGCTGACTTTTCCATTCATGTTGAGATAAAACTCACTGCTTATGACATGTGAACCAAGATTAAATAATGAAGAATTTTGTGTAATTTGGAAGTTATTTAAAGTTTATTTCAAAATATGGCATAAGAAACAAATCAGTAAGTAGGAGACAGAGATGTGAAGAAAGTTACAAGGATATATTTTTGGTTAAAAAAAGATGAAAAAGAGAATAATTTTGTATAAAAAAGAATCTTGTATGGTAGATTTTTGTCCTAAAGTAAAATGACTGGTTAAGAAAGAGGAAGGTATACAACAGAGCAGAAAGTCCAAGCATGTCATCAATATAAGTTGTGATAAGGTTCATAAAAGATTTTGTGTGTGGTCAAGTTGGCTATAATTGAAGAGAATTGTTTATAAGTCTTTCTAAAGATTGAGCTTTGCTATAAGAAATACACTAATACAAAACTAAAAAACTTGGTCCTCTGTTAGAACAATGAAGTTTTCTTAAAGTATTAATTTGCTCTTAGTATTAATAAAACTATAAGAGGTTTTGATTTTAAATTCTAAAATCTGTTGAACAGCCATCTGCAAAACTACAGTTTCTATTTCTTCCTGGGATCTAATTAATTTCCCTAGTTCCAGGTTGGAAATGCTGTCTTTTTCACTCAGAATGGTAATTTCACTTCTCAAGGTAAAATTTTTCTTTCTGAAGCTTCTCAGATTTATATCAGAAGTTCAACTTTTGCTGTACCACTCCTGCACATGATTTGCAGGTCATACACCATTGCCTTCTGTTCTCTCTCCCCTTGAAAGAGTGTATCTTTTTGCTTGGCTAGGGTGATAACTCTCTCTTTCAACCTTTTTGTCAACTCCTCTTAATTTTTTCCCTCCAGTTCTAGCTCTGCTGTTAATAGCCTGACACTGAAATGTTTATCTCTTTTTTTTTTTTTTTTTTTTTTGAGATAGGATCTTACTCTGTCATCTTGGCTGGAGTGCAGTGGCATGATCACGGTTTATTATGGCCTTGAACTCCTGGGCTCGGGTGATCCTCCTGCCTCAGCCTCCTGAGTAGCTGGGACCACAGGTACACACACTACGTCCAACTAATTTTTCTATTTTATCATAGAGACGGGGTTTCGTCATGTTGCTCAGGCTGGTCTCGAACTCCTGGGTCCAACCCATCAATCCACATCAGCCTCCCAAAGTGCTAGGATTATAGGTGTGAGGCACTGCACCTGTGTTTGTTGTTGTTGTTGTTGTTGTTTTTGAGACAGGGTCTCATTCCATCACTCAGGCTGGTGTGGCATGATCATAGCTCACTGCAGCCAGGCTTCAGCCATCTTCCTGCCTTAGCCTCCCAAGTAGCTAGGCGTGCACCACCACACCCAGCTAATTTTTTTGCTTTTTTAGTAGAGATGTTGTCCAGGCTGGTCTTGAACTCCTGACCTCAAGCAATCCTCCTACCTTGGCCTCCCAAAATGCTGGGATTACAGGCATGAGTGACCATGTCCGGCCTGAAATGTTTAGTTTAAAGGTCTAGAAGAGCAATGTTTTCCTCCAATATAACTTGATTCTGTACTCTTGGCTTTATGTGACATCTGAATTACTCCATGTAACCAGGAAACTTCCTATGCTATTTAAGAGCCATGTATTCTCCTGCTCAAGTTACTAGTTTTCTTGTTTATATTCCTCTCTAATGTAGACATATAACCCTGGATACTTCCTGTCCCTAAGTAAATTCAAGTACCCTTTTAATCAGGTTTAACTTACAAGTTATCTAAACAGGTTTCCCACATGGAGAAGCAAATACCCTATAAAAGGTATTTCTTTATCTTTTTGGCAACTGGCCTAAAAAAAAAATTTATTGTTTTATCAATATAACGCCTGTGCTTTATTAGGTTTTTGGTTACTTACGAAAACTGAGCTTTAAAAGGATTAAGGCTTTTACATCCATGTAACTTTCTGCATTGCTTTTAAGATCTTTTGATTATCAGTATGGTTAAATAAGTAACTTCACAGTGGCCAGCAATTTTGTTTTGATCAAATGTTTTGAACCTTTGACATCTCTGGCAGGTTTCCCCAGAGTCAAGATCCTAAATTAAGGCTTTCCAATCTAAAATTAACTTTGAGATTTTCTTTTTCTTTTTTTTTGAGATGTAGTTTCACTCTTGTTGCTCAGGCTGGAGCGCAATGGTGCGATCTTAGCTCACCGCAACCTCCGCCTACCGGGTTCAAGCGATTCTCCTGCCTCAGCCTCCCAAGTATCTGGGATTATAGGCATGAGCCACCACGCCCGGCTAATTTTGTATTTTTAGTAGCGACGGGGTTTCTCCATGTTGGTCAGGCTGCTCTCGAACTCCTGGCCTCAGGTAATCCACCCGCCTCATCCTCCCAAAGTGCTGGGATTACAGGCGTGAGCCACCACACCCAGCCAACTTTGGGATTTTCTAGTTGGGCTCCTGGAAAGCCTCAAAGAACGTATCTCTCATCCTGTAGATATATCAAATGATTAACCTCACTTGGTAAACTGTATGGGAGGCACTGTTAAATAATAAGTATTAGATCCTCTTTCAGTTACATTTATGGGTATATTATTGATATAAATGTTCCAAAACTATGTAAACTCATAAAAATCTAGTATGCTATTAGTTATAAATTTCTATTATGTCAAATATTTTCTAAAGTTATATTTGTATAGATGTTATTAATGTGAGTATTCTAAAGACTAGATGAAATTTATATAAAAGTCTGATAGTCCTGATGTGACAGTGTCAGTCATGATTCTGGTTATCTTAAAATGCTACATGTACTAGAAATAACTAAATTCCCTCATCAACTGAGAACTTTCATCAGATTTTACATGGCTATTCTAAGTTTTTGTCATCACAATTATTATTTTGAATTCTCTAAAAACATTTGCAATCAGCTACAGTCCAAAACTGCTGTTTATGGAAAAGACTCTAGCAGTACTCTTGAACAAAGATTTTTGCTAACTTTAAGATCAATGGACTAAATAAAAATTTCCAGAACTCTAATAAATTCATGGGTTCATTGAACTGCTAATAAAGATCAAGCATAATAAAAAATTACATAAAATTGATGTAAATGATGAAGAGAATGTCTTTATGACGTTAGAAGACTTTTGTGAACCAAGGTGGAACCATTTGCTTTTTCTCCCTACTTGATTTCTCCAAAATTCAGAAACTATTCATATTATTTTTATTTATATAAGTTCAATAAAAATCTAATCCCTTTATATGAGGATACAATTAGAAACATTAGTTATATTACCAAGGCTTTGACTGAAAATGTCATATTTAAGAATGTGCATAAAACATCCGGCTTTAAGAGTTCTCAGCCTTATCGTGAGTAAAACCTGTCACTTCCTAGCAGGCCCAAGAACCTTAAGACCCTAAGTGAAGCCTAAAGTCTACCTCTCTTTGACTTCCTAGCCTCAAGAGATTTTTAAATCTGAAATTCCTATATGATCAATGTAGGAAAAAAACGTTTCTTAAAAAAAAAACTGCAATACACCTGTTGTTATCCACACGTACACCGGACTGTTTGATGAATTCTCCTAGTTTCCTCCAGGATTGGACTACAACACGCCAACTAAAAACAAAAGCTTCTGTTCGTAAAGCCCTTTAAGCTGAAACTATTCAAATTTTAAGAAACAAGTCTCATGCCTGATATATGAGCCACACAACAATATCATGACCAGAGACATTCAAACATAAATCAGGAGGAGAATCTGATGTTTTTGTGAAAGCTGTAGACAGCTTTTCCCATGACATCAGAACCATATCATAAGACTTTTACCCCCACTTAATGCTACTTTTTTCACTTGACAGGATAATGGTGTAATTGAAATTTCATAATCAATAGCTTCTGCTGGTAACTTAACAGAACCTAACCCAAGAAATCCTTTAGTATTCATTGGTTAAAAAAGAAAATATCTGTGCTATTGCTAGTACTACATGCTGTACCTAGATAAATCCCTCTGATAAAGTTGAGACCCATGTACACAAAATAAGAAAACAGGTAGCATGATTACATGGTCTCACCTAATTCCCTGTGGTCACTGGTCTACTCAATTAGTTGTTCTTAAGCCTAGGTTCATGGCTCAAAACCATTATGCAAATTGGAATTGTCATATTACTATTAACTTTGTTACTTGTTAAATTTCTGCAGAAGTACCACACCTAACAATAACGCTGGCCCAGCATTTTGAGTAACAAAGACTATGGAATAGACAAAAATCAAACTTAATAATGGAATCCAGGTAGACACAGCCTGAGAGTCATTCCCTTCAGACGTCCCTTCTTGCCCAAATGTGGCTTAAAAGCATTTTGACACGGACTCCTAGTTGCTAATCATTCTCCCCAACATGGGATGAGACTAGAAACCAGGACTGGTCTATGCTGGTACTATGGGATGTCAAAACCTAACTACAGGATGACTGATCAGAGAAAGATACTGATCAAAAGGGGAAAATGTGAAAGTTGTTAAAATAAAAATGGAGCCACTAATGTTAAGAAAACCCTGACAAAGAGAGCTGAGGAAGGCCATGAAGAGAAGGTTCTCAGGCTTCTATGACTGGTTAACAAAAAAGACTATAAAAAACACAGCTCTGCACAAAGGCCATCACAGCCTTATACAAAAAATATTTTTGCTGCAAGGACATCTGCCCAAGAAACTGTCTGTCCAATCTCAGACTGGCGTCCCCCTTGTTACTGATCTTTGTAGTCAAGGATTAAGTATTTCAAAACAATTATGTAATCCTCATTTTTTCCTTTAAAAACTTTTGTTTCCCTGAATAGTTTACTATGGCATGTGTATTCCCATTGCAATGTATTATTCTCAAATAAATGTCTTTTAGAGAGTCTATCTGCTTATTATTTAGGTTGACATAACAGTGCTAGAGACTCTAGTGGCAATCCACTAGGTGTTTAATAGGTACTTGTTAAATATACTAGCACACAGAATTGTGAAAAAGAGTCTTCAAGAAATTCAAATATTTTATGAAAACTACAAGATTCCAAATGGAATTAATTTAAAAATAATGCATCTGAATTTTAAGAACAAGTTGTTTTTAAAAATTCTATATAAGGACTAAGTATATAGTTTTAGGTTTTACATTTAAGTCTTTAATCCATCTTGATTTGATTTTTGTGTGTCGTGTAAGGAAAGGATCCAGTTTCCATCTTCTGCACATGGCTAGCCGCTTATCTCAGCACCATTTATTGAATAGAGTCCTTTCCCACACATAGCAAAATTTTCAAAATATAGAATAACTTTTAATGAGCCATAAGAAAATGCTAGTGCTGTTTTAATCTAAACCATTACCACAATGAGTTTACAGTTAGTGTAAAAATGACTTGAATATATTTTTCTAATATAACTCTTTTTCCCAAATCAGTTAAGCTAGCATGTAAACTCTATGGTAGTAGTATGGGTTACTACATCTGTCCTACATATTATTCTATACCCTAGAAACCTAGCATATTCTAGCCTTTAAATTCTAAGTTATTTGAGAAAGTTAAGTACAGCTTAGCAAAACTTGTTTATTCTAAGCTTTAACTCAGAACACCAATCAAGTAATTTTATCAGGATTGGCAAAGGACCATCTTTCTTTTCACCATTGCCTCAGTTGTTTAAAAAACAAAAACAAAAACTTAGTACCTGGCACAGATGTAGAATCCTCTGCACACCAGCGACAACTGCTCCAATGATCTGAGGTCCAAGTCACTAGACACCACCCATCGGAAGATGTACATCAGGACCTCCATTGGCAGCACTGCAAAAGAAAATCATCCTTCAGTGACTCTCCTCTATGTCATTCTATTGTCACAACTACATTCCCAGTACATTTATACCTTCCTAGAAATTTATAATCACACCCTCTGTATTGCTCAGAGCTAAAGCATGAATGTATTTAGCTACTCAATAATAATAATGGTTCTTAACATCAAGACATAAATATCTTTGTTTTTTCAGTATAGATCTGAAGCTACTTTTTATAAAGCACTCTTTTCCCTCATAAGATTATTTTGCCAGACATATTAAAATAAATGTTTTAGGAAAATAATCTATGTGTGTGTGATCCATATTGCATCTATTAACACTAAAGTTATTTTCATCTCCTTGAAAACTTTTAATTGTCCTCCTCTGAAAAAGCCCCGAACCAAACAATATTTAACATATTAAAAATACATGAATTTCTTTTTTTTTTGTGACAGGTTCTTGCTCTGTTGCCCAGGCTGGAGTGCAGTGATACAATCTCAGCTCACTGCAGCCTCTGCCTCCTGGGTTCAAGTAATTCTCGTGCCTCAGCCTCCCAAGTAGGTGGGACTACAGTCATGCGCCACGACGCCCAGCTAATTTTTGTATTTTTAGTAGAGGTGGGGTTTCACCATGTTGGCCAGGCTTATCTTGAACTCCTGGCCTCAAGTGATCCTCCCAACTCAGCCTCCCAAAATGCTGAGATTGCAGGCGTGAGCCACCATGCCCGAACAAAAATCCATTAATTCCTAAACATTCAGTCTGTCTCAGGACAATTGTCCAACATGGCTGAAATGCTTCATGATACCAGTATTCCTCCAGTTTTCTTAGGGCTACCTCAACAACTCAGACTTACCCTGTTAGATCTTTACTGAAAAAGGTATGGCATCCTTAAACAACAGCACTACAAACTGTTCTGCTTCAGATTGTAAAGCAGCTTACTACTGGGCTGGGCGCAGTGCCTCAGAGGCCTGTAATCCCAGCACTTTGGGAGGCCAAGGTGGGCAGATCATGAAGTCAGGAGTTCGAGACCAGCCTGGCCAACATGGTGAAACTCTGTCTTTACTGAAGATACAAAAATTTAGCTGGGTGTGGTGGCACACGCCTGTAATCCCAGCCACTTGGGAGGCTGAGGCAGCAGAATTGCTTGAACCCAGGAGGCAGAGGTTGCAGTGAGCCGAGATTGCACCACTGCACTCCAGCCTGGGTGACAGGGCACGTCTCCATTTCAAAAAACAAAACAAGACAAAACAAAACACAAAACAGCTTAATAGTATATGCAAATGATAATTATAACTAGATCTTCCACCATATTCTGAACTAAAGCAGCAGTTATCTGGCAAATTATCTGACCTTATAAATTTGGAAATCTTTAAGGTTAAGATATTTCTCACTGAGTTATGAAAAACAAGTATTCACACCTGATATGTGAATCTGACTGCTCTCAAGCTCAGGCTGACACAGTTTAAGCACAGACTCCTGAAATGTGAGTTGCTGCTGGAAGTAGGACAAGAGATCTGCCATTTTGCTGTCATCATCATTATCTTCAATGCTGAAAAAAGGGAGGTGAATAAATTAAGTGCCTCAGTCTACAAGCGTACAGTTTAGAAACTGATTTTTCATAGCATTTTCAAATTTGCTTTACAAAAAGTCACCTAAAGCTTATTCAACATGTGATACATTTTTAAATGTGATGAATTTATCCTGTCTTGCAAAGGAATACTGTATCAAGTTTTTCAAAGAAAAAAGCTTCAGTAATTATCATCCAGAAAGAATTAGAATTTTTGGATACAGGTGTTGAGATTTAACTAATTTTATTGTAAAGTAGAGATTTTATGAGTTACTGCAAGCTTTCAAATGGTTTCAAAAATCTTAACGTAGTATGTTCTTTAACCTTAATTTATTCTAACTGGATAAAAACCAAATCTACAGACGTCATCTGAGGTACTTACTTACCAAGGGTTTTCTAACAGATTTGCCTTATCAGCCTACCTTTAGAGAGGAAAATACCTACTTTGAAAACATCTTAGGGTTCACAAATCATCTACCAGTATACACAAATGTGTAGTGAATGGTGCTAGAAAAATGAGCTTTCTATTTTTACTGAAGTAAACCTTAAAGATGATCAGACTTACAAAGAGGATTGGATGAAGGCGAAGTTAGAAAACCAGGAAGTTTCAAGTGATGTAGACTTAAAAAAAACAAAAAAACAAAAAAAAAAACCAGGAAGGGCATTTTGTAATACAACAAAATATAAGTGTGGTTGAGGCTAGATGGACTCAATGGCTATTCTACAAACATGTTACAGGAAAGAAAAAAAAAGGCAAACTTTTAGGGCTTATCAGATCTTATTTAAAAAAAAAAGATGAATCCTTAAAGAACTTTCATAGCGTCTGGGTTTGTATAAAAAATGGGAAAGAAAAGAAATGCCTCTTTAATATTTTAATACAATCTTTCTTAACAGCATCTGGCACATATTTATAAAACTGGCTAAGAGCTGAGTCTAAACGACTCTACCCAAATTTAAAGAAGGTTTAGAAAAAACCCAAGTGATTCATTTTAAGTATGAACTACCTCATACTGTTAACTCTAATTTGGTGAACAATATTATTAGCTGAAAATTTAAACAGGCTATTAATATTGACCTTGTTGGGAATGTTTTTAATATGACTTATCCAAAGCTTAAGTGTTAATACCATATGCAGTTAAAAAACATTGGCAATAAGCATATGTTATCAATAAAGGTGACAATTATTTCATGACAGAGGGAATATATTAATATAATAGCTAATATAATATTTCATTACCAAAACTTTTTTCTCTGTACTGTCTATTTTTAACCTGACATTCTCTCATGGGTACAGACTCCCTTCTCTTCTAATATCAGCAAATTGAGTTTTGGGAGATAGTGCAATTAAGCCAAAACAATTTTATAATTGTCTTGCAAAAGTATTGCCTTAAAAATAAGTTTTCTTGATCTTTATCCATATAAAACCAATGCTACTTCATGGCTTTGATGCAGTGGCAACTATACAATTCAAACATGATTTCTTTTAGGAATATATTCTGCACCTGTGCTTTTAAATAAATGTTAGAGTTTTAATGTTTTACTAAAAACATTAAGAGAATAATAACATCTTTTATAGTTCAGCATTTTCCTAATTAGAAGCCTTTTTTAAAATGTAAAATTTCAAACATATACGTAAGGAAACTAGTGTAATAAACTCCCATGTACCCATCACTCAATTTTAACCATTATTAATATTTTGCCAAATTTAGCCTAATTACATTTTAAAACTTTCTACTTCAAATAGGTTTCAGAAAGTTGAAATGTGTCCTTTAATTTACTCCTTTCAGTAACTACTGCTTTTATTTTTTTAAACCGTTTTTTTGTATCTGTTTATTTTTGTATCTGTTTATTTTTGTATCTGTTTAAAAGGTGCATTTCTATGTGTTATCTTGCAATTTCCCTAATTAAAAAATTTCTACAACTTTATAAACAAAGATATACTAAAGAGTATAGAGCTCAACAGAATTAGCACCATCTTAAGAGTCAACAGGGCAAAGATGCTTAACTTTAACAAACTCTATGCATTACTATCTATCAAATTATATACGCACTAGCTGTTTCCAACGCCATCACCATCTGGAGACCGGGTATAAGTAATCTTGAACTCTATATCAGGTACAAGTTGCATAGCCCTACGATAAAACTTGATGGCTAAAAGAAGAAATAAAGCTAAATTAGCTGTGACCACACATTTTTGTCATTTCCTTTGATTACCCTTAACTGTGGTTTAATTTGGTAACTTTCTTTACAAACGGCCAAATTCTGTTTTTCTACATGCAACAGCAGTTCAGTGACACAAAACTATTTCCAAACCTTAATGCTCAGAAAGAAACTTTTCCCTAAACTTAAGATGTTGTATTTTACTCTTATATATTAGCCCTTCCCATATTTTTCCTCACCCTCTTACGTATCATGATTTTTAAATAGTTGTCTTTCTTTGGGCTCTGAAGATGCAATTGCTATAGCCAACAAAAATACTTCTCTCTTTTTTAAGACAAGGTCTCACTCTGTTGTCCAGGTTGGAGTGCAGTTGGCACGATCTTGGCTCACTGCAGACTCCACCTCCCAGGTCCAAGTGATTCTCCCACCTCAGTCTCCTGAGTAGCTGGGGCTACAGGCATGCCCCAGCCAGCACACTCAGCTAATTTTTAAATTTTTTGTAGAGACAACATCTTGCTATATTGCCCAGGCTGGTCTTGAACTCCTGGGTTCAAGCGATCCTCCCGCCTCAGCCTGCCAAAGTGCTGAGATTAGAGGTGTCAGCTACCATGCCTGGCCAAAAACACTTCTAAGCAAACTTTTCTAAGACACAGAGTTGAGGAAAATTAAATGCTTCCTACTGGGTGGAATAAAGAATAGTTTTTGTTTTTGTTTTTAAATTATCCTTTAAATTTAACTTCTTTTAGCCCAGCTGCCTCTTATTTACCTAAGTAATCTTCAAAACTTATTTTTTACAAATTTCCTAGACAGGTAGTTTAGAGCTGTAATATTCAATAACTCTCCCCACAGAGATACACCAGTAGAACTTGGAGCTGTAGAGGCTGACTAGTTCTTTTTCCCTACAAAGGAGTTTATGATTCAATATATTCTGCCATGTTCTATTATTCTGGATGAATTACACCATACACTAAGTGGAGATGCGAATTTCACAAACCAATGAAGGCTGCACAGGGACTTGATCAACTGGGCCTTTCTAAAAATCTAAAGAAAAATATCACTAGAAGAAACTTGCATATAAATGCAGTAACTCTGAATGATGTTAGTTTTGGGGCATTTTCAAACGATTCAAGCACAAGGATTTTTCCTATGCATCAATTATTATCTTTACTATCACAAAAGGAAAGCATAATTACAAACCTAATATGGCAAATAGTCCTATCACTTTATTTACACATTTCTATTGGGTTAATAAAAGACACAAAGCTGACACATATATTACCACATATTTCTTTTTTTTTTTTTTTTTTTTTTTTTTTTGAGACGGAGTCTCGCTCTGTCGCCCAGGCTGGAGTGCAGTGGCGGGATCTCGGCTCACTGCAAGCTCCGCCTCCCGGGTTCACGCCATTCTCCTGCCTCAGCCTCCCAAGTAGCTGGGACTACAGGCGCCCGCCACTACGCCGGCTAATTTTTTGTATTTTTAGTAGAGACGGGGTTTCACCGTTTTAGCCGGGATGGTCTCGATCTCCTGACCTCGTGATCCGCCCGCCTCGGCCTCCCAAAGTGCTGGGATTACAGGCGTGAGCCACCGCGCCCGGCCATTACCACATATTTCTGTTGGTAATATGTAAATTGGAACTTAGAAAGAAAAACATGTATTTTTTCCTCAATTTATCCTTTATATTCCCATCCTCTGAAGCAATTTTCACCTATAAAAAGAGCATATTTTAAAATGAATAATTTTTAAATACTTTATTAATGAAGAATAACTAAAGCTAAATGTAAAAAAAAGTTATTTTGCTCATCCTACCAACATGATGATGTTTCCCAGCAATATTTTTTTGCAAAAAGACAGGTTATATAGAAAAACAATTTCTATTTTTTATTTTTTAAAAAACAATTTCAAATATAGCTGGCCCTCTGTATTCATGGGTTTCACATTCTCTGATTCAACCAACTACAGATCAAAAATATTTAAAATAAATACAAATTTAAAAAAAAAATACAGTATAATAACTATTTACATAATAAGTAAGTTATATGTAAATATTACACCATTCATATAAAGGACTTGAGCATTTTGGTATCTACAAAGGGTCCTGGAACCAATTTCCAATGAGTACTGAAGGAAGAATGTATTAAGAAAAGTGATGTTCTATACCAAATAAGTTATAGAAAAAAAAATATGGTTAATAACAGAGTCATTATTCAGAAATGTTATGATATGAACCTGGGCTCTGAATTTTTACCTTCATAGAGAGCTCCATTTTGTTCTTCTTCTACTGCTTTTAGGAAGAGTTCTCGAGCCTATAAAAATATAAAGTAAAAATTTTTGAAAACCTGCATTAAAAATTAGTATGGATGGCAGAAGGAGAGCCTTTTTAATAAATTGTGCAAAATAACTGGATATTCATAGGCAAATTAATGAACCTTGACCTAAACCTCATACTTTACATAAAAATTAACTTGACTGGATCATGGACTTAAATGTAAAATCCATAAACCTTTTAGAAGAAAAGAAAACAAAGAAAATCTTGGAGACCTAGGACTAGGCAAAGAGTTCTTGACACCAAAAGCACCATTCACAAAAGGAAAAACTGATAAACTGGACCTTGTCAAAATTAAAAATTTTTGCTCTGTGAAATGCCCTGTTAAGAGGATGAAAATATTTACAAGCCACATATTCAATAAAAGACTTGCATCTAGAATAAAGAACTTCCAAAACACAACATCAAAAATATTAGCATCTGGCTGGGCGCGGTGGCTCACGCCTGTAATCCCAGCACTTTGGGAGGCTGAGGTCGGCAGATCACCTGAGGCCAGGAGTTCGACACTGGCCTGGCCAACAAGATGAAACCCCATCTGTACTAAAAATACAAAAATTAGCCGGTTGTGGTGGCACACGTCTACAGTCTCAGCTACTCTGGAGGCTGAGGCAGGAGAATCAGTTGAACCTGGGAGGCAGAGCTTGCTGTGAGCTGAGATCGTGCCACAGCACTCCAGCCTGGGGTGACACAGTGACACTCCATCTCAAAAAAAAAAAAAAAAAAAAAAATAATTATATATATATATGTAATCCAATTAGAAAAGACATCAACAGATATTTCAGAGAGAGAATATATATTAATAGATGAAAAATAAGCACATGAAAAGATGTTCAACATCACAAGCCATTAGAGAAATGCAAATTAAAATGACAATGAGATACCACTACATACCTATCAGAATGGCTATTAATAAAATTAAAGGCCAGGTGCAGTGGCTCACTCCTGTAATCCCAGCACTTTGGGAGGCTGAAGCAGGTAGACTGCTTGAGGTCAGGAGTTCGAGACAAGCCTGACCAACATGGTGAAACCCCAGGCTCCCAAAGTGCTGGGATTACAGAAGTGAGCCACCGCACCCAGCTAGATTGCTAATATTTTTAATATTGTGTTTTGGAAGTTCTTTTTGCATTCTAGATACAAAATACAAATTTGTAAAAATACAAAAATTAGCCCAGCGTTACTGACGGGGCCTGTAATCCCAGCTATTTGGGAGGCCAAGGCACGAGAATCGCTTGAACCCGGGAGGCAGAGGTTGCAGTGAGCTGGAATCACACCACTGCACTCCAGCCTGGGCGACAAAGTGAGACTCTGTCTTAAAATAAATAAATAAATTAATTAAATTAAATTAAAAAGTAGCAACACTAAATGCTGATGAGGATGAACTGGATCACTCATACATTGCTGGTGGGAACTTAATATAAGATACTCTAGAAAACACTTTGGCAGTTTCTTTTAAAATCAAACATGTACTTACTATAGAACTTAGCAATTGTACTCTTGGGGTTTCATCCCAGAGAAGTGAAAATTATGTTCATGAGAAAACCTACACACATATTTCCATAGCTCCATTCATAACAGCCAAATATTGGAAACAACTCAAATGTCCTTCAACCAATAAATGGTTAAACTGGGGTACATCCATACCATGCAATACTATTCTGCAATAAAAAGGAACAAACTACTGATACATAGTAACTTGGACTGATCTTGAGGGAATTATACTTAGTGAAAAAAGCCAATCTCAAAAGGTTACATACTGGATGATTCCACTTATACAACATTCTTGGAATATCAAAATTACAAAATGGAGAACAGACTAGTGGTTGCCAGTGGTTACGAATGGCTAGGGAAAGGGAGTATATAACTATAAAACAGTTCTGTATCTTGATTGTGGTGGTGGTTACATGAAGCTACCTTGTAATAAAACTGCAAACAACTATTTATACACATACACACAGACAAGTGCTTGTAAACTCAGGAAATCCAAGTAAACTGTGGATTGTTCCAATGTCTATTTCCTCGTTTTTGATATTGTACTATAGTTATGCAAGTTGTTACCATCGGAGGAGGTTAAAGGGCACACAGGACTTCCCTATACCTGTGGACCTGTAATTATTTCAAAATAAAAATTAAGAGGAGATAGAAGGTAAGTCATCATGGTAATGCCAATTATTTGATGACTAATTATAAACACAAACTTGGATCTGATGGTAAAAAGATGGCAGCCTCTATGGAAGAAGAATAAGAAATGAAATGGTATGCTGTGCCTACTCTGTGTGAGTAAGTACCAGAAGAGATATGAATGTTAGACAGCATTCAAAATATTTTCAGTGTGAAAATATTTCAAAATTTTCCAGAATAAGGAAATGATTAATGCATTATTGTAAGCTGATCAATTCAAAATATAACAAAATACTGCATGAAATTAAGACCTCTGGAAAGACATTAACATGTGAGCAATCTTTTTGGTTCTATTAATAAATTTAGAAAATTCTGTTTTTTCTTTTTGGTTCTGTTAATAAATTCAGAGACACCAATCTTTTAGGAACCACATGAATCCCAGAGGTCTATAAATTAACAAAAGACAGCTCAATGAAGACAGTGTACCCACAGAGAAAAAAGCCATGCAGGAGTAGTGGTACCATCCAAAGTACCTAGAAGAAATTGTGAGAAATATATAAACTAGTATACTAGTCAAAATTTTTATTTTACAAGATATGTGTTTATGTCCCGAAAGTCTGGTTATAATGCCTACTTACTGTGTCAGTGAAAATTTCCATGTGCCAAAAAAAAAAAAATGTAATTTGTTACAATATCTATAATACTTAACTTTTCTTCTTTTGCCTGTTCTTGTTTTCCTTTGGTATCTGCCGATGTTTTCTGGAGAGAGCCTCTTGCTGCTCTGCAAGGTCGATTTTCTAAATTGCTAGAGCTTACACCTGGAGCAAGTTCAAACATCCACTGAGCTCGGAACATCTGGAGTTGTGCCTATGGGGAGAACAGCATTTTAGGACTCATCAAGGAAGGGTAGCTCAACTCTGGAACAATGTATCAATATGTCCAACATCTATCTACTTCCACGTATATACTTATTACTCTAAGTCCAGAAATCACTGTCTTCTGAATTATTAAATATCCATTAAATACATCTTTTAAAATAATTTTCTGCTCAAAACTTAAAGAATCAAGAAAATTAGCATAAAATACATGTCAGTACACCAAAAGTCAAATTATATTGGAAAACCAAATTTTAATTAGAATTGAAAATATAAGCCATCACTTACAGACTGAAGTTATAAGCTTCCAATAATTTTTTAATGACTATATCATCTAGTAGACATTAAGAATGCTGCCAAAAATTCTGTAGGTAAGCCCAAAATCTATTAACATTCTGTATTTCAAAAAGAAAATGTTTTTTCAAATATTTGTTATTTCAAAAATGTAAAGGCCAGGCACAGAGGCTCATGCCTATAATCCCAGCACTTTGGGAGGCCGAGGCAGACGGATCACCTGAGGTCAGGAGTTCGAGAACAGCCCGGCCAACATGGTGAAACCCTGTCTCTACTAAAAATACAAACAAATTAGCCAGGTGTGGTGGCGGGCACCTGTAATCCCAGCTACTTGGGAGGCTGAGCCATGAGAATTGCTTGAACTCGGGTGGCAGAGGTTGGCAGTCAGCAGAGATCGTGCTACTGCACTCCAGCCTGGGCAATGGAGCGAGACTCCATCTCAAAAAAAAAAAAAATTAAAAGCACATAAAAAGTGAACCCTATAAGGTAGACTCTGGTGTGTTGCCCAGATTCCCTTTCAGAAATAAAGAACTTGTTACCCAAACTGCTGAGAGTTCTATCTGAAAACACTTGAGTTGTCAGCCCTTTTGGGTATTGCCTCAGCAAAATCACACTGTCCTCTCAATCCCCACCCAATGACTGATCAACGGCTAATAAAGTCTTGGCTCTTTGCAACTCAGGTCATCTCTGAAAGGGTATTTCATCTTCAGAACTCCCTCGAGGATGGCTAAGCAGTCCATTAAGACTGCATTGCAGCTGGTCTTCTCCCTGCCCATTTGTTTCCCTCTCTCCCTTCCATAGGTGTTGATCCCAAGAATACTCCTTAATAAACTTCCTGCACAGCAATCTTCACCTAGTCTGCTTCCTGGGGAACCCAAACTGGGTTACACGTTCTGCCCAAAGGCAGCCATTGCTAACAGGGATGCATATGTTATTCCTGGCTTCCTTTTTTTTTTTTAAAAAAAGACGTATCTAGAATGTTTTAAATTAATTTTTCTCTATATTCTGTACACTGCTTTGTTGCTACGCTTTTAACCTGTTACACATAGATCTCTGACCTGCAGAATCTTTAGCAGCATTCAATGTCTACTAGATGAGCTGTTCCAAATAATTATTATTAACCTTACAAGTGCAGTGAGACACACTTAACTAGTTACAGCAACTTTTTTTCTCTTTTAATGTATAAAGATTTACTTCATCCTTTTAAATGGCTGTAGTGTTTTCACTGTATGGATGCATCATTACTTAATAACAGGTAATGAATATTTAAGTTGTATGATGTTTTTCCAGATAAACAATGCTATACTAAACATCTTTATAGTTGCATATTTACTTTCCCCACTATTTCCTTAAAATTAATTTCCTGGAAGTAGAATTGCTGTATCAAGGGAATGCATGTTTTTCATTTTGATCCATATCACCAGTCTGCCCTCCAGAAAGCTGTACCAATTTACATTTTCATGTACACTGCATGAGTGTTCTCACAGCTTGGACAGCGATGCACATTATTCACCAATCTGATTAAATTATTAATGAGGCTAATTATCTCTTCAAATATTTAATGGCCATTTGTATTATTTTGCCATTAACAGTCCACTCATATCTTTTTATCCTCTGTTCTTCCAAATATATGAGTGCTCTATGTAATGAGATGAATCCTCTGCCCATATATAATAAACAGTTTTTCCAGCTGGCTATTTCTCTTAACTTTATTTATGATGCCTTTTCTTATACACAGGTTTTAAACTTTTAGGTGGTCAAACCCATCAATCTTTTTAAGATTATGGGTTTTGAGTCATGCGTAAGCCTTAGTTTGAATACTTTAAACCCATGTTAAACTACAAGCAACCATTATTGATATTTCTTTTCACAAAGAAAGCCATAACATAGTTTTAAGTATTCTATAAACCAGTATGGAAACAGTTAAATTCCATGCAAACAGTAATAACCTACAAATACCCATGATTATGATCAATTTCTGCATATGTATGGGAACAATGGAATAAAAATCAAAGACACAATTGAAGAAACATGCCTGCAGATCTGTTTCAGCAGGACTTTCATTTTCTTCATCATCATCTGCTCTGACAGTATCAGAATGACAATCTTCCTCAGCTTCTGCCTGAGGGGGGAAAACCCAAATAATGTCAGGCATATAAACACACCAGTTGCCCTCTGCAATCTACATTTCTCATTCAGCCACTTTCTATTTAGTACCATACTGTCAACACTTTGTGGAACCCACTTTGAGTAGCAAGGCTGTAGGGGGCACTTGAGACCTTACTATTAATTTCCAAAGGAAAATGAGTCTGAAAAGCATATTCTCTACTCCAACCCACAGTACTCACGTTATTGTGAATCCTAACATTTCCCCCCCGCCAAATTTAACATCAGTTGCATCCATCCAAAAATCAATTTAATTACAGTTGTCCCTCAGTATCCACAGGTGATTAGTTCCAGGAGCCCCCAGGACACCAAAATCCCTGGGTTTTCCAGTCCCTCATATGGCATATTTGCATATAACCTATGCACATCTTCTCATATACTTTAAGTCATCTCTAGGTTACTTATAATGTAAATGCCATGTAAATAGTTCTTGTAGTATATTTTTCCTAATTTGTATTATTTTTTATTGTTGTATTGCTTTTTTTCCCCCAAATATTTTTGATCCACAGTTGAATCCCAGGATGCAGAACCTGCAGGTACAGAGGGCCAACTGTGTAATATAAAGTAACAATTCAAGTCTATTACTATTCATAAATGATTTATGATTAATCTAATTAGGTAAATGAAGCCAAATTCTTCATTAATATACATAACTACTGATAATCTATAATAAAAATTATTTTCTCTTTTTCTGGCCAGGTGCGGTGGCTCACACCTGTAATCCCCACACTTTGTGAGGCTGAGGCAGGAGCATCACTTGAGGTCAGGAGTTCAAGACCAGCCTAGCCAACATAGTGAAACCCCATCTCTACTAAAAATACAAAAAATCAGCCAGGCGTGGTGGTACACGCCTGTGGTCCCAGCTAATTGGGAGGCTGAGGTGGGAGGGTTGCTTGAGCCTGAGAGATGGAGGTTGCAGTGAGCCGAGACTGCACCATTGCACTCCAGCCTGGATGACAGAGACCCCATCATAAAAAAAAAAAAAAAAAAAAAAAGGAAAAAAGAAAAGAAAAATATTATTCTTCTTAGAAAAAAATGAAATAAAATTAGAACATCTTTGGTATTTTTTTAGTTCTACAAGACTTTAAAACTTTTTATGAGAAAAACACTTAAAGAGAATTAATCCCTAAGTACTCATGACCCAACTTCAATAATTATCAATGTAATTCCTTAGATCAAATATCAAGTCACAGTATTCATATTTCTCAAGATGTCATATGTAAAATACATATATTTCACAGTTTGTGAAATCAAGATTCAAATAAAGTCCACATTGTAATTGCTTGATATGTCTCAAGTCTTTTGTAATCCTCACTCTTTTTTCTTGTAATTTATTTGGGATGAAACTGGGTCGTTTTTCTGTAGAAGCTAGATTTTGCTGAGGTGTCAATAAATATGTTCCTTTGACCTCTTACTCTTATTTCCTATAAATTGTGGCAGGATCTTGAAAGGCTAGATTAGATTCTGCTATTTCTTTTTTCTTTTGCAAGACTGCCTCATAGGTCATGTTGTATTTTCCATCAGGAGGAGAAATGTTCTAGAATGCAGTTGACAAGGTGCTGTGACAGATGTTCCAAACATAATTGAGTCTAAGGCAAAAAGCCCAAATAATTTTAGTGTCCATAAACTTCTACAAGTCCCAAAACAGAAAATACTCTAATGTTTCATGTTAATGAAATACAACATTGCTTCTTTATAGTTATCTTCTTCACAGGTAAGTTTAATGATACCAATCAGATATAACTTGATACTTGAATTTTTTTTGATACTGTAGAATAAACAAATCCACTGGGTTCTAGGTTAAAATGTATTGTTAGGTGGCTAAAAATAACAACTTTGTTTCAGAAAATAGTAACATTTAGTTGTCCTATGGAGTTCAGCAAATAGTTATTGCTTTCTTGGGACAGAGTCTCCTTATGCAGCCCAGGATGGCCTCAAACTCCTGAGCTCCAAAGATCCTTCTGCTCCACCTCTTGAGTAGCTGAGACTACAGGCTTGTGCAGCCATACCTGGCTGTAGCAGATAGTTTTTGCTTCATGGATCACTTAAGAGAATACAGTCCAGGCAGGGTGTGGTGGCTCATGCCTGTAATCCCAACACTTTGGAAGGCTGAGGTGGAAGGACTGCTTGAGCCCAGGAGTTTGAGACAAGGCTGGGCAACATGGCAAGACCCCGTCTCTACAAAAAATACAAAAATTACCAGGGGGTGGTGGTACACAGTAGCCCCAGCTACTCGGGAGGCTGAGGTGAGAGGATTGCTTGAGCCTGGGAGATGCAGGTTGCAGTGAGCCGAGACTGCACCACTGCTCTCCAACCCAGGAGACAGAGAGAGACCCTGTCTCAAAAAAAAAAAAAAAACACATATATATATATATTCCGTAAGATGATGTCACTTCTTTTATACAGCTAGCATGTTATTAAATGTGTTCTATGAAAATATGACTTCTGTGTATTTTATATGTACTAGGAAAGCTTAGTCAAAGACTTTTAATAGTAAATGCTTTTGTAAAGAAACCCCTTCTATTTTATCTGTCTATAAATCCAATTTTTATATATTGGATCGGCTTCAGTGGAATAAAGCTAGACTGGAATTACTGTGTGTGACTTGGAGCCTAATAAAGGTTTCAATCAGATGACTTTAATTTTATCCTTTTATTCTCAATAAATGTTTGCTAAATTAAACTAAATCCTACCTTCCAGTGAAAATGGCATGTTGCCTCAGTTCAGTCTGTTAGCTAATAGATTTATTAGGAAATGAAACTTGCTCAACACTTACTGTAAAGAAATGTGGCAATCAGGGAAATGGCCTTCAAGGTAAGCTAGATAATAATAAAACCCATTTAATTTTACTGGTTCCAAAGATGGTAAGTTTTACAATTGCAAATTTTAGTCATATGTTATTTCAGGGCGGCCAGGGGGGGGAGGGTAATGTTTATATTAACACACATCTTTAACACAGCTACCAGATATACTTGCACTATATTACAGAACATAAATTAGCCTTGCCTCCTATCTTATCTCTGGCAAGCAGACTCAAAGCAGAGGTGCCTTTCAGACTTGAACCAGTTAGTATATGGTAAAATGCTGGGCACACTGTAAAGCACACATCTGTGAAGAAATAAATGAGATCAAGAACTCAGATGAATTTCTAGAAAAATGGAAAATTTAAGGATTAATGTATTGTCAAATACATTATTTTTTAGTTTCTTTAAGTTGGGAGCTTTTCCTACTAAGAACACCATTAGTAGGAAAATATGTAATGAAAGACTGAGCGTATAAATCCCACTGAGAAGTGTATTTCTCTCTCTTCTCAAGAGTCTGCTTTATTATTGCAAACTCTAAGTACAGGTAATGCGAGGGGACCTGAGTTCTGTGGGGTATCCTTTGTAATTTAGTTTTCTAACTCTTGCCTAGCAGTCATTCTAAACTGACTTCAAGAGCTTCCCCTGCTCTGTCCAGTTGGCTTGCATACGCTGCTTGCTCTATCTGGAATGCCTTCTTCCTCACTTAGCTATTTCTACTCATTCTTCAAGATTCAGCTCAGGGTTCATCTTAGTCAGAAGCATTTTTCAACATTTTTGTGTTCCCATAACACTTGTGCTTACTTTTATCACAACATTTGTACTGAGGTTGGCTGTTTCATTTACTAGATTTAAGGCATCCAGGACAGGAACACATCTCAGTTACCTCTGTAACCATAAGGTCAAACACATTGCTTGATTTGTAGTAAAGGCCTGTCTAGGCCTCAGCTGTCATGTCTATGGGACATCTATAAAGAGGTATGGTGATCTACTGAGGTCCCTTTTCATGTGACATTCTGTGATTAAAAGTTTATCATAAATCACCTTGCAGGTTTGGTTATATTGAAGATCTAGTATTGTACCAGAGTCTCACACTATGCCAGGCTAATAGGTACTCAAAAATATTGGCTGAATCGACAAATAAAATGCCATCTGGATAATGTGTATCTGAAGGATGAGGAAAGGAAATGGGAGAAGTGTAATATAGACAGCATCTTTCTTCTCCCCTGTGTTACAGTGGAGCTCTAAACCATTCTTACTTTGATTTTGACAGTATGATCACAAAAACAAACTATTATATCTGGGATCGGCTGAGTTGACATTTGGTCAATTCAACTACTACTTGAAATAAGTAGGGCCTCAGATGCCACCTGGAGGTTTTCCTTTTATTTTTCATAATCGAGTTTGACCTAAATATCACCTTCACTTGAATAGCTCATGTGTATGAGTAGTCCATGTCTTCATCATGTTACTCCTGTTTCACAGGTGCGATTAATAAATTATAAAGGCTAAGTACTTAATCCCGGTCAGAGAACTACTTCTGAAAGTTTAGGGGCAGGGGCAATTGCCTTTTCTATCCTCCAGATTAATTTAATAAAAATAAATTCAGCCATTCATTTATGCAATAAATATTTGAGTCCACTATAAATTAAATCGTTTGGAATTATTGCATCCCTGATTCTTTAAGCCCCAGCCAGAGATTAGTTTCTCAGATGAACAATTTATTCTAAACCAAAGAAAGGCATAGGGCAGAGACTACGTATTCCAATATGGAACAGTCTCATGGAATCTGCACTGTCAAGCTCTGCAACTTAGCTCAGTCTCTCATTTGGACGGCACCGACGCCGCGGAGACGAACCCTCCAACCCCACTCCGCCAGGACCGCCTGCCAACATCCTCCCAGGGAATGACGCCTCGCGGGGCAGATGCGTCCTACACCCAGGGCTCCTCAAGGTGCCGGCAGGGACTGTCGGTGGGCCTGGCTTTTCCGCAGAAGAGCAATCAACAAGTGTCTCCTCTTGCCAGAGCTCCCTCCCGAATTCAGGCGCTGTGACAGCTTACCTCAATCTATGCTCAATGCTTCTGATAAAATCCCTTGAGAGGACCGAGACTGGTTCAATATACTCAGTGAGCCGAGAAGGGACATTTTCCCCGGCTGTCCTGCAAACCCTCCTCCTCACATCGAGCTCGGCGGGGGTTGGGGAGGCTCAGCAGGAAGGAATCCTGGGGAGAAGCCAGGGTTGGCACCCCCCGCCCCCCGACGCACTCCTTCTCAGGCCAGGGCCCTCTAACGGGTGGCAGCCGTGAAGCTCCCACTCCTCCCCAGAGTCCCCGCCGACCCCCAGCCCTAGGCCCGGCCCCTCTGCACACCACGCTCCCGCCCCGCGGCGTCCACCCTCGAGCCCCCTGGCCAGGTTACCATGCTGGCGGGGCGGCCTGCTGCGCTCGAGGGGCTCTCCGTGCCCCCTCTGCACCGCCCCCCGGAGGAGGGGTGCTGGGTGTCCGGGTGTCTACTCCTGCCTGTCTCTGCAGCGGAGCTTAGCAGAGTTCTCGGTCGGAGAAGCGCACCAGGCAGCGGCAATAACTGCGGGCCCGGCGTACGGCAGCCATCTTCGCGGGGCAGGGGGCCAGATCGGGGCGCGCTGGGGTGGCGGCGGCTGCCGGGGACTCGGGGAGTGGAGGGACGCCCGTTGCCAGCCGAGGCGGGGGATTGTGCGAGCACCGGAGCGTCAGCCCTACTGGAGACCCCGGACGCCGCCGCGGAGCTGCCCCCTCAGCTGCGGAAACCTGCGCCGACGCGCCGAGCATGCGCAGTGCCGGTGCTGCCCGTGTGGGCGGCCCGGCCACCCATCCCCGCGGGCTGCCTAGTGGAGGGCTAAGGGTCGCGGACCTACTGTGTGCGCGCGCCTGACGCGGGGGGTGAGGCTGCCCGGGTGCCGAACCTCAAGCCCAACCCGCGTGTTGGGCTGAGTGAACACTTAAGCGAACTTGAACAAGCATTACCTCAAAAATTTTTACAACCCAAATTTAGGGGTGGGCCCTTAAAGCAAGCCGCCCTGAGAAGCATCGAACTGGACGCTTGGGACAGTCGCTACAAAGTCCTCGGAGCCTCTGGCTAGAGTCCCGCGCCAGGAATGCAGGAAAACAGTGAAATTTCTCAACAGTCACAGTTGTTATAACGACTAAAGTTTTTGAGAGCACAGACAGACTGGAGATTGAGGAAAAGACGCGCTTTGGCGCCCAGCAGGAGGAAAGAGCCAACGCAAGGCATGTCTCACTACAGATCCCATAATGCAGTGCGAAAAGGGCTTGCGATTCCATGGCCCTGAAACCCAAGTGCCGTGGAGACGGCGCCCGCGAGGCACTCTGGGATTTGTAGTCGGCCGCTCAGGTTTGAGCACCGGAACTTACACTTGGTCCTCGGCCCCACCTCTTAAAGCCCAAACTACCTGATTTCTTCTTGAGTGAATGTACTTGTTCATAAGGTGATACTTTGCTTTTACACAATTTAAATCTTTTTAACTACGGGTTTGCCTGTTTTGTGAAAACTGATAGGCTTCATAGCCTATAACTTTAATTTAGCAAACATTTACTGAGTTTTTAAAGTTTCTAGTGGTGCCAGGGACTAATAGGCTTCCAAACATTCAACGAGTTTACAGAGTTTAAATTTCTAATCCATTCTATTCTGGAGAGATTAAAAATGCAGTATATCCGCTGGGCGCGGTGGCCCACGCCTGTAATCCCAACACTTTGGGAGGCCGAGGCGGGTGGCTCACGAGGTCAAGAGTTCGAGACCAGCCTCACCAACATGGTGAAACCCCGTCTCTACTAAGAATACAAAAATTAGTTGGGCTTGGTGGCGCGCTCCTGTAATACCAGTTACTCAGGAGGCTGAGGCAGGAGAATCGCTTGAAACCGGGAGGCAGAGGTTGCAGTGTTCGCGCCACTGCACTACAGCGTGGGCGACAGAGTGAGACTCCGTCTCAAAAAAAAAAAAAATTGTAGTACATCTTTGGCACAGAAATGGAGGTGAAAGTGCTGAGGGAGGGGAGAGAGCGAGAGAGTGAAGGGGAGAGAGAACGAGCTACAATAAGGAAGTCCAAATGCCGTGTTTTGTTTTGCTGAGACAGAGTCTCGCTGTAGCCCAGGCTGGATTGCAGTGGCGCCATCTCGGCTAACTGTAACCTCCGCCTCCCGGGTTCAAGGAATTCTCCTGCCTCAGCCTCCTGAGTAACTGGGATTACAGCGAGCGCCCCCAAGCCCAGCTAATTCTTGTATTTTTAGTACAGACGGGGTTTCACCATGTTGGTGAGGCTGGTCTCGAACTCCTGACCTCGTGATCCGCCCGCCTCGGCCTCCCAAAGTGCTGGGATTACAGGCGTGAGCCACTGCGCCCGGCCTGCCATGTTTTAATATTGGGATCCACCCTTCGGATGCGTGTGTTTTTATTTGCACCCTAAGTCAGCTACCTATAAAAAATGCCTTACTGTTTAAAAGAGGCCAAAAATTTAAATTTTTTGTTTTAAAGGAGACTCTAGGGCTTAAGTCTTTTTAAGGATAAATTTCCTCCCAATGAACTCCTTAAAATTGAATTTTGAAATTTAAATTGGGGGGAAAGGTTAAATCTAAGATTTATAATAGAATAAAATGATAAATGTGACTCTTACATACTGAGAATGAAGTATTGAAATAGTTTGGGAACAAATCTGTTTCATTTAAAATGTTGAGTGCTAGTTTAAAATAGCCTGGTCAATTACACAGATGGTTTCTTTTATTCTAGCAAGTAATTAAAGCTTAATAAAATAATATTTGTAAAGATAAATTGAGCATTAAAATACTGTTATGCTTCATAGCTACTAATTTTCTATTTTCAGTCAGTTCCACAGTATCCACTAGACCTCATTACAAGGTTATATTCTCATATTATATTTACAGGATTATAATTTCCTGAGGCCAAAACTACTGATCTAGGCTACTTACTAGCCTAGCAGACTCTTGCTAAAAGGTAGACCAAGACAGTACCTTTGTTTGCCAGGTAGACCTGCTTGGACAATTTGACTAAAACTGATCATTTTACTTTAGAAATTGCTTTTCATGGGAGTAGTATATGACTTGTTAGATTCCTTGTCGTGTCTCTATCTTTTCACTGATAATGATTTTCAGTTTTCATTTGCCATATGGGCTGGCTGTTAAATAGGTAAACACAAAGGTAGATATCAATGTTATACATATGTCAAGTGGCCAGATGACCTTTTTCCATTTGGGAGAGGAAATCTAAAGAAGCTTGACTGTCTTATATCTTGCATGTTTCTTCCACAAGATCAAGAGGAGAGAAGGATTCAGGTCTTGGTATAGATTTTTTCAGTAAAAAACAATCTTCAGTCTGTAGAATTCAAAAATAAAAATAGTGAGAAAAAAACTGATATGATCAGCTGGGAATTGTAAACTCAGAGAACAGTCCACAAAGTGTCAAAGGGTTACTGCTTTATTAATTAAATTTGTGTTGCTTACAGCAGTGTGACCCAGCAACATTAGCACCAGAAACTCTGAGAGTGCAGCCCAGGAGTTTGTTTTAACAAGTCCTCCAGGTGGTTCTGATGCTTCCCGCTAATGTTTAAGAACTGTTGGCTTAGAACAATTATGTAAATTTAAAATCAGGGACCTGGAAGCAACTTCTTTATTCAAACCGCTCTAGCCTTATAAGGATGATTTAAGGTAATGTCTACAATATCACTTATGACATAAATCAATGTGTTATAAAATTACGTGTTAGTGTCAGATTCCCTATAACTAGTTACAGAGGACGATTGTTGTGTAGAGGATATCTGACTAGAGTCAGTTTCCCATCTGGGTTAAGAGTCCAGTCTTTACAACTACTTGCTAACAACATAAAAACTCTTAAGAGTTCAAAGGAATGCTAACAGGCAATCAGTTGCGTTTTCATTTTATTTTTCTGTAAAGGTAACATGAAATTTGCTGTTTAACCACTTTGAATACAATTCAGTGGCATTGATTACTTTCACAATGTCGTGCCACCTCAACTACGTTTTTTCAAATCAGAAAAATGTTTTCACAACGATTATCTTTAATTTAATGTGCTCAGAACGTCCATCGACAGCCTCCATTTCTAAGTCTTGATGGTTGATCGAGCCGATCTGCAACGAGGCGTTCGTTCGGAGTCGGAGATCGCCTTGCGGTCAGCGGGGGTTAGGGGTCCCTGGGCGCTGTGCTGCCCTCGGCCCAGAGCTGCGCCTGGCGGCTCGGCCGCGCGAGCCAGGGCGAACAGGACGCAGTGCAGGGACGCGCAGGGCCAGCGAGGGGAGCTGCAGGGTAACTTTTCCCAGGGAAAGCGGCCGGTCGTCCCCAGTAGAAGCCACCCAGCCTTTTGTTTGTTTTCCTGCCGGAGGCTGGAAAACGGCCGGGTTCCTGCTGCACTACCATGCGCCGTGCGGCCCGTGCGACTCGCCGGACCTCGCGGGCGTCCCTGTACGGAGCCCTCGGCCGGTCCTAGCAGGGATTGTCCCCATTTCCAGCTCCGGAGCGGGCGGCTGCGCCCCGCTCGTCGAGGAGCTGCGCTCACCTCAGGGGCGGGCCCCCGCCTGCGTTCGCGGCGCCAGTAAGTGGGGCTCCGGGATTTAGGGGCTTCTGCCGGGCGACCTGTCACTGTAGTAGCTGCTGGGATGGGGCGGCGGGGAGACCCCTGGCCGTGGCCCCGCGACGGATCGGAGGCGCAGGAAGAGGCTAATGGGTTATAGTTTCTTTCCGCGATCCTGTGGATCTCTCCTTCCTGGTATGAAAACTCGGAGCCTGGAGGATTTTGACGGGTGTTTATCTTTTAGTCTTAAGGAGGGGGAAGACCCTAGCTAATTTGAAGCCTCGTTGCGGGGCACGTTGAGGACTTGCTTTCGGAATTTCCCTGACTAGGCCCTTGGCTGTCCCACAAGGGGTCTGAGCAAAAATCCTCGAGTACTTATTTGCAACCATTTTTTACTGGATTTCTTTCTGTTCTGATTTCTTTCTTACTAATCTGAGTAGCTGTTATGAGAAGGATATTGACGGATATTCCAGAACAACTGATTCTTTTGTAATGTTAACCTTTTAAAGTTTGACTTTGACACTAACATTAAGGACTTATATGTAATATAGCTAATGCATCATTCTGCAGAGAAGAGTATTCCTTTCCACTTACAACTAAATAAGACCTGCTTTTGCTGGAGCTGTGCTAGGCTGAGGGAATTCCACACTGAATTTTACAAGCGGGATGGATTTCTCTAAGGTATGGGCGCTTGTGGGGTTTGAATTTTTTTGTTTGTTTGTTTGGCCGGTAGAACTCTTTGTAGTAACAGAAGTTTGATAGTTACAGTTTTCATTTCTCACATTTCCCAGTGAGTGGAGTTTCAGGGTGTGCTTCAATAGTGAATGGCACCATTGCCGAATATAAAGTTTAAATGAGCTTTAAATTTCTGTAGTCAACATATAAATTATTAAGAAGAATTTGTGTCTCAATCATTTGCTGAACTGTGCTGGGAGTTAATATATGCATAAATATGCACATTTAAAATAGTTTCTGAACAATGCGCTACAATTTGGTAAAGACTCTTTAAGGCTTTCCTGTCTACTTGAGGACCAGGACTTGTAAAACACTAGAAGTAGATGTAGAAAGGAAAGCAGTACTGGGATCCTTTATTTAAAATGACATCCGGTACCATTCCCCATTCTCTAAGTGACTCTGCCCACTTTTTATTTCTCCCTTTCTGCTTTGCCTTATCCCCTTCTCCAAAGTCAAAACTGGTGGCCAGGCAGCAGGGAGGCCGTCACATTTCCTAATGAAACCAATCTAGGTTCAGATGGTGGAGGGGTGTGCTGGAGGGTTATTGGAGCCTGTCTGATTAGGTAGACCCCTGCTGTCCTTGCCAAGGGAACTCAGCATTTAATCACAAAGAAAAGGCCTTTTCACTGAAGTTTCTTCTCCACAGACTAAGTGTAAATGAACTACTAGGATATCAAACAAGCCATTTAGCAGTTTTATTTATTGACTGTTCAACATCATCAGAGCCCTTTTTATACTTTATTGTTTGTTATTCTCATTGCTTTTTGAGGTTCCTAGTACAGTGGAAATTATGTTAATCTTGAAACATTGGAATTATCTTTAACCATCTTTTCCTTCATTTCCTTCATCCTCTGTATCAATGAGTCATCAAGACCTTTGAAATATGTTTTATATGGATCCCTCCTTCTATATTCTAATCTAGTCCTCACTCTTCCACTCCTGCAGTACTGCAACAGCCTCCCAAGCCTGACTCTTAGTAAGCTCTCATTAAATGGTTGCTGAATGAATGAATGAATGAGAAGCATCCCTCTGGTCTTTTCAGTGTTCTATTGCCTGTCTAATCTTTAAAATGATCACTTCATCATATCTATTCTGGACGTGCAACCTTCAGTTTCTCTCCATTATGTACTATCTCAAGTCTAAAATAATATGCCTGACTTCTCAAGGCCTATCATAATCAGCCTTTCCCTTCCTATCTAAAATCCTCTTTTCATTTCAGCATGCATCTCTGCACTCTAAGCAGTCTGGTCTTCTTGCTGTCCTGCTAATGGTGCCAGGCTTCTTGCCACTGCAGTGTCACTGCTCATAGTGCTTTCCCTAGAAACTACCTCCCTTCTCTTTACTCTCCTGTGCGACTCCTACCTGTCCTCAGAGGAGCCTAAGTCTACTTCTCTTATAATATTTCCTCTTTCTATTTCTCAAGATACTTGCTTGTTAGCCCTTCATTATACTGGCTGTATTGATCTCCAATTGGTTTAGGTTAGTTTAAGCCTCTTTAGGGCCGGAGCCATATGTTATGCATGGTAATGTGGTATTGTGGGCTTTGAAGTACAGCAGAATTGGGGCAAGGGCCTGACTCCACTTATTAGTTGTGTGGCCTTCTGTAATTCTCCTACTATTAATCTCATGTGCAAAATAGGGAAAATGCTCCCCCCCAGTTTCACCCCCGAGTTGTGGTGTGAAGATGGTCTATAGTGCCTACCCATAACTGGCATATACATGATAAAGGTCTGCTTATCCCTTGACAGTAACTTAACAGAGTCCAATTCCTGAACACTCAGCCTGGAGGCCTAGAGAACCAGGGTAACCATGCAGTGAATCCTTAGTAAGTATTATCCTGCCCTTACTTAAAATGGCTTGAGCTTAGGTTATTCCTGGCTGCAGCTCTGCTTCTGGGATCTGTTGCTGTTTTTCCATCTGAACCTTGCCAGGAACACTACTGCTTAATTTTTTTTTTTTATACTGCTCCTCTTGCAGCAGTCTCCTCCATTTCATTTTGTAGGATCTTGCAGAGTTGGAGTGGTACCTAGCCGTTCTATTGATGTCTGCCCTTATAAAATGCATTTTTCTGCTTGTGGGATCTATGTGAGTGTGTGTATTTGCCTGGTGGTTCCTTGGGAGAATTCTGGATATAATGACCTCTCTGTGTATGTTGATCTGAAAGCCTGTGAATAGTATCTCATTTAACTGTTGTCTTTCACCTGTGGTCTTTGATGACTGTGGCTTTCTGAGAAGGGCCTATGTTTAGAGTATTAGAACTCTCCTATCTGTGAACCTCAGTGTTTATGGTTGATGTGGTTGAATCAGGGAGAATGCGCAAACAGAGGTGTGTGTGTGCCGGATGACTTATACACGTTTTGGGATTACAGTGTAATTGTGTCTTAGTTTGTGGTTGTGCTTACCTTTGAAATACAGTTTTAACTTCCTTATAAAAGCACATGTGTTCTAGAAAATTACCTAGTAAAAAGAATTTGGTGAAACAAATCATTTTCTGGGGCAAATTGCATTAAAATGCTAAGGAAATGTTGTGGCAGGAAGAAAATCAGAGATGCCTTTGATTGCAGCCAAAGAAGTAAAAGCAGCAGCTCAGGCCTACCTCAAGGTGGTAACCAAGGTTGATATGGGCATCTTCATTCAATCTGTCTGCTCCTAGTTAACTGCTGTCCAATATTAGGAAAAACTACTACTCAACAGGTTTTAGGGAAACACTCAACCCAAACAGAAGGCTTCTATTCCTGATTTTCTTCCAAGGAAACTGAACTATCTTTGCACATTAAGTACCTGACTCTCTGTGCTTTGAAAGTTGAAGTCTTCCTGGGTAGGAAGAGTGTCTTGTCGTGGGACTTACCTGAGCAGGCTGAAATCAAATCCAACATATGTTGACATGTGAAGTCATGTTTGAGTTTGAGGATAGCACATCTTCAAACATCTGCTCCCCCCTTTTTTTAAACTATATGGGCTCAGGATTAGCAAAATATTCATATGCTTTTTACCAAGGAGCACGTGGGGAACATTTGATACATCTTTAGTTGGCTATAAAACATGTATTATACTCACACATTTCAAAATATTCTACTCTGAAGATAGCAAGTATTCTGTTCTTCTTAGTTGGATCTCATCTGTAGAGTGAGAATGTCAAGTGATCATTAAGGTCCTTTACAGAAAAAAAAAATTCTTAACTCTATTGTCTGAAGTTTGTTCAACATTAGGCTTTGAACATAGTTCCTAATGAATTTAGCATTCAAATCTATGTTAATTAGCATTCAGTTATATTTTATCTTTAAATAAGCTCATCATGGCTGCTATAAAAGATAATGCCTCTGAACCAAAAGATAAAGTATTATAAGTGTGATGTCCAACTATATTTGACAATATCATGAAAGTAACTATCTGCGTGAACTTGTAGTTCCTAGCAGATGATTGTCATCCTAACTCACTTTTTTTGAAATGAAAGGGCCACAATAGTGCCTTGCTTTTCATTTGGTGCTTTTCCCACCATGTCAAGAACCCTTAGTAGCCACTTAATAAATGTATAACGATGGCCCAGAGCTTATGAGAACCACACGTTTTTTTAGGAGAGATCAGTGTGAGTTATTTTTTACCTTTCTATAGGTGAAGCATGACCTGTGATAAAGTATTGATAACATGTGACTGCTCTTTTGACTACCATAAAAGATAATGCCTGAGAACCGGAAAGGAAAGTACTATTGTATAATGCCCAAATACGTATTTGGCAATATCATGAAAGTTACTATCTGCATGAACTTGTGGTTCCCAAAAGATAGTTATTAATGGTTTTGCCCTCTTGGACATTGCCTTTGCTTTGAAAGAGAATTTACTAGAGAATGATTTAACTAAGACAAAGGGGAGTAAGAAAAATGTAAGATATACATGCCTTCATGTGATCTTAGCTGTTGAAAAGCAAGTTTTTTCCTAAATTAGTGTAAAAGTTTTTAGAAGGAGTCATAATTTTGGTACCCTAGTCCCAGTACAGTTGTCCAGTTTGCAAAGAAGTGGGGCGTGACGGGATGACAGTGAGGGTGGACGTGGTAGTATAGGAAAATCATCTATGGTCAGGATTGCCTTTTAAAGCTCCATAAGTTGTTCATTCATTAGTTAATTCATTGAACATGTCTTTATTGTGAGTCCGTACTTGTGCCAACTATGCCAGTTCTCTGGGAACTGAGTACTGGGAATACAGTTGTGAATATTGCAACGTTTCTGACCTCACAGAGCTTATATTCTAAGGTTAAACACAGCTTGTATGTAGCCCTGTAACCTAGGGGTAAGTGAGGGCTCTATGGAGAGTACTAAAGTGCTTCTGCTTATTTGGGGGATTTCCTCATCTTCAGGGCTTGACAAACTATGGCTTGTGTGCCAGTCCTTCCTGCTGCCTGTTTTTGTAAATAAATTTGTACTGGAACACAGCCATGCCCATGTATTTACATATTGTCTTTGACTGCTTTCATGCTACAATGGCAGAGTGGAGTTGTGACGGAGATGGAGAGCCTGCAAAGCCTATCCTGTTTACTGACCCTTCACAGAAAAAACGTGCTTATCCCTGCCCTATTTTATTTTTACATTAAGCCTTTACTTCCTTTAATTCATTTTGATTTTTTGTATACATGCTAGCAAAGCATCTTACACTGAGATCAGCTCCTTAGTCAAATGTGTTGTAATAGCATATAAATACTGATAACATGTGGCTGTCCTTGTAACTACCGTAAAAGATAATGCGTTAGAACCAGAAAGGTAAAGTATTATTGTGTAACGTCCAGCTACTTATTTGCCAGTATCATGAAAGTTACTATCTACATGAACTTGTGATATGCTCTTAGTCACTCCCCTATCTTCACTATCCCTTATCTTGCCCACCCCTGAAACACAGGCAAGCAGGACTATTGCCACCCTCGGCAGTTTTCATTAAGCTGGGGACTCTCGTTCTAGCTCATCTACAGTTTCACACATGGCAGGGTAAAGGTTTGTTTTTCTGGCTGTTTTTTTATTTTTTATTTTTTTTAACATTTCGCCTTTACTTCAGTTCTTTACAGTCCACCAAAGCCAACTATGTGTCCTAGTTTAAAAATCATCTGCAAGTGATTGAAGAACTTTTTTAAGGTTCAAGGCGTGAGCACCTTTTATATTGTAAGAGAAGCGACAGGGAGTTATGGAAGCTTCTCATGGGATTAAGGACCTAGTGCAGGACGAGTTCTTTTTTCAGAAGCTGGGATTGAAAGAGGAGAGGGATGGTAAAGGTATGAAGAAGTTTCTGGGGCACAGAAGAAGGCACATCATGTAACGGATTATCTTCTCTTGTTAACATCCAGTTGATGCAATAGCTGAATGCATCTTTAATTCACTCCTCTGTCAAGGTAAAGACAAAGCAAGATCCATGTAAAGAAGGTCCTTTTGGCTTTGTAACTGCTATTCCTTATGCAGAAAAAAAGCAGTAGTCCAAGAGGCAAAATGCTTAAAAGGTTTGCTTGCTAAAATGTACAGAGGCAGAAGAATTAGGTCCAGGAGAAAAACATAAACCCGGATATACTATTTCTAGTACCTTTTTAAAAGAAATTAACAGTATTCACTGACTTTTGTAAAGTTAGGACACATTCAAACCTAGAATACGAAGTCTAATTATAAACCTGTAAAGGTAAAATGGAACTCAGAATTACCATGAGAAGGGTCATCTAATGATTTTGCATATAATCCACTTTTCCTAGGAGGATAAATGAAAGTAACAGAATCTTTTCAATGTAAGATAATTAATGCAAAGGGAGACAAGCTCCTTCTAAGGAACTGAATGGTGTCAGTGGGCCTGGTAAACCACAACTCCCAGAGAACCCCAAGTTTGCTGTAACTTTTTGTCTCCTGTCTTAGAAAATGTGTAATGATGGCATTAATTCATTGATTAAGGTTTCAAAATAAAGAATGAACTACAATTTTCCCTGCCCCTCGCCTCCATTTTTTAGGCTGTGAATGAGCAAGGCACCTGATGTGAGCTGCTGGCCATGAGCAAATGTTCTTTGCCTCCACCGAGGATTGACGCTGAGGGGAGGGAATTGGGGCAAATCACAGGAAGCTTTTCCCCAATGTCACCTAGCCAGGAACATCATAACATTGACTTCAAAGGTTTGCTGGAACTCTTTGAAAGAGAGATAAAGCTGTCTTTCTTTGGTAGTTGAGTACAGCCTTACCCAAAGGCCAAAGGCCTGATCTGACCGCATGGAGGGGGACTTTCTGTGATCCTCTGAGACTCAGTCATCTTGGCATTGTTGTGGGAGGGCCCAGGCTGCCTGCCTGCCCCAGCTATTCTGTGGTATTCACTGTTCTTCCACTTCAGAACTTCAGAACTTTTAGTTGGGCCCAACAGTTTATCTTTGTTTTGTGTATGACAAAATAGAAGCACTGAGAATTTTGAGGTACTTAGCCAAGGTGGTACAGAAAATAATAGCAAAGACTAAAACTCACATTTGGGCCCTTCAAACAATCTTTGAGGACTTGCTACTGCAAGTGGAGTGAGAAGACAAAGATGAAGCAGTCTTGGAGAGTGTCGAGGCTGAAGCAGAGGGTACACCTGCAGGTCATTGCCACGGGGAAGGGGCTGGCAGTGAGGTGAGGACAAGGCACTATGGCATCAAGGGAGAGGACCATTCTCGGGTCTATATGTGTAGGTTGGGGCAGGAGGCTTGGAAGAGGTGACATGTGAGCTCGAAAGAGAAGGAATCGATGTTTAATGTTTACTGGGGCCTGGCTGAGGCACTGGGGCACTTGTGCATCTCTTGAAAGAAAGGTGTGTAGCATACAGGGTCCTTCGGTGGCACTGTCTTCTCCGCTAACCTTTGTTCATGTGATGCAAAAAGCAGAAACATTTATCCTTTTTTTTTTCTTAGACAAATGCTAGCTCAATTCCTGATACAGAGTCACAGAATCACACAGCTTTAGAGGAAGAAACCACCTTAGAGCAAGTCCCATGCCCTAATTCCACCAAAAGTAAACTCAAGGACCAAGAGATGCCCCGAGGCACAGCAGATCAGTGCTGAGTGGAAACTGGAACCAGTCCCTCACTTTGCCTCCACTGTGGGCATGTTGGTGCTGCCAATGGCTCCAGAGGATTCGCTGATATTTGATTGCAGAATGAAGACAATTAGAACATAGCCATATCATTCATTTTCATATTTGGGCTTTGAGATACAAAGTACTACTTCTGTTCCTGTCATTTTCAGATCCTCCAAAGATTTCATGATCTTTTGAAAGCTTTCCCTTAAGTTTGGTACAGTCAGCCTGGGTTCCTGTCTCATTTCTGCCACATTAGTCGTATAATCTAGACATGTAACTTGTGTCTCAGTTTCCTTCTCTGTAAAATAGGGATAATTGTAATAGTACCTGCCTGGTAGAATTATGAGGGTTAAATGTACTAATATATGCATAAGCACTTATAATAGTACTATGCACATACTAAGTACTAAAATTATCATGTTTTGGGCATATTTGATATATGAGGGTGCTAAGTGTAGATTCGTTGTAGTGAATGATTTATCCAAGTTAATTCTTGGAGTCAAAGCAGAATTTAGAAATACTGCGAGTTAGAAATACATGCTAATTCTCAAGGTAATGGACAGGCTGCTACATTCCATTCACTTCTCAAGCAGTGTTAACTATCTGTACCAGAAGCTGAATTTAAATGCTGTCAGGGCAGAGGAGGAAAATAAAAGACTCAAGGAAGCTGGGTGTGTGCTTGTCAAACAGTAAGAAATTGCTCTTCTCTTCTAAAAAAGAACAATTTTTCTTCTCTTCCAATTTTTCTTTAAGTATAAGGTTTTTTTTTTTTTCAGGCTTTTACTTTGTCACTTTTGTTATAGGCATAGGAACAGAGAAATATTTTTCATCCAGTAAAACAAGTGGCTATGAAGGCACACAAAAAAATGACAGCTAAAAAAAAAAAATGGCAAGTGGCAACAGGCAAAAAATGGGGACTGTGGTGAGCTGCAGAGCACACGCCCAGCCTGAAGAGGTACGGACATTTCTTCCACTTCTTATTACCGTGAAGGGCTAAGGACCCCAGGTGGTTAGACCTTCAGTGTTTCCAGAGAAGCTCCAAATAGGGATTTATATAGGAAATTCCCTATTTTTTATTTATTGATTTTTTTTTTTTTGAGACAGAATCTCACTCTGTCCCAGGGTGGAGTACAGTGGTGCGATCTCTGCTCACTGCAACCTCCGCCTCCTGGGTTCAAGCAATTCTCCTGCCTCAGCCTTCTGAGTAACTGGGATTACAGGCATACACCACCACGCCTGGTTAATTTTTGTATTTTTAGTAGAGACAGGGTTTCACCATGTTGGCCAGGCTGATCTCGAACTCCTGACCTTGTGATCTGCTGCCCTTGGCCTCCCAAAGTGTTGGGATTACAGGTGTGAGCCACTGTGCCCTGCCGAAATTCCCTATTTTTAAATCTGGGATTCAGCCCCCAGAGTGCCAGTGTGCCATCTCTGGTCTACACAGCATGGAATCTCCATATGCTAATGTCATATACTCAGAGATTTCAGGCTAGAATTGTCAAGTCTTGTTCACTATGCAAAGTTAGAAGTATGCTTGGATAAAGAAAATGTACATATACACCATGGAATACTTTGCCGCTATAAAATGGTATGAGATCATGTCCTTTGCAGGGACATGGATGAAGCTGGAAGCCATCATCCTCAGCAAACTAACACAGGAACAGAAAACCAAACACTGCATGTTCTCACTCATAAGCAGGAGTTGAACAATGAGAATACATGGACACAGGGAGGGGAACAACACACACCAGGGCCTGTTGTGGGGTAGGTGGGACGAGGGGAGGGAACTTACAGGACGGGTCAATAGGTGCAGCAAACCTCCATGGCATACGTATACCTATGTAACAAACCTGCACATTCTGCACATGAATTCCGGAACTTAAAGTAAAATAAAAGAGATAAGTACATTCTATATTTTAAAACAGAATGTCCTTGTTCGCTGGGTAAGTAAGCACAGATTTCTGATTTCATTTCTAAAACACCCAACTTTGAATGAATAACACTGCTGCTGTGTAATTTAGATGATTGTATAAGTCTTTGGGATGTTTTGCTAGGGAGTGATAGGCTAAATAATAGCCTGCAAAGATACCAGGTTCTAATCCTTGGAACCTGTGAGTGTTACTTTATATGACACAATGGACCTTGCAGATGTGATTGAATCAAAAAATCGGAAATGGAGAGATTATCCTGCAGTATCTTGGTAGGCCTTAAATGAAAACACAAGTCCTTATAAGCTAGAGACAGAGGAAGATTTAAAAACAGAAGACAAGAAAATGTGATCATAGAGGCAGAGACTGGGGTGATGTGGTCACAAGCCAAGGAGTGCTTGCAACCACCAGAAGCTGGAAGAGACAAAGAATGGATTCCCTCTAGAGCCTCTGGAGGAAGTGCCAGCACCTTTGCTTCAACTCAGGAATACTGGTTTCAGACTTCTGACCTCCAGAAACCTGAGAGAATAAATTTCTGCTATTTTCAGCCACCAACTTTGTGAAAATTTTTGGAGCAGCTGTGGGAAATTAATATAACTGACAAGGAAAACTTTGTATAGTTTAAAAAATTTTTTTTGTTATTTATACCTGGATTAAAATATGGATAAGTGACATGTCCTTAACAAGAAAAATTAGCTGTAGTTTAGAAATTGGTGGCCCAGAGCCTTCCTTGAGATTCCTAGCCAGTGATCCACAAAGTGACTCCTTCCTTGTGCACTGGTAGCACTCTCATCTCCACTCCATGTAGGAACTTAATCCAGTGTCCATGTCTTCTGGTCATTTGTGTATTTCCCACCTCTCCAACTGCGTGAGAAGTCCCCAGAGGCCAGATCTGCCACCCACAGCTCTGTGGATCTTATATCTCAGTACTGAACGTAGGGCCTTATAGTTAATTTTTCACTTGAGTGATGCTTTGTTGACACTTAAGTGTCTTAAGCGTATTTCAGATATTGCTGTATATCAAAAATGCATATTTATATGCTTTTTTAAATTAAAAAAAATTTTTTTTTGAGACAGGGTCTCGCTCTGTTGCCCAGGCTGGAGTGCAGTGGTGTGACCTAGGCTCACTGCAACCTCCGCCTCCCAGACTCCAGCAATCCTCCCACCTCAGCCCCATAAGTAGCTAGGACTAACTACAGGAATGCACCACCAAGCCCAGCTAATTTTTGTATTTTGTAGAGATGGGGTTTTGCCCTGTTGCCCAGGCTGGTCTTGAACTCCTGGACTTAAGCAACATGCTCACCTGGGCCTCCCAAAGTGCTAGGATTACAGGTGTGAGCGACCACGCCCAGCCTATATAATTTTATAAAATAAATATGTCACATATTTACATATATACTTATATATAATGTATTTATAATATATGAATATTATATGTATGTGAAATGTGTATATATATATACACACACACACACAAATGCAAGTAAACCTCACAACCATAGAAAAGATAATAGTTGGCTTCTTTTTTTTAACAAATTGTAAAGAACCCAGCAGTAGAAACGGTCTTCTACTTGTGGAGTGAGGTCTCAATGGAGTGACTTACGGGTGAAATATTATGCTGCCAGTATGTGGTCTCTGGTCTACACAGTGTGAAATCTTTGTATGCTAATGTCATATACTCAGAGATTTCAGGCTGGAATTGTGATGTCTTGTCAAGTATCAAATTTTTGATATTTGCCTGCTTCTTTCTTTGAAGCACTGACTCTGTAGATGTAGATGTCTCCCATTAAGTATCAAAGAAGGATGTATTAACATTAATACACTAAAAATAGTCATTAGAGTGCTGAAACCTTTTTTCCTGTTAGAACTCCAATTGAGGCTGGGCACAGGGGCTCCCACCTGTAACCCCAACACTTTGGGAGGCTGAGGTGGGCAGAGTGCTTGAACTCAGGAGTTCAAGACCAACCTGGGCAACATAGCAAGACCCCGTCTCTACGAAAAATACAAAAATTAACCAGGCCTGGTGGTGCATGCCTATAGTCCCAGCCAATCAGGAGGCTGAGGTGGGAGGATTGTCTGAGCCCATGAGGCTGCAGTGAGCCATGATCACACAGCTGCACTCCAGCTGGGAGACAGAGCAAGACCCTGTCTCACAAAAAGAAAAAAGAACTCAGCTTGAGAGTTCTGTGTTTGCCTTGGTTGCCTTTGACTGAAGCTCTGTGGTTATCTGTAGTAAATGTCACTATGGATGGCATGCAGAGTGGTCCCCATGTTGGGCCCCACTTGTCATGCAAAGTGGAATCCTTTCATGTTTCCCACCTGCCATGTTACAGGCACATGACTGGATTGCACAAGGTCACAAAGCTTCAGCTAGCTAGTTGTCCAAGCAACCTGGAGTGATACTGAGGGCCGTTTTTGGACATTCTTTTACCACAATAGGTTTGTATCTTACTTGCATCTTATTTTCTTTCAAAATGGAAGCAGATAATGGAAAGCAAATGAACATTAGGCTAATAGTTACTTCTAATTTGTCTCCAGCTGTACACCTCTTTCAGTCTTCAAAACTATGCTAACCATAAAGGTCTATCTGTCACCTCCTGTAGAGAATTTTGTATTTTGTCACCTAAAATACAAAAGTTAGTATAGCCCACTGTAAGTGGGTGTAGCCCATAGTATCAGGAATGCTTTCAGCTGTAGTGGATAGATTAACAGTGACTTCTTCAACAGAGACCTTCAATTAGGTTGTAGAACAATAAGCCCAAAGGCATATATTTTCAGGGTTCAAGCAGCAGCTCACTGATGTCATCAAGGACTCAACCTCTTTCTATGAATACACCCTCTGCAGCTGGGATTCTCATCTTTAGAGCTGATGTCTCATAGCCGTCTCTGCCTCAGCCCTAAATATCACACTTTACACAGCCATGTTCAATGCCGCTTCTTTGTCAACTGTCTTTATTAGGGAGTAGATTCCTTCTCAGAAGCTCTTCTTCCTCACCAGCTCACTTCCCTTTCATTCTCGTAAGTCCGAGCCATGGCACCACTCCTAAACAGATTTTAGTAAGGAAGTAGAATTCCTTTGCTTGGCTTAGATCTATCATAGTTCATGCCCTGGGGTGGCTGCTGTGCCTGAGTATGTCGAATCCTGAGTAAAATCAGGTTCTGTAAACTAAGCAAGAAGAGAAGCATTGCTATGGAGTAGAGCAGCGAAGGCGCCTACCATGGTCCCTTCTTTTTTCTAGTGCATTGTCCATCGCCCTATTTTCCCAGCGCAACAGTAAGTTTTTGTTCTTTACTTTCAGATTATGAGGTGACTCATCATATTTGGGCCACCACAAAAAGGATGAATAGCTGAACAATACCATTCTCAAATGTATTTAACCACATCCTGCTAGGATATGCTCAGATTGGACTGTGAGCTGACTGGTGCTTCTTGTCTAATGCTATTTTGGCTAATACCATTCACTTTTTTTCAGTATGGGAAATAATTCACTAATGTGAATAATAGAAAGCTCAAAGAGTGGTCATGGTTCTTGTTCTCTGGAACCATACCTAGTGTAACTAACCCTTCTCTCTGATATCCTTTGTACACTTGGAACAATTATCATGGCTTTCCAAGTCTCCTTTGCTTCCAGCATCCGGTGTTTCTTCATCTACCCTTCTTGTACTTTCATTTAGATGCCTCACTATGTTCTTTAATATTTCTCTTGAAGTTTGGCCTCTGGAGCAGTAAACCAAGGATGTGATGGGACTATTGCATTCCTTATTCTGAACACAGGCTGCCTTATTTAACAACTCCAGTGGGCACCTTTCACGTTGTGTTCTATGTGAATGGAGTACCCTGGAGTTACACAGTGTATCAGCCTTGTCTGAATGCTGTGTTCCCAATAAGAACTCCAATAATACTCTATCTTTGGGGAAAAATAAAACAACCTTAGAGCTATTTGCTTATTGAGCATCTCCAGTGAGAGGTTTTGTACATACCTCAAATTCAGCCCCCGAGAAAACAGAACCCACATCTCTGTACATTGTCCAAATAACACAAAAACACACATTCCCTATCTCAAACCCATAGTCTCCTGTTGTATCTAAGACTCACCCAGTCCAGTGCCTTTGTTTGGGCTTTCATCATATTTCACCTGGGCTATTGGAGTAACCTCCTAATTAGTCTCTGCCTCTGATCTCTATTCTAACATCTATGTAGTCTCCAGAGGGATTTTATTCATGCTGTTTCTCTGCTTTAAAAACTCTGAGGAACTCCCTTCTGTAGGATAAAAATCAAACTCCTGCGTGAGGCCAGGTGTACTCACGCCTGTAATCCTAGCACTTTGGGAAGCCAAAGTGGGAGAATTGCTTGAGCCCAAAAGTTCAAGACCAACCTGGGAAAAAAAAAAAAAAAAGAGACCTCATCTCTTAAAAAAAAAAAAAAAAAAAAAGCCTGGTAGTGTACACCAAGTACTCCCAGCTACTTGGGAGGCTGAGGTGGGAGGATTACTTGGGCCTAGGAGGTTGAGGCCACAGTGAGCTGTGATTTTCACCACTGTACTCCAGCCTGGGTGACAGAGTGAGACCCTGTCTCAAAAAAATAACAAAAGCAAAAACAAAAAACTCCTGCATGACACACATACTCGTTCATAATTGGGCCCACCCTAACTTTCTAGCTATTTCCTGCAATTTGCCCCATCGCCCTCCATTGAATTGGTTTTACGCTCTAGCCTCGTACCCAGCCCTGGTTGCACATTAGACCTGGAAAACTTTCAGAACTCTCAAAGCTCAGCCCCCATCCTGACCTGCTTCTTGGGGCTGGGGCTAGGCATGAGTAAATGTTAAAGGTTCTCTAGGTGATTCTGTATTCAACCAGGGTGAGAAACATTAGGCTGTGCCTGCCCTCTTGTGAACACACCAAGCTCTTGTATTCGCCAACATTTTTACAGTTTCCTCCACTTATAATTTCTTTCTCTCCTTTTCTGTGTAAGAAAACCTTTTTCATTTTTTAATATCTCAATACTACCTCTTCTCTGAAGGATTGTCAGATCTCTCTCCTCCTCCCAAGAGTTGGTTGCTGTCTACTGCATTCTCATAGCAGTTTCTACATTTTTTGTGTATCTGTCAGTTGTGAGTGATTTAAAGGAGAGACCCTAGCCTTATCCATAATGTGCCCAAGAGCCTTGCATAATGCTTAGCATCTTATTAAAGTTTAATTAAAATTATACCATGTGCCATCAATGCTTGAAGAGACACTAGTCTGATCCATTGTATAGTTGTTAGGTAATTACCTGAAGTAGCATTAGAAATTAGAAAGTAACTGCCATGGTATGGTGAGAGTCATATCTTGCCACAGTAATTAGATTTTGTTCCTTGATAATATGACAGACTATAACAAGGAGGAATTGTTGGGGTGACTGTGCATTGAATGAATGACCCACTCTATCTGGATTTCAATGAAGCTCTTAATTCTTTCACAGATAGCTTTCCCAGTGATAATCTAGGAACCATTGTTCCAATTGTACAATTTAAGTGGATGAGGAAGGGACATTAATTATCCAAAAAAGGCTTTATTATTAATAACTGATATAAATCAGTAGTATAATGCCATTGCAAAAAGCATGAGGGAAGCCCACATGCTACTGTAATATAGGTTACTATTAAGTTTTGGTCACCATAGTTCATCAAGGAGATGGAGAAATGTGTGAGGATTCAGAGATGAATGCCAAAGGTAATTAAAGGAGTGGAAAATGCTTCCTCTGAGAAAAGGTCATGTAATTAAGGCAGGAGAAGGCTGAGAGACACATGCTTGATTACTCATTTCATGTGCATAGACATTTTTATGACATAGCTTCGTTATATCCACAGAAAACTAGGCAGAAGAAATTTGCTTAAGTTAGAATATGCAAGTTTTGGTTGGACATGAAGAAAAATATTCTAACTGGATTACAAAATGCAGATCTGATCATGTTAGTCCCTAGTTACAAAACTTTAATTGACTTCCCATTGTCTATAGGGCAAAGCCTTCTTTAAAAAATAAAAATAAAGACATTGTTTATTAGTTGGCTGATTTTTTTTTTTTTTTGACAAATCAAGCTTCCAGGAATTTTTTTTTTTTTTTTTTAGGAAGATGACATACAACGATGGTTTGGGAGTCTTAATTTGTTGGAAAGTGAAATAATGAATGATGGAGGATTCATACACAGATGTGTCTCAACTTAGAGTGGGGTTACATCCCTATAAACCCATTGTAAGTTAAAAAATCATTGTCAAAAATACATTTAATACACCTAACCTACTGAGCATCATTGTAAGCCTAGCCTATCTTAAACATGTTCAGAACACTTACATTGGCCTATAGTTGGGCAAATTATCTAACACAAAGCCCATTTTATAATAAAGTGTTGAATATCTCATGTATATAATGAATACTGCACTGAAAGTGAAAAACAGAATAGTATGGGTGCTCGAAATACGATTTCTACTAAATGCATGTAGCTTTGGCGCCATTGTACAAAGTCAAAATATCGTAAGTCAAACCATCAAAAGTTGAGGACTGTGTGTATGCTATAGGAAAAAAATAGTTGAAGATAAAGAAGAAAAAGGGGAAAACAAATGCAGAGCCAAAATTGCTTGTGCTGTGGTCCAAATATACTTTTTGGGTTAAGGCACAGCCTGAATCCAATCTATTCCATAATACAGTAATCATGAAGTGGAGGAACCATGGTATATGATAGTGTTCTGTCTTCTCAACAAGTTGTATTAAATAAGTCTGCATTTGTATGTTTTGATCTAAGATAAAACATTTAAGATGCCTGTATCTTTAAAAAATTTCCCTTCTTCTACCATTTTAGGGATAATTGAAATTTTTAATCTATAATAATTTTAAATTTACATAAATTGCAAGAATACCAAAAGAATACCCATAGATCCTATCTTAGTCTGCCTGGGCTACCATACATAACATAGTAACATAGACTGGGTGTCTTAACAGAAATTTATTTTTTTCACAGTTCTGGAGGCTGGAGAGTCCAAGATCAAATGGTTTGGTTTCTGGTGAGGGCTGTCTTCCTGGCTTTTAGATGGCTGCGTTTTTCCTGTGTCGTCATTTGCTAGGGTGTGTGGGGGAGAGGTAAAAGACACTAGCCCTATTGTATCAGACCCCTACCCTTACGACCTCTGTAGCCTAATTACCTTTCCATAGGTCTGTCTCCAGATACAATCTCATTGGAGGTTAGGGCTTTAACATGTGAATTTGGAGGAGGGATATCATTCAGTCCATAGCATACTCTTTACCCAGATTTACCTGTTGTTAACATTTTACCCCATTTGTTTTCCTCGCAATGCACACAAAATTTTTGTTCTACCCACTTGAGAATAAATTGCATACATCATGGCCCTTTACCTGTAAACCCTTCAGAGTATATTTCCCAAGAATGAAACTATATTCTTACTGAATCACAGGACAGTAACTACAACTACAATAACTTTAACACAGATAAATATTTTTATCTAATCTACTGTCCATGGTTTCAGGATGAAACTGCTCCACCTCAGATCATCAGGCATTAGTCTCCTAAGGAGCACGCAACCTAGATCCCTCCCATGGGCAGTTCACAGTAGGGTTCGTGCTTCTGTGAGAATCTAATGCCGCCGCTGCTGATCTGACAGGAGGTGGAGCTCAGGCAGTAATGCTCACTCACCCACTGCTCTCCTCCTGCTGTGTGGCCCAGCTCCTAACAGGCCACAGACTGGTTTACAGCCCTGGGTTTGGGGACCCCTGCTTTATTGCATTTTCTTCTCCAGTACAGAATCCAGTCAAAACCTGTATTTTAAAAAATGGCATCTGGGTTCCTCCATAAACAAAACTCTGCCAACTCTTTCCACAAGTTCCCCCTTTCCCACCCCCTAATTTCAAGCCCTGCCTCTTAGTTTCTGCTTCTTGGAGTGCTAGAACCCCATTTGCCCTACAAAACACCTACTTTTCTCTTTTTTAAGACAATCTTTTATGAAGATTTTTCCTGCCCTCCCTAAGCCCAGATGGAATTAACCCAGCTGGAAACCAAGAGGGCTTTCTCCTTAATTCCCCTCCACATACTTGAAATATCTTAGTTTGTATTCATGAGTGGTACATATCTGCTTCCCCCCTCCCATCCACACCCCCATCCCCTGCCAGGAGACTCTAAGCTCTTTAAAAGAAGGGACCATATTTTATTGGTCTCTATATCCTCAGAGCTTAAAGATAGGATCTGTCACACAGAAGGTGCTTTATAAATATTTATTAGTCATCAATGGAATACATCACCCTAAAGAGCTACTGAAGGAGGTTGTAGGGAGTCTGATCCTGAAGAGTTTCAAGAAGGAAAATGCCCCTCCAACCAGAGGCCTTACAGTGGTTCTAGGGGAAAGGGAATGAGCTGAGGGTGGGTAGAGTGGGGCTTGATCTCTAAAAGCTTGTTTGATTCTGTGATAAAGCATGGTAAAATCAGGCAGGAGTTTTATATGTCTTAAGATTTTTCAAGCTCACACACGGCTTTCAGGAGAACACAGTCTGGATTTATTTATTTATTTTATTTTTTAATATATATATATATATTTTTGAGACCAAGTCTCACTCTGTTACCCAGGCTGGCGTGCAGTGGCGTGATCTCGGCTCACTGCAGCCTGTGCCTCCCGGGTTCAAGCGATTCTCCTGCCCCAGCCTCCCGAGTAGTTGGGACTACAGGCACATGCCACCACACCCAGCTAATTTTTGTGTTTTTAGTAGAGACGGGGTTTCACCATGTTGGCCAGGCTGGTCTCAAATTCCTGACCTTAGGTGATCCACTTGCCTCAGCCTCCCAGAGTGCTGGGATTACAGTCATGAGCCACTGCGCCTGGCCTATTTTTAAATTTTTAATCTTGAACTAATTTTAGACTTACAGAAAACTTGCAAAAATAGTACAGAGTTCCTAGAAACCCTTCACCCCACTTTCCCTAATATTAATATCTTACATAACCATAGAACAATGATCAAAACCAGGAAATTAGCATTGGCACAATACTACTAACAACAGATCTTACTTAGATTTTACCAACTTTTTCACTAGTGTCCTTTTCTATTCCAGGGTCCTGTGAAGGATCCCACATTGCATTTATTTGGCATGTCTGCTTAATTGCCTCCAATCTGTGACAGTTCCTTAGTCTGTCCTTGTCTTTTGTGATCTGGACACTTTGTAGGAATACTAGTCACTTTACATTATTACTACAGTTTCTTTATTATAGGCAGACTGAATTATATAAATGAAAAATCAATGACATTATTTTTAAGACACAAACTGAATGACTTTAAAAGGAGCATACCCTGCACATAGGCCTTGAATTCCTAGTTCTTTGTTTAGCTTCTGAATGTCTAGTAGTGATAATAATACCATTGATGCTTAGCCACACGTAGTTCATGGAGCACACTTAAGTTCTGCATCAGGAGAACTTTAGCATTTCTTAGCTTTTGTATGTTTACATTGTTAATTGTAGCTCAAGTGTATAGAACACAGTATATTTAGCGAAATTTTCATAGCTTGGCAATTTTCATCGACCACAGTTATCTCTCAGTGTTTGCCCAGAATGGTTAGTCAGCAGAAAAGCATTGAATTGGAGCTGATTCATTTCTGAGTCAGTGACAAATTTACTTTCCAAGCATAATATCTCTAGTTGTATAAGAAATTAGAAAAGAGCATTATTTAGACCAAGGGTTAGTGAACGGTGTAAAGGGCAACATAGTCAATACACTAAGTCCTCATTTAACTTATCAATAGGTTCTTTGGAAACTGTGACTTTATGCCAAACAACATATAACAAAACCAATTTTGCCATAGGCTAATTGATATAAACAAGAGTTAAGTTCCTACAGCATATTTCTGGTCATAAAAACATCACCAAACTTCCAAATAAAGACTAAAACACTTTGAATATTAAACATTGGAATGGATGTGAGCTATAAATACATTTAAGAAAGATTAAAAAAAAAAGGTAAGGTAATTATTTACCTACTTAATCCAGTTTACGATCGTGGGTGGTCAGAGCCTATCCCAGCAGCTTAGGGCCCAGAGTGGGAACCAACCCTAGACAGGCACCAATTGCAGGGCACATTCACACACCCACCCTACACTCACTCAAGCCTGAGACAGTGTAGACATGCCAGTTCACCTAGTGTGCACCTGGAGAAAACCCACACAGACACAGGGAGAATGTGCAAACTCCACATGGACAGCAGCCCCAGCCGGGAATCAAGTTTTTGTCCCTCATCAACATTATAATGAAACAACATTATTCCAAAACCTGCTGTACTTTGGGCTTTGCAGGCTCTACAGCGTCACACAACTATTCAGCTCTGCTGTTGTAGTCATGAATGGTATGCAAGTATGTGGGTATGACTGTGTTCCAATAAAACACAGATTTAGACTTACAAAAACACGTATACTCAAAATGTATATTAACATTTATCCTTGTCTCTCATTTTTCTCTGCAGGCAGAAGACTGATTTTTGGAAATATGTATTTGGGAGACAGTCACGTCCTATTGAATACCTTGTGCTGGTGCTGCCATCGAAAAATCTGGTTACACTCTGGGGAGGACTGCTACCACTGCAGAACTGAACCACTTCGGCCGTGAGATGAGTGTCCGGCCTGAGCAGGCACACCATGAATAGATACACAACAATCAGGCAGCTCGGGGATGGAACCTACGGTTCCGTCCTGCTGGGAAGAAGCATTGAGTCTGGGGAGCTGATCGCTATTAAAAAGTAAGTTTGATCCTTCACTGCCATGATAATTTTAACTCTACCCTCACCATTACCCGTCTTTGTAACAGTTCTAAAGGGGAGTGGGTAGGATGCCTAGAGAAGAACCTTAGATAATGATTGCTGTGGGTTAGATGATTATTGACTCTGTAACACTCATGTTAGAGGTCTGAAAACATTTCCACTTTAGATTTACTACTTTGCACATAGTAAAAGTACTTGTTATCAAAGTGTGTTTTCTCTTATTGTGAGGTAGTAACAAGCAGGTTAATAAACATCATTTTACATGAGAGGAAACTGAAACTCTAAGAAATAAGATGACTTCATTTGGGCCATCTACATGCGTATGGTGGTCTGGTGACTGCTGTCTTGTTCCCTCTGCACCCCCTTGCCCTTCACAACCTGAGTCCAGACACATTGTATTAGTTATCTGTTATTGTGTAACAATTTACTCCAAGACTTAGTTGTTTAAAACAACACACATTTATTATCTCACAGTTTCTCTGGGTCAGGAGTCTGGACACAACTTAGCTAAGTTCTTTGCCTCAGTATCTCTCATGAGGCTGTAGTCAAGGTGTTGGCCAAAGCTGGGGTCTCATCCAAAGATTGGACTGGGGAAGAATCCACTTCTGAGCTCATTTTGTGATTGTGAGTTGATCTATGGGTTGTTGGCCTGAGGGCCTCAGTTCCCTGCCGGCTGTTGGTGGGAGGCTGCCCTCAGTTCCTTGCCATGTGGGCATCTAAAAAGCAGCTTACAACATGGCAATTTGCTTCATCAAAACTTGGGAGTCAAGAAGGCAATGAGAGACTTGTACTGAGATGGAAGTCATATCTTGCTTTTGTAAATTAATCACAGAAGTGACATCCTTGTCAAATTGCTATATTCTGTTGGTTAGAAGCAAGTCGTTGAAGGAGAGGGGGTTCTAAAAGGCCCTGGGTAGCAGGAGGTGGGAGTCTCTGGGAACCACATTGGAGACTGCCACAACTATCTCTATCCAGTTGACTTGTCAGCATCTATATTTGAATGCCCTGCAGACATTTCACACTCACCATGCCCAAAACTACACTCATATTTAGCATATTCTCTCTTACCCCAAATTTGTTTCTTCTTCAGTGTTTCCTATTTCAATAATTGGTACTATACCCTCAAAACCTGGGAGTCCTCCTGCCTTCCCTCCCCATTATGCCTCACCTTTAGTCATCTAGTACTGTCAATTTTACGTAATATTTATGTCATCCACCTACTTCTGTATATTCCCACTGCTAACCTCCATTCAACCCATTACCATTTGCCACCTCCACCATGAGGTCCTCCGCCACTAGGGCTCCTGGCTTTTTTCCCCCTATTCATATCAGACCAAAGGGATTATTTTAAACATACAACTTCAATCATCTAAAACTACTTGACCAAATGTTCTTTGTGTTCCATGAACACATCCCTTGCTCCCACCTGATGTCAGTGCAGCTGTAGCGCACAGCTCTATGCCCATGCCAGCACCCCATCCCAAGTGCATGTGGGAGACTTTCAACCAAGGTGCATTCTGTCCAGCTCCTTAAAAGGTCCCCAGCCTGCCTGAGCCAGTTGCCAACCCTGTTATTGGCTTACTCATACACCCATTATTGGGTTCCCTACCTCTCTTTTCTCAGTCTCCTGCTCCTTGCCCTGGCTTCCTGGAATCACCTCCCAAATAAACTACCTGCACCCAAGTTCTTGCCCAGGCCCTGCTTTTGGAGGAATCCAAACCAAGACAGCTTCCAATGTCTTCCTGGCAGTTTTAGGATGAAGCCCCAAATGTTTATGTGACCTACAAATTGCTGCATCATTTGGCTGAGCCACTGCTCCCGTCAGGTTCACTTTTATAGGCCCTTTTCCTTTCTTCACAGCACTTGGTACAGAAAATTATTTTCTACCTTCCTGCCATGATGTCAGTTTCATGAGGGATGTCTTTCTCATCATTGTCTCTCCAGTGCCTGACAAGGCACCTACTGTACTACATAGCAGGGGCTAAATAATATTTCGGGCATGAATAAAGGATTTGATCACTCTACCGGGAGACAGTGTGACAAGGACAGAGTGAGCTGGAGAGATGGGAAGTTTGTTATTGGCCAGCAGTAAGACCTCGGGAAAGTCGTGTACCTTCTCTGTTTCTGTTTCCTCAGCTGTCCTATCTGTTTCACAGGACTGCTATAAGACAAATGAGACAATGTGATTGAAATGCACTGAAAAATATAACCTTGAAAGTTGAATTTCTGATTAACTCTGGAGTTTTCTTTTCTCCATTGAGGCTCTAGACCAGGGGTTGGCAAACTTTCTCTATGAAGGGCCAGGCTGTAAATATTTTAAGCTTCACAGGCCATATGGTCTCTTGCAACTACTCAGTTCTGCTGTTGTAGTTTGAAAGCAGCCACAGGCAGTATATAAATGAATGAGTATGGTTGTGTTCCAATAAAATTTCACTTATAGAAACTGGAATTTGAATTGCACAAAATTTTCACATTGTGAAATATTATTCTTCTTTTGACTTGTCCCCCAATTTAAAAAGGTAAATGCCATTCTTAGCTCGTGGGCTGTACAGAAACAGATGGTGGTGAGGTTTTGGCCCATGGGTCATAGTTTGCTGACTCCTGCACTAGAGGGTCTAGAACTCTGCTGTCTAGTATGATAGCAAGTAACCATATGTGGCATTTAAATTTAAATTTAATTAAAATTAAAATTCAGTTCCCACATTGTGCTAGCCACATGCCAAAGTGCTCGGTAGCCACATGTGTCTAGTGGCTACCATCCTGGACAGCACAGAGCAGTTTCACCAATATAGAAAGTTCTGCTGGACAGCTCTGGTCTAAATAGAATAAGCCTGAGCAATTTCCTTCCAGAGCAAGGTTAGTTAGTTAGTATAGAGTAAGACAGCAGTCCAGGCCTCTTTGGACTGCACCACACCACTGCTACTGGCAAAATTTGTGACTTAGGATTATTGCACTGCTGTTTGAAAATAAGTGCTGGTTTGGGATAGTATAATACTGGGTAGAAATTTAAACCCACTTTAAGTACTGTTAATTAGGATCAGAATGGAAGCATTTTTCTAAAAGCAAAGTTTAACCTATTACTGAGAATAAGTGTGCTGTTTGTTTCTTTCTTCTCTTCTAGAATGAAAAGAAAATTTTATTCCTGGGAGGAATGCATGAACCTTCGGGAGGTTAAGGTATATATTAATATACCAAGGAATAATTTATGGATGATTAAAATAGCTTTGTACATGCTTAGATTTATAGTTGATATAGTCATTTCATTTGAATTTTTTCACTAATGCTGGAAAGGGAGGCAAATGATAACATTACAGCTGAAGCAGAAGATTATGGTATAATTGTATATACTGTTATTAGAAAGCTTTCATCTTTAATGGATCACTTATATCAATATATTTCAATATAAAGAAGTTGAATGTGTTGATTTAGTGAATTATTATTGCCTATTTTCTTAATTATTAACGTAAAGGAAAATCACTTGTTGAGTGTTTTTCCTAGACATAATAGCAGTACTTACTTCAGTTTCTTGCTCTAATAATTTGCACTCCACTTTCTGTGAGGAAATTCATTGACCCCCACACCCTTGCGCTTGTTGAGCCTCACACAGACTTACCAGCACTGGGCCACAGCCTAACCCTGAACACAGAGGGGAGGGAAGGCAGAAGCGGGTAGAAAGGAGGCACCTTACAAGATTCCTCATCCGTTCCTCCTTGCTGAGGTCCTTCTTTTGTGCCATGTCAAGCATTGTGGAGCACCGATCTTTACTTTTATTCAGCCTTCTGACTGGATTCATTATTCTCCTCCTTTCCCCCTGCCCCTGGGATTCATTATTCTCCTCCTTTCCCCCTGCCCCTTCTTCTATTGATTTTGTTCCAATTTTTCTCTCTGTCAGAGTAGATTGATCACATTGAGTTTTACATGCATAATTCTCTTCCTTGTGCAGTGGAGTGGTGCTTCATCTAATTTTAGTCCTCTCACCCAGCCCTGTTTGAAACACCTAATAGAATACTGAAAAACACCCTTTCTTTTTCTCCAAAGGGGTCCTGTACATGGAAGTGAGGTTACAAGTCTAAAGCAGGGATCAGCAAACGTTTTCTGTAAAGGGCCAGATAGTCAGTCTTTTATGCTTCTAGGACTAAAAGGTCATATTGAAGATGTTATATAGATACATGTGTAACAAGAGCAAAAACAAATTTCCATAAAATTTTTATTTATAAAATATAAAATGTAATAATAATTTAGTATAATTTTCTGTATTAGAGGTCTTCCAGTGAGAAGAATGATATTCTTTTTGAGGGGACATAATATTTAACTTAATTGGAGTTCAAAGTTAGTGTTCCCTGTCATCAAACTGATTGCAACCGTTCATTTATAAAAGTATTCTTTTTTATCTTTTTTGGGCTGGGTGTGGTGGCTCACACCTGTAATCCCAGCACTTTGGGAGGCTGAGGCTGGTGGATCACTTGAGGTCAGGAGTTCGAGACCAGCCTGGCCAACATGGTGAAAGCCCTTCTCTACTAAAAATACAAAAATTAGCCAGGTGTTGTGGTGGGTGCTTGTAATCCCAGCTACTCAGGAAGCCGAAGCAGGAGAATCGCTGGAACCCGGGAAGTGGAGGTTGCAGTGAGCTGAGATTGTGCCACTGTACTGCAGCCTGGGTGACAGAGCAAGACTCAGTCTTAAAAAAACAAAAACAAAAATATTCTTAGCTTGTGGACTATACAAAAACATGTGGTGGGCTGGATTTCACCCATGGGACATAGTTTGCCAACCTCTGTTCTAGAAAATAAAAGTTTGAGATGATCCGAAAACATCAGATATAAAAAAACAAACATCAGAGATAAAAAACAAAGATAATCCAAGGACATTTTCTCTGTGACATGAAGTTCTGAGAGGTATCCATGGCTTGGATGTTAAACCTTTATTTTTCCAGACAGCTAATTGTGTATTAGTTCTAATGCAAAAGAGATTACTCATATATACAGTTTAGAAAAACTATGGGCACATAGTGTCTTAGGAAGCAAGTGACTGCCTCGGCAAGATAGTTGAAGAAACTGCTCCTCTAGCTGATGACCACCAGACAACTCCCACTCTTTCCTTGCCTGCACAGATGCCACATCGGCTGCCAACTGGGATCCTCCCCACCCCCACACCCACGCGCTTGTTGGGCCTCACACAGACTTAGCAGCACTGGGCCACAGCCTAACCCTGAACACAGAGGGGAGGGAAGGCAGAAGCAGGTAGAAAGGAGGCGCACCTTACAAGATTCCTCATCCCTTCCTCCTTGATGAGGTCCTTCTTTTGTGCCTGCTGACTCAGAAGGGGAAGGGAAAGGAAGGTCACTGAAGGCCTCTTATCACTGTCGTTTCTCATGTCCTGCCAGCTGCTTCATTCCAGCAGCAAAGGGAACTGAAGGGAAATCCTGGGTACTCACCACGCCACTGTTCCTTCTTCCTTTCTCCTCATTGCTGCCTGCCTGTACATTTGCATGTCTGCCCATGAAGACCCTGTGGACTTCAGGGATATTCTGCACCTCACGGCCATGGCAGGGAGGGGAATCCCTGCTCCCATGATGTCATGCGGGGAATGGCACCTGGTGCTATTTTTCTTAGAAGCATAGTCTTACATGGCACTATGCTGTTCTAGACACCATCTTGAAACCATAGGCTGCCTATATTCTGCCTACCGTGTTCCTTTGCTGTTTTGGTTTTTTTTAACCATCTTAATTTTTTATATCTGTAGGTTCTTGCTGCAACAATTTCCCCCTCCTTCCCATATCATTAAACTCTTTTTTTTTCCACCTGCTCATTCTTTTTAGTCTATAAATGTGCCCACCATTCTCTCTAACCCAAAAAAGTCCCAAGCCCTTCTCCCCTTGAGTTTCTACCTCTTTCCTTTTCTTACATTACCTTCCAAACTTCTTTCTTCAGTGCAGCTTTCCCACACGCCATTTACTTTTCAACCTCATCAAGTCAGGCATCTCCCTCTGCAACTCTACTTAAGGCAGCAGATTCACCAGAAGAACTCAGCAGGTATATACGTGGCATCCAAATGGTTTGCGCCCTGCCCACTTCTCCAGCCAAAGTCTTACAGATGAGTCTCCCTCAGAACCAAACTAGGTTGATTCTCATCCTTCGTCCCCCAGACACAGAGTCCTCCACTCAGTTTCCATGCCTTACCTGCAGCGGGCTTCCCTCCTGACATGCCCGCTCCCTCCCAGCAAGCTCATCCAGGTGTCACTCTTCCTTCAAGTCACATCTTGGTGATGCTCCCACTGACCACTCAGGGTTTGCTGATTACTCCTTGACACATCTCTGATGGTCCTTGTTTCTGTCATTCCCTTGACACTTAGTATGATCTTCTTTATTTTATTAGATGTATTTTGTATCCATGTCCTGACTTTCCAATTAGGTTGTTTGCCTCTTAAGAGCAAGCACTGCATCTTAAGCCCCAGGATACCCTGGGGGCCCAGTACATTGTTGTTTTAATAGTTAGAAAGTGTTTCTCAGTCCCTGATGTGGACAACATTGGTAATATCCAACTGAAAGCTTCATCCATGAGGATAAACAGTCCACATTTGGACTGTTGATTGGGCTTAATTTGCTACTTCTGCTTCTCCACTCTGACACAACTGACCTGCCTCTATCTCTGCTTTGGAATCCTTTCCTGAGCCAAAATAAGATGCCTCTTTCTGGAAATACATCTTCATAAAGCCAGTCACTTGACGTCCCCCACACAAAATTAATTCTTTTTATATTAAACTACTAGGGACTTTCTTGTTCATGAGACTCACCTAGAAACAAAAGCTGTGAGCTGCCATAGAGTTGGCCAGTAATTCATGGCTCCAAACACACTTCAGGCTAAGAGCTGGAGGCACCCCACTCCTTGCCTAGAATTCTCTCCCAGGAAAGCTTTAAAACCACTTCATTTTCTGCTGAATGAATTTTCCCCAAGGCTGCTCATCCACTAGCTACCTCAGCCATTGCTTGTGATGCGTTTTAAGCAAACAGGCATAAAAGATAGCTGTGATCACTGAGAGTTTAGTGAATACTTACAAGTTAAGCAATGTTTATATTTGTTACTCATGGAGAACCAGGAATCCAACCCGACCGAAAGAAGTAATCAGCCCCTTTGGTCCATACTAGAAGGATCTAGCAAAACAATTGGCCAAAACAGCTGAGGATTCCCTGCCAGAGAAGTATGTTGGCAGGAACTATTCTTCTGGGGAGGAAGCTCCAGAGAGTCTTATTTTGTTCTCTTTTGCTGACCATATTTCCTCTCTCTCGCCAGCTGCTTGAAGTAACTGATTATATTACACATTCCCAAGCTTTGAACCCTGGGTACTTTATCACTGAGTTTTCTTCTAGATGAGGATATTTGTTTTAACACTTTCCTCTTCACATGTTTTCTTTGTTTTATAAAAAGGATGTTCTTTTTAGTGAAATTCAAAGATAACTTAATATTGGACTCTCTTCTCTATGTATGAGGAAAGGGCTATTTTAATTAAAGGATTCATCTCACTGGCCAAAGTGACACTTGGAGGCTTTCATGAAGGAGACAGTCTTATCAGATTCTGATTATCCAAACCAACAGTTTTAGGTATGTCTGCTGTACAAGAAGAGGGATGCTGCTTACTAATACAAAATTGATTTGTTCACTATCAACAGAACTAGCAATACAAACAGAAAACAGTGTGCACATGGCTATACTCACATGTACGCACATGTTCCAGGAAGAGGAAAGGTACATATGTGTGAAGATGAGTAATCTTCACACATATAAGGCCACGCACCATTTTCTGAGCCACCCTCTCATTCCTCATCCACTGCCTGACTTTTTGCCTTCGTTGTTCTTGGAAACAGAGGGATTTCTCTTGTCTTACTTCAGGGTCCTTCCGTCTCCTTCTGGTCCTCTGTAACTCAAACTCACATTGTAAGAAGGAGTGCTCTATGCCTCATGGACATACATGAGTCAGACAAAAGTCAAGAGAAGCAGGCCATCAACCCTTCGTCGTTTTGAACAATTTCCTATTCAGAGTGTCTGCAAACTGTTAGCTGGTGATCTCAGCCCACTGCAGCTGCAAATTCTCCAGTGCTAGAAAAATCTAAGCTTCTTTTATTGATTCCCCTCTGGCTTCTTCCACAGCCTGAATTCCATCATCTGGAGGGGGTGGGCCCAAAATAGCCTTGGTACATTGCCTGGTGCTGGGGGCAGCCAGAAATACCAGTTACTGGTCGAATACATACCTTCTACTCAGTTCATTGAAGTAGTTTTTCTATGTAAAGTTATTATAAATTTCAGAGGTATACTATTAAACTGTCAATAAAATATAATTTAGCACATTTCTGAGGTTCTAAAATTAGTTGTTTCTTTCCAAGTATACATAGGATTACTTTTCTTTTTCAACAACAGATTTTCTCTAATATTTGTTTTGTTTTGTGTTTATTCCTTGCCTTTTAGTCTTTAAAGAAGCTCAACCATGCCAATGTAGTCAAATTAAAAGAAGTTATCAGGGAAAATGATCATCTTTATTTTATCTTCGAGTACATGAAGGAAAATCTTTACCAGCTCATTAAAGAGAGGTACAGTTTGGTCATCATTATCTTATTATAGAAATAAATAGGCAAAGCAGATGTGTTTTCTTTCTGCTTTTGTGTTTTCTTTCTCTCCTTTTTTTCTTTTTTTATTTTTTATTTTTTATTTTATTTTATTATTATTATACTTTAAGTTTTAGGGTACATGTGCACAATGTGTAGGTTAGTTGCATATGTATACATGTGCCATGCTGGTGTGCTTTTCTTTTCTTATTGCATTATTCTGATTTTTTCTCCAATCCTTTAACATTCACGCTACTGGGCTTTCATGTTGAAAGCTGCCAGTTAGGTGTGGGGCCCACCCATATTTCTACTTTAGAGGCCCTCTGATAGCTTCAGAGAAGCTGTTCTCAATGCAGTCATTTTCTTATTTTAGAGTTATTCATCCAGGTTGGGCACAGTGGCTGACGCCTGTAATCCCAGCACTTTGGGAGGCCAAGGCGGGCGATCACCTGAGGTCAGGAGGTCACGACCAGCCTCATCAACATGGGGAAACCCTGTCTCTACTAAAAATACAAAATTAGCCGGGCATGGTGGGGCATGCCTGTAATCCCAGTTACTAGGGATACTGAGGCAGGAGAATCACTTGAACATGGGAGGCAGAGGTTGGGGTGAGCGGACATCGCACCATTGCACTCCAGCCTGGTCAACAACGGCGAAACTCCATCTCAAAAAAAAAAGAAGAGTTATTCATCCAAAGAAGCTCAGACTTAATAGACATTGCAGTTTTCCATTATCACTAGGACATATGGGCAGAGCAACTAGAAGTCAAGGGTGGACACAGCTTCCTGGATTTTGAGACCTCTGTTGAAAAGTTCTAGGTTTATTTCAGTTCCTCTCTTGCTGCAGTACTCAGGTAATTGCATGCTGGCAAGAGGAGGCTAATAAGAAATTTACCTGCGACGGTAATTTTGAACTTCAAAGGTGAACCGTATGGAGCCTCTTGGGCACATTTTTTGTGGCAAAATGAATGCCATTCACAGTACTCCTCTGAGTGATCTGAATGAACAAATATCATCTTTATTGACAATGACGGCAGTGTGCTGTGTGTTTTGCCCAGCCAGGAGGAAAATGTTAGCCATTGCATTGCATAAGGGCTTCATCTGGAAGACCTCAAATTTTCCCCACCAAAAATTTTTAAAGTTTTAGTTTGTATCATGGAAAGAGGAGATTTTTTGATATTTATATGCTATGTTGGAGGAAAAACTTTTTTTTGGCTTACTATCAAATGTTTAATCTTTTTGTTTTTGTAACATGTGACTATATTTGGTGTTTATAAGGTAGCTCCCCTGTATGGACAAATGGTATTCTTTAGTATTTATTATCAAAGGATCTGGCCTTTGATTTATAACTTTGTTTTCCTCTGCCTCATACAGAAATAAGTTGTTTCCTGAGTCTGCTATAAGGAATATCATGTATCAGATATTACAAGGACTCGCATTTATTCACAAACACGGTAGGTGATTCGGAGTGTTGTGCTTTTGAAGAGCAGTGAAATGTTGTTATCAAGTAGAAGTTGTAGGAAACATTAATATTTTTTGTAGCTGACTCCCAGAAAAGGTTGAAGAGTTGAGAGGCTGACAATGGATTTTAAAATATATTAACTTTTATAACTTGATCTCTGAATTTCCCTCATTACTTATTGTGTCTGCATGTTTTTATTCTGTAGGCTTTAACATTAAGCTTGTTGGTTATAGATCTAAATATTGTTTCTGACCATTGAGTAGTATGTTAAATGAGAAACCTACAATTAGAATTCTGAGCAGTTTCATGTATTATGTTTGGTCCACTAACAGTGCTTCACTGTTACTTCTCATTTTTCTAATGTATTTATATTTCAACTTGTTTCAAGCGAGTTTAAAAGTAGTCTAACAAAATGTATGCGACACAGGAAAATAGAATAAATTAAAAATTAGCAAACTAAAAAAAGAGACAAAGGCAAAACAAGATGTGGATATAGCCAGAGGTGAGGTTAGTCCTCAAAATGCATGCCAGCAAGTTTTATTTCAATAGAAGAAGCAGGCTAAGATTTGATTGTGAGCTCGTTGTCAGACCATGCAAAATGTGAAATATTACCAGTTACAACACACATAGGTAAAAAGAGACCAGTTACCCAAGAAAAGCAGAACTATTCTTGATACCAAGACCAGAGAGAAGCTTTTTTCATGGACCCTTTAGAGAGGACGGTATGTAACATGACTTTATCATAAACACAGTGATGGGTTTTAGAGGGCAGTTTTTTGTCATATCCCTCAATGGAGGCCAATTACATCACCTAATCAGAGAAAACATTTCTACGGGGGCCAGTCTGAGTTGTTCTACAGATGGTCTGGTTAGGCTGGGGAGAAATTTAGAATATCCAAAGGAACGATGACCACATACCATTCTGGAAATCCCCCATCACTGTTGTTCTTAGCTGAGCTTTTGAAAGGTATTAAGCAGCAAAGAGTTTGAGGTTCTATTTTCCAGCAACTACCTGGAGTATTGCTGCTTGTTGTTACTAACTAGACACAGACCCAGCTGGGGTTGGATCAATACTTCTTGTGAGCACAGAGCCACCAGATGGACGTATCCACAGGTGGGCCAGAAGTCTTCTCAGGAGGTCATTTGAGGTCATTGTAATATACAGACAGATGGGCGAAGCTGATTTTGCATAGGTAGAAATCCATTTACTCTCAGTCCAAGGATGTTGTTGCCATTGTAAATATTGCACCAACAAATAAGTTTTATTACTCAAGGAGACTGGGTGGAAGCCCTTTGATAATATAGTCAGTTCAGATTTTTAAACTTTTTTTAAGAGAAGGTCTCAATATGCTGCCCAGGCTGGCCTTGGACTCCTGGGCTCTAGCGATCCTCCTGCCTTAGCCTCCTGAGTAGCTAGTTTAGATTTGATGTAAATTAACAGTGAGTAGAAAAGACCTTGTGCTGAAGAAGGTGGCATAGTGCATCTGGGATCATTACCAGCCTGTCCTTTACTTCTGAGGTAGCTGCTTACAATTAGAGACTAAATGAAACACAGACAAACCTAGGCTATCTGCAAATCCTAGTCTGCCTCAGGCACATACTGAGTAATCAGCATGTACTATGCAAGACTGAGTCAAATTGTGAACCAGTTCTAGTCAAAAGTTTCTAGTACAAGTTTTCTCTGATTCCACTGACATTTGTGGAACTAGTACTTGGGCCTTTATTCACAAGAATTCACAAGAGATGGTGTGAATTTGCAAAACATTAAAAACTTCTGGCATGGTATCTTAGGGACAAATAGGAGAAAGGTCACTTATTAGATTAAGAGCTCAGGGAAAAGAAATAATGAGAATTCAATGGGATTCTCAAAAGAGATAACACATTTTCAGATAGAGACCAGTCATAGTGTCTCAGTTTTTCAGGCTATTTTCTCAGTACTGGGAACTGAGTGGTAGACTTAAACAAAAGTTAATATTCTTTGGTTTTTTCTTCTTTCTCATTTTTGTTGCTATTCTTTAGACCCAGATACTTGTTGCCAGAAAGTAGCCTTCTGTCCAGGCCTCTACCTAATCAAATGTATGCATATATATATATACACACACACACAAACACATAGACCACACATAAGCACCCCAAGACACATGCAGACACATGCAAACATCTACATGTACACATACCCACATGCATATATGCCTACATATACATTCATCTTACACACACACACACACACACACACTCATCTGTAGTACATAATTTAGCATCCATATATTACTGTGTCAAAACAGTTTGTTGGAACTCTGCACTGTGTTTCCCTCCATGCACTAGACACTCAGACCACAAGGTACCAGGGAAGGCTCAGTTTATGGAGAAGGTTGGACCTTGGCTTTTATAGCCTCAACACCATTGCCATTACCAGAGATTCTTGTTGACACTTTTCCTCAGCAATTAAGTGCCCAGTTCCAGTTTGAGCTTAACATTTTATCTGTTACCTTATTTCCTTGCCAATTTATCAGGTAGAACGAATAGGTGTTATCTAGTCTTTACAAAAAAGAGGAAACTAAGGTTCAGAGAAGTTCAAACACCTGTGAAAGGTCCCATTGCAATAAAGTGGTTGAGTGGAGATTAGTTCAGATAGCCTATGCCTGTTTGCCATGCTTGATTAGAAAAACCTGCCTGTGCTCAGCGAGAACAAGAGAATAAGAGGTGAAGAAAATAATAATCATTGTAAGTGGTATAGAGACTAATTTCAGTTTCACCCTGTCACCCAGGCTGGAGTGCAGTCACGCAGTCTCGGCTCACTGCAACCTCTGCCTCCCAGGTTCTAGCGATCCTCATGCCTCGGCCACCTGAGTAGCTGGGACTACAGGTGCATGCCACCACGCCCGGCTAATTTTTTTTTTTTTTTTTTTTGAGACGGAGTCTCGCTATGTCACCCAGGCTGGAGTGCAGTGGCGCGATCTCAGCTTACTGCAAGTTCCGCCTCCCAGGTTCACGCCATTCTCCCGCCTCAGCCTCCTGAGTAGCTGGGACTACAGGCGCATGCCACCACACCCGGCTAATTTTTTGTATTTTTTAGTAGAGACGGGTTTCACCATGTTAGCCAGGATGTTCTCGATCTCCTGACCTCGTGATCCACCCGCCTCGGCCTCCCAAAGTGCTGGGATTACAGGCATGAGCCACTGTGCCCGGCGCCCGGCTAATTTTTGTGTTTTTAGTAGAGATGGGGTTTTCACCATGTTGGCCAGCCTGGTCTCCAACTCCTGCTGTCAAGTGATCCACCCATCTTGGCCTCCCAAAGTGCCAGGATTACAGGAGTGAGCCACTGCACCCAGCCCCTATCCCATTTTCACTGCTAAATGATTTTTAGAAATTGTCTAATGGTTTTTGTATGGTATTGACTTTGGTTAAGTGCACGTGTACCTCTATATTCCTTTCCTTCAGCAATGGAAAAAAAGTACTTAAAGCACTTCAAAGATTAGTCATGTAAATTTCAGGCTTTTCTCTGGTAGCCCATTCTCACTGTGAGGAGGTGCATTCTGCCTCTGGGGGGTAGACTTCTCTGAGAGGGGAGAACAGTGCTGCAGGTAGTTAGTACGGCCATACTTCGTGTCACTATTTCCTTCCTACAGGGAATGAAAACACAGCTCTACTTGGTACTGATTGAGCAATGCCAAAGCATATGTCCTTTGCAGGAATTAAATAATTAATGCAAATGGTCTGTTTCAACTCTGACTTGACCTTACAGATATCCAGGTCACACTTATCCGTGCCAGAAATAGAAATGCATTGGGCAGTCTGAAGGACAATGTTTTGCACCAAGAGATGGTTCTCTGCCTCTGTGTTTCCTCACTGTCTTGCTGTGCATGACCTTGAGATAGTCCATTGCCTTTCTATGCATTGCTGTCGTTCTAGCCTTCTTGATAAAAACATTGTAGGTTTGAATTTAATAATATCTGGGAAATTAAAGTTTCCACAGCAGGAAAGTGTCCTGTATAAATTCATAGTGTTTGAAGATTCTCTGGTTATTTCCATATATTCATATCTGATTCATCAATAACAAAATGTGGTAGAGGGGAGAAAGCCTTCTTTGTGGCTTGATGTTTTCCTTGCCCAAGGGTTATTAATGAAAAAGTAAGCACACACATTTTCTGCCAGGATGAAAGAAAATCCCTCTGTTATTCAGCTGGCATATAGGGGTGAAATTAAATTGAAGGTCTGTTCCTGTCTTCTGGAAGTCAAACAGTTTTGAACAGGAAGGTTCTTATCATAATAGAACTTTGCTGTTGCGTGATCTCTGAATGACCACAACTAAAAGGGTTTCCATTGTGAATCAGAAGCCCAAAGGAAGAAGTAGGCTTATTGTTATAGGTCACATTGCACACACCAGCAGAACTGGAACCCTGCTACGAATCAGAGTTTTATTACCACCTCCTCACCGATGGAGCATGTCAGATGTAATTCTTATTAGCAAAAAATGGAGCCATGTCTGCCTCCCTACTTCAACAGGTATGTGGGAGAGTCAAATGAGAGAATGTGTTAATAGTAGTACTGTTAATGACCAGCTCTTGCAAGGTATTAATGTGCAAGCACTGCTCAAAAAGCTTTATAGGCTGGGCGCAGTGGCTCATGCCTGTAATCCCAGCACTTTGGGAAGCCGAGGTGGACGGATCATCTAAGGTCAGGAGTTCGAGACCAGCCTGACCAACATGGCGAAACCCCGTCTCTACTAAAAATACAAAAATTAGCTGGTCATAATCCCAGCTACTTGGGAGGCTAAGGCAGGAGAATAGCTTGAACCCAGGAGGCAAAGGTTGCAGTGAGCCGAGATGGCACCACTGTACTCCAGCCTGGGTGACAGAGTGAGACTCTGTCTCAAAACAAAACAAAACAAAAAACAAACAAACAAAAAAGCTTTACAAATATAACACATTTAATCCTGCAGAACAACCCTATTAGGTAGATGCTATTATTTCCCCATTTTACAGATAAGAAAACTAAGGCACAGGAAGGATAAGTACTTTTCAGCCAGTGAGTAACAGAATTATGATTTGAAATCAGGCAACTTGGCTGGTCTGCACACCTACCCGCTATGTGGCATTGCCGCTCATAAGGAAATAGTAATGTCATGTTAAAATAGACATGAAAAGCACCTGTATATGACATAAGGATCTTATACTTTTAATTACCAGGAATAGATCTCATGTGTATAAGGCTAATAACAGCCCATTGTTACATTATTCAGTACTTAACAGAGGGCTAGATAGTCTACAGATATATTCACAAATTTGTTATATTGACTTCTACTTGAAGTCAATATAACAAATACAGCATATGTCAACTGACAGATACAGTTTTTCATCAGTCATTTTTATAGTCTGTTAGCAATTAATTTTCTTTCCCAGCCATTTTCCCTTGCTTGTTTTGAGCCTGAAGTAGGGCCCATAAAAAGAGAAGCTGCTTAAAGGGATATGTGGGGAATCGGAATCTTCCTTCCCCTCATTTCATTAGTGTGCATGTCCTCTGTGGAAGTATATGATTAAAGAGGAGTTAGCAGTGAGGGAGAGGATAAAGCTTGGCTGATGGGAGGAGTGGCCAGTGTTTACAGGAGCATGACTACAGTGGAAACAAAGAACGAGGTCTGGAGTGTGAGCACGATACTTGCATCTGAGTATGAATTGATGATAGGAAGAACTGAGCAGAGAGAAGACACAAGTTTGTTGTGGTGGGTGTTCTAGATGATGCCAGAGGGAGTTGCCATAGTGGGTAGGGGCTGCAGAACAAAGGACCCATTATAACGGAACTGCCACATAAGTTTGGAAATAATAATTACCCCAACTAAATGAGAAAAAGGGAGTCTATGAGGGGAAATAGCATTAATCTAGACTTGAGAGGATCAAAACAACAAATCAAGATTTAGCTATATGGGCCGGGCACAGTGGCTCACGCCTGTAATCCTAGCACTTTGGGAGGCTGAGACGGGTGAATCACTTGAGGCCAGGAGTTGGAGACCAGCTTGACCAGCATGGCAAAATCCTGTCTCTACTAAAAATACAAAAATTAGCCGGGCATGGTGGTGCAGGCCTGTAATCCCAGCTACTTGGGAGCCTGAGGCATGAGAATTGCTTGAACCCGGGAGGTGGAGGTTGCATTGAGCTAAGATGGTGCCACTTCACTCCAGCCTGGGCGACCAGCAAGACTCTGTCTTACAAAAAAAAAAAAAAAAGATTTAGCTATATGGATTGAAAGGGAGAGTAGAGCTGGACACTATAATAGCTATGACACATTTCTTGGTGGAATTGGGAGTAATTCATCTACCGCCCCCTGCCACCATGATTCAGTTTTCCCATCTGTGGAGTAAGAAAATGATGCTTGCCATTCCTTTTTTTCACTGGAATGTTTTGAACACTCTGAGTTTTTAGGAAGACAAACCATGGTCTCACAATTCATCTATTTTCAGAGGTCACAGGTGCGTTGACCAAAGATCACTGTAATCACTGCTTGTATCCTTACACATTCTTAAGCCAGTTCCAAAATGGAAACACACAATCAGGCCTTCTGCAAGCTGGAGGGTGCTCTGAAGAACAGAGGGTCCAAACACAATGACTCAGTTATGCTAAGTCTTAGAGATGTCACCCACTGTGGTGGGCATGAATAAATCTTTAATTAGGCTGATCATAAGCATCTAAATGTGTCCATATCAGAAATCTTTTCATTCATTTTAAAGGCCATTCTTGACTGATACTGAATGCTCTTTGCATTTGTTGAGTTGACAACCTCAAGTTTGGTTCTTATGTATAATTTTGGTTTATTTTACTATTAAGTTCACTAGGATATTTCAAGGAATTGTATGAGGAAGGCCATTAGGTGTGTACCAGTACAATGGCAGGATAAAGAATGAGCAGTGGAATATATATTCATAAATATTTCACAATATACATACAAACCCGTGTATGCATGTGCTATAAAATAGCAAACTTGCTGTGCCTGTCTCTGGTTTAACCCATGTCAAACTTTTTTGATCTCATCAATGCCTTGGATTGTGGAAAATAAAAGCAACCCCGTGGTGGGAAGGAAGTACTTCCTCCTCTCACTTATGCCCTCTTGAATGTATCTGATCACTTCTATACCTTCATCCCCTTCTGTATTTACTGGGTTCTAGGCTCTGTAATTACATTCACTTTGTCCATCTATGCCAGCTACTTCTCCTACAGATCCGCCATTATGCCATAGTATAATACTATCCATTTGGAACTTGACCCAGTATTAAGTACTGTTGTCTTTAGAATGATGAACAGAGAGGATTGTCCTATTACTAAAATATTGTTCCTTTCCATGATAATGGCAATTAGTGTATTTTCACATATAACCACATCACAATCACCCTCCCTTTGCTCTAGGGCAGTGACAGTCTTTGGAAAACAACCTTGACTAATAGATTTAGTCCTACTAGAGTTCCTGCCTTCATTCATTCATTCAACTAATACAACTCCCTCTGTCACAAGGACAACCAGCTCTGAGCCCTCATTGTCCCCTGCACTACTGGGTCATTGTTCTCTCTCAGTTCTCAGTGCTGTCTCATGGGTTTCCTCCCTCCCATCCTCCTCACAGCTCTGGTTTGCTCTCTAGTTGACCCTGGTGCTTGGCTCAGGTAGATGTGTTAACATTAAGCTGTTTAATGTTCCCTACAGACGAAAGTCCTTTGTTCAATCAGCAAGAGTATATTATGAGACCACAGTGCTCCTGCCACTGTGCCAGGCATTCATAAGAAATATAAATGTGGCCTCTGCCCTTAAAGTGCTTCTGTCTAATTCATAAAAAATGGTTAGCCAGGTGCGGTGGCTTACACCTGTAATCCCAGCACTTTGGGAGGCTGAGGTGGGTGGATCATGAGGTCAGGGGATCGAGACCACCCTGGCTAATATGGTGAAACCCCGCCTCTACTAAAAATACAAAAAATTAGCAGGGTGTGGTGGCAGGCGCCTGTAGTCCTAGCTACTCAGGAGGCTGAGGCAGGAGAATGGCGTGAACCCAGGAGGCAGAGCTGGCAGTGAGCTGAGATTGTGCCACTGCACTCTAGCCTGGGCAACAGAGCAAGACTCCGTCTCAAAAAAAAAAAAAATGGTTAACATACCTGAAGTTGATAGAGCTCAACTGGAGTTAGAGGGGAGGGCCTATTATGTCCATGAGGGCAAGAGTCATGTCCATTGCATTGTTTCTGAATCCTTAGAACCTAATCTGTTGCCTGGCATGGAGCAGATGCTCAGTGAAAATGTGTTGGTAGAATGAATGAATGAATGAATGAAGGCTACCATGTTAGAATGGCATAATGGAAGAAGCGAAACTCAAAACAGGTGTTGGAGGATGGCAAAAGTTGGGATTGATGTAGACAAAAAGGAGTAAAGGGCACATTATTAATGGAAATAAGTACAGTTACATATCACTTGATGACTGGATATGTTCTGAGAAATGTGTTGTTAGACAATTTTGTTGTTGTGCAAACATCATAGAGTACACTTACTTAGACACACCTAGATGGTATAGCCTATTACATAGCTGGACTATATGGTATAGCCTGTTGTTCCTAGACTGTAAGCCTCTACAGCATGTTACTGTACTGAATACTATAGGCAATTGTAACACAATGGTAAGTATTTGTGTATCTAAACATAGAAAAGGTACAGTAAAAATATAGTATAAAAAATTTTTTTAAAAATGGTACACCTGTATAGGGCACTTACTGTGAATGGAGCTTGCAGGAAATGGCTCTGGGTGAATCAGTGAGTGAGTATGAAGGTCTAGGACACTTTATAAACACTGTACACCAAGGATACACTAAATTTTTAAAATTTCTTTCTTCAATAATTAATCTTAGCTTGCTGAAACTTTTTATTTCATAAACTTATACTTTTTTTAACTTTTTGACTCTTTTATAATAACATTTGGCTTAACACATATGGCTATACAAAAATATTTTCTTTATATCCCTATTCTATAAGCTTTTACTGTTCTTAAATTATTATTATTACTTTTTTAACTTTTTTGCTAAAAACTAAGACACAAATACACACATTAGCCTAGGCCTACACAGGGTTAGGATCATGAGTATCATTGCCTTCCACCTCCACATCTTGTCCCACTGGAAGGTTTTGAGGTGCAATAATACGCAGGGAGCTGTCATCTCCCATGATAACAAAGCCTTCTAGGTACCTCCTGAAGGACCTGCCTCAGGCTGTTTTACAGTTAACTTTTTTTTTTTTTTTAGTAAGTAGAAGGAGTACAATTCTAAAATAATGATTAAAAGTATAGTATAGTGAATACTAGATAAGGATTTTTCAGCTTCATTATAATAAGACCACCATCATATATGCAGTCCATCATTAATTGAAACTTCGTTATGCAGTGCATGACTGTACAGTGAACTTACAAAGAATGAGGAGTTGCACCTGATTGGAGCACACTTTACATGTATTGATAAGTGTTGGAAAATAAGTTTCTCTCTTTAGGTAGAGTGAAAGGAGTTCAGCCCTGTTTAATATAAAAAGGAGTCATGGATGGTTTTTGTGGGTGAATGAGAGAGTGACAAGGGAAAGATAGTGTTTAAGTGGTCAGGATTATAGGAGAGAAGCTGGAGCAAGGAAGGTCTGCAAGAAAGTGGCAATGCAGGCATAGGCAGTGAGAAAGTAGAAAGAGACAGATATGAGATTTACCCCCCCAACCCCCCCGCGCCGCTCCAAAACGAAGTCTTGCTTTGTTGCCTGGGCTGGAGTGCAGTGGTGTGATCTCAGCTCACTGCAACCTCCACCTCGCAGGTTCAAGCAATTCTCCCACCTCAGCCTCCCGAGTAGCTGGAATTACAGGCATGTGCCACCACGCCCGGCTAATTTTTAAAATATTTTTAGTAGAGATGGTGTTTCACCATATTGGCCAGGCTGGTCTCGAACTCCTGACCTTCAAGTGATCCGCCCGCCTCGGCCTCCCAAAGTGTTGGGATTACAGGCGTGAGCCACCGCGCCTAGCTGATATGAGATGTTTTGATAGAAAATACGACACAATCTCATAACTGGGTAAGGATGGATCCAACATAACTGCAAGGTACCTAGAAATCTTATCCAAAGGTTAGGAAGGGGAGATGATTTGGGAGAGGACAAAAGTGGTTTTGGATAAGTTAACATAGGGATGATAGTGACATCCAGTTGCTGTCCAAATAGAGATTTATGTCTTCAGAAGGGTAGAGAAGGCACATTAGAAATGTAGACTTGAGCGTTGTCAACATACAGGTTGTCAAGGAATCGTGTAGATCTTCAGTGATGGCTATTAATTTCTCCCATAATGTGCTAGTTAGAATCCAGCTTTCACAACATTGATACAGATTGAGTATCTCTTACTTGAAATGCTTGGGTCCAGCAGTGTTTCTGAATTTGGATTTTTTCAGATTTTGGAATATTTACATTATATTTTACCAGTTGAACATCCCTAACCCAAAAATCCGAAATCCAAAATGCTGCAGTAAGCAATTTCTTTATGTGTCAGGTTGGTGCTCAAAAAGTTTCAGGTTTTGGAGCATCTCAGATTTTGAATTTTCAGAGTAGGGAATACTCAGCCTGTAATGATAGCAATGATAATGTGTAACAAATAATAGCATCAGCAGCAGCTGAGTTGTATTTCCAGTATTGGTGTCCCATTGAGATTTGGAGCCACATTAAATGATGTCTAGGTTGGTGATACTCTCAGGAAGTGGGAGGTTTGGGGTTTTCAGAGACATATATTGCAATTCACTGGGCGTTTGAGTGAGCTTGGAAGATTGCCATGTTGACTATCTCCTGCCTGTACCTCCAGAGCTCTGCTATAGCTGAGACAGGCTTCCTACGTAATGAGTTATCTTTGCCTTTCATGTGAGCTGCAAATGTACCATTGTACTTCCTCACTAGGCAAAGTAATAAGTACTTAACATTTAAACATATGTTGCAACATACACCACAATCTCAGATATGAGTAGGTCATATTCATAAATTATTTCTTAAACAAAAATTATAATTGTGTTTCTGCTGTGGTATAAACTCTCAATTCCCATCAGACAGTTATCTGGGCCGGGCATGGTGGCTCACACTTATAATCCCAATACTTTGGGAGGCTGAGGCAGGAGGATAGCTTGAAGCCAAGAGTTCAAGACAAGCCTGGGCAACAGAGCAAGACCCTATCTTTACAAAAACAAAAAAAAAAAAAACAAAAAAACTAGCCAGGCACCATGGTTTGTGCCAGTAGTCCCAGCTACTTGGAAGGCTGAGACAGGAGGATCACTTGAGCCCAGACTGCAGCGAACTATGATTGTGCCACTGCACTCCAACCTAGGCAATAGAATGAGATGCCGTCAGTGATATTTTTCCCTTGAGTGACAGTTTATTTTTGCAAAGTTATCTCAGCCTATAATCCAGTTTGATATTTTAAAAGAAATTTTCTCTCTAGTTAAAAAAAATTATGAAGAACACCTTTGAATGATTTGCAAAGGGAAATGAATGTAGTAATCCTATGAGAAGTTCGAAGGACTCTACATTATCTGTGGGATGAATGCATAAAGCCTTTGGTGCCATGCCAGACTACTTTTTAAATTATAACTATTTTGCAGAGAGCAATACAATTGCAAAGAATAATACGAAGCAAACTTGCATTTGGATTTCTTCTCCTCTACTGTCTCTATAGGCTTCTTTCATCGAGACTTAAAGCCTGAGAACCTCCTCTGCATGGGACCAGAACTTGTGAAAATTGCAGACTTTGGTTTGGCCCGAGAAATACGATCAAAACCTCCATATACAGATTATGTATCTACCAGATGGTGAATACCATTTTTCTCAAAATTATTTAATTGCACTTCTTTAAAAAGATATCATTATGCTAAGGATAATATTAAAGTCACAAATGTTAACTTTTCACTAAGAGAAACAGTGCAGTCTGAAACATATATTTATAGATATGTTGGTAATGTACAAGGTTAAAAATCTTGTGTTCTAAATCATGTTAAAAGAAAACCTATTATGCTTTTCTATAATGTAAATAAAATTTTATATATAGGCCTTCCTGAGGACAGCTTAACAAAAGAATTATGTAAAATATTCTGCAAAGACCTGTCTGAGAACCATCTAATTGCTATTGTGAAAACTTTGAGACACTGGGAATTTGATTTAAGCAGTTTGCCATGACCAAGTAGTCTACACACAAGTTGTAGGTTTTTTCCTCCCTCTTCCTTTCTCTCTTAGTTTTTCCCTTCCACTTTCTCTTTTCTCTCTTTTTTCCTAATTCTTACTTTCTCTGTGTTTCTCAAAGATGCCATAGAGAAGTCTCCTGTAGAGAAATGCTCAGTAGAAAATATTGTGAACTAGAGAAGCACTACTTGTCAACAGCAGCCCACGGCAGTTGCCAAGTTCTCACAATTCCATTACACCACAGTGAACTAGAGAGAAAATAGGAACATATACACCCCCTCACTGAGAACTGATTGTTATTTAATTTAATGTCTGAGTGGTGGAAGCAATAGCTAGCAGTTAACCTTTGTTCCTCCAGGTACAGGGCTCCAGAAGTACTCCTGAGGTCTACCAACTACAGCTCCCCCATTGACGTCTGGGCGGTGGGCTGCATCATGGCAGAAGTTTACACCCTCAGGCCACTCTTCCCTGGAGCCAGTGAAATTGACACAATATTCAAAATTTGCCAAGTGCTGGGGACACCAAAAAAGGTAATGATACAAAACAAAGGCCAGTGGGCCAAAGCCAACAGCTTCCCATGCTTCCTCCGCTCAGCCCTGTTCAGCACTGGCATGATTGAGCACCTGCCCATTCTAGGCTCTTTCTCTTGACCTCAGTCATTCTCCACTGCCCACGTTCTCAGATACGGTCGGCTTCTCTTCCTCCTCCTGTTCTTAAGTATGACATCTGTCATGGCTCCTTCTGCCTTCCTCTCTGTATCATCTCACCTCCCTTGCAGAACTTCTCAGTTCTCATTGCTACAACTCCTACGCCTGTTCAGAAGTCTCCTGAATGTAATCCTTAGCCGCTGCCTCCCTCCATTATTACTACACTCACATGTTTACAACGCTCTATGGGATTTTCTCCTGACTCCCTCACCATCACCTCAAACTCATCATTGCCTTTTGTTTAACACCCTACTAGCTTCCTTCTTTCATTCTCCATTTTCATTTGTGGTCTGATCATAATCCCAGAGCCCCCACCTTGAGGCTGAATTTCAGCTTTACCTTCTGTCTTTCTCTTGCTCCCCTTTCCCTTCATCTAAGCGGTTGGTGGGTAAATCCTGTTGAATATTGCCACATGGCTCTTGTTCCTTCAAGTCCACTGCTGCCATTACAGACTGGACCACAGTCACCCCCCTGTGTCTAATGTCATCTTCCCCATCTTTCTGCCTTGAAGTATTTTCACTCTGGCTTCTTGTTCAGTCTGTGGCCAGATTCAGCTTCCTAAAGAACAGCTCTGGTACTGACTTCCCCTCATAAAAGTATTGGTTGACTCCCCATTGCCCAGCCTCATAACTCCTATTCCTATCGCTCACTTCATACCTATACACCTAACAGCTGCATGCCCTGAAATTTCCCTGCTTCTGTGCTCTGCACATAACACCCTCTGCCTGAGTGATATCTGTCACATGGCCGTCAGTAATCCCCCTCCTCACTGTTTCTCTAATCTCCTCCCCATCTTCAGCTGTGTCCTATGTTATTAATATTATTATTTGCGTACATAGTTGTTTCCTAGACCATAAGCTCACTCAGGACAAGGATTTGCTGTATGTTTATTTTCCCAGGTCCCAGCACCATTGCTGGTGCAAACTAGATCCTCAAAAAAATTTTTTAATCATTTGAATGAATTATTAATGCCACCTCTTCAAGAAAGTTTCCTGAGTCCAATGCTGGAATCTTTCTCCTCTGCATATCTGTACCTGCACATCTCTTGCAGCTTTTGTCAGTTTTTACTCTGCATTATACCATTTTTAAATAAATGCTCTTTTCTCTTTTAAGAACAGTAATACTCTTAAGCGCAGGATTTATATTGGATCATTTTTGGATCTCCAACAACACTAAGCATATAGTAGGCATTCCAGAACTGTCAAGTGAATGAACGATAAAAGCTATATGTATTGCCACTTGGCTTTAAAAAGGAGTGGAGGAACAATTACCTTAGGCTGTATGTTATAAAATAGTAGAGTGTTAGAACTAGAAGGAACCTTAAAGACCATTTCTTTAGCATTTTCCATCATTCCCTCCAGCATTTAGTGTCCCATAGAAATGATGCATGAAAAAGTGGAAAGCTTGAGACTGGGTGAAACACCTTTCTTTACTGCTGGTTTTCTCCACATGTATACTTTCAATCACCAAGTTGAAGATACTGTAGGTAGAGTTTCACAAATTTATTTGTCCAGGAACAAAATGTTTTGTTTTATTTTGTTTTCCCCAAAAGAATATCTCATTGGCAGTTTTCAGAACCTCTGTCTCATGGAACACAGTTGGGGAAATATTAATTTGTTTCAATCCCAAAATCTCAAGAGAATCTCTTATGTAAAGATAATTAAGTTGGCAAATCCAGTGTCTTTTCCACTATTCCCCCAGATTTCATGGTCTTGGTGGTCTCTCTATTAATCTAAATCTATGTCTCATTCCATACAGTGCCACAGTAGTGAATGTGGGTGGTTAATGAATGTGGGTGGGTAATGACATGGTTGCCTTTCCATTTGGGGCACACATGCCAGAATACAAACTTATATCACAGCAATTGGCTGAGCAAGATTTTCTATCTTTTCCTTCTTTCAGACTGACTGGCCTGAAGGCTATCAACTTTCAAGTGCAATGAACTTCCGTTGGCCACAGTGTGTACCCAATAACTTAAAGACCTTGATTCCCAATGCTAGCAGTGAAGCAGTCCAGCTCCTGAGAGACATGCTTCAGTGGGATCCCAAGAAACGACCAACAGCTAGTCAGGTTTTCTTCCATTTTCTTGTTATAACGTTCATATCTAACTCTGAATAATTTCTATGAATTGCACAGGAAATATTTAGTATTTAGTATTATGGGTGAGAAATAGTACAGAATACCACTAATGGTGTACTATATAAGGTATGAGAACTTAAAATAGTTTGAAACTTACTGGGTATAAAGTAGTTACAATGTAAACAATATAGTTGCTTTGAAAATTGGCATGTAATTCACATGATATATCACCATTTATATGGAAATGGAAATAAACATATATTTATCTGTCTTTGGAGAATGTTTTCAAATCTATTCTCTATGAGTTACAATTATATAGTAGTTTGTTTATAAGCCGGTACTGGTTGTTGAAAGGCAACTTCATATTATGTAAAAGTCCAACTGACTCATAACCTGAAGAGATTGACAGATGAGATAGACCTAGGATAGTAACTGCACTTAGTATTTCATAGCACTTTACAGTGTGCAAATGCTTGAATATATTTTATATGATTTTTAATCCAATAAAGACTCCATGAGACAGGCATTATTGTTTTCAATTCTGTGAGTGAGAAAACTCAATCTTGGAAAGTTTAAGCAATTTGCTCTAATCACTCATCCATTAATTAGTTCAAATAGTGCAACTAACTACAATTCAACCAACTGACCGGAAGTATGAAGTCAGGTCCACTGGTTTCATAGCTCCTTTCCCAATCCATCCTCCCATGGGCCACTTAGACTTAAATAATGAAATATACCCAAAAGAGGTATGGTAACGCTGGGGGCTCTTATCACTCACAGGCATCTTGCAAGCCTCCTTTTGTGGTAGTTACATCTGGCCCCTTCTCAACTTGTCTCACTGACAATTACATTGCTCAGAGGATCATATAAGTGACCAATTCTAATCAGAGAAGATGTTCAGAAGAAGAGTGATGAGGATATTTGAAGAAAAGTGCCAATGTGGTGGTAGAATTTGTGATAGCTGGGGAGATGATAGTTGGAGGAATAATTAAGGAGTGTAGAAAAGCAATTTTCTGAAAGCTCAAGGAAAAAAGAACTACAATTTGGTGCCGTAAGACTTTGGATGGCTCAAGGGCTGGAAAGCTCTCAGGAATGCAGTTCTGGTGGTGAAATTCACAAATGGCTGCAGGGCAGAAAAGAAGCTTTTGGATGAACCCAGTTTTTTAACAGATGCATGTAAGAAATGGAAAGAAAAAGATTCTGTAACAAGGAAGCAAGAGAGGAATGTATGCTTTTAAGAATAGTGTGAAAAGCTAAAAATACCCCCCAAATCAGTTAAGACTTGCAAAAATGTCTGTGACTACAGAGAAGGCTTTCAAGTTATAATAGATGCTAGAGTCTGGGACCTCTACCAGGCTATTCCCATTAATTGCCTCTGTATCTACACTTGCATATAATCATTACAGATGTTTATAACTGTCCCAGGCCTACTCAGAAAGATTATGTTATGCTTAATAACTTTCATTCAGAAAGACAAGAGAATATAGGAAATATTTCAGAAAGAATTGTAACCCCCTAAACTTTAAGTTATCTCTTGGCTATCCAGAAAACTCAGTTATCCAGAACAACTGACACGGTTTTGTTCTTGATAGGGAAGGGTTAACTATATCATGTATTACACTCTTGGCACTTTTGGGATAAAAGCATATGTGCCTGCTTATTTTGTACTCAATTCTTCAGAGTCTTCCAGGATCATTATGTTTGGCTCTTTCAGTTTTGTATTATTTTTTTCTTCTTCTGTGGAATGAGGAAATAGGCTTGGAAGGATGAAATACTCTATTTAAGACACATAGCAAATAAGTTACAAAACCAGGATCTGTGTTGATCCAGAATGCTTTTTAGAAGTAGCCAGGGTAACAGCAGTGTAACTGGCTACTATATATAAATAACTTTGTGTTGCAATCATTACATATATTTTATGGTATCTTAGATAAGAAAAATCACAAGGGGTGTTAAAAATTCAAGGTACTGTTTTCTAATTGGGCTAAGAAACAGTAGTAAACTGGTCACAATGAAATATAGCCCAGTAATCAAGACAGTGGTAACTTTCCTGGCTAGACTTTTCTCCTAAAGCCTTATTTGTCATTCCAGGCACTTCGATATCCTTACTTCCAAGTTGGACACCCACTAGGCAGCACCACACAAAACCTTCAGGATTCAGAAAAACCACAGAAAGGCATCCTGGAAAAGGCAGGCCCACCTCCTTATATTAAGCCAGTCCCACCTGCCCAGCCACCAGCCAAGCCACACACACGAATTTCTTCACGACAGCATCAAGCCAGCCAGCCCCCTCTGCATCTCACGTACCCCTACAAAGCAGAGGTCTCCAGGACAGATCACCCAAGCCATCTCCAGGAGGACAAGCCAAGCCCGTTGCTTTTCCCATCCCTCCACAACAAGCATCCACAGTCGGTGAGCAGCCCAGATTCACCAGTGAGCTTCGTGTCTGTTTATTCCTCTTCTGACCCCATTATTGTGTGAAATATTTTCTTTTTCAGTATACAGGGTCCAGTTATGGTAGATTTATGTTTGCAACAGCATGGAATTGTAAAGACCCTTGGCTTTGGAGTGAAAGATCTAAATTCAAGTTCTGGCTGTGCCTGTTAAAACCGTTGTCACTAATGGAGGCAGCTATAGGGTAGTGGCTGGGAGCTGGCCTCTGCAGCCAGACTGCCAGGGGCTCAAATCTCAGCTCTGCTGTTTAGTAGCTTGATACCTATGCAAGTTATCTGGCTTCTCTGCTCCTCATTTTCCTCATCTGTAAAATAAGGATAATAATAGTACTTACCTGATACAATTGCTTTGAGGACTAATGAGTTAATACTTGAAAAGAATTTAGAATAATACCTGGCACCTAGTTACAACTCTGTAAAGGTCAGTAATTGTTATTAATCCCTATGGATTCAGTTTCCTCATTTATCAAAGGAAGATTATAGTGCATGTCTTACCTACCAGACAGGGTTGTTCATGAGGATCAAAGGCCATGATGTTTTTAAGATATTTTGAAAAGCATAAAGCGCTGTGTTAATATTTGTAGATTGTTATCCACATTACTGCTGTTATTCAATATGTTAATGCTGGGCTATTAACTGAGCCCAGATCTTTCTGCTCCTCTTTGGCTGCTTTTCAAAAGAAAAAAATGAGTGTTAGATTTAGTAAAATAATAACCTGACAAGGGGTTCTATTTTTTATTAGCTTTGCAGTGCTGTCTGAAGAGGCCAACTGTCTATCCTTTATGAAAAAGTGGCACTTTCTGTGTCAGTTAGTATTTGCTGACTGCTGGCTCCCAACCACCACAATGTGAGATGCAAGGGTGGTATCTCTGGCCTAGTCACTTTATTGCAGCACACAATTTAGAAGTGGTATGTGTATGGAAATGTCCTGTTGTAGCTAATTCTTTATAGCTAAGAGATAGTAACTATATATACTGAGAAGGCAAAAAAAAGCATTATTTGCATTGATTTCTGTAAAAGGACAGGCTAACTGACATCTTAGCCTTAATTTCTTACATCCATATTTATAACAGAGATCATATTAACTCATCTAGGATGAGACTGAGTATGAATTTAGCCATCTTCCTGGTGTGTAAGAAGTATCTTAAAAATTTTTTTATCCTTATTTTATACAACTTTAACATCATCAATGGATGGCAGCTGATACAATCTGTGAAGGATGAGTGAGACAGAAAGATTGGGAATGTGTTTTCTACAGTTGCCCCTTCAGATAAGCAATGTTATGCCCCAGGAGCCTCCTTTGCATAGCAGAGAAAGTTCAGATGGAGATTACTCATGGATGAGTTCTGTTAATGCCAAGTATTGCTTTCCCCCACCCCGTTTGTTTACACAGAAAATCACAGCTGGCCTGGAGCACAAAAATGGTGAGATAAAGCCAAAGAGTAGGAGAAGGTGGGGTCTTATTTCCAGGTCAACAAAGGATTCAGATGATTGGGCTGACTTGGATGACTTGGATTTCAGTCCATCCCTCAGCAGGATTGACCTGAAAAACAAGAAAAGACAGAGTGATGACACTCTCTGCAGGCAAGTGTGCTGCTCACATTTGTAAACAGACTGAATCTGGAATTCATGAGATTATGGGTACATATCCGAGAATACATACTGTCTCTCGTGCTGACCCAAGCCATGCTCTCTTCATTCAGGTTTGAGAGTGTTTTGGACCTGAAGCCCTCTGAGCCTGTGGGCACAGGAAACAGTGCCCCCACCCAGACGTCATATCAGCGGCGAGACACGCCCACCCTGAGATCTGCAGCCAAGCAGCACTATTTGAAGCACTCTCGATACTTGCCTGGTAATATAAATGACTTGGCTTTACTTTGATTATTAATAAGAAACCCTGTCCTTGGAATCACATATTCACAAAGGTTCTGTTTTAGAAGGCAGATACTAGGGGGCTTCCCTTCAGAACTGAGGGGAACATCATAGAAATATTTGCTGAAGCCCAAGCCTCACTTTTTTTTTGAGTTGGAGTCTCTCTCTGCCACCCAGGCTGGAGTGCAATGGCGCCATCTTGGCTCACTGTAGCCTCCACCTCCTGGGTTCAAGCGATTCTCCTGACTCAGCCTTCTGAGTAGCTGGGACTACAGGTGCCCACCACCATGCCTGGCTAATTTTTGTATTTTTTAGTAGAGACAGGGTTTCACCATATTGGCCAGGCTGGTCTTGAACTCCTGATCTCAAATGATCCACCAGCCTCGGCCTCCCAAAGTGCTGGAATTACAGGCATGAGCCACCGTGCCTGGGCCCAGGCCTCACATTTTTATCTTTTATAGTCACCCAAGATAAGAAATATGGTATAGGAAACTGGGTCCAGCCTCCAGGGAGGGAGGAACTGGCAAAAGCTGGGCGGCATGTCTGAGGCCCCTCTACCAGACCAGGTTTAGGGGAAATGGCCAATAGGGAAACCAGGGTAGGAGCTTAGTCACACTGTCCTGGCAGTACTATGGGGGTTAAATGTCAATGCTATAGTTTGGTGGGTATCCAAGCCTCTCTCCTGATTTTCTATATTCCAAACTTACAGCATTAGTGAATCATTCATTCAGTACATATGTATCAAGCATCTACTGCATGCCAAGCACTGCGAATATTATTGTGAACAAAACAGCCAGGCAGGGCCACTGGGTCACACAACCCTGGGGAATTCCTTCACACTGTAGTCTACACAGTGGCTTTATACAGCAGCTTTATACAGCAGCTTTGCAAACAACATCCTCACCCTCACACAGCTTATCTGCTAGTGGTGGGAGAGAGACTTTAACAAATAGACAAATAGTAATCACAGATTGTAAAAGAATGGTCAGGTAAGGCCTCTCTGAATAAGCAACTTGACTGGGCCCCAAAGAATGAGAAGGAACCAAATGTGCAGAGAGCTGAGGGCAGAGCACACCAGGGAGAGAGGAAACAGCAAGTGCAAAGGTCTAGAGGCAGGAGAGGGCTTGTCCTGTGAGAGGAATGGCAGAAGCCAGTGTGGCCAGAGCATAGTGAGAAAGGAGGTGACGTAATGTGTAGTATGAGGCATTTTTGGGGCCTTGTAAGAAATTTGGATTTTGCTTCATGAGCGATGAGAAGTCCCTGAAGGGTTTTAACTGAAGGAGTGATGTGGTTGTATCAACACCTGTGTGCTGAGTAGGGGAGGGGCCAGCAAGCTGTAGCTGTCATCCAGGTGAGGGAGATGGCGGCACAGGCTGAGCTGGAGTCAGAAGGGAGGAATGGGGTGAGAATGGCAGGCCCTCTTGATGCATGAAATTCCTCACCCTCTGGTTTGGAATGTGGCTTCTAAATATTGCTAGACTTCATCAGGATTGACATTTTGTTCTTAGAAGATTGGCCTGACAGGCCCCAGGATGATCTGGAAGAAGAGAGATCCAGATGACAGGTATAGAGTGATCCAGTATGAGTGGCCAAGCCTCGAATTACAGTGACCACAGGCAAAAAGGAGCAGGGAGTGAATCAGAGAGCTATTTTATTTCTTTTTGGTTGTAGGGGAAGAAGGAGAAGGATAAAGGGGGAATTTAAACTTTCAGTTCTGAAAAAAAGCTGCAGTGCCTGTGGGAATGGGAGTAATGGTCCAGGTCGGGTGAGAAGATGGAACTCTGGAGACAAGACAGAGAGAGGAGAGCAGAGGGCTGCAGAGTTGGAGGCCATGGGTGGGGGATGGAGAAGAAACTGAAAAGGTGACTGAAAGGAAGTAGTCTGTGAAGGGGAAGAACAGCATGTCCAGCAGCAGTGAAGCCCAGGATGGCACCAGAGGGCCAAGAGGTGGGACAGATCCATTGGATCTTAGAAGCATAAGAGGCCTCTCTCGGGCCACCAACCAGTGAGATATCTTTCCTCGGACATCTGTCAGATGACATCATCACAGTCAGTTTTTGCTTTGATTATTGTATCATAGAGAGTTTTTGACAAATTGAGTTCTGCATTAATTTTATCTTTGTAGTCTAGTGTAAGATTCATTGTGTATTTTGCATTTTAAAATCATTTCTTCTCTATCAGGGATCAGTATAAGAAATGGCATACTCTCGAATCCAGGCAAGGAATTTATTCCACCTAATCCATGGTCTAGTTCTGGCTTGTCTGGAAAATCTTCAGGGACAATGTCAGTAATCAGCAAAGTAAATTCAGGTGAGTAATGATCATTAACCCCTAAATGGCAAAAAGCAAATTCCCTGGATGCAGGAAGGTGGGCACAAGGAGTCATGGGACGGGCTTTGGAAGCACAGGGGCCTTTGTCATCTGAAAGCTCAGGCCTCTTTTCCAGCCCTATCCTCCTCTCTTTCTCGGCAGCAGTCCCTTGGGACTCAGCCAGCTCCCAGGGGAGTCTGCCTTCCAGGGTAGCTGGGGAGTAGAGCATAGTCATCCCTGGCTCAAGGGAAAAACAAAAATACCTTTACAGACTCTTACTAGGCCTGATGGCTAAAGCCCTGGCTGCAGCAGGCACCCTCCTCTTGAGGTGGAAGTCACCCTTGGCTGTGTCTGCCTTGTTCCAGCCTGTCCCCTCCTTCTGATGACCCAGCTGCAGGCCCAGAGTATCAAGATCCCTTCTAGTTGGAAGGTGGACAGTTTGGAAGACCCTCCCCACTTTTTTTGTTAAACGGATGAATGAATTTACTGAGTCCCAAGGCTGACAAACCCTGTTCACAGTAGAGACGTTTCCTGCATCATTTTTCCCTGATGCAGGCAGCCCCTGCCATGTGCTGCTTTCCCCTCTGCACTGCCAAGTGCACTGCCTTCATCCATTAGGTGTTTGTTTAATTTAAGGAAAATAAAAAAGAAAGAGATAATATAGCAACACCTGTGTAGCCATCACCCAGCTTAAGAAGTCAAACTTTGGCCAGGTGTGGTGGCTCATGCCTGTAATCCCAGCACTTTGGGAGGCTGAGGCTGAGGCAGGTGAATCACTTGAGGTCAGGAGTTTGAGACCAGCCTGGCCAACATGGTAAAACCCTGTCTCTACCTAAAATATAAAAATTAGCCAGGCATGGTGGCAGCAGGCCTGTAATCCCAGCTACTCAGGAGGCTGAGGCAGGATATCACTTGAACCTGGGAGGCGGAGGTTGCAGTGAGCCAAGATTGCGCCACTGCACTCCAACCTGGGTGATAGAGTGAGATTCTGTCTCAAAAAAAAAAAAAAAAGTTGAACTTGGCAAATACACATGAAGCCCAGTGTCTGTGCCTTTCCCGCCTCCCTGCTTCCCCTTACCTCCCCCCATGCCAGCCTGATCGAGTGTTTATTTAGGTTTGTATAAACTTCATAGTGTGGTTTTGCAGGTTTTAAAATTTATGTGAAGATAATCTTGGATCACTGCTTCATGCATTTTAATAAATATATGTGTAGCAATTATAGAGATATATATCATATATTATATAACATATACAATATATATCTATACAACACCATAACTTATTATTTATGTGGACCATAATTTATGTATGCCTTCTCTTCTTGATAAATACATAAGTTGATTGCAATTTTTGCTATTAGAAAGAGTGCTGAGATGATTATTGTACCCCTATTGTTATGCACATGTGTGAGGATTCCTCTGGGTACGAGAACTAGGAGTCAACATTTTATTTTATTTTATTTTATTTTATTTATTTATTTTTATTTATTTATTTATTTTAAGACGCAGTCTTGCTCTGTTGCCCAGGCTGGAGTGCAGTGGCATGATCTCGGCTCACTGCAACCTCTGCCTCCCTGGTTCAAGCAATTCTCCTGCCTCAGCCTCCCAAGTAGCTAGGATTACAGGCATGTGCCACCACACCCAGCTAATTTTTTTTTTTTTTTGTATTTTTAGTAGAAACAGGGTTTCACCATGTTGGCCAGGCTGGTCTCGAACTCCTGACCTCAGGTGATCCACCCGCCTGGGTCTCCCATTGTGCTGGGATTACAAGTGTGAGCCACCATGCCCAGCCAGAGTCAACATTTTAGGTTAAAGGGTGTGCTCATCTTCAACTTCACAGATATTGCCAAACTACTTGCTCTCCAGCGGGATATGGGAGTTGCTCTGCATCCTTGATGCCACTTGGTACTGTCAAGACTAAAATTTGTGCTAATCTGATGAGTGAGAAATGGTATCCTATTGTGGTTTAAACTTGCATGTCCTATTTACTAATGAGGTTCATCATCTTTTCTTGTGTTTATTGACTATAAGTTTTTTCTCTTTTGTGACTTACCTGTTCAAATTCTCTTCCCATTTTTCTTCATGTTTCTTCATTCACCAAAGTACAAAATACACCCCAGCTGACCAACGCAACTCCTCACGCAGGCATTCTAGACTGTGTTTCCACTCTGCCTTAAACAATTGCTGAAAAAGCTCTGTGTTGTGAAAACAGAGCAACTCTACTACTTACTGACTTTTCTTAATGGTTAGAATTTCCATTTCTATAACGGGCAATAATAACAGTCTTCATTATTCCATGTGTACCTTTAAGCCTAAATAATAAGAATTATATTCATTCACCCATCCAAAATTAATTGATTATCTGCTATATGCAAGGCATTCTGTTATCCTCCCCAGAATACCAAGACGAGTAGCATACAGTCCCTGCCCTTAAAGCACTCCCAAGTGGAAATGACATAAAAAGTTAAGGTATTTCACATTGTAAAAAATGGTTAATTTTTCTGATGTGGATAAGAATATTTAGTGTGTAATTACTTGTCACAGCTAAATAATTTAATATAACCTGTGTGTTGATCAATAAGAAAATGGTTAAATGGATTATGGTTTAGCCATACTCTAGAATTTATATGTACTCACATGGAAGGATAACTATTCTATATTATGGAGTGAAAAAAGCAAATTTTAGAATAGTCTAAATCTACTTTTACAAAAGAAAATAAAGAACAAATGTCATATTTCCCTTTTTTAAAAAAATTTCACAACCAACCCACCCTCTATTTGGTTGCCCCTCACAGGAGCAGCACTGTCTTTGGCCCCCGCAGTCTTTCTGACAGGGTAGTATGGTGGGATGCTTGGCTCTGAACTCATTTTTATCATGATTTGCTCTTTTCCCTAAAAGTAAAAACTTAGTTTGTTATTGCTCTGCAGTGCTGTCATTTAACCTTGTTGGTGTCCTGGGTACATGTCTTTGTAATAATGAGCTTTTTGCTTTTGCAAATCAGTTGGTTCCAGCTCTACAAGTTCTAGTGGACTGACTGGAAACTATGTCCCTTCCTTTCTGAAAAAAGAAATCGGTTCTGCTATGCAGAGGGTACACCTAGCACCTATTCCAGACCCTTCCCCTGGTGAGTTGTATTTTAAATTATTCATGAATTTACTCAACAAATGGTTACTCAACAACTGCTTTGTGCCAGGCATGTTTTAGGCCTGGGATCCACCAATAAATGAAACTTGCACTCTACAGACAATAAGTAAGCTAAATAAGTGCTATATAACATATAGTAAGTCAGATGCTTACTGACTTAGTGCTAAGGAGAAAAATACAGCAGACAGGAGGTAGGGATTGTGGGGGTTGGAGTGTGGGGTACAGGTTACAATTTTAGATAGAGTAGCTAAAGAAGAGCTCACTGCAAAGGAGTTGTTGAGTAGAGACCTGGAGGAGGTGATTGAGCAAGCATACAGTATGAGTGAGGCTTTTCCAGACAGGAGATTGTTCTGTGCTTGAGCTTTCAGGCAGAACTGGCCTGGCAAATTCAAGGAGCAGCAAGGAGGCCAGAGTGTGGGAGTGACAGGAGTGAGAGGGGGAGTAGCAAGATGAGGTCAGGGGTGATACGATGCCTGTAAGCACATTGTCATGGATTCTGAGTGACGTGGAGTCCCTGGAGGGCTTTGAGTCCATAAGTGAGGTGATCTGACAGCCATCTCCACAGGCTCCCTCAAGCTGCTGTTGTCATGAGACTGAAGTAGGGGCAAGGTAGGAAGCAGGGAATCCAATTAGGAGGATGTTGAAATTATCCAGGTAAGAAATGATGCTAGCTTGGGCCAGCGTGGTAGTAGTTCAGTTGGTAAAAAGTTGCCAGGTTCTGTAAATATTTGGAAGGTAGAACTAATAGGATATCCTGACAAATTATATGTGGTATATGAAAAAAAGAGGGGTCAAGAATGATGCCATTATTTTTGGCCTGACAACTTTAAAACGATGTCTTTAACTGCAGTAGAGAAGATTATAAGTAGGAGACAAGATGCTCCTCTTGAACTCCTTATTTTCTCATGTTTTTGTCACCAAAATGCATTTATTTGTACTTTGCTTACATTGGCCCCATATCAGTCATGCCGGCCTTTTTCTTTCATTGCAGGTTATTCCTCCCTGAAGGCCATGAGACCTCATCCTGGGCGACCATTCTTCCACACCCAGCCTAGAAGCACTCCTGGGTTGATACCACGGCCTCCAGCCGCCCAGCCAGTGCATGGCCGGACAGACTGGGCTTCCAAGTACGCATCTCGGCGATGACTGTCTGCCTTGGTGATGAATCTCTTCCTAGGGAGAAGCAGGATACTTTCCCTCAGCTGACTGGTGTTCTACCTGCAAGATGTGCAGAGGGCATAAAAGCAAATCAACACTTTATAGTTATTCTTCTGAACTAAGACATGTCAATATTCTTTTTTAAAGTTTTTTTTTAAAATATTGATTTGAATGCAGTAGGCTTTTTTGTATAAAATTATTTTATTCTAAAACTGGGTCCCATTATTTTCTTAAACAACAGCATTTTGTATATATGGATTATGTTTTAGCATTTTATACAGTCAACTTTGTAATGAACTTTTTAAAAATTAATTGATTTTCCTTTGGGGTTCCAGATAATATTTTCTACAGATTTTGAAAAATGTAATAATATTAATGCAGTATTGCAACAGGGGTGCAATTTAAGGCTATGTGATAGAGGGTTATTTACTCAGTGTGTGCAGATATTTATGAAGTGGTGAAATTTCAAGTGTGGCTCACTAGGTACTTCAGGCCTTCTTGGACTGTTGTTAGAAAAGTGATCCTCTGCTTTTCTTAGTAGGTCATTGGTTTGATTTTTGGATACCACTCTGCTGTTCTAAAAGGACTATTATATTATATAATTCACTTTGTTTTACTTTTGTTCCCCAGATGAAAGAACTCTAAGTAAATACATTTTAAAAAATTTTTCTGACACCCTTTAATGTGGTTGCAGATCTCAGATGAAACCAAGCTTAATTATACTATGCCATTATATTCTAATTTATTCCATTTTTGAAATCAAGTTGTATGTGTACCAATAAAAGAGATTTCTGCTTCAAAAGGCTCTCAACATGAAGGTTAACACAGTCAATCAAACTTACATTCCTGCCAAGATGCATGGCCAAAAAACTAAGTATCAAAGCAGCAGAAGGTTTTTGATTATAGTAACTGAGATGGAATTTTGTGCCTAGCTCAGTTCTCCAGATCTGGCTAGGAGCAGTCAATGACTAATGTTCTGTCCTAGCCAAATTCTCAGGACAATTTGGGGAGCAGAAAGAGTTATGGCAGAGGTTCCACTCATCTACAAAGTCACAGTCACATGCCACATTTGATCTCCTAACCCTGGTGTAGTTTCTTTCAAGAGTGAGAACTTTATTTGTTGGGCAGAGGCTGTTCCATTGAGAGGAATGTTTACAGCAGTTTCAAAAATGACAAAGTCAGTTTGGAGACAGAAAAAGACAAAAGGTCCAGTCTCATCCATCTCTATATGGTACATTTGCCTCACTTATGGTTGCCTTAAAGGCAAGAGGGAAGGTCACCATCAGTGAACGCAATGCAATCTCAACAGTGTATTGATTCATATTCTCCTAGGGCTCAAACTACTCTCTATTGGTTCCAGGATAATGACAAATTGAACCATATGTAAGTAATCTTTTATTTTTTATTTTTTTTTTGAGACAGAGTCTCACTCTGTCACCCAGGCTGGAGTGCAGTGGCGCGATCTTAGCTCTCTGCAACCTCTGCCTCCCAGGTTCAAGCCTCCTGAGTAACTGGGACTACAGGCGCCCGCCACCACGCCCAGCTAATTTTTTGTATTTTTAGTAGAGACGGGGTTTCACTGTGTTAGCCAGGACGGCCTCGATCTCCTGACCTCGTGATCCACCCTCCTCCACCTCCCAAAGTACTGGGATTACAGGCATGAGCCACTGCACCCAGCCAAGTGATCATTTTTATAGGTTAAAATGATAGGTGAAATGAATATAGACACTTTCATATGGTTCAACCTAATGACTTGGTAAATTATTGCCTTGGTGTATTAATAATATGTTGCATTCTGAACAAATAACCATGGCTTCCAAAGGGCCCTAACCTAAAATCGGAGAGTAATTTATGCTTTGGAGAATTTGACTCAAATATATACTTGACCAAGCACCATGATCCCTAGGGGCATGAGAAAAGCACATAATGGATGTGGATGTGATAGGTGGTCTTTTCCTGTTAACAAGCTGGCAGCAAAGCTTCAGAAAATATATATGCAAGCACAACTTGAAGCTGAATTCATTTCTGTATTATATTCTCAACTCGTTATCTAAAGCATCAGAACATGTGTTTTCAGAGATGAGTCCTTTACTATAAGGTTAATATTTATTTTCATTTTCTGTATTATATATGAAAAGTAAATTAATGTGAAACCTGGCCCAGCTTGCTGGAAAGCAGGTTTTAAATTGTAAATATTCCTTAGAGGAGCAAATGGATTGTTTAATACCATAGTCTCAGTAATCTAGCTTATATAAGGTCATTACATTTTTTAACTGAAAAACCTAGTTACCTGATTATTGCACATTATAAAATTGTTTTTCTAATACTTTATAGGGCCCAACTTCAGAAAATACTTCGCTTTTTTCTTTTTATGCTTTCGTTTGTTTACCAGCAAGCAACTTCCCTGGGGAAGCCAAACACATATTCATAAAAAAAATCAAGTAGCTGATGTGCAGTTGAGAAAACTAGAGGACTGAAAAAACAAATTTTAACTAGCAAATGCTGTGAATTACTCTTCCTCCCCTTCTCTGAAATGGGTAAAGGACAAATTGTGTAAAAAAACCTATGCACTATAGAAGGGAATAGTAACCATTTCTTTTGTCTCTCTGTTTCTGTTCTGACTGAGAACCTGCAGCCATTTCTTGTTACATGAAAACAAAATGCTACTTGTTACCTCTATTTTTTGTTACTATACAATTATGAAATGTAATGTAAGACACCAACAGAAATGATATACCTGTAACTGTACCTATCAGGACTATACCTCATTTACAGTCAGAAAGCTTACTGGGATGTCAGGAAATGATACAGGGTTGGTTCTCATTTCGTGCCGAAATGAGACAGAAATTCAGTGACGAAGGTGCGTTGTAGGGGTATTGATGTGCCCCAGGTAGTGCCAGCAGAGTAGGGAAAACTGCATTTGCATAAAAACTACTCTTGACATGATTGTTCATTTTACAAAAAAATTCCATTAATTACCAAGCCCTCACCCAGCCCATGTGTGATAGGATTTATGTAGGAAGAAACTTGATTTTCAAATAATTTTTTAAATGTATCTCTTGCCTAAAGGACTATATACATCTAATAAAGTAACACTGTGTCATCTTCTGGAGTTATCAAAAATTGTATACAATCAAGACAACACAAGAATTATTTTATTTTTGAGTGCAAATACAGGTACTGTTGGAGTTGATGGGCACCATGCTTTCTCATGAAGTAGCATTTCCCTACCATCAAGCCATTGTTTTGTGCCATTCAGGAGAGGAAAAAAAGGAATTTATGCTGTACATTTCAGTTCAGTGTATGACCAAAAGCAATATGTTTATAAGAAGATGTTTGACATACTAATTATTTTATATCATTTAAACCATACTGTAGCAACATAATATATGGAGCTAATTTGTAGAATTATTTTTACGATTTCCAAACAAATGTACTGTACTGTTATATAATTTATTGTGAGGACCTTCTCATGGAAGCCATTAGGAAAACAAACTAGAGGTAAATATCACATTAATCTGTATTATCAATTTCTCATAGACACTGTGCTAATGTGAATTTTAAATGACCTGCATCAAGTCTTCTGATCTCAGATAACTCAGTACAGATAGCAATTAGTCAGCTGATTTGATTACAATGGAGTAACCGACAATATATTTATTTATAAAGCACATATTCATAATAACGAGAAGAATTCAGAAAACCACTTAAGCAAGACCCTTCTGAAATAAAAAATGTTGCTTTTTAAATAGTTTGTCCTAAGGTGTTTAAAACATGTCAACCTTATGTAAGGAAAAATTTCCTGGTCCAAATAAAGTTGAAGTTTAAGAAAAATTGATTTGAGTGTTCTGTTTTTGTTTTCATGTTCTTCCATTAGTATTTTCTAATTTTTGTCCTTAGTTAGTCCATTTGGAACTTCGATGTTTTCTAACTTCTCCTGAATGCTTAGTATCTATCGTGCTACTGCTATGAAATTAGATGCATGCACTTAGAGCAGCAGAATGAAGAGTTATCCTGCAATGTGGAGGTTTTGTTAAAGTTCAGCTTTTAGAAAGTTAGGCGTCTGGGAGTGGTGGCTCATACCTGTAATCCCGGCACTCTGGGAGGTGGAGGCGTGAGGATCCCTGGAACCTAGGAGTTCGAGACCAGCCTGGGCAACATGGCAAGACCTGTCTCTACCAAAATTACAAAATTTAGCCGGATGTGGTGGTGTGCACCTGTGGTCCCAGTTACTTGGGGGGCTGAGGCAGGGGAATCACTTGAGCCCAGGAGACAGAGGTTATAGTGAGCCCAGATCACCCCCCTCCACCCCAGCCTGGGCAACAGAGTGAGGCCCTGTCTCAAAAAAAAAAAAAAAAAAAAAAAAAAAGCAAAAGCAGGTGGAAACAGTTTCTTGTTCCTGATTTCATCATTTTAACCTGCCTTGTATGTCTTTTAGCTTTTCACAGCACATTCTCATATACAATATAAACCTTCAAAAGAAGTTCATAACTTCATGAACTACATAAAGAATGTCACAGGAAATTCATTTTCTAAACATTCTTTGACTCCTTGACAGGATTTTCTAGGAACATGATCTACCAATCAAACTTGCATTGGTGAATCCCTAAGTGTGCCTCTCGCCATCAGAACAGTGACTTTACTGTGTAGTCATGGGCATTTGTCTTTTTGGCATCACGTTGGGCCCATGTTGCCCCTTCAGAAACCCTGAAGAAGCCATTTCAAGCTCTCAACCATCTTTCCTGATAAGAAAACCCACTTGTTAGAATAGGGTCTTACACCAATCGCTTATAGCTAAGGCTGAATTTAAGTCAAATGTTTCCCTCTTCTGGGAGTATACAAAGCTCTTAAACTGAGATTTGAAGCTCTTGACTTCTGTGCAAGCAATTTTACCTACTACTGAGCAGATGAGTGAAGGGTTGAGGCTAAGAAGACTTCTCAGGGCCTCTGAAAATGTATCAGGTAGGTAGGTGGGTAGGTAGGTAGGTAGAATAGATAGATAAAATGAGTAAGACTGTCTCAGGATGAGGGCAACTCTAAGGGTCTTCAAGAACAAGTAGGTTGATGATGTCAGGGGCTTCAAAGGAATAAAATGCCTTTGGGGTACCTGTCATAGAGTGCCAGAACTATTATAACAGGAGTTTTCATTTCTCCCCAAGCCTGTGTAATAGCAGTCATGCTGCTACCTTAGTTACACTTTCAGGTGAACAAGGCTGAGTGTTACCCAAAAAAGGTGTCCTGATCCAGATCCTAAAAGAGGGTTCTTGGATCTCGCACAGGAAGGAATGTAAGGCGAGTCACCCAGTGCCATGAGAAGTAACATTTTATTGAAAGCTACTCAGTTACAGAGTAGAGCATTCTCAGAAAGCAAGAGGAGGAATGCCTCTTCTTTGTTTTTATTCGATAGGGGTCTTATCTCTGTAAAAGGTAAGCTAAGCAATGTCTACGTGCGAGTGGGCTAACAGAATGAAAAAAATTAGTACTTTGTTAATTTAAAGAAAGGTATCCTTGGCATTTTCATGCGTAAATACGTGAAAGCATGACTATAATTACCTTAAAGGTGTTTAGCATTATGCAATATTGGAACATCTGGACATTCTACTGTCATAGGAATTTGTCCTTCCAGGTATTATTAAGCTATTTCCTCAGCTGTAGACATCTTAAGATGGAGCTGATTTTTTTGTTTTTTAATCTAGTTTAAGTTCCAGAATACAAGCGCACAACGTGTAGTTGTGCCATGGTGTAGTGTGCCATGGTGGTTTGCTGCACCTATTAACCCATCATCTAGGTTTTAAGCCCGGTATGTATTAGATATTTGTCCTAATGCTCCCCCTCCCCTCACTCCCCCACCCCCCGACTGGCCCTGGTGTGTGTTGTTCCCCTCCCTGTGTCTATGTGTTCTCATTGTAAGATGGAGTTGATTTTAAAATGCTGTCACCCTGGCTCTCCTACACTCCTGTTTCCCTAACTCTAGGATGATGTTGCCTCTATTTTATAAGATTGGACATCTGAAACTGCCATTTTTGAAGGTTAAAAACAGTAAGATATTAGCAATTTGGTATAATTCAACCAGTTGGAACTAAGCAAATGGAGACAAGTGCTTGGCTTAAATGTCTAATAAAAGCAATCACAAAAGCCAGGTGCAGAGGTACATGCCTGTAATCACAGCACTTTAAGAGGCAGAGGTGGGAGGATCACTTGAGCCTAGGAGTTTGAGACCAGCCTGGGCAGCATAGTTAGACCCCTTCTCTACAAAAACTAAAAATTAGCCAGTAGTGTCATGCGCCTGTAGTCTCAGCTACTCAGGAGGCTGAGGTGGGAGGATCACTTGAGCCTCGAAGCTGTAGTGAGCCCTGATCGCACCATTGCATTCCAGCCTGGGCAATACAGCAAGACCCTGTCTCCAAAAGACAAACAAACAACAACAACAACAACAACAACAACAACACACGATCACAAAAGACTATAAGAACCACAACCTTCCACAATGGCCATTGCAGTCTTACACAAAAAAATACTGGGATTATTGCCCTTGTTATTCATCTTTGCAGCAAAGGATACTTATTTTAAAACAATTATGCCATCGTCATTTTTGTCCTTTAAAAATCTTTGTTTTATTTTACCTCCCTGAATACACACATAATTTACTATGGCATGCATATTCCTATTGCAAAATTCAATTTCCAAATAAATATTTTTAAAGAGCCTCTTTCTGTTTGTTATTTAGGTTAACATAAAAAATCTAGAGATGATTTAAAGTAAACCAAAGGATGTGTGTTAAGTTACATGCAAATACTACACCGTTTTATATAAGGGACTGGAGCATGGTCTGATTTTGGTAGCTGAGGGGGTTCTGAAACCAATCCCCCACAGATACTGAGGGATGACTGTACTTTAAAATATCATGTTGTACACAGTAAAAATATACAATTTTATTTGTCAATTAAAAAATAAGCTCCTTGAGGGCAAGAACTGGATTTTATAATTTATTTTTTATGTCTCAGTAAATCCAGTAGACCTCAGCACAGATGTTCAATAAACCTTCCTTAATTATAAACTAAAAGCAAGAAAAAAAGAATGACCACTTTCAGCAAGGCTGGAAAATATGGCTTCCTACTCATGTTAAACTGAGTAATTGCTGTTAAATCAGAACTAGAAATATGATTGGATATACACTGTTAAGTCTTTTTTGAAAACGACTTTTCTGACTTTTGGGGTGCCCAGTGGTCCTTGACTTACCTCTCTTCTTACCCTGCATACCTTCTCTGGATGAGCTCATTCTTTTGCCACCAATTCAACCGATTTCAGTTCTCTCTACTGAGTCCTCACTGGGTTGGTTTTTGTCTTTTCGGTTTTTTTTTTATAGGGAGTCTTACTTTCTCGCCCAGCTTGTACTGCAGGGGCGTGATCACGGCTCACTGCAACCTCCGCCTTCCAGGTTCAAGCGATTCTCCCGCCTCAGCCTCCTGAATAGCTGGGACTACAGGAACAGGCCACCACGCCCGACTAATTTTGTATTTTTAGTGGAAACAGGGTTTCACCATGTTGGCCACGCTGGTCTTGAACTCCTGACCTCAGGTGATCCGCCCGCCTCAGCCTCTCAAAGTGCTGGGATTACAGGCGTGAGCCACTGCGCCCAGCCCTCAATGGCTTTTTCAACTGTCTAGTGGGTATTTCCAGCTGGATGGTTCATAGCAACAAAAGACAAGTCAACCCATTTTCCCCAAACTTTGTCTTCCTTCTCCGCTCTTTATGGAACTAGAAACCAAAGCATTGCTCATTCATTCATTCAACAAGTGTTCTCTGAATACCTACTCTATACTAACCAGGATGTACAAAAGGAAAACCAAAAGCGCAAAAATCCTCGATCTCGTGGAATTTACATTCTAGGAATCTACAGACAAATAAATAAAAAAGTCCTGTTAGATGACAATACATGTTATTAAAAAAAAGACAAGAAGTGTGTGTGTGTGTGTGTGTGTGTGTGTGTGTGTGTGTGTGTGTGTGTGTGTGTGTTGGACAGGGCATCATTCTAGACTTTTCTTCCTCCTCCCTTCCCTTTGATCTGATTAGCAATTGCTTTACCACCTACCTCCTTAGTATTTCACCTTTTCTTACTCATATTCTTCAAACTCATGGTGCTACTTTAATTTACACAGACACAAGAGGTTTCTTTCTCTACCCCTACTACCCCAATTCATTCGCCTCACTTTGGCCAGAGAAACCTATTGAAAATAAAATCTGATCATGTTAGCGGCTGCAATTGTTCAGCACCCAGGCTTGTCAAGCAAGGTACTCTCGAGCGCCCCCGTGGGTGAAGAAAATAACAACATCTATAGCCTGAGAAATAGCAGAAGCTGCCTCTAAAAACAAAATTTATTTTCGAAGGCATATATTTCAAACTTTGAAATCCATGTGAATTTTGCAATTGTTCCATAATATAGCCCTGATAGTTTTAATATATTTTTAATGTTTTAACTAACTTGCCAGCCAAATTATTCTTTTAGCACCACCCCCAACTCCAAAGACCCCCTTCCAAACAGGTGCTGACTTGAGACCGTGACTATAGAGCACTTGTCTCTAAAATGTACAAAATGAAGAGAAATCTCAAGATGTCCCACTGAGATGAAGAAAGAAAGAAGAAAATATGTATGTTTGTATACATGTATACATGTATATATATGTATACACAAAATTAGAAAAGTTAGGGTCTACTGTATAAATTAAATAAGCGTTGACAGTGCTTTTGATTTTAATCTGTATGTGGTACTTTGCCTGCTTAACACCCTTATGTGGATTTCCTGACGGACTTGACATTCCTGTCAGGAAAGCATTGCGTACTTGCTGATTAAAAAGCATCTAAGGGCCGGGAGCGGTGGCTCACGCCTGCAATCCCAGCACGAGGCAGGAGGATCACCTGACGTCAGGAGTTCAAGACCACCCTGGTCAACATGGCGAAACCCCGTCTTTACTAAAAATAGAAAAATTAGCCGGGCATGGTGGCGCGCGCCTGTAATCCCAGCTACTCGGGAGGCTGAGTCAGGAGAATCGCTTGAACCCGGGAGGTGGAGGTTACAGTGAGCCGAGATCCGTCTCAAAAATAAAAAATAAATAATGAAAAAAATTAAAAATTTAAAAATTAAAAAACATTTAAAAAAGCATCTAACTTAGATGGGTAATGGGTCAAAAGAAAGGCAGACTGCCACATGCAGCGCCTCATTTGGATGTGTCTGGAGTCTTGGAAGCTTGACTACCCTACGTTCTCCTACAAATGGACCTTGAGAGCTTGTTTGGAGGTTCTAGCAGGGGAGCGCAGCTACTCGTATACCCTTGACCGAAGACCGGTCCTCCTCTATCGGGGATGGTCGTCCTCTTCGACCGAGCGCGCAGCTTCGGGAGGGACGCACATGGAGCGGTGAGGGAGGAAGGGGACACCCGCCTAGCCAGCCAGATCAGCCGAATCAACCCTGGCGATCAATGGGGTGACAGATGTCGCAGCCAGATCGCCCTCACATCCGAGGTACCCAAGCGGCGCACAAGCTATATAAACCTGAAGGAAGTCTCAACTTTACACTTAGGTCAAGTTGCTTATCGTACTAGAGCTTCAGCAGGAAATTTAACTAAAATCTAATTTAACCAGCATAGCAAATATCATTTATTCCCAAAATGCTAAAGTTTGAGATAAACGGACTTGATTTCCGGCTGTTTTGACACTATCCAGAATGCCTTGCAGATGGGTGGGGCATGCTAAATACTGCAGTCTCCATTGGTGAGGTCGTCCCGGAGCCTCGCCCAGCTCCCGCGCGCTAGAGCCGCCTGCTGGTCTCACCCAGCCGGGACCGCTGACCTGGCGCTTTGTGCGGCTCCAGGCCTCCGAGTGGACTCCAGGTCTGTCTCCCTCCTGCGGTCGCCCCCTTCCTCGCCCTTTCTCTCTTCTTTTTTTTCCCTCCCCTTTACTCTCTGAGTCTCACTCTCGCATTCTTCCCTCACTCCCCCAGTTCAGTCCTTCTCTTGTCTTTTCTTCCTCTTGTCCTTTGTCCTCCTGCTCCATCCAGTCTGGGCAGAGGTGGGCCCCTTGGCTGGAGCTGGGGTCCTTCTTGGCTCAGTGTGCGTATTTTTTTTTAAACCCCTTCTGCGGAGTCTGAATGCATTGGTGGAAGGTGGGCTCGGATCGTCCCCGGGCCTGGCTGGGCTGCCGCTACGCCCCTGCATGGGCTGAGCGGGGAAGACGAGCATGGGAGAGTGCGATCTCAGATGGCCAAGCCCTGGCCCCCGGCTCGTTTTACAAGGCCGGGGGCTCATCTCCCTGTAGGGGTGGTGGACACGCGGGACCCGGGGGGCGCAGCCACCGCATGCGTGACGGTGGACGCACATTTTGCAGACAGTAGTAGTACTCGGCCTGTTCACCTTCCAGTTGCCGTGATAATAAAATATGATGATGTATGTAAAAGCATGAATACTTGAAGAGCTTCCAGTGGCTGTGCGATTTTCCTTCGCTACCCTCTTCAACGCCTGCCACCCCCTATCCCCCAGCTGAATTTGGAAAATCTGAGATTCTCGAGGTCAAAATATATAATATTCTGAATTTGTGAAATCCCGTACTGCTAGCACATATGTTTTTACAACAAATGGCCCCAGCTTCCCAAGATCCAGGATAAGAAGTCATAAATAGAAATCATATAAAAGCCAAGGTTTTTTTCTCCATGTTTTAAAATGGTGGTTTTTTTTTCTTGAGTGAGGGAAAATGCAGCAACAAAAATAAAGAACAGTTTCCCGTGCCAAAATCCTGAATATTCATTTCGCCCCTGAGCACTGGGTTGAAGACGCGAAATTGGGACTGTTGGTCTGCGACGAGCTGCTGCATTTGTATTTCAGAAAGCCTGAAAAGCTATCATGGCAGCAAGGCCCAAGCTCCACTATCCCAACGGAAGAGGCCGGATGGAGTCCGTGAGATGGGTTTTAGCTGCCGCCGGAGTCGAGGTACCTTATATGCTGTTTCTTCACGGATTTGTCATACAGCTTTTGAGACCTTTGAAAGAAAAATACGTTTTGAAGCACCGTTCAGTTCTAGTTCTCGTCCACCAAAATCACAGGCACGCTTCACTGAGTCAGATACCATCCCTGAAGGGATTTTTCTTTATAATTAGAACGTAGTTGATGGAATTCTATTTTCCTTTTGACTTTTACTTAATTATTGGCTTCTGATCTAGCACCAGTGAATATTTATTAATAAGAAGAAAGGAAATTTACCTGAAAATTGTCAGTTACTCTGAGCTCTTATTAATTATGCATTCTCAGGGTAAATTTCTTGTTTTCTTCAGTGGCTTCAAACTGGCAGCCTTGGTATCTTGCTTACATATGTGTGTGTGTCTGTTTTTGTTTTCGTTCTGTTCTTTTAGCTTCTTAGTATGGAAATTTTCAAATACCAATAAATGTAGAGAGAACATTGCCATGAATTCTATGTACTCATCACCCGACTTCAGCAATCATCAGCTCTATGCTAATCTTGTTTCATCTATCACCTCCCTTCCCTTGTTTTGTGGGAGTATTTTAAAGCAAAATCCAAACATCATAACATTTCATCTGGGAGTTCCTCAACATTTTCCTCTAACAGATGAGGATTTTAAAATGTAACAATATTATTATCACATCCAACAAAATTAGCAATTCTTTGTCATCTAACCTTCAGTCTGATTGTCTCAAACAGGCATTTTGTTTGTTTGTTTGTTTTTATAGTTTGTTTTAGTTTGGATCTAGACATTGGTCTACGCATTACATTTAAAATGGTTATGTTTCTTTCGGTATTTTAAAAACCTGTAAGTTTCCTCTTCATTTTTTACAAATTTATATTTGGGAATATTTTCAGATTTATAGAAAAGTTGTAAAATAATACAGTCCCTCATTCAGTCTCCCTTAATGATAACATCTTACATCACCATGTCATATTACGAAATTAACATTGGTGCATGACTAACTAAACTACAGACTTTATTCAGATTTCACTGTTTTTTCTACTAATGTTCTGGGTTTTTTTTTGACGGAGGCTGGCTCTGTAGCCCAGGCTGGAGTGCAGTGGTGTGATCTCGGCTCACTGCAACCTCCGCCTCCCAGGATCAAGCAATTCCCCTGCCTCAGCCTACCTAGTAGCTGGGACTACAGGTGCACACCACCACGACCAGCTAATTTTTGTATTTTTTTAGTAGAGACAGGGTTTCTCCATGTTGGCCAGGCTGATCTTGAGCTCCAGACCTCAAGTGATGCACCCACCTGGGCCTCTCAAAGTACTGGGATTACAGGTGTGAACCACCACGCCCGGCCCTTTGCTAATGTCCTTTTACTATCCCGCGATCCAACATTATATTTATTCATCCTGTTTCCATAGTTGCCAACAATCCATGACAATTTCCCAGTCGTTTCCTTCATTTTACCATCTTGACGGTTTTGAAAAGCACTGGTCAGATATTTTTGTAGAATCCTCTACAAATTGGGTTTATCTTGTTTTTTTCATGATTAGACTGAGGTTATGGGTTTGGGGAAAGAATGCCACAGAGGTGAAGTATGTTCACGTCATCATATTAGGGGTTACGTATCAACATGAGTTGTCACTGGCAGTATTAACCTGGATCACATGGTTAAGGTAGTCTCTGCCAGGTTGCTGCATTTTAAAGTTACTATGTTTCCTTGTATTCTTCTGAAGCAGATCATGAAGTCCAGCCCACATTCAAAATGATGAGAATTAAGCTCTACCTCCTGGGTGAGGGAGTATCTACATTTGGAATTTTTATATAAGGAAGATTTATCTCCACTCATTTCTTCAGTTATTCAATTCTTTGTGTCACTATAGACCTAAGTATATTGATTTTATATTTTAGATTATAGTCTGATGACTTAAATTGCCTAAATTGTTTCAGCTTTAGCCACTGGTGCTCTTTCAGGTTTACCTTTTTTTATTTCAGATTGGCCTCTTTTTTGTTCTCAGCACTTTCTGACAGTATAAAATGCTCTGTGCTCATCTTGTATTAATATTTTCCCTTCCCTAGCCCTAGAATCAGGAATTTCTTCAATAGAAAAATGGTATTAACCAGCCGGCACGGTGGCTCACACCTGTAATCCCAGTACTTTGGGAGGCCGAGGTGGGCAAATCATGAGGTCAGGAGTTCGAGACCAGCCTGACCAACATGGTGAAACCCCGTCTCTCCCAAAAATACAAAAATTAGCTGGGTGTGGTGGCATGTGCCTGTCGTCCCAGCTACTCAGGAGGCTGAAGCAGGAGAATCGCTTGAACTGGGAGGCGGGGGTTGCAGTGAGCCGAGATTGCCCCACTGCATTCCAGCCTGGACAACAGAACGAGACTCCATCTCAAAAAAAAAAAAAAAAAAAGGTATTAATAGCCAAGATCTGGGTGCTAGATGTCTACGTTTGTTTCTAGTGCCATTTATTTTTGGAAGAAACTGCCCTGTAGAATTTTCCCTATTCTGGATTTGGTTTACTTACCCTCCAGGTGTTGCCTTGAGGTAACATGGTAAAGTGAGGATACCTTTATTTTAACATGCTCCTCTATTCTCTGTACTTCCCATAAATTACTAGCTGGACCCAGAGGCATGATCACTTCAGGCTCCTTTTTTCTTTCTCTTTAACTTTTTTTTTCCCTGCCAGACTATGTCAGAAGAGATACTGTGAACACACTTCTATTGTATCACATCAGGGGTTGTCTCGTTTTCAGTGATGCCGACCTTCATCGGTGTGTTCCTGTGATATCAACCCCAATCCACACATTATAGTTTCTCCCATATTCTTTTCAACTTGTGGTTTTACTAGCTATTGATCATCATCATTGTTAGGGATTACAAAATGGCAATTCTTTCAATTTCCATCATTTCACCTATGTTTATGAACTGTGATTCTCTTCTAAGAGAGTACTTGTCACTCATTAACTATTTAATTACTTTAAAATATGCTTCATATAGGAAAGGCGAGGTAAATGCTTGATTATAAATTTTCACAATAATGCGTTGTTGCCCTAGCAACCTCCAAAGATGCAAATGTGAGTTGTTGGGTTATGCGTTTTGTGTTTGTTCTTTGTTTTTATTTTTTGCCTATGACAACTTGCCACATGGTGTTTTACAATTTTCTAAATGAGTTGACATCATTTTCATATGCAAATTCTGATTTCTGACTTGTCTTTAGAAATTGGAAGATGTGGTGATCCTGAGCTCATTTTCACAGGGCAGCAATTGTTGGATCTGAATAAGGACTGCCCCACCTCGCCCTCTTGTTTCAGGGTGTGTTTGCTAACTGTTAAGAGGAAAGTGAAAAACATTCATGGTCCCCTGAACCTGCTCAACTTCACTTGTGTCTGTCATTTTTCTAACCCCCATAGGCTTCTGAGTTTGTAATTCTTGATTTATTTCATAGGTTTTGAATGGATGTCTTATATATGTATGCAATATAACCCTTTGTCAAATCTTCTCTCTTCATTCTACCCTGCCCCTCCTACTCACCTATGAGTCAACATTTTTAGTTACAGTAATAAAAACTCAACCCTAAATAAGTTAAACAAAAAAAGAACATGAGTCATCTGACCCACCTACCCCAGTCCAATCACAGGAACAGGCTGATCAGGTAGAGTAATGAGCCCACTCCTCAGACCAGACTGGATGAAGCTAGATTGGTCTCTCTCCCAGGGTGACCACATGGTTTACAAGGTGGTGGGGAGGGGCCCTCCCCGTCTCTTTGCCAGCTAAGTTTGTGCTCACATAGATCTGAGACAGTCGGGAGGGACCAGCTGGCAGCCACCAGACAAGTCCATGATTCTCAATATCCCACGATTGGGTTGAACCTAAAGTTGAAGCACACACATCTGAGTAACTAGGTCACTAAAACCTACTGAAAAACAGCCTTTTCTAATTCAGGGAGTTCTCAATGCTGGTCAGTCACTTAATTTGAGTCATCATTGACATTGCTCTATGTTGGTTGTTTCTTCCATGCTTGGAACTTTACTTGCCCGAAGACCCCTTAAAACCCAGGCAAATCCCCTTTGAGACGTGGAGGATTTACACCATTTCTACCATTAACTGGGAGCATCAGTTGAGCACCTTGTCCCTGCATATATCATATAAACTTTCTGAGCTAAATGTGGTGGCTTGAGCCTATAATCTCAGCTTCTTGGGAGGCTGAGGGTGGCAGGATCCCTTGAGCCCAGGAGGTTGAGGCTGCAGTGAACTGTGATTGAGCCACTGCACTCCAGCCTGTGTGACAGACCTCTAAGAAAAAATAAATAAATAACCCTTTCTGTTAACTAATATGATGTTTTGACTTTTGATTTTAGTATGTTGTAGTACAAATATCCAGGGACAAATTCCTCAACTGAATCTATCTGAGAGACAAATTGTCAATTGATCCAGGAGTACTGCCTGCACTACATCTGACCATCTAGGCTTCGAGCATTGTTGCCCCAAGGATACTGTTCATGAGCATTAGATGGAGATCCTCTGGGAGCATTGAGGCTCCTTTCCTCACACCATGAGCACCCACTCTGGCAAGTAGCAGAAGCCAAGCCTATGATCCTGATTCTGCCCCACCCCTCCAAGTTGAATGTTTTTCAACTAAATTCACCAATTGTTAACATTTTGCTACATTTGCTTTCTCCCTTCCTTTTTTTTCTGAATTGTTTCAAAGTAGTTGCAGACATCAGCATGTGTCTTCCTCCCAATGTTACAGGAAAGGGGTCCTGATCCAGACCCCAACCGAGGGTTCTTGGATCTTGCAGAAGAAAGAATTTCAGGCGAGTCTGCAGTGCAAAGCAAAAGCAAGTTTATTAGGAAAGTAAAGGAATAAAAGAATGGCTACTCTATAGAGCAGTCCCAAGGGCTGCTGGTTGCCCATTTTTATAGTTATTTCTTGATAATATGCTAAACAATGGGGTAAATTATTCATGCCTCCCCTTTCTAGATCATATAGGGTAACTTCCTGACATTGCCATAGCCTTTGTAAACTGTCATGGTGCTGTTTGGGAGTGTGGCAATGAGGACGACCAGAGGTCACTCTCATCACCATCTTGGTTTTGGTGGGATTTAGCTGGCTTCTTTAATGCAACCTGTTTTATCAGCAAGGTCTTTATGACCTGTATCTTTTGCTGACCTCCTGTCTCATCCAGTGGCTTACAATGCCTTAACTGTCTGGGAATACAGCCCCCCAGTAGGTCTCAGCCTCATTTTACCCAGCTCCTGTTCAAGATGGAGTTGCTCTGGTTCACACGCCTCTGACACCAAGGCAAAATAAATAATTGTCCTAATAACCACAATACCATTGTCACCACCAAGAAAATTAACACTGCCTTCACAACATCTAATATGCAATCCATATTCAAATTTTCCGTTTTCCCCCAAATGTCTATATAATGGTTACACGTCTGTTTAGCAGTTATAACAGTTTCCTCTCCTCTGAAATCTACTTCCAATTTGGTTGTTAAGTCTCTAGTTGATTTTCATCAACAGGACCTGACTTTTTTTTCATGCCTTCGACTCTTGAGAAGTCCAGGCCATTATGTTCGTAAGGTCCCACATCCTGAATATACCTGATTTTCACCTTGTGTGTAGATTCAGGGTAAATATTTTTGGTGTTGTTTTAGCAGGTGTGACTGTGCCCTTCTCACTTTGTTAACAACAGAAGCCTCAGGATGTCAGAGTGTTCTCCACTGGGGAGCCAAGTTTGATTGTTTGGTTAGACAGAGGGTGAGAGATCTCCCGATCTCTCCATTATAAATCGACACTTTCCCTTTATCATAATTAAGTAACTTAATTAAGTCTTCTGTAAAAAAGAGCTTTTCCTTCCTCCTACCTTTTTTTTTTTTTAGCATCATCATTTATGGACATAGAGATTTTATTGTTGGGTGTTATAATCCATAATTGACATCATTCTTTTTGATGCTTAAATTTTCCCAGATTTGGTAGGGATTCCCCTTACAGGGCCCTCCATGCCTTTCTCTTTCACATTTGAGCACTTCCTTGCTTTCTGGCATAACAAAATCAACCTTCTCTTATAGGACCCCTAGTTCCTTTTAGGGGGCAGTGATATTTAGAAACCAAGATGTGGATGCTAAGTCTGCTCTTTCTCTCTGCTTCTTAAGACTGTTTAACTTGGCATTTTTTGTCCTGAGCCTGTATGATATTTACCTCCTTTTGGAGGGTGAGGATATCTTTTTAAAAAATTGATGCATAATGTACATATTTGGGGAATACATTTGATATTTTGATACATGTGTATCATGTGTAGTGATCAAATCAGGGTAATTAGGATATCCATCACCCACCTCAAACATTTATCTTTCCTTTATGGCGGAACATTCCAATTCTCTTCTAGCCATTTTGAACTGTGTAATACGTTATTGTTAACTATAGCCTACTGTACTATCGAACACTAGATTTTATTTCTTCTGTCTAGCTGTATTTATGTACCATTAACCAACCTCTTTTCACATCCCATTCCTCTCTACACTTCCCAGCCTCTAGTAAGCACCAATCAACTTTCTATTTCCATGAGATCCACTTTTTTAGCTCCCACATATGAATCAGAACATGCAGTCTTTGTCTTTCTGTGCCTGGCTTATTTCACTTAACGTAATGACCTCTGTTTCTGTTGGTGTTGCTGAAAATGACAGGATTTTGTTTTCTTAATGGCTGAATAATATTCCACTATGTATATATACGTTTCTTTTTTAAAAATTTAGTTTGATGAAGAATTTCTGGAAACAAAAGAACAGTTGTACAAGTTGCAGGATGGTGAGTATGAAAATGAAACAACTGCCTCTAATACTGATTTTCCTTTAAGAGCTGCTGTTTATGTGGAAGGGCAAAAGTATTCAATGACACTGAACATTCAGAACAGTATCCTAAAACCAAAAAAAGCAAGAGGGAATAAATAGTTGAAATTGCCAGGAAATCACTTCTTATTCAATAGTTCCATAAAAGCTGGCCGAAGGGGGTGAGCAGTTCCTTCCACATCCCGGTGAACAGCTCCTCTCCATCCCTTTCTTCTCCCCTCTCCCCTCCAATCTCTTCCTCCCCCTTTCTTTCTCTCCCTTGCCCCTTCCCTCCTTCTCATCTTTCCCTACTTCCTTCACACTATCTGAGGCATCCTGGCCTGCTTGAAGTATGCAAATAAATATCCCCATTTACATGGGGTACTTTCTGAAGTAAATACTACACAGAAGTGAAATCAACGAACTGCCCCCTCCCTTCACCTTTAATTCCTGGTCAGCCCTGCTCCCTCCTTGCCCATCCATTATAGCAGGAGCCACCAGCAGACCCATAAAGAATGCGCCCATCAACCCTGTGAGCAGCCTCCCTCCCAGCCAACAGCAGGGTCCTCAGGCCCAGCTGGAGGCTCCCCTGTGTGGTACCGGCTCTCCAGGGCTGTAAGGCCACCTTTTGTGTGTGACGGTGGCTGGAAGCCACTAGGCATGTGCTAAGTACTCCTCTTGCCTCTCCCCTCACCTGCTCCGAATGCTCAAACCCTCAAGGCCAAGCTGTACCCTATACCGGCATCTCTCCCCAGGGTTTGGTATGTGGAAAGTGTTGGATTCAGGTTTGTTAAATAAAACAATGGGTTGTTTTTTTAACTAGTGACAGCAAACTTGGTAGTAAACGGTCTGTTCTGTGGCTACAGAGTAGCCATAGAGTATACATGAGCCAAAGAGTATACATGAGTCTCAGCTAGTTACTTAGGTTTCATGATCAGATTCTCTAAAAACAGTGCTGTCCAGCAGAACATTCTACAGTGAAGGAATCGTTCTATTCTGCATTGTCCAATATGGTAGCCACTAGGCAAATGTGACTGTTGAGCACATGAAATATGTCTAGTGCAACTTAGGGACTGAATTTTAAGTTTTAAAAATTGTAATTAATTTAAATTTAGATTTACATAGCTGCGTGTAGCTGGTGACTGCTGTATTGGCCAGTGTAGCACTGAAGAAATATCTTCACTACATTCCCCTCAATCCCTTATCACTGTGGATAGGTATTTTTCCTGGGGTGAAAATGAAAAGGGAACGTTTATAACAATGCTAGTTTTCAGCCTTCTTTTTTTTTTCGAGGTAGAGTCTTGCTCTGTTGCCCAGGCGTGCAATGGCGCGATCTTGGCTCATTGCAACCTCCGCCTCCCGGGTTCAAGCAATTCTCCTGTCTCAGCCTCCCAAGTAGCTGGGACAACAGGCATCTGCTACCACACCCGGCTAATTTTTGTATATCTAGTAGAGGCGGGGTTTCACTATGTTGGCCAGGCTGGTCTTGAACTCCTGACCTCATGATCCGCCTGCCTTGGCCTCCCAAAGTGCTGGGATTACAGGCTTGAGCCACCACGCCTGGCCCCTTCAGGCTTCTTTTGTGGCTAAATCTGCTCTCCTGAATGAAGTTAAGGTTATCTGTCATCTGGAAGCTTTACACTATTTCCTAAGGCCATGATTCCACCGTTTCTTTTCATTCCACAGAGCATTTTTTAGGGGTTGGGGGACAGAGAAGAAAAGATCACTTCTAACTCTGGGCTTCCATTCTCAGGTAACCACCTGCTGTTCCAACAAGTGCCCATGGTTGAAATTGACGGGATGAAGTTGGTACAGACCCGAAGCATTCTCCACTACATAGCAGACAAGCACAATCTCTTTGGCAAGAACCTCAAGGAGAGAACCCTGTACTGTGGCCCCTCTCGAGTGTTGTCACTTGTCAGCTTACTGATGCCTTAGCTGATTAGCAACCTCTGTAGCACACCACATTTACTTTATGTCTTACATAGTTAGTGAGATCAGGGAACAAAAACCCAAGAAGGTCACGAAGACCAGTTGGAACTTCAGTAGAGAGAGTCTGAGTAAAACAAAAGAATAGGATTCAGATATTGAATATTATATCTAGGGTGTCATTGTTTCAGATTTCAACATTTTTAAATGCTTTGATACTGCTTTTTCCCTTTCTTGCACATTCACTATTGTTAAGTATTAGGAATGAGGAGCTGCTGTGACATTCAAGGCCTGGGAGAGTGAGCATTAGATTATAATTTGAAATCAAAGCCTGGTCCTTGCACCCCTTAGATGTATGACCCTGGGCAACGTGGGTATAAGAATAGTACATTTCTCATAGTGTCATGTGATTTAATGAGATAATGGATAGAGAGTGTTTAGCACCATGCCTGGTACACTCTAAGCACTCAATAAGTGGTATTCACTATTTTTATAAAGTTGAAGTTTGACCCATACGAAGAGACCAAAACATGGATGCTGGGGTAAAAGTGGAGGAGTAGGATGCCAGGAGAGAGAGCACTCATGACTGTCAAGCTGTCTGATCTGTGACAGATTTTTCTGAGTTACAACTAGAATTGACCTTATATCTTTGCTCTTAAGAGACAGGTATAGGTAAATGCTTCTAGGGACTTAAGTTGCAGCATCTTTAAAAAAAAAAAAAAAAGCACTCTGAATTCTTAGTTGTGGAAACTGATGGCTTCAAAGAGAGGAGAAACTGAGACAACTGCTTTTTTGTTTTAAGGATTGACATGTACGTGGAGGGGACACTGGATCTGCTGGAACTGCTTATCATGCATCCTTTCTTAAAACCAGATGATCAGCAAAAGGAAGTGGTTAACATGGCCCAGAAGGCTATAATTAGATACTTTCCTGTGTTTGAAAAGGTAGGTGGCAGAGATGCCTACATACACAGAGCAACCAAACCACAAACCACAAAGAAGCTGCCACAAACACCCTTTTCTGTCCAAGGATTTTAAAACTGAGCCCAGTTGAACTAACCTAAGCGCTAATGGACTCCTAAGAGCGAATAGTAGCCACAGCACAAAGCTGGTGTCTTAGAGCCCCTTGGACTCTGCTAGGACCACATGATTCAGAAGTCTAGAAAAAGTATGGGCTCCCTGCCTTTGTTCCTTATTGTTCCTTGCATTCACCAAGTTCCCACCTTGTGTGGATACAGCAGAAACTTCAGAAGATACAGAAAACAAAAACTACCTCATTCATTCATTCAACAAAAGTTGTCGAACAGCTGTCTCAGCTGACATCCTCCCTGATAATTCGATATGAGTAGAAGAACCATTTCCATTTTATTTATCTTCCCTTTGCTCTTTTTGTTTTTGGTTTTGTTGTTTTTCTCTTCTTGTTATATCTGCTTTTCTGAGCTTCAAATTCTTTATTCCTGAACTGGGAGGAACTTTTTTAGTGTTTCAATGCAAACACTAAAGAAGAGGGTGTGAAAATATGGGAAGACCTATTTGGCAAGCTTCCTCTGACCATCTTTATGGAACTAGATTTAGGAAAAAGGAGAGGTATTTTCTGGGGTTTCTGTAGCTAGGTTTTATGGTATCTTTCCCACAGGCACTTTGTGAATGTAAAATAGGATAATGAAGAAATGTGGTCTGGAACGGGCACAGAGGACCTGGTGCTTTGGCAAAGGTTCACTGCTCATTCTTAGGTCCCAAGGGCCCAGACTGTGTCAGGGTTTCTTGCAACACGCCTATGAGGTGAGAACCGTTGTCCCTTTTACACATAATGAAATGAAGTCATGAAGAGATTCAGTGACCTGTCCAAGGTAACATGGCCAGAAAATGGAGAGCAGGGTTGGAACTCTGGCCTCTGACTACAAATTCAGGATGCATTGTACTATGCCACTCTGGCTCCAGTAGCTATATTTGACCTGGAATTGTGTTCGGAGTCCCTGTGACACACACACTTGTGCACATGCAGACACCCATGGGCATCCAAGAGTTGACTGTGAAGGGGATCTCCCCTTTGCTACTACTGCTTCTTGCCTCTCCCTAATCACAATCTATTCTTATAAGCCCCACACCTATACGTTACCCTCAGAATGGGAGTCAAGATGAACTCAAGCTTTTCATTTTCTCTGTTTTGGGACATGTAAGAGGAAGTCTAATTTTATAATTGGGTTGAGTTTATGACTACACCTCTTGATGTTCTAGCAGCAGAACTGGGAAATAAGAGTGGGCCCCTTGAAGATGATCTATCACTTAGATTTCTTAAATCACCCTGCCCCTCCCCAAGCCTCCTGCATGCATTTCTGTAGATACATTTTTGGAGTAGATATATCCTTTCAAAACACCAGATGCTAAATCCAGAAATAAGGAATTTTCCCTTCCCCACTTCAATGTCTCATTCAGATCCACAGCAGATATTTAAGGATGCTTTCATTTCCACACCTTTTTTGTACTTTCTCTCTCTCTCTCTCGCTCTCTCTCTCTCTCTCTCCCCCTCTCTCTCACTCTCTCTGTCAGATATAGGGTGCGTTCTCTTAATTGATGTTATTTATGAAAGCATGAAATGACAAGGTCATAGTTTCACCTCTTCTCAGATACTGCACTGATTCAATAGCCTCATCACTCTCTCCATGTGGAATATTGTAACTGATGCACACCATTTCCCTACAGATTTTAAGGGGTCACGGACAAAGCTTTCTTGTTGGTAATCAGCTGAGCCTTGCAGATGTGATTTTACTCCAAACCATTTTAGCTCTAGAAGAGAAAATTCCTAATATCCTGTCTGCATTTCCTTTCCTCCAGGTAAATAAAACTATGTATTAGAAGATTGGCCTAGAACTCTTGGGCCTTCCTTCAGTGTCTATTGTTTGGTTGGCTTTGGGGAGTGTGTGTGTGTGTGTATGTGTAATATTTTTAAGATTCTAGTTTGGCAAATGAAATGAAAGTAAGGACCCAAAGTTATTTTTCTGGTCCTTAAATCCTTCAAGTTGAAAGATCATTGAAGTGTAAAATTTTTTTTTTTTAAGGTGGGATCTTACTATGTTGCCCAGAATGGTCTTGAACTCCTGGGCTCAAGAGATCCTCCCACCTCAGTCTCCTGAGTAGCAGGGACTATAGGCATGTGCCAGCACACCCAGCTCAGAAATTTTCATCTTAATTTTGTTCCATAACTGCACTCCTGGAAAAAACTCCATGCACAGGGAGTTTGCCTCAGGGGACTTTCCATAGAAATAACCATAGAGATGAGGTGGTCTCACACTCACATGTATCTACTGATGGAATAGTGGGCGAGATAAACATCAAAACAGTCTCATTCATCAGGCTATGACTCCCTTTCTCAGAAATAGTATGGTCTCAAGTTAGGAAATTCTAAGCCTGAGCTCTGAGAGCAAATGAGAGATGTTAGCACCCTAAACATCACCCCAAAGGATTCCTACCATTCTCCTTCTGAGAATTCCAAGGAAAGACTTGTGTGGTTCAAATTATCCCTCAGGGTTATTCTGGCAGGATTGATCATAGAACTTTAAAGGAGAGAAGGGCCTTTAAAAAAAAACTCATTTAATGACTTCAATATTCACTTGAGGAAGTAGAGACCCAGAATAAAGAAATCAGCAGCCAAGCTGGCTTAGGCAGTGGATGCTTGAGTTTTATCTAGAACCTTAGCCTTTTATCTCCAAGTCTAATGTGCAGACTGTAACTCCTGGGCCAAACCTGGCCTGCCACCTGTTTTTATACAGCTTGTGAGTTAAGAATAATTTTTACATTTTTAAATGGTTGAAAAAAATCTGTGGAATAATATTTCATGACACATAAAAATTATATGAAATTCAAATTCTAGTATTCATAAATTTCATTGGTACAAAGCCATGCCCACTCATTTACACAATGTCAAGGTTACTTTTGTTTTTCTACAGCAGAGTTGAGTAGATCTGATAGAGACCATATGGCCTGCAGAACTTAAAATATTTGCTGACTGGTCCTTTATGGAAAAAGCTTGCCAATCCCTGAAACAGCCTGGATACAGACCAAATTGCTATATGTTTGACCAAGTTATCAAAAGCCAAGAGAGATACACTAACTCTCCAAAGAGTAACACACATACTTAAAACAATTTTTTGCCAAGTCTATTAAATATTTTGATATACTAATGAGAGCAATTACCACCAGTTCAATAAGTACACCCAGAAAATGAGAATAAAAATCTTCAACAAGGCAATAAACCACCATATCATTTATGTTATAGTTTATATTTTTTTTTCAATTTTTTTTTCATTTACTTTTGCAGACACAGAGATTGACTTTCCTTAATTTGATTTTATTCATTCAGAACTTAGGATACTTTTCACCTGAAGTATTCTTTTGCACTGTTAAAAAAGTTACTTGTTTAGCAGAGAAGGGAAATTAGAGGAAGGGATCTGCAACTTGTTGAGTGCCAGCTTCATTCCAGTCAGTCTGCTAGGCACTTACATGCATTTGCTCATCTGTCCCGTCAACCCCACCCCAATAACCCTAGGAGATGGGCTTCACTATCTCCATTTTACAGATGAAAATTACCAGCTTGGAAACATTACATTCTGCATAGTTGCAAGACTGTGGATGACTGAGTTGGGAGCCACAGGGGAGTCAGGGATCTAAGTCTGTACTCTTTCCACTAGACTGTGTGGTTTCTGAGAAACACATTTAGAAGTACTAGAAGTACCTTTGGCCCCAAATAGGTGGGATGCTGAACCCAGAAGTAGGTAGAATGCTAAGCTTATTAAAGGTGAAATCTAGGCCGGGCGCAGTGGCTCACACCTGTAATCCCAGCACTTTGGGTGGCTGAAGTGGGTGGATCACTTAAGGTCAGGAGTTCAAGACCAGTCTGGCCAACATGGTGAAACCCCATCTCTACTAAAAATAAAACAATTAGCTGAGCATGGTGGCATGTGCCTGTAATCCCAGCTACTCGGAGGCTGAGGCAGGAGAATCACTTGAACTGGGGAGGTGGAGGTTGCAGTGAGCCGAGATCATGCCACTGCACTGCAGCCTGGGTGACAGAGCAAAACTGTGTCTCAAAAAAAAAAACAAAGTGAAATCTTTCCAGGCATGCATATATATACATGCTTGTGTACACATAGACACACACCTCACAGGCAGTAAAGTACTTTTCATTGAATGGACACAAAAGATTTTAAAAGTCTAGGGTAAATGATAGAGATCAAGGTTTTTTGGTAAACTGTAGCACCAGGACCTATTGGTATTTTACATTGATGATACTATAATAACAACCCTTTTTTAAGCCCCAAGCATTATCTGCGTAAATACAGTTTTAATCTGTGATCAGATTGAGCATCAATATTTTAAAACTTCAGAATCGGACACCAGATCTGTGTTGAATTTAAAGGGTTATTCCTGTGTTGATTAATGGATTTAAAAAGTCACAAAAATTTTACTATACTTTGATAACTATGAACCCCAGATAAATCTTGAAACAATACATCATTTGGAACAAGATTCTAAATTTTGGTATAATATTTAAAATCATACAAGTAGAGCTTAAGTACGTAATGAAAAGAGAAAATTGTCATATTTATATATAATTAATTGGCATCATTATTAGGGTTTTTGTTACTATTAGTGACGTATGTATGTTTGTGTGTGTGCTTAATTAAGGCTGTGCCTTGCACATAATAGGCAATTAATAAATAGTAGCTATTTAAAATGACCTCTTCACTTTTAAATAAATGGTTTTATTTAAATATCTTTAAAAGGTTTTATTAGAATAATTATATATGATGAGCATATGCTTCTTCATATAGTTCAGATTTTTCATTAGATCAAATGGGCTTTTCTTCTCAGTTACTGAGAATTGGTAAGATTTGATTCTGTGAATGAAAAATACAATGTTTTTCTTCCATTCCAGTTTATATAAATATCTGGTATCTGAGCCAGAGGCTATGAAAAAAATGCAACTGGCTATTTCCTGCACATAGCCAGAAAGAGGATTCACTTACTGATAGGAGTAAAAACTCTGAAGAAGCTGAATCTTAAGATATAAATTGTACCATCTAGTGACTTTTTAAAGCACCTTTACTTAAGTGGCTCATGCATTTTCTCCCAGCAGATCAGTGCACTTCAGGTGGCTAGTCCGAGTGGTGTTTACAGCTAATTGATCACAACCAGTTACAGATTTCTTTGTTCCTTCCCCACTCCCACTGCTTCAAATTGACTACTGTTAAAAAACAATACAAAACAATACACTGGAGGTGTTTTCAGTGAGTTTTCCCCTTCCTTTTTTTTCACCTTAAGTGTCATAATTCTATTTTGAGTATGTTTTTACTTTTGCCATTTCTGTAAAGAGTGCTTACCTTTTTGTGAACCTGGAGATTTGTGTAAACTCTGATCTTGATACCGGTGATTGATGACAGAGATTGTAAATAATCATAGAGATCAGATCTTAACCTAGCCTTGTCCAACCCACAGCCCGCGGGCTGCATGTGGCTCAGGACAACTTTGAATGTGGCCTAACATAAATTCATAAACTTTCTTATAACATTATGAGATATTTTGAGGTTTTTTTTTCAGCTCATTAGCTACCTTTAGTGTTAGTGTATTTTATGTGTGGCCCAGTGAAGCCAAAAGATTGGACACCCCTGCTAAACAAATGCTAAATTTCATTTCTGCTTGGAACTCTTCAACAAGTATTTATTGAACAAATTTTGGTGGGCCATTTTGCATAACCATATCTTCGTAGTATCTAATACCTTTTTTGTTAGCCTTAAAGTTTTGGTTTTCCTTTTTCAGGAATACACAGTGAAACTAAGTAATATCCCTACAATTAAGAGATTCCTTGAACCTGGCAGCAAGAAGAAGCCTCCCCCTGATGAAATTTATGTGAGAACCGTCTACAACATCTTTAGGCCATAAAACAACACATCCATGTGTGAGTGACAGTGTGTTCCTAGAGATGGTATTGTCTACAGTCATGTCTTAATGGATCCCAGCTCTGTCATGGTGCTATCTATGTATTAAGTTGGGTCCTAAGTTGGGTCTTTTGTGTCAACGAGATCATCTCTTCTAGAAATATCAACCTTTTTTGTCCAGTAAATAATTGTTAGGGGATCTTTATTGGAAAACTTTTTTGGAGAGGCTGGTATTTAAGTTAGATCTGATTGGGCTACTCATGTCCTGTAGCCAGTTCATCCTCATAATAAGAATGGGCAGGATCTCTTGTTCTCTCCTGAGTGTCTTTCTACTCTCCTGAGCGTCTTTCTGCTCTCCTTATCCTGTTCTCTTATCCTTATCCCCTCCAGTCTCTGCCTAATTTTTAGTGTTTAATAACAACCGAATGTCTAGTAAATGACTCTCCTCTGAGCTGTAATAAATAAAATGGTAGTAATGAATGCAATCAGTATTAGCCAAAATAAAGAATTTATGAGTCATTGCTCATTGTCTTGTTGTGAGAATTTTTTAATTAGTTTTTTTCAAATATAGAATACATTTGCACGGTTCAAAAATCAAAAAAGTATAAAAGGGTCTACAGTCTTGGAAGTCTTTTCAACCCTGCTTCCCCGCAACCGAATCCTGCTTCTCACAGGCAAATGCAGTTACTATTTGTGTACCCTTCCAGTTACATCTGACACATGTATAAGAAAATGCAAATATATATTATTTTTATCTTCTTACTACCCAAAATGGTTATTTGTAGGCTTCTAATTTTTTGCATTTCAGAACTAAAAGTATGGTCTGTTAATATAATGCTGCTGTTAAACTGGTGTTGATTCACGTCTCAAATACTCATCAAGCATCAACTGGGCTCAGGGTCTCCCAGCACTTTAGGAGGCCAAGGTGGGTAGATCACCTGAGGTCAGGAGTTGTAGATCACCTGAGGTCAGGAGTTTGAGACCAGCCTGGCCAAAATGGTGAAACCTCATCTCTACTAAAACTGCAAAAAGTAGCTCGGCGTGGTGGCGCACCCCTGTAATCCCAGCTACTTGGGAGCCTGAGGTGGGAGAATTGCTTGAACCTGGGAGGCGGAGGCTGCAGTGAGCTGAGATCATGCCACTGCACTCCAGCCTGGGCGACAGATTGAGACCTTATCTCAAAAAAAAAAAAAAAATACTAATCAAGCACCTATTACATGCCAGGCAGACTGCCAGGAGGCAGAATCGTAGAGCAAAGCCCCTGCTTTAGAAGAATTCAGCATAGGGTAGGGGGAGACACACATGTAAACAGCAGAAGTAATTTTAAAAAGGAAAGAATTGCCGCTTTTGGAGTATCTACTACTCAGAAATTTTAAAACTAAGGAAAGGCAAGTTTTTGATGAGAGTCTCACTCATTTATCTCGCTACAGAAGGGATTTTTTGCTCAGTGGAAACAAAAGAAGAAAAGACAAGTGGGAGGTGATCATTGTCTGATGCAATCAATACTGTTTTCGTCAGAGGAAAATCAAGCGCAAACATCAAGGCAGTGATTTGCCTTCATATTTACATAATGTGAGCACTCTGTTATCACCCTGATATTTAAAATTCCTGCAAGAGCAAAAGCCTGGTGGCAGGGGCAGCCCCGAGGCAGGCCTGAGGAACAGTGCTGACCTAGGCTGCTGTTCTGAGAAAGAGGCCCAGCCCTGGCCAGGCCCCTGAGTGCAGTAGCCAATAATAAAAAAAGAAAATGGGAAGTGTGTAGTAAAGACTTTCACCCTGCCCCAACAGAGGTGTGGCCTTTGCTTCTGGAAGGCAGTCTCTAAGTCCTTTGAATGCTAGACCTGACAGGAGTGTCTTTGTTTGCCTGGGGGTCTTGGGCCACCCAGCTAGTAACAATGTGATTTAGGGTGAGAGCTTTGAGCCACACCAGCAATGTGATACTGGGTGAGAGCTCTGGTTCACGTGGTATCAGCTCAACTCTGGAGGGAGTGAAAACAGATCACCTGTTGGGCAGTCAGCCAGGCCTACCTGATGGACCCCCCAGTAAAAAACCTAGGCTCCAAGGCTTGGGTAAACTTCTCCAGTTGACAATACACCATGGGTATTGTCCTTCGAATGAATCATGAATCATCCAACCTAAGGGTGGTTCCCCTCAAACTTCCCTCTAAACTCTTCAGGGAAGATAAACATTTTACACACATTTAGAGACTATACATGAGAACAAACAGTTGACTTGACAATCCTCAGGGGTCTGTATTACAGGTGGAGCAGCCCAAATCTGAAATCCGAAATGCTCAGAAATTCAAAATGCTTTAAAATCCGAAACTGAGTGCCGACATGGAGCTCAAAGGAAATCTTCATTGGAGTATTTTGGATTTGGGATTTTTTGGTTTGGGATACTCAGCCAGTAAATATAATGCAAATATTCCAAAGTCCAAAAATGTTCTGAAGTCAGAAACACTTCTGGTCCCAAGCATTTCGGATAAGGGATACTCAACCTGTACTGAGTTTTGTGGGATGGCAGCAAATTTGGGCTAGTTTATATTACTGTGTTGCTATTTTTACTACCCAGTGCCACTGCCTGATACTTTTAATCAAGGGCTGGCTATATAGACCTTAAACCATTTTGCAAGTACTTGCTGCTTGGGTTTTAATTCTCTTAGACACAAGAGGGCCCCTGAATCTGGTTCTTTGAGGAAAAAACCAGGGAGGAAGTTTGGCTTCTGCATTGAATTAAAGGATTAGAGAAATAAAAACAAGAGACCAGGCCCTCTCCAACAAAAAGAGGTTCCCATGTTTCTCGTGTTCATGGTTGCATGACCTTAAATTGTGCAATTCGCTTTCCATATTGGAAACCAGCACCCTCCTACCCTGTTCTGCCTCAGGTGGCATTACCCCAGTTTCATCATTTCCTTTTTTGGTGCAGGCTCCCACCCTTTAGTCTCAAACCTCCAACCACCACCATCACCATTACCCCCCACAATTTTCATGAGTTATGAGACTTTGATAATAGAGTAGGAAGTCAGGGACAGGATCGTTTATCCTCAAAAAATATCAACATGCTGAGCATTCAAGGCTAAACCCAAAGTCAGCATGAGTGAGACAGGGTGCAAGAAAGAGCAGAAGGAAGACAAGAGGTTCACTGAGTAAAAGCCACGACACGTGAACCAACGGGGTTAAAGTGCACAGCCATGCCTAAATGGGGCAGTTGCAGAGGCTTCAGTGTCAGGAACAAAAGAGGAAAAATGGACAGCTTGGGACCCTGGTGTCTAGGACAGAAGTGCCAAGGGACCCAGAATAAAGCCACACTTTCAGAGAGGTTTTGGCAGATTGAGTGCTTGAAGAAACACTTGACTCTGACTCTCCTCCTGTCCTCACCTGGCCGAAGCAGTTCTGCAGGGGCCAACCTCCCTAGGGGATGGAACAGAGCAGAAAGTGAATCCCTCGGGACAGGGGCTGCAACAGACAATAACCAGTAGGGGCTTTTGTATTTGCTGTTGTTCCCTCATGGCTGAATGTGCATTTTATTCCTTTAACCCAAATAACAAGCCTCAGAACATTGCATGGCAGGCTCTTATTCCTTTAGTGTTAATATCCCCACGTGAGGGGATCCTTTTCTGACCATAAGATCTACAGAGCTTCCCCGCCCCCCATCCCCATACACCAATATACCTCTCTCTCTCTCTCTCTTTTTGAGATAGAGTCTCACTCTGTCACCCAAACTGGAGTGCAATGGTGCGATCTTGGCTCACTGCAACCTCCGCCTCCCAGGTTCAAGCCATTCTTGTGTCTCAGTCTCCTGAGTAACTGGAATTACAGGCATGCACCACCACGCCTAGCCAATTTTGTATTTTAAGTAGGCACGGGGTTTCACCAAGTTGGCCAGGCTGGTCTTGAACTCCTGATCTCAAGTGATCTGCCCGCCTCAGTCTCACAAAGTGCTGGGATTACAGGAGTGAGCCACTGCGCCCAGCCCCCACATAACCCCTTTCTTATCCTCTTATTTTCTTCATAGCACTCAGCACCCTCTGGCATGCTTATTTGTTTAATCAATCTGTGTCTCTATATATGAAATGGCTTCCTTGTATATGCACAGTTGAGTCTTGTTTTTTTTTTTTTAATCTACTCATGATAGTCTTTGTCTTTTAATTGGTGTATTTAAGACCATTCACACTTGAAGTAATTATTGATGTAGTTGGATGTATACCTACCATGTTTGTAGCTGTTTCCTATTGTTGCTCCTTTATTTCTTTTTTTTCTTCCATTTGTATGGTGTATTAGTCTAGAGGGACAGAACTAATAGGATATATATATATATATAAAGGGTAGTTAATATTAAGTATTAACTCACATGATCTCAAGGTCCCACAATAGGCCATCTGCAAGCTGAGGAGCAAGAAGAGCCAGTCCGAGCACCAAAACTGAAGAACTTGGAGTCTGATGTTTGAGAGCAGGAAGCATCTAGTGTGGGAGAAAGATGTAGGCTGGGAGGCTAGGCTAGTCTGGTCTTTTCACATTTTTCTGCCTGTTTTATATTCTAGCTGCACTGGCAGCTGATTAGATGTGCCCACCCAGATTAAGGGTGGGTCTGGCTTTTCCAGCCCACTGACTCAAATGTTAATCTTCTTTGGTAACACCCTCACAGACACATCCAGGATTAATACTTTGCATCCTTCAATACAATTAAGTTGACACTCAGTATTAACCATCACATATGGTTATATTATTTATATGATTCCATTTTCTCTCCTCTCTTGGCAAATCAATTATACTTTTTTAAAACATATTTTTAGTGGTTGCCCTAGAATTTGCCCTAGTATATATTAACAACTAATCTTGACCACTTTCAAGTAACACTATATCACTTCTCAAATAGTGCAGCTACCTCATAACACAGTGCTCCTAATTGCCCCTTCCCATTCTTTGTAACTTTGCTTTCATACATTAACTCATACACAAGTTATAATCATCCAATACATTGTTGCTATTATTTTGAACAAACCACATTAAAAAATATATATGTACTGCTTGTCCTCCTCTAGAATGTAAGCACCACAGGTGCAGAAATGCTGTCACACCTACCTTTATAGAGCCAAATCTTAAAACAATGTCTGGCAGAAAAGGGTATTCAGCAAACAATTGTTGAATGAGCCAGTGGAATGTTACTTTCTTCTTAGTTAGCTCAATGTGCTATAAAATATTTTTTTAAAAATGAATGTAAAGTGAAACCCCAGAGGTGTGGCCCAAACTGGAATGACTGTTGGTTGATACTTTGAGCAGGCAGAGCTTTCAATAGGAAAGGAGAGGGTTATAAACCCTCACTTAATCTCCCCTCAGCACCCTGGAGATAAGAGCCTAAGAGAGAAGGTGAGTGGTGAAGTTCTTATATACTCTTTTGGGGGCCTGGTTGGATAGTTATAATATTTTACTGCCCAATTTTCTACTTATACTCAGCAACTGTTTTAACTTTGTGGTTAATTTAATGCTTAGTATTTCCAAGCCTGAGTCTATCAAATAAACAGATACTGTTTTCTGCAGAGTAGATAATGTAAACGAAAAACAGCCAATGTACGTGTAGACAAGACCTTTTGAAGGTTTTTATTGTCTATGCATAATATACATACTATCAGACGTATTAAAATATCCCCATACCTGCATCACACATTACATGTAATTTTAAAAATAAGTATTTAAGAGTTAAGTGGTGTTTCAGTTGATTGGTTGACATAATACGCTTAGTAGAATTTAAAAATACTTACTATTTGGACCATTACATTTTTTCCATCTCAAGCAAATGTCAGATAATTTTGTACCCAGTTGAAAAGGACATAGGCCCCAGCCACATTGTGCCATGGTGTCTAACGGGTAAACTAAGTCTTCCTGCACCTACAGATCTACTCCATGTATGCTTGGAAGATTTAATTCAAATGATCTGACCCTGGGGTCTTCCTTCAGGGTTCTACACCCCCAGGGAACTATGCCAAGATGAGAACTCAAAAATTCTCACACAAATTTTTCTAGGACTCGCCCCAGTCTTTCGACAGCAATGAGCCATGTGATGGCTCACTTTATTTATTCTCCAAGAAGTCTCAAAAACCTGGGTAGATAAAAGTCTCTTTCTTGACTCAGATATATTTTTCATGTAAATATGTTTGTAAGCCTTGGAGGTATAAGTCAATCTCTTGTGAGTTTTGGAAACATGAATCAATCCATTAGGCCCTAGTTGAAAGGAAATTTAGTTTCCGAAAATGAAATATAGTGCTCTCTGGAGAAGATGCTTTTTATACAAGCTTGCAATAGACCTCCCTCCTTAATCATTTTACAAAGTAAGTGACCATCACCTCCTCCACAGTAATATTGTTTGGTTGGTTGTGTACTAAAAGTGCCATGTAAATACTTGAGATCTTTTTTGGAAGGGCTTGTTCCATGTAGGAGACCATGTTTGCTGGTAGCATGTCAAACCCAACTAATTCAGTCTTTTGTTAACATGTCATATGTTAGAAAAGTAGAGAGAAATAATTTATAATCAATCACTATAAATTTAAAGTTTTACTGAAGCTACAATAAGGCTATACTTTAAAGCTCTACTGGAACCCTTGGTTGTGTTATTATCATTGTTATCTTCCAACTTTAAAATATTCTTTCTCTGTTGTATTATACACTTAAAGCAAAAGTGATGCTACATCTTTCTAAACTAGCAAATCAAAATTCAGGGCTAGCCAGGAGAGTTTTTAGTTCCAGTGACACATTCTTATCTGCTGGTTGTAATAAAGATAGGCCATTCTGATCCATTAGTGAAGCTAAGGTAAATGTTAAGGATATTTCTATTGATAATATATTTAGAATTGACATCTTATATTCTGGCCCAAAACATCCCTAAAACTGGCGGTCTCCTAAATTCGCTCCTTATAATTTTTATTATCCAGAAAACTCACTAAAACCCTGCTTTTGCCTAACAATTCAAGTAATTGAGAAAAACGTGCTTGTTTTGCCTCAACGATCCAGAGTGACTGTTAACATTGTCAGTAGAATGTCACTGCAAAGAGACTGGCTCCCTTTACAAGGTGTATTCAGCAGATAAGACCATAGGGCAAAGGATGAATGCATCGGAGGAGAAACAAGATTATAAAGACCCTTGAAGGCTAGGTGTGATGGCTCACACCTGTAATCCCAGCACTTTGGGAGGCCAAGGTGGGAGGATGGCTTGAGCCCAGGAGTTCAAGACCAGTCTGAGCAAGACAGGGAGACCCTATCTTTACAAAAAATAGAAAAATTAACCTGGTGTGGTGACATGCACCTGTGGTCCCAGCTACTTGGGAGGCTGAGATGGGAGGATCCCTTGAACCCAAGAGGTCAAGGGCCCAGTAAGCCATGATCACACCATTGCACTGCAGCCTGGGCAACAGAGCAAGACCCTGTCTCAAGAAGAAAAAAAAAAAAGGCAGTGGGGGGGGGTGGTTAAAACTGGAAGAAACTAAGGAGACGATCTGATTCTAAACCAATTCCTCATTTTATAGTTGAGGAAACTGACATCTCTTTGTGACCCTGCCTCAGGGCTGGAACCCACACATCTGGCACGTTGTTAAATTTGGGAATCAAAGGGGGGCCTTGCCAACTTGGACATCATGTCCCTGGCTGGGCCCAGTGCTGGGTGGGGGCAACTCCAAGGGAAGCTGCTCCCACCTCAGTTTGGCTACTGCTGGGGAGCGGGCCCAGGAGCATGTCCCCTGTGGCATGTTGGTGGTGGAGTGCAACACACCCATGATCAAGTGGTTGTATGAATTAAGGAAGACACGGGAGACCCCAGCAGCTGAAGGCTGGACTTCCACTGGACTCGGAATTTGCCACAGGACAGATCTTAAAGAAGCAATTGGCCCCTTGTCCTCTCTTGTATCCATTCCCTGGATTTGGGCATGTCAGAGGCTGCTCCCTGGTGTAAACTTGGTATGGAGACAAAGCCTTGGAGGCTGAACCAGCATCCTTGGGCAAGGACTGACCCTGGAGGGAGCTGTTCTTGACTTTGGACATCCTCACTCCCCCATCCCCACATACAAGGTTTTTGACATGAATGTACCTCTGCTTAGTTCCTCTTGTGGGGCTGCATTTGGGGTGCTTTGCCCCTGCCCACTGAGAGTGAAGGCCCAAGGGATCTCCCCAAGGCTGTCTCCCTGGTGGCTTTTCTTCCTTCCTTCCTTGGCCTCTGACCTTTGCTGACTTCCTCCTCCTTACTCACCAGGCTCTGGCTCCCTGGGAACTCACCTTGGGTTGGGGCAGGGAGGAGGGGGCCTATCTATTGCTTTTTCCAATCCTTCCTTGTCCAGCTGGCCTAGGTGGGTAGACTACAAGAGGGGCTGGTTAGTAGGCTGCACTGCTCTGACTTCCCTCCCGTTGGTTAATAAACACAAACCCTTGTTTCTCAAGGTAGGGAAAAAAAGAAGGGGGGCCTTGAATTCTAGGAGTTCTGATCTTAAAAGAGGGTTAATGCAGATGATCTAACATGAGGAATTTACTTATAATTCTCTAGTCTTCCCTCTCCTTTCTCTATCCATAGCCACATACAACTCCAGCACTTTATTCAGCCCCTGTTTTAAACATCATGTCCTGCAATGTATGCCTGCCCAGCAGTCCCTGGGGAGAACAACCCAGGGCCACACACTGAGCCCCAGAGGCAGGTTAATGGTTTTCACTCTAGCCCAGCTTCTTAAATTTAATTTTCTTATACGTATGAATCTCTAGCAGATGGTGTTAAAAATGCAGGCTCTGACTCAGTAGGCCTGGCTCAGGGACTGAGATCCTGTATTTCTAAAAGGCTCCCAGGCACCACTGCCGCTGGTCCAAAATCACACTTCCAGAGAATGGCCTGCACTTCTATCAGAAGCAAGTTTGACTGCTTTTCTTACTTGTGAATGTTGCTGCAATCTGGAGATGCATGTGTGTGTATGTGGCATTTTTTGAGTCCTTGCTATGTTCAACAGTTTGCACACATTATCTCATTTCAACCTCATAACCAAATGAATTAAGCACTATTAGCCTCATTGTGCAAATAAGGAAACTGAAGCTCAGAGAGATTAAGAAACCTGTTCATGTGAGAGAGAGAGAGCTGAGATTTGAACCTGGGTCTTTTTTTCAGTACCCAGAGCCTAACTCAGATTAATGTGTTTGGGTAAATGTGTTCTTCTACATTTTCTAAAAGATCTTGGCTCACCACAACCTCTGCCTCCTGGGTTCAAGCGGTTCTCCTCCTTCAGCCTCCCAAGTAGCTGGGGTTATAGTCATGTGCCACCAAGCCCGGCTAATTTTGTGTTTTTAGTAGAGACGGGGTTTCTCCATTGTTGGTCAGGCTGGTCTCAAACTCCCGACTTCAGGTGATCCACCCTCCTTGGCCTCCTAAAGTGTTGGGATTACAGGCGTGAGCCACTGCGCCCAGCTGCGGGCTTTTTTTTTTTTTTTTTTTTTTTTTTTTTTTTTAAATCAAAGGCTATTCTCCAACTAGCCAAAGGTCATCATGCTGTCTTCACTCCTTTCTGCTCAGCCCACCTTAGATATGTACTCGGGGCTGTGGGTGGGGGAATGCATCCCCACGGCTGGCTCATCTCAGGTGAAGCTGCACACAGGTGAAGTTTTCAAGCCCTGAGAGATAGGACTTAATTTCCAATGTTATAAGACCCATGTGAGGACACACCTGTTGGCCAATATCAGCATCAGAAAAACCAGAGCTGAGGAGATGGGCTTGAGTGCCTGCTCATCTTAGCTTCTAAGGTTCTGGACCTTCCAGCAGCGGAGTTCTCAGAGTGTTTGCATTTTGGGTGAAATCCAGAAAGCACTGCTCCTTCGTTCCCTGCTTCTTCATTTCCCACAGATGGGGTATATATTTCCATTGCACCTGTTCTTTTAAGCTTTGACAGTATACTTTTAAACAATCAGAATAACTGGGTTTACTTTTTGAAGTATAAACAAACTTGGTCTTCTATATTACTAAGCTGTGATTTAGCCTAATCTTTGTTGAAACTCCTTAGAGGTCAAGGAAAAAGGATTAAAGGACCTGGTTTAGGCCCTGAACTTATAATGTCATAAGGAAGAGAAGGATGAGAGGTCAGACAAACAAACATATCTATTTGTACTCATTCAGAAAGGGTCTGTTCAATTCTTAATACCATATTGTACTTTTATTAAACACTTATTTCATTCTGACTTACCGTATAGTAGTCTGGATGTTTTTGATGGCAGGAACTACATCTTATTTATCTTTCAGTGCCCAGAGTACCTAACCTAGCACTTTATCCATAGCTCAGCCAGGGGCGGTGGCTCATGCCTATAATCCCAGCACTTTGCAAGGCTGAGGTGGGCCGATTGCTTGAGGCCAGGAGTTTGAGACCAGCCTAGCCAACATGGCAAAACCCCATCTCTACTAAAAATACAAAAATTAGCCAATCGTGGTGGTACACGCCTGTAATCCCAGCTACTTAGGAGGCTGCGGCACAAGAATCACTGAACCCAGGAGGCGGAAGTTGCAGTGAGCCAAGATCGTGCCACTGCACTCCAGCCTGGGTGACAGAGTGGTACTCCATTTCAAAAAAAAAAAAAAAAAAAGAAGTAAATAAATAAAAGGAGCTTAATAAATGTTGATGTTGAAAGAAAGAATAAAAGACTGAACGCAGGAATATTATCAAGTTTAGAAACTGGTATCCTAAAATAGTACATTGACAGTATCCACTACATATATTGCACAGCCGATGTGCAGTATAACACAGGGGGATGGATGAAACATGACCTGACCCTGCCTTCCAGGAGTTTACCACCTCCTCAGAATTTTGCAGTGTAGAATCCAGGGACAGAAGCTGGCTTTTGGCTGGGCGTGAGATTGTAAGATGTATGGGGCCCCTTCTCTGCACTCAGCTGTTCTACAAGGAAGAGCTCCTCCTGGGAGGAGCTTGGGGTGGGGAATGGAGTCCTGCTGAGGCTTTTTGGACACCCTCTAGTTCAGTCCATTCATCATGCCTCCTGAAAGCCTAGTTTATTTATTTTTATTTATTTATTTTGAGACAGAGTCTGCCTCCATCACCCAGGCTGGAGTGCAGTGGCGCGATCTCGGCTCACTGCAACCTCTGCCTTCCGGGTTCAAGCAATCTGAGAGCCTAATTTAGAATCCCATGGAGCCGAGGCTGAGAGACCAGGTACGGTGACTACTTGGCCAGAGCCAGCTATTTATGGGGCATGCAAACATTTGCTGAGATTTTTACAAGAAGTGGTAACTGCTTATCATTTGAGGTGCTGGCCTTCAAAGTTACATCCTTCTATCTCCCACGTGCCTTGAGAACATGCAGGGGGCAGGCAGGAGTGAAGTGGGGAAAACTATGCTGGCCCAAAGGCGTCACACGAAATTCCAAATTCACTACCACAAAGCACCAAACAATGAAAATTCTCCAATTATGCTCATAAATCACAAAATGAAGGCAAAAGCCACTCCACATCTTTCTTTTAACACACCTTTTATTGCAATACTGAGTCAAATTTACAATAGTTTTAGCTTTCTTTTACAAAATATCAATTGCATTTACAACAAACATTTTTCAAAAGACATGGAGAACTAACAGACAAGCTAATCTTAGTAAAAGATACTCTAGAAAACACTAAATCGGTTTGTAATTCCTTTAAAGAGGCATGGAGGACTCTACTTGATATAGGTCACAGAGTGCAGCACGTATTTTATCTATTGCTTGCTTCCATCCTCAGGCCCCACAATAACCCTTTAAGGTGGGTAGTTCAACCACCACCCCCCATTTTAAGGATTAGGAGACTGAGGCTTAGATGGAATAAGCTTTTGTCACTATAGTGAGGACTCGTGCCCCTGAGGCCCCAGAGACCCCTGCCTTTGAAAGAAGGGGATATTAACACTCACTTATCACTTCCATTTGAGAATTGTACAGAACATGGTCCTGTACTTGCATGGAGCAGATGAACAGGAGTGGATCCACACCTGGGTTTCTCAGTGTTCATTCCCTTGGTGAGGTCAGAACAGCTGTTAGCCCACATCCAGAAGATTATGTTCCAAGGAGCAGAGGTTTCCCCTTTCACCCTGTGACTCCAGCTCTCCCAAAGGAAAAACTGCATCCCATCTCTAGTACCCAGACTGGTGTCCACTTGTCTGATATTGCCCGACCCCACTGCTTTATTCCAGCATATCCAAGGGCCCATATCTCTGCATCTCTTTGAATGTTGGCTCTGCAATGCCAGCAAGAAGCTTGCCCTATTTTTCTCATTTGAGAATGGCATTTTGCTGCCGCTCCTATCATCTGGGAGATTTTACTGTCATTGGCACGAGGTACAGCCATTGCTATCTCACCTTCTTGACCAGGTCTCTGGGAAAGACATAATACCTAGAGCCAGAGAATCATGACACTCAGTGTTACATTAGGGACCCGTCTCCTGTGGGCAGCCCAGAGCTGAGTTTTCATTACTAAGAGAATAACTAGACAGAAGAAGGACCAGCCAGCCTGCATTTTAAGTGACCACTGCCTAGAAACAGCTTTCAGACTGGGAGTGGAGGCTTACACCTGTAATCCCAGCACTCTGGGAGGCTGAGGTGGGCGGACTGCCTGAGCTCAGGAGTTTGAGACCACCCCAGGCAACATGGTGAAACCCCGTCTCTACTAAAATACCAAAAATTAGCCAGGCATGGTGGCACGCTCCTGTAATCCCAGCTACTTGTAGGCTGAGGCAGGAGAATTGCTTGAGCCTGGGAGGCGGTGGTTGCAGTGAGCCGAGATCACACCACTGCACTCCAGCCTGGGCAACAGAGTGAGACTCTGCCTCAAAAAAAAAAAAAAAAAACAGCTTTCTGGCGCCTACTAGAAGTGACCTTATCTGGATTCACAGGACAAACCAAAAGGTAACAGTCAGCATGTCTAACTGGGGGAGCAGAATAGAACCATTGTATAAAGGGTTTTAACAGTAGTTCCTGTGCCCATGTTCTTTCACCCAGGATTAGTTTCAAATACAATTTGGTCTGATAAAGGTTTTAGTGAGACAGAACCACAGGAGTTAACCAGACCAGCCCCCCCACCAGCTTTACAGCTTTATCCCGTCTCTCAGAGCAGGTGGAGAGGGGTCAAATGGATCAGAGCTCTGTGCACTAAAAGGACAGTGGAGAGATGGCACTTCCCAAGTGTGCCCCGATACTGAACTTCAACAGTGCTGCTTTATCTTTTTTGTTTTGTTTTGTTTGAGATGGAGTTTCACTCTTGTTGTCCAGGCTGGATTGCAGTAGCGTGATCTTGGCTCACTGCAACCTCAGCCTACTGGGTTCAAGCGATTCTCCTGCCTCAGCCTGCCGAGTAGCTGGGATTACAGGCACACGCCACCACGCCCAGCTAATTTTGTTATTAGTAGAGACTGGGTTTCACCATGTTGGCCAGGTCTCGAACTCCTGACCTCAGGTGATCTGCCCGCCTCGGCCTCCCAAAGTGCTGGGATTACAGGCATGAGCCACTGCGCTGGGCCCAGTGCTGCTTTATCTTTCTCAGAAGGCAGCCAGGTGGAGACCGGGTTGGGGAGTGGGGGTCCTTTGAGTGAGGCATTGCTTGTCAATGGTCCAGTGACTTTTGATTTGCTGGTTGCCTGTCACCTGGTCAGTACCTGGAACATGGCCCATTTACAAGGTGACTTTGCCCATGCCAGAAGCCACTGGGTATGCTGTCCCGTGGTGCTTTTGGCATGTCTGTGAACTCCTTAGCCACCCCACTTTTGACCTCTAAAAGTGTGGTAACTCCTTTAGCATCCTGCTTGGGTCCCTGGTGGGGGCCAGGGAATTGATGAGTTCTCTTGTTAAGGAGAGATTAACAAGGCACAGTCTCTCCTCTCCCTCTCCTCATGTTTTCTCCACATTCATTTTATTGTAAGGTTCATGTTAAGGTTTGTTAGGATTGAGTCACTGAACCACCACGTGATTTCTCTCATCAGGGCATGTGGGTTAACAAAGTGCCTTTTTATCATGGTGTCTCCCAAGACAGTAAAGTGATAAATTTTTAGGAAGTTCCTGCAATTTTCAACATGCAATAGCTCAAGAGTCAATGTAAAAGGACTGAATTTTAATAGCAACTCAATACAGATGGTGCCCAGAGGGTGAAAAGACTGTGGCAAGAAAGGGCTAAGTTAACTTTCTTGGTATCAGACCTTGCTCTTGTTAATTGGACTCTACATGTGGCAACTAACCCACATTTCAGTGACACGACTATGCAATTTTTGCCAAGGGAAGAGTACACTTGTATAACGACTATAATTTTTTCTGTCTTTCCCAAATCACCTCAAAAACGTTTTTCTTCTAACCTACCTGATGCTGCCAAGACCAGCTCAGTCAGGGAGACCCTAACCCAGCAGCGCTAGAGGAATTAAAAACACACACACAAAAATATAGAGGTGTGGAGTGGAAAATCAGAGGTCTCACAGCCTTCAGAGCTGAGAGCCTTGAACAGAGATTTACCCACATGTTTATTGACAGCAAGCCAGTGATAAGCATTGTTTCTATGGATTATAGATTAACTAAAAGTATTCCTTACAGGAAACAAAAGGATGGGCCAAAATAAAGGGATGGGTTGGGCTAGTTATCTGCAGCTCCTTTACAATCAGCTACTTCTCCACTGCTCCATTAATACCTAAACTTTTTCACCTTTTGGAGGAACATTAGAACAGGCACAGATCGCTCATGCTATTGTTTGTGGTTTAAGAATGCCTTTAAGTGGTTTTCTGCCCTGGGTGGGCCAGGTGTTCCTTGCCCTCATTCCAGTAAGCCCACAACCTTCCAGTGTGGGCATCATGGCCATCATGAACATGTCACAGTGCTGCAGAGATTTTGCTTATGGCCAGTTTTGGGGCCAGTTTATGGCCAGATTTTGGGGGCCTATTGCCAACATGATGCAATGGTCCTAGGACTGGGGCTGCAACTAGAAGTGCTGGAAGCAGGGATTTCTAAGCAAGAAACTGTCAGTGTTTTTCAGACCTTGTGTCAGAATTCCTAAGGGCCTGTTGGGGAAGGATTGTGCCTTCATCCTGTCTAGCAAAAGTGGGGCTGAATGAATGCAGCTATATTGCCTGGTGATAGAAATAGCTCACTAGTTCTCCACCTATGGAACTGTACCCCACCTGAATGGCAGTGGACTGAGGAGGAGGTACTTGCTAGACTAGTATTGCTGCCTGCAATCTAGACCAGCACAGTGGCGGTTCTAATGTTCTTCCCAAAGGTGAAAAAGTTTAGGTATTAATGGAGCAGGGGAGAAGTAGCTGAGTGTAAAGGAATGAATAAATGGGTTATAAATGAAGGGAAATCCAACATTACATTAACACCTTGAAAGGGGCTCAGAGCAAGAGATGACATGTCTCTTAGCTCAATTATAACAGATGTCTGAAAGGGTGCAGCTATATGTTTGCTCCTGCTTTTGGAACTGATTGAAAGGAAATCTGCAAACCTGAGTGACCTCCCTCTGAAGACATTAATGAGAGGTGACAGCGTGCTGGCAGCCCTTGCTCACTCTCAGTGCCTTCTGCGCACACTCTGGCCATGCTTGAGGAGCCTTTCAGCCTGCTGCTGCACTGTGGGAGCACCTCTCTGGGCTGGCCGAGGCTGGAGCTGGCTCCCTCTGCTTGTGGGGAGGTGTGGAGGGAGAGGCATGGATGGGAACCAGGGCTGCGTGGTGCTCACTGGCCAGCATGAATTCTGGGTGGGTGCGGGCTCCCTGCCCCCCCCCCCCCACCCCATGGGCTCCTGTGCTGCCCGAGCCTCCCTGATGGGTGCTGCCCCCTGCTCCGCGGTGCCTGGTCCCATTGACCGCCTAAGGGCTGAGGGGTGCAGGTGCGTGGTGCAGGATTGGCAGGCACCTCCACCCACGTGGCCTCAGTGCAGGATCCACTGGGTGAAGCCAGCTGGGCTCCTGAATCTGCTGGGGACTTGGAGAATGTTTATGTCTAGCCAGAGGATTGTATACGCACCAATCAGCACTCTGTGTCTAGCTCGGGGTTCGTGGATGCACTAATCAGCACTCTGTATCTAGATAATCTGGTGGAGACTTGGAGGACTTTTATGTCTAGCTAAAGGATTGTGAATGCACCAGTCAGTGCTCTGTGTCTAGCTCAAGTTTGTAAATGCACCAATCAGCACCCTGTGTCTAGCTCAAGGTTTGTAAATGCACCAGTCAGTGCTCTGTGTCTAGCTCATCTAGTGGGGACTTGGAGAACTTTTGTGTCTAGCTAAAGGTTTGTAAACACACCAATCAGCACCCTGTCAAAATTGGCCAATCAGCTCCCTGTAAAATGGACCAATCAGCAGAATGTGGGTGGGGCCAGATAAGGGAATAAAAGCAGGCTGCCCCAGCCAGCAGTGGCCACCTGCTCAGGTCCCCTTCCACACTGTGGAAGCTTTGTTCTTTCACTCTTTGCAATAAATCTTGCTGCTGCTCACTCTTTGGCTCCACACTACCTTTATGAGCTGTAACACTCACTGTGAAGGCCTGCAGCTTCACTCCTGAGGCCAGCGAGACCACGACCCCACCAGGAGAAATGAACAACTCCAGACAGGAGGAACGAACAACTCCAGACGTGCTGCCTTAAGAGCTGTAACACTCACCACGAAGGTCTGCAGCTTCACTCCTGAAGCCAGCGAGACCATGAGCCCACCAGAAGGAACAAACTCCAAACACGTCCAAATATCAGAAGGAACAAACTCCAGACACGCCATCTTTAAGAACTGTAACGCTCACTGCAGGTGTCTGTGGCTTCATTCTTGAAGTCAGTGAGACCAAGAACCCACCAATTCCGGACACATTTTGGTGACCCAGAAGGGATTATTGCCTATCACCAAGCAGTAAGACTATCACCAAGTGGTGAGACCATTGCCTATTGTTAAGCGGTAAGACTGTCACCTATTGGCAAGCAGTGAGTACCATTGGACCCCTTTTGCTTGCTATTCTGTCCTATTTTTCCTTAGAATTTGGGGGCTAAATACCGGGCACCTGTTGGCCAGTTAAAGGTGACTAGCGCGGCCGCCGGCCTAAAGACACAGGTGTCAGGCTTTCTGGGAAAGGGCTCTCTAACAACCCCTGACTCTTCAGAGTTGGGAGCGTTGGTTTGCCTGGAACCGGCTTCTGCTTTTCCTGTACTTCTGGGCTGAGCTGAGAGTCAAGAGAGAGGAAAGCCATTCAGCTCCGGGGTCCTGACAACAAGTTGGCTGACCCTGCGGTCATGAGCGGAACTCTCAAAGGCGTGTCACCTAAGCGAGACTCGCCCATCTATCCTGTCTATCCTGACCCTTGCCCCCTGGGTCCTAATGCCTGCCAGACAAACTTCCTCTCTTCTCCGAGATTAGTCCCACTTCTAAAAATCGCTCCCTGTCTCTGGGGCTTTTCTAGTTTCTCCTATAAGAATGACTTCTAGTATAAACTCCAAGACTCTGTTAACTTCTTTAGGCACCCTGGCTCACCAATCAGAAAGACATAATTATTGCCCAAAGCCCTGTTGTAGGGGGGACTACCTGGAATTTTAGGATCCCTCCTCAGACTAACAGGCCTAACAAAAGCTATTCCTGAAGCTAGGATATGGGGAGCCCCAGAAATTGTATCCTTCCTATTCATATAAGTGAGGACAAAAGGTGTCACTATTCCAACCCTGGAGATCCCTTCCCTCCCTCAGGGTATGGCCCTCCACTTCATTTTTGGGGCATAACATCTTTATAGGACATGGGTAAGGTCCCAATACTAACAGGTGAATGCTTAGGACTCTAACAGGTTTTCAAGAATGCGTTGGTAAGTGTCACTAAATCCGATTTTTCTCAGCCCTCCTTGTGGTCTAGGAGGACAGGCAAGGGTGCAGGTTTTCGAGAATGCATCAGTAAGGGCCACTAAATCCGACCTTCCTTGGTCCTCCATGTGGTCTGGGAGGAAAATTAATGTTTCTGCTGCTGCGTCAGTGAGCGCAACTGTTCTGATCAGCAGGGTCCAGGGACCATTGCGGGTTCTTGGGTAGGGGTTGTTTCTGTTGCTGCATCAGTGAGCACAACTATTCCGATCAGCAGGGTTCAGGGACTGTCACGGGTTCTTGGGCAGGGGGAGAAACAAAACAAACCAAAACCGCAGGCAGTTTTGTCTTTCAGATGGGAAACACTCAGGCATCAACAGGTTCACCCTTGAAATGCATCCTAAGCCATTGGGACCAATTTGACCCACAAACCCCGAAAAAGAGGTGGCTCATTTTTTTCTACACTACAGCCTGGCCCCAATATTCTCTCTCTGATGGGGAAAAATGGCCACCTGAAGGGAAGTACAAATTACAATACTATCCTGCAGTTTGACCTTTTCTGTAAGAGGGAAGGCAAATGGAGTGAAATACCTTATGTCCAAGCTTTCTTTTCATTGACAGAGAATACACAACAATGCAAAGCTTACAATTTACATCCCACAGGAGGACCGCTCAACTTACCCCCATATCATAGCCTCCCTATAGCTCCCCTTCCCATTAATGATAATCCTCCTCTAATCTCCCCTGCCCAGAAGGAAATAAGTAAAGAAATCTCCAAAGGACCACAAATGCCCCCAGGCTACTGGTTATGTCCCCTTCAAGCTGTAGGGGGAGGGGAATTTGGCCCAACCCGGGTACATGTCCCCTTCTCCCTCTCTGACTTAAAACAGATCAAGGCAGACCTGGGGAAGTTTTCAGATGATCCTGATAGGTACAGAGATGTCCTACAAGGTCTAGGGCAAACCTTCGACCTCACTTGGAGAGATGTCATGCTACTGTTAGATCCAACCCTGGCCTTTAATGAAAATAATGCAGCTTTAGCTGTAGCCCGAGAGTTTGGAGATACCTGGTATCTTAGTCAAGTAAATGACAGAATGACAGCTGAAGAAAGGGACAAATTCCCTACCGGTCAGCAAGCCATCCCCAGTATGGATCCCCACTGGGACCTTTACTCAGATCATGGGGACTGGAGTTGTAAACATTTGTTGACCTGTGTTCTAGAAGGACTAAGGAGAATTAGAAAAAAGCCCATGAATTATTCAATGATGTCCACCATAACTCAGGGAAAGGAAGAAAATCCTTCTGCCTTCCTCGAGCAGCTATGGGAGGCCTTAAGAAAATATACTCCCCTGTCAGCCGAATCACTCGAGGGTCAATTGATTCTAAAAGATAAGTTTATTACCCAATCAGCCACAGCCGCAGATATCAGGAGAAAGCTCCAAAAGCAAGCCCTGGGCCCTGAAGAAAATTTGGAGGCATTATTAAACCTGGCAACCTCAGTGTTCTATAATAGGGACCAAGAGGAACAGGCCCAAAAAGGAAAAGCGAGATCAGAGAAAGGCCACAGCCTTAGTCACGGCCCTCAGGCAAACAAACCTTGGTGGTTCAGAGAGGACAGAAAACAGAGCAGGCCAATCACCCGGTAGGGCTCGTTACAGTGTGGTTTACTAGGACACTTTAAAAAAGATTGTCCAATAAGAAACAAGCTGCCCTCTCGTCCATGTCCACTATGCCGAAGCAATCACTGGAAGGTGCACTGCCCCAGAGGACAACGGTGCACTGCCTCAGTGAGACCAAGAACCCACCAATTCTGGACACATTAATACAATATGATGGACTGGACTAATTATTACTGATTAAATGGATTCTAGTAATGTGGCAGTACTTTTTAAGTTGTATGTCCTTTTAATGTTCAAACACCTTGGTGTTCAAAGGTGGGGGAGGGTAGCCTGTGCTATTGTGAAATACATATTTGGTCTTCCTCTGCTTTTCTGGCATACAACTCCTAAATTCGTGGAATCTCTACAGTGCTGTCTTTTGTATGCTAATGTTGACTGATAGCTGCAGGATGGGGCTGTTCAATTGGAAGGACAAAGACATGGTTAAAGGGTTGGGACTTTCAGCCCCAAACCCCAACCTCTATGTAGCGAAGAGGGCCAATGGCTTAATGAATCATGGTTACATAATGAAGCCCAATAAAAACCCAGGACTGGATTCCTGGAGTTTGAGGAGAGCTGAACAAGTAAAGGTTCCTGGAGGGTGACAGGCCTAGGGAGTATATGGAAACTGCATGCCTCTTCCCCACAACTCACCCTATGCCTCTCTTCATCTATATCCTTGGTAATACCCTTTATAGTAAACTGGTAAACTTCAGTGTTTTTTTGAGTTCTGTGAGCTGCTCCAGCAAATTAATTAAACCCAAAGAGGGGGTTGTGGGAATCCCAACTTGAAGCTGATTGGTCAGAAGTTCTGGAGGCCTGGACTTATGACTGGTGTCTGAAAGGGAGGCAGTTTGGGGACAGAGCCCTCACTCTCTGGGATCTGATGCTGTCTCCGGGTGGATAGTGTCAGAATTAAATAGGAGGACACTCAGCTGGTGTCTGCTGCAGAATTAATTGCTTGCTTGCCGGTGGGGAGAAATCCCCACATATTTTGGGGTCACAGAACTCTTCTGTGTTGATTGTTTTTGTGTTTCCAGCAGAGGAAAAATATGGTGTGAGGTTTTTTTTGAAATAATATACATAATTTGTTCTTTCTTTTTTCTTAAATTATGAGCTAGAGCATTTATAGGGTAGGGTGCAAATGCATTTATGTGCAATTTTAAGACTAATAAAGACCACTAATTCTGCTTAAGAAATAGAACATTGTTGGCATCCCGGAAACCTTAAATGCTCCTCCCCAATAACAACCCCATTCTCCTCACTAGAAGTAACGATTATCCTGCTTCCTTGGTGATTATTTTCTTGCTTTTCTTCATAGTTTCACCTCCTATGTATGCATCCCTCAACACTAGTTTTGTTTTACCCGTTTTGGAATTGCTATAAATGGGGAAGAAATACCATACAGCTGGTCAGTATATTGTTTAATTTTTTTAAATATCCTTTAGAAAACTTTGAGCCAGGAATCATGGCAGCCAGACCCAAGCTCTACTACTTTCATGGCAGGGGCAAGATGGAGTCCATCCCCCTGGCTGCTGGCTGCAGCTGGAGGGGAGGCTGGTTCCTGACTGGGATTGGGAAGGATGGTAATTTGGGTGGGAATGAAGTGGCCTCCTTTCTGCTTCAAGCTTTGGAATGGTGCCTACAGGCTGTATCTATTCTTTTCCTTTCCAATTGTCTTCCTTTGTAAGAGGTGAGGGAGGGATCACAGGATGATGGAGGATTAGGGAGGATTGGGGGAGCTGTCGGGTGAGGTCATGTTCTAGAAGCTTCATAGGGGCTAAAAAGATTTTTGTGGATCACAAGACAAAGAAGAGAGAGGAGACCCACATCTGTCTCGTTCTCTTCATTGGGACCAGCTGTTTTTCTGGGGTCTTTCAGCTCTGCCTCAGCACCCCAGTCATGTAGTACTCATGGCTGCTGGAATGTTAGGCCTAGCTGCAGTCTGGCCTCCCCCTTAACTCCTCCCTGAAAGATCTACCTCATGGGATCTTTCCTTAACTCTGAATTCCCTCCACACTGACTTTTCCATAGATTTTCACAAGTGCCTTGGAATTATTTTATACAGATGTAGGCTTCCTTTTCCCTATCTGAATGCCAACTTCTCTAGAGCAAGGACTCATTACTTTGTTTGTTTTTCTCTATTCCCTTTTAGGGACATCTCCACTTAAACTGCTTACCCACATCTCAAGGTTTGGGGGGACCAAAAAAATCAATCTTTCTCACAAAAGCTTTAGAAACATCATCAACAAATCATGATAATCTCACCTGATTAAAGATCTCTGGATTCCTTTCATTGAACATATGAGCATTAAAGAGAAATTTAACTTGTCTTTATATGAAGGGAAAATAACAGAGGAGGAAGAAGAAAGAGAAGAGGAAAAATCATTGGGGAAGTTGGAGAAAGGACATAAGTTTGGAAAGAAGGAAGAACTTAGGTGAAGAAAAGGAAAAAGAGGAATGGGAGCAAAAATAAAAAAATCAACAAAAAACAAAATCTCTTTGTTTTCTTGAGGACTTTAAAGTTGGAATAATGTCTCTTTATCTTTTATTTAGTTTGAAGAAGAATTTCTTGAAACGAGAATAATATGAAAAGTTGCAGAAGGGTAAGCCTAGATTTGTTCAATATTATCTTATTAGAGAAAAATGGAAAACCTGCTTTGGGAAGTATTTGTTTTGATAAAAGAGACAGAGCTCTAGAATGGCTACTGCTAGAAAAGGCAAACACATAGCATGACTGCTAACATTGATCGGCTGTTCATCATGTTCCTGACACACAGCTTAATTTGCATCAGCAAAGGCCACACCAGTTAGCCTTCAGAAACTCTTATCAAGTAGGTCATGATGGTGACTTTGGTTAAGAGGATAGAATGAAACTCATATGTGTCAGAGCTAATTGGTTTAATTCTTCCCATCTCACTGAAGAATCCTTTAAGAATCCCCACACCCCTGCACCCGCCTAATCCCCGCCATGTTAGCCAGGCTCGTCTCAAACTCCTGACCTCAAGTGATCCGCCCACCTCAGCCTCCCAAAGTGCTGCGATTACAGGCGTGAGCCACTACACCCAGTCAACACCCTAAACTTTGAGAATCAGAAGCGCTTATACTATAACATAGTTACAGTAAATGTAGAAAATCTTAAATAATCATGTTAACCAACACACAAAAGTGCATGAGACTACCAAACGAATCTCAGATTTAACATGAAGCAAATGATAGCCATTTCCTAAACAACTAGGGTCTTTAATTCATCACTTTGGATAGAACCTAAAAATCACAGATAGAAATTAGAAGTGAACCATCCTTAGATTTACTGCAACCACTGAACAAGGGTATCTTAACCTCTCTTTGCTCAAACCACAGATGGATGCTTGCTTTTCGGCCAAGTGTCTTTGGTTGAAATGGATGGAATGGTGCTGACGCAGACTAGAGCCATCCTCAACTATCTTGCTGAGAAGTACAACTTCTATGGGAAGGACCTGAGGGAAAAAGTCAGGTACCATAGTGTTCATTACTCTACTTGATTCTTAGACAAGCTTCTTCACTTCTCCACCAACTGAGACCTGGTTCAGGTGTACCTTTCAATCTGGATTGAGACAAAAAAGACAAATGGGACAAAGGGGAAATGACTTGCTAGACCTGGCATGCCTTGTACTTATTCTTTTTTTTTTCTTTTGAGACAGGTCTCGCTCTGTTGCCAGGCTGGATTGCAGTGGTGTGATCTCAGCTCACTGCAACTACCACCTCCTGGGTTCAAGCAATTCTCATGCCTCAGCCTCCTGAGTAGCTGGGACCACAGGCATGTGCCACCATGCCCAGCTAAATCTTGTATTTTTAGTAGAGACAGGGTTATGCCACGTTGGCCAGGCTGGTTTCAAACTCCTGGCCTCAAGTGATCCACCTGCTTTGGTCTCCCAAAGTGCTAGGTTTATAGGCATGAGCCACCATGCCCGGCCACCTTGTACTTACTCTTAATAAGTACTCCACATCCCCCTTTTCTGTGTACTACTCATAGTGCACTGAATGCTGCATTCAACATTCTCCTATTCTCTCCCCACTCCTAACAAAATATGTTCTTAGAAAATAAACTGGTAAGCTATTCTACATGAAGGTAGAAATGACTGATTCATCACACACATACTGAGCATTGTATCAATGATCTGTTGACTATAAATAATGCTCTAAAACATATCACCTTGAAACACAGTGACTTAAATCAGCAAGCATTTGTTATTGCTCACCTGTCTATGGGTGAGCAAGTATCTGAGTGGCCCATCTGGATCAAGCTTGACTTAGCTAGGCTGCACTCACTCATGTCTATAGTTAGCTAGATAGCTCTGGTCGTGGGTGTTGGCTATCAATTGGGATATGAATAGACCATTTATCTCTCATCCTCTCATCCTGAGCTTGTTCTCATGGCAGCAAGGCAGAGTTCTGAGAGTGAGAGTGAAAGCACACTGGCCTCCTAAGTTCTGGGTTCAGAATTGGCACCTCATCATTTCTACCTCATTACACTCATTAAAGGAAGCCACAAATAGACTGGGAAATAGACCCCATCTATTGATGGGAGGAGCTGCCAAGTTTCATCACAAATACAAGAAGGTGAAGTTTTTGGCCTTTTTTTGACCTCTGTATACCACAAACATCTATGCTACACTGGGCACTGTCCTAGGCCTGTCAGAAAATGATTGGGTAATTATTCACGGGGATAGTTTAGTTTCATAAGAAATAACTAGACTTAAGACAAAACAAATACTTGCAACTATAAACTCTTACCGGGATTTGGGGTCCTGGGGCCTTTTCAGAGGTCCCTAAACAGTCATCACTATGAGCACGGACACAGTGTGGGTGGTCAGTATGCACAGAAGACGCTGAGGGAGAAAGCCCAGGGCTCAATTGTTCAGAAAAAGGAGAAAGAACATAACATAGGAATGAGCAACGTCCATAAAAAGTAGCAGCCCATGCCAACTTTCCCATATCTTCATCTTTAAAACAGGCTTAGTCATTCCAACCTGTAATTCTGAAGGTATATGGCAAGAGAAGCAATGTCAAACAGTATGTGAACATGGTACTTTTGTAAATAAGTACAAATATGCAAACACAGTCTGTTTCTTATTGTTTTGATGCAAAGTTTTTAATTGGTCTTTAAAAATCTCCTTGGTTTTTTTCTAAGACATGCTAAGGTATAGATGGTGTTGTTAATATTCTTTTTCTTTGGGTTAGCCATAAATTGTAGTAAACTAAAGCAAGTGGGCTAGGTGACACTAACATGAAAGAAAAATTATTTGTAATTCAAATAGGACAATGAAAGTATATTACTCAATTTTTTCTTTTTCTTTTTCTTTCTTTCTTTCTTTTTTTTTTTTTTTTTTTGAGACAGAGTCATGCTCTGTTGCCCAGGCTGCAGTGTACCAGCATGATCTTGGCTCACTGCAACCTCTGCCTCCTGAGTTCAAGTGATTCTCCTGCCTCAGCCTCCCAAGCAGCTGAGACCACATGCATGTGCCACCACGCCCTGCTGACTTTTGTATTTTCAGTAGAGACAGGTTTCACCATTTTGGCCAGGCTGGTCTCAAACTCCTGTCCTCAAGTGATCCACCCACCTTGGCCTCCCAAAGCACTGAGATTACAGTGTGAGCTACCATGCCAGGCCTTTTTTTTTTTTTTTTAATTTTTAAGAGATGGCATCTCAGTATGTTGCCCAGGCCAGACTCAAACTGCTGGGCTCAAGCAATCCTCCCATCTCAGCCTCCCGCATAGCTGGGCCATAGATGTACCATTAAGCCTGGCTCCATTATTCTTTTATGCTGTTAAAAAGAAAAAGACTACAGAAGACCATTAAAACAAATTCATTAAGCAATTAGCATATAATGGGGAATACAAAGACACTCTTGAAGACATAACCAGCACAGCATGAATGTACTAATAGGCCAGTAAATAATGGAAATATAGATACTATGGTTTGTTTGTTTATTGATTTATTTAGTGCTTGGCAATGAAAGGAAAACTTTAAAGGGAAGGAAATACAACAGTTTGACCTGACTAGGAAATTAAACTTTTCTTTCTCAGTTGCCAGGTCAACAGAAGACCTGTTAAATTATCTGTCTTCTCTAAGTAAGTGAAAATGTTCTGGTACTAATTGTTTTGTAGTTTTAATAAACTTCATTGAGTTTAGTTTTTAAAGCCATAATAATCAATTATTTGTTTACGGCAGATTTCAACTTAAGGGCATTCATGAATTCTTTCATACATCCTTTTATTCAATAAGTATTTCCAGAGACTCTACTATATCCTGGGCACTTGGCTGGTTCTGGAGCTAGAAATCATTCATGAGAGTGGAAGCTTAAGAGGAAAAATAAAAATTATTTTTTCCTGCATCTATTTGTACTAGAGAAGTGTTGGATTAAGAACCCTGTACTCAAAAGCTCTCCACCTGAGGGTCAAATGGTTGTTTTGTCAGGATCAACATGTAAGTTGATGGCACCCTGGACCTGACGATGATGATAATTGTGGCCCCCTTCAAATCCCCTGAGGAAAAACAGGAGACCCTTGCTTCCATCATGTAGAAAGCTAAAACTCAGTACTTGCCTGCCTTTGAAAAGGTAGGCTTCAGGGATCCAGGGCTTTTACCTTTTCTGTTTCTGAGAATATTTCAAGAGTGAATATCTGAAAAGACACACAGAGGCCATGTTAGAGCTTTACTGCTTTTGGATCAAAACTTTAAAAAGGATTCCAGAACAAATTACAGGTAAAATTATGGAAACTCCAACAAAATAGAGTTGGAATATACCAAGTACAATGAAAGTATACAGCATTTCTGTTCTGTCTTTTAAATTAAGACATCAGACCAAGATGTGACCACCTTGAATACTGTCAGGTATTTTTTTAGGTCTAATACTAGAGGCTAATCATGCCTCAATCAAAAGATAAAGTCTCTCTCTCTCCTTTTTTTTTTTTTTTTTTAAGACAGAGTCTCACTCTGTCACCCAGGCTGGAGTGCAGTGGCGTGATCTCGGCTCACTGCAACCTCTGCCTCCCCAGTTCAAGCGATTCTCCTGCCTCAGCCTCCCGAGTAGCTGGGACTACAGGCGTGTGCCACCATGCCTAGCTAATTTTTGTATTTTTAGCAGAGACACGGTTTCACCATGTTGGCCTTGGTCTCGAACTCCTGGTCTCAAACTCCTGACCTCAGATGATCCGCTCGCCTCAGCCTCCCAAAGTGCTGGCATTACAGGCGTGAGCCACTGCACCAGGAAATCAGCCATTTTTTTAAGGAGCTCTGGTTCCTTTTATGTTTAACTTTTTCATGCCATAGTAGTCCTAGAGAATTATGATATTTGTATGGTGTTGGCACAGACAGGCAAAGCAGCTGGCAGCTGGAAGAGACTGCTTTGGGGGCTCCATCACTCCAAGCCTCTTTTGACAACCTCAAGAGCTTGCTCTTCAAATATTCTCTTATTGGCCAGGTGCCGTGGCTCACACCTGTAATCCCAGCACTTTGGGAGGCCAAGGCAGGTGGGTCACCTGAGGTCAGGAGTTTGAGACCAGCCTGGCCAACATGGTGAAACCCCGTCTCTACCAAAAATACAAAAAATTAGATGGGTGTGTTGACAGGCTCCTGTAATCCCAGTTACTCAGAAGGCTGAGGCAGGAGAATCACTTGAACCCGGGAGGTGGGGGTTGCAGTGAGCTGAGATCGCACCATTGCACTCCAGCCTGCATGACAGAGCGAGACTCCGTCTCAAAAAAAAAAAAAAAAAAAACAATTCTCTGTTATTGACACACAGCAGTGAAGTGTGGCACCTGGGTAGTGCATTCTGGCCCAAATAACCCTCCTTAATCGGATGTTGGATTATTTAAAAGAACACTCATTTATAAGACTATTTTATTTAACTTGGAGTTGGATATAATAGTTTTTGAAAATGTACCTTAGTGTCTATTATAGTTTGTTCCCAGAGAATCTTTTAAGAAGGTGGAACTATATGATTCATTTATATCATAGTTGTTATTTCTGAAATAAGTAGATGCTAAATACTTGGGTGTAGTCTTTGGCCAGGGCTATGTTACTTCTATTCTGTAAGACACAATGTACTAAATAATTTTGATTGTGTTTTGGATTTAAATACAAACTTACTAATTTCCTTATGTTGAGTCAAAGAACTGGGAACTATTCAAAATGTGATATCACCCTCCCTTGCCATTGAGACTTGGGCTTGTGTTATTTTTTTAGTTGCCAAACCATCTTTTCATGATATTCCTTCTGATCAAGAGAATATATCCTGGAGGCTGCTGTTTCAAACAAAGCATTCTCTCTGGGGCTTTGGGATAGACCTTTTCTCTGTGTGAAAGAGAATGATACTGAGCAGAAAACAAACCCTGCTTCTCTGATTCACCTATTACTAGATAACTAAACTGCTTTTTCCAAATCAAAGAATACTGTACTTCAACATAATACTTCAATTCAATAATGTAGATGCTGTATTTTGAAATATATTAAGTCCAAGTTTTTGTATTTAGATGTCAAATTTTATTTCTGAAAATGAGGTGAGTTTTAAAAATTATTTTATAAGTAGATGTTCATTATATAAAAAATTAGGACAGAACTGTAGAATGTAGAAAGAAACCACTACTATCCTCACCACCCAAAGATAAATCTCAGTATTATTTTTATATGGTTCCTCCTAGTCTTTCCCCTATAAATACATTTTTATTTGTTTTTTGGACTTTTAGATAATTATGATTATATAGAAGATAATTTTGCCTGGTATTCCATTACAATTAACCCCTGATCAACATGGGAGTTGGGGCATATAATTTTGACTTCTCAAAAACTATGAATAGCCTACTGTTGAATGGAAGCCTTACTGATAACATAAACAGTGGATTAACATATTTTGTAGCTATATGTATTAAGTACTGTATTCAAAGTAAGCTAAAGAAAAAACTTTATTAAGAAAATCATAAAGAAGAGAAAATATATTTACTATTCATTAAGTGGAAATGGATCATCATAAAGGTCTTCATCCTCATCATCTTCACATTGAGTAGGCTGAGGAGGAGAAAGAGGAGGGGTTGGTCTTGCTGTCTCAGGGGTGGCAGAAGTGGAAGAAAATTCATGTATAAGTGGACCTGTATAGTTCAAACCTGTGTTGTTCAAAGGTCAACTGTATTTAAAATATTTTCAGAAGCAGAACTGCTATGTACCTACTACTTGGCAGTAACAAATGTCAGTACTTTTATTTTCTTGCTTAGGAACTTTACTTTCTCCTTAAAACAAATGTGTATAGATAGCTAAATCCTCCTTTGAACTGTACTCAAACATTATACCCTTCCTCTCTCCCTTCTCAGAGGCAACCACTATCAGAAATTTGATGTAAGTTCTTTCTCTTCATTTTTAAAAATTGAGACCTGGCTTTGAGCTGTTTTAAAAGTGTTTACAGTGTGGATCTTAAAATATTTTTATGTACATAGCATCATACTATAAGTTTATTCTACTACTTGTTTTTATCAACCAACTTTATGTTTTTGAGCCTTATAGGCAAATATCTTGTCATTGCTAATACATTTGTATTTACCCCTTTCGCTTTATTTTATTTATTCTATTTACAAAAACAAAACTTTTCTTTGAGTTTTCCTCTGTTTTTCTAGATCCTGGTAGATGATCTGGTTTTCTTTATTCCCAACTTTTCTTCTATGGTTCAGAAGGTAAACATTTCTTTCTGAAACTATTAATATTTATCCTTCTCTTGATAGGACAAAGATTCAACTTTTTTCCAAACTTTTCTTTCTGTTTCTGTTTTTGTTAAATAATAGTTTAGATCCAACGTGTTTTTAAACTTCTTCTAATTTTTTTTTAAGCCACTACTTATGTATATTTATCAACACATTTAACTGATTCCTTGGCTCACCATTGCTCCTTGCTTCTCATGCCTTTCTTCTGGGTGCTTTTTCCTTCTAAGGGAAGAACATTTTTTTTGGAGTTCTTTCAGGAAAGGTCTGTAAGTGGTTAACTCTTTCAGTCTTTGCTAGAAAATATCTTTATTTTTACCTTTACACTAAAATAATTATTTAGATGGTTATAGAATTCTAGATTAATAATTATTTTACTTCAACACTCCGAAGATATTATTATTTCTTCTGGCCTAGATTTTTGCTTTTTAGAAGTCTTCCATTAGTGTGGTTATTTTTCTTCTGATGGCATTATATTTATCTTTTTTCTCATTTTAGATTTTCTCCTTGTCTGGTATATAGTATACTTTCTTCTTTCTTTCTTTCCTTTCTTTCCTTTTCTTTCTTTTCCTTCCTTCCTTCCCTCTCTTCCTGTAGGGAAAAGAAAGAGAGATCAGACTGTTACTGTGTCTGTGTAGAAAGGGAAGACATAAAAGACTCCATTTTGAAAAATACCCATACTTTGAACAATTGCTTTGCTGAGATGTTGTTAATTTGTAGCTTTGCCCCAGCCACTTTGACCCAACCTGGAGCTCACAAAAACATGTGTTGTATGAAGTCAAGTTTTAAGGGATCCAGGGCTGTGCAGGACGTGCCTTGTTAACAAAATGTTTACAAGCAGTATAGTTGGTAAAAGTCATCGCCATTCTCTAGTCTCAATAAACCAGGGGCTCAATGCATTGTGGAAAGCCACAGGGACCTCTGCCATTAAAAGCGGGGTATTGTCCAAGGTTTCTCCCCATGTGATAGTCTGAAATGTGGCCTCGTGGGATGAGAAAGACTTGACCGTCCCCCTGCCCGAAACCCGTAAAGGGTCTGTGCTGAGGTGGATTAGTAGAAGAGGAAAGCCTCTTGCAGTTGAGATAGAGGAAGGCCACTGTCTCCTGCCTGCTCCTGGGAACTGAATGTCTCCGTATAAAACCCGATTGTACATTTGTTCAATTCTGAGATGAGAGAAAAACTGCCCTATGGTGGGAAGTAAGACATGTTTGCAGCAATGCTGCCTTGTTATTCTTTACCCCACTGAGATGTTTGGGTGGAAAGAAACATAAATCTGGCTTACGAGCGCGTCCAGTCATAGTACCTTCCCTTGAACTTAATTATGACGTAGATTCTATTGCTCACATGTTTGTTGCTGACCTTCTCCTTATTATCACCCTGCCCTCCTACTACATTCCTTTTTGCTGAAATAATGACAATAATAATCAATAAAAACTGAGGGAACTCAGAGACCGGTCCCGGTGCAGGTCCTTGGTATGCTAAGCGCTGGTCCCCTGGGCCCACTGTTGTTTCTCTATACTTTGTCTCTGTGTCTTATTTCTTTTCTCAGTATCTCATCCCACCTGACTAGAAATACCCACAGGTGTGGAGGGGCAGGCCACCCCTTCACCTTCGTCCCTCTCTCCCTCCCTTTCTCTCTCTCTCTCTCTCACACAGACACACACACACACATACACACACACACACACACACACACACACACACACACGGTCTCACTCTGTTGCCCAGGCTGGAGTGATCATAGCTCACTTTAGCCTCGACCTCTTGGACCTAACAATCCACCTCAGCCTCCTGAGTAACTGGGACTAAGGCGCATGCCGCTGAGCCAGGCTGAGAGAGTGTGTGTGTGTGTGTGTGTGTGTGTGTGTGTGTGCATAGATGGGGTCTCTCCATGTTGCCCAGGCTGGTCTCAAACTCCTGGGCTCAAAAGATTCGCCCACCTGGGCCTCCCAGTGTTCTGGGATTACAGGTGTGAGTCACCACACCAAGCGATTTTGTGTGTGTGTGTGTGTGTGTGTGTGTGTGTGTGTAGATGGGGTTTCTCCATGTTGCCCAGGCTTGTCTCACACTCCTAGGCTCAAAAGATTCACCCACCTGGGCCTCCCAGTGTTCTGGGATTACAGGTGTGAGTCACCACACCAACCTATTTTGTGTGTGTGTGTTGTAAAGATGGGGTTTTGCCATGTTGCCCAGGCTGTCTGATACACATTCAACACTGTGTGTTTACTTCTAGGTTTGTGCTTATCTGCTTAGTGTTCCTTTTTCAATCTGAGGATTCTCCCTTCTTTTTTTGTTCTGGAAAATTCTCTAACAAATAGCATTGAAAATCACCACTTTCCTATTCTATTTTGTCCCTCTGGGCTCCTGTTAGCTTTATGTTGAAGCTTCATTCTGTGTTACTTGTCTCTTACCTTCTTTCATATTTTTGATCTCTGCCTCCTTAGATGTGTTTGTCAAATTACTGATTTTTTTCACTTTCTCCATGGAGTTTTTATTATATTAATGTTTATATTTTTCATTTCAAAACTTTATTTGTATCTTCTTCAAATCCATATGCTCTTTCTTTCTATATGCCTTTTGTGGAGTACTACTTAGGGAAAAGTGGGAGCAGGGAAAAGCAAAAAGAGAAAGCAGTAAGCTACAAGTCTGTCTTTCTTCATGGTCCAAGACACATAATACTCCTGTGCAAATAACTCACAATCTTCCCGTTCCCAACTATCACCAGACACCTGCAAGTCAGCTCACTTCAATCACGGCGTTATCAGTACTGCACAAAGTCCCCTTTTGCAGACAGCATAGACACTATCTATAAAATCTCCAGCAAGCCTTTGTTTCTTTGCAGTCAGCTTCTCTTCTGCAGATCCTGCCCATTGCCTCCTCACAACAAAGTTTCCTACTTTCTTGAACAAATCTGCCTTTCTTTACAACTATCTTGGTAAATTCTTTTACCCCCGTGCCACCAGCCCAGATGGTCGTTACTCACCCACAACACCTTTTTATCATCTCTTTGAACATTTGAAAACATTTTTAACCCTTTACAGAATCAACTCTTATTTTTGGCTCTGTGGTTCAAAATTCTCCTTTTTCATCAGTCTGTTACCTCTGTCTCATAGATGACTTTGGGTTTCCTTATATGCTGTGTAATTTTTAGCTGTGAGTTTGTCTTTAGCAGGAGTCCTATTTCATTTATTTGATATAGCCCATCAAGTGTTTATACTATAGAATTCACTGATTCTGGCGATTTTTCCCCATCCACACTAACATTTATTTTTATTCTTGCATATATTACGAGAAGATACATAGCACTTGAATTTACCTTTGCTCATTATTTATCAAGTATACCCATATGCATCTGGTGCATAAAGATGCACCTGAGAGATTTCTAAATATTCACTCTTCACTGGATAGTGAAAAATTAGCTTTCTATGTGGCTCTGGTTTGGACTTGTGGGATCACATTGGTCACTTGTTTCTACTGGTGGTATAGCCAGCAGGTTTAAGCTAGTTGTAACTTTTGTGTCTCTCTACACTGGTGGATACAATTTTGCTTAGCCACCTCCAGGTTTATAATAGGAGCCCAGTACTAGCATTTCACCACCCAAAAGGACTCGATAATCACTGGCAAAAACTTCCCCAAAAAAATTGTGCCAGTTTACAGCATGTGTTAGAGTGTTGGTTTCATCCTATTCTTACCAGCACTGGAGATTTGTTGTTGTTGTTGTTGTTAAGATTCTTTATTAAATCTAATCAGTACAAAGGCTTCATGCTCTTGTTAAGTATTTAGCCATGCAAAATGGTTTTTACTCTCATTTGATATTCTTTATTATTTTTCTTTCTGTAGATTTTGAAAGACCATGGAGAGGATTTTCTTGTTGGCAACAAATTCAGCTGGGCAGACATACAGCTGTTAGAAGCTATTTTAATGGTGGAAGAACTCAAAGCTTCTGTTCTTTCTGACTTCCCTCTGCTAAAGGTAGTGTATTAACATCCACACAAAGCCCAGAAAAAAATGAACAAAGACTGAAGCAAAATGTGCCTTTAGGCCAATCTCAAAAGAAACTTAAGAACATTGGGGTGTGTGTGTGTGTATGTGTGTGTGTGTGTGTGTGTGTGTATGTGTGTGTGTGTGTGTGTGTGTGTGTGGTGGGGTTTTGTTGTTGTTGTTTGGTTTTTTTGAGACAAGGTTTCACTCTGTTGCCTAGGTTCGAGTGCAGTGGCATGATCATGGCTCACTGCAGACTTGACCTCTTGGCCTCAAGCGATCCTCCCACCTCATCCTCCAGAGTAGCTGGGACCACAGGTGAGTGCCACCACACCTGGCTATTTTTTTAATCAGGGAACCTGCCCCGATAGTCACTTAGGTTCTTTTCTATTTTCCTTAAGCATTGGCCAGCTTGAGAAATAAAGGGACAGAGTACAAAAGAGAGAAATTTTAAAGCTGGGCATCCGGGGGAGACATCACATGTCGGTAGGTTCCATGATGCCCCACAAACCGCAAAAACCAGCAAGTTTTTATTAGGGATTTTCAAAAGGGGAGGGAGTGTGCGAATAGGTGTGGGTCACAGACATCAAGTACTTTACAAGGTAATAGAATATCACAAGGCAAGTGGAGGCAGGGAGAGATCACAGGACCACAGGACCGAGGCGAAATTAAAATTGCTAATGAAGTTTTGGGCACCATTGTCATTGATAACATCTTATCAGAAGACAGGGTTTTGAGATCAACTTGTCTGACCAAAATTTATTAGGTGGGAATTTCCTCTTCCTAATAAGCCTGGGAGCACTATGGGAGACTGGGGTCTATTTCACCCCTGCAGTCTCGACCATAAAAGACAGGCACACCTGGGGGGGCCATTTATAGGCCTATACCTCCAGGCGTGTATTCTCTTTCCCAGGGATGTTCCTTGCTGAGAAAAAGAATTCAGTGATATTTCTCCCATTTGCTTTTGAAGGAAGAGAAATATGGCTCTGTTCCATCCGGGTCACTGGCGGTCAGAGTTTAAGGTTCTCTCTCTTATTCCCTGAACAATTGCTGTTATCTTGTTCTTTTTTCAAGGTACCCAGATTTCATATTGCTCAAACACACATGCTGTACAATTTGTGCAGTTAAGGCAATTATCACATGGTCTGAGGCGACATACATCCTCCTCAGCTGACAGGATTAAGAGATTAAAGTAAAGACAGGCATAGGAAATCACAAGGGTATTGACTGGGGAAGTGATAAGTGTCCATGAAATCTTCACAATTTATGTTTAGAGATTGCAGTAAAGGCAGGCATAAGAAATTATAAAAGTATTAATTTGGGGAACTAATAAATGTCCATGAAATCTTCACAATCCATGTTCTTCTGCCATGGCTTCAGCCGATCCCTCCATTTGGGGTCCCTGACTTCCCGCAACTCTGCTAAAGGTAGTGTATTAACATCCACACAAAGCCCAGAAAAAAATGAACAAAGACTGAAGCAAAATGTGCCTTTAGGCCAATCTCAAAAGAAACTTAAGAACATTGGGGGGTGTGTGTGTGTGTGTGTGTGTGTGTGTGTGTGTGTGGTGGGGTTTTGTTGTTGTTGTTTGTTTTTTTGAGACAAGGTTTCACTCTGTTGCCTAGGTTGGAGTGCAGTGGCATGATCATGGCTCACTGCAGACTTGACCTCTTGGCCTCAAGCGATCCTCCCACCTCATCCTCCAAAGCAGCTGGGACCAAAGGTGTGTGCCACCACACCTGGCTATTTTTTTTTTTTTTTTTGTAGAGATGGGGGTTTCTCTATGTTACCCAGGGTGGCCTCAAACACCTGGCCTCAAGCAGTCCCCTGGCCTTGGCCCACCAAAGTGTTGGGATTACAGGCATAAGCCACCATGCCTGGCCCAAGAACACTGTTTTAAAAATCATTCTGGCTGGGCGCGGTGGCTCATGCCTGTAATCCCAGCACTTGGGGAGGCTGAGGTGGGTGGATCACGAGGTCAGGAGATCGAGACCATCCTGGCCAACATGGTGAAAACCCGTCTCTACTAACAATACAAAAATTAGCTGGGCATGGTGGCGCATGCCTGTAATCCCAGCTACTCGGGAGGGTGAGGCGGGAGAATCACTTGAACCCAGGAGGCGGAGGTTGCAGTGCGCCGGGATAGCACCACTGCACTCCAGCCTGGTGACATAGTGACTCCGTCTCAAAAAAAAAAAAAAAACCATTCTTGGCCTGGCGCAGTGGCTCACACCTCACGCTGTAACCCTGTCTCTACTAAAAATACAAAAATTAGCTAAGCGTGGCAGCCTGCCCCTGTAATCCCAGCTACTCGGGAAGCTGAGGCAGGAGAATCACTTGAACCTGGGAGGTGGAGGTTGCAGTGAGCTGAGATTGTGCCACCGCACTCCAGCCTGGCAACAGAGCGAGACTCTTCTCAAGAAAAAAAAACTAAATAAACAATCATTCTTTTCTTCATTTTGGTTATTTTTCTTTTGCTTATCTACAGGATCTGTTAGGAAATAAAACTTTATGAAGGGGGAAAAGAATTGATTATTTTGATGTCTAGCATGAACATTTAGTACTTTCCTGTTTTTAGTGCTTTTAAAATTTTCTTCCTGACAAAACAAAGCTGACAAGTCTGTCTTCGTTGCTTCTCCCTCTAGGTCCTACCAGACAACCCTGCCTGCTTTTAGTCCCCCTGATTTTGGGGCCCCACATAGTTCCTGCATTGTTCAGAGCATCTGCTTAGGGGACACTGTCAGCCTCCTGTTGCACTGCCCCAGCCCTCAGACAGAATTCCACTCCTGCCAGACCTTACCTGGCCTCTGTTCCAGTTCCTGAGAAACATTTTATCTAATAGGTAACCACGGGTCTTGTGGTTTAAGAATTAGCAGTTTTTCTTATTACAAAAGAAATGCAAGTTCATGTAGTTACATTAGACATTTGTGTAAACCAAAAGACGAAAAGAAAAAAGACTGGCTGGGTGCGGTGGCTCATGCCTGTAATCCCAGCATTTTAGGAGGGTGAGACAGGCAGATCACCTCAGGTCAGGAGTCCAAGACCAGTCTGGCCAACATAGTGAAACCCTATCTCTACTAAAAATACAAAAATTAGCTGGGCGTGGTGGGGCATGCCTGTAATCCCAGCTATTCGGGAGGCTGAGGCAGGAGAATTGCTTGAATCCGGGAGGTGGAGGTTTCACTGAGCCAAGATCACACCACTGCACTCCAGCTTGGGCTACAGAGCAAGACTCTGTCTCAAAAAAGAAAAGAAAAAAGACCTATAATCTCACCAGCCAAATGTTATCTGCATGAGATTTTCTGACCTATTATTTTGCATTTTCCCTCCAAATAGGGTCATACTAAAGATTGTTTTGTGGCCTGCATTTAACATTCTTTTCAATTATCATGAGTATATTTACAGGTCAACAAATATTCTTTTGAAACAGTATGCTATTTTATTTTCATTAATCAATAGAATCACATCTTCTTTAAAAAATCAGAGCTATGGCCGGGTGTGATGGTGCACGCCTATAATCCCAGCACTTTTGGAGGCTGAAGCAGGCAGATCACTAGAGGTCAGGAGTTTGAGACCAGCCTGGCCAACATACTGAGAACCTGTCTCTACTAAAAATATAAAAAATTAGCCAGGTGTGGTGGTTTTCACCTGTAATCCCAGCTACTCAGGAGGCTGAGGCAGGAGAATCACTTGCACCCGGGAGGTGGAGATTGTAGTGAGCCAAGATCACGCCATTGTACTCCAGCCTAGGCGACAGAGTGAGACTTCATCTAAAAAAAAAAAATTGAGAGCTATATTAAAAGAGCATAAATTCAGAATTCTCATTCCCACCCCTTCCCCGCCACCTTTCTGCTCCCATAATCACTTTATTGGCATTCTATGTATACTTCCAGTGTTCCTATTTATGCTGATAAAAGCAAATCGGAATATATAGTTGTATTCTTTGCCACTCTCAAGTTTCTTGCACAAAATAGAAAATAGTGTATATTCTGTTCTGCCCCGGGCTTTTTATTATTATTATTATTAATGCATTTTAGAGATCCTTCCTTGTCAATACAAGGACCTTCCTCTTTCCTGTTACATAAGAGCATTTTAAATTACTAGTTTATACTCCTTGTAGAGAAGTACCATAATTTACATAACCAGTCTCCTTTTCCTAGAAACATAGGTTCTTTCCAATTTTTAGCATGTTAACATCCTTTTTTTTTATTTTTTGGTGGGGGACAGAGTCTTGCTCTGTTGCCTGGGCTAGAGTGCAGTGGCACGATCTCGGCTCACTGCAACCTCTGCGTCCTGGGTTCAAGCGATTCTCCTGCCTCAGCTTGCTGAGTAGCTGGGATTAGAGGCTCATGCCACCATGCCCGGCTAATTTTTGTATTTTTAGTAGAGACAGGGTTTCACCATATTGGCCAGGCTGGTCTCAAACTCATGACCTCATGATCCATCTATCTTAGCCTCCCAAAGTGCTGGGATTACAGGTGAAAGCCACCACGCCTAGCCCCTGTTAACATTCTTATAGCTATTTCTTTCTTAAAAAAAAGTTTTGTAGAGATGGGGGTCTCACTCTGTTGTTGGGCTGGTCTTGAACTACTGAGCTCAAACAATTCTCCCACCTCAGCCGCCCAAAGTACCAGGATTACAGGTGTGAGCCACCACACTTGGCCTCTTATAGCTATTTCTTTGCTCACACCCTTACTTATTCCTTTATAATAATTCCTAAAACAAGAATTGATAGGTCAAGAATATGAATGTGACCAGATGTGGTGGCTCGTGTCTGTAATCCTAGCATTTTGGGAGGCTGAGGCAGGTGGATCACTAGAGGTCAGGAGTTCAAGACTAGCTTGGCTAACATGGTGAGACCCTGTCTCTACTAAAAATACAAAAATTAGCCAGGTGTGGTGATGCATGCCTGTAATCCCAGCTACTTGGAAGGCTGAGGTGGGAGAATTGCTTGAACTCAGGAGGTGGAAGTTGCAGTGAGCTGAGATTGTGCCACTGCATGCTAGCCTGGGCAACAGAGTGAGACTCCATCTCAAAAAAAAAAAAAAGAATATGAATATTTTAGGGGTATGCACTGCCTGATTGTGACTTTTTAATAGATAATATAACTCATGCTAAACTTGTCAGCAGTTGTATTATTATCCATCCCAGAAATACCCAGCAAACACTTGTTGAGGGATTAAGCAGATTCAGTACACTGTACTCCATAAACTGAGGTCTAAGCACCCTTCATTCATGACAAAGTTGAGATTTTTCTTAAAGGTTGTGACTGCTATTGAGGCCCTGATTTTACTCTTTCTTATTTCAGGCATTTAAAATAAGAATCAGCAACATCCCTACAATTAAGAAGTTCCTGCAGCCTGGGAGTCAGAGGAAGCCACCCCCGATACCCACTATGTTGAACTTGCCAGGAAGATAGTGCTGCTCTAATGGCAGCAGGTTGCGTGATGACAAACATGATGATCCAGTCACAGCACCAGCATGTGCTGTCTGCAGAGGATAATAGAAGCAAACTGTAGATCCCAGGAGCAAAGTGTCTGAAAAGAACAAAACCATGCTGCCATTAACAGCAACGCTGATTAAATGTAGTATAAAATCATTCAGATGTGTGTGGCTTTTTAAAGTCTGTCAGTTGTGGATGATAGTCTACAACTTTTATGAAATAAATGTTCTGTATAAATAAATAGGAGCCAGATATATGTAGGGCAGGGGCCCACATATAACCCTGTTCTTCTGTCTGCATCAAGATTGGGACCATTGAGGGAACAGGGACCAGCAATTTGCAGGGAAGGATCTCTCCAACACCCACCATAATTGCTGAGTACTTGGGGTAAGAAAAAAAGTGGCAAATGACAAATTAAGAGTTAGACATTGGCTGATGCTAGTAAATCTTACAGGGATGTGTGGGGAACAGAGAATGTTCATTCTGAAACCCTGAAAAAAAGTTGGATATTTAGACAACACTTTTCCACCTAACAGAGCCACCCAAGACTGAATTTTGCTATGATGAAACAATTCCAAGTAGCACTGAGATTAAGATATAATAATATAACTGACAAATACTACTTATACAAGCTGAACAAAAGACTCCCCAGCCTTGATACATTTTTTTTTTTTTAAGATACAGGGTCCTCTGTCACCCAGGCTGGAGTGCAGTGGTGCAATCATAGCTCTCTGCAACCTTGAACTCTTTCTTTAAGGGTACCTATTATGTTCTAAACTGTAAAATTTGAAACTCAGCCTCATGTTGGGGCTTGTTTGATGGGAGGCAGAAGAGCTGACTTTGTCGCAGAGCATATATTCAGGATGATGTTGTAGGCATAATTGTAGTTCCTGGTGGTCTCTGGTCTGAAGCAAGGTCTCTGATCTGCCAGTGGTTTGGGGCACACAACTCTATCAGCTTCCAACTCCTGCTGGGACATTCCATCCCGGGTTGCACACTTTATTAACAGCTGAGTGTGTATCCAGGTATATGTCCTTCCTTGTGAAATGACTTAATTACCACCAGACTTCATGCCATTTCCTCAGGGCCACTACACGGCATAACCATTCCCTACATTACCTTCTGCCCCATTCATTCTTCTTCTTCTCTTCAGATGATGGACTGAGCAACAGGGTTTTTTCTGATAACCCAGGCCATTCAGCATCCCCCCAAGCCAGTCCATGTAGACCTGAGCTCCAGCTCCCAGAGTGGTCAAATCCCAACCTGGAGATTAGTATTCAGCTTGTCGTCCCACCTCATTCCCCACCCTGAGCAAGCCATTGCCAGCCAGCTACCAGATGATGAAAAAGACAGAGTAATATGGATTGGGAGAAGAGGCTTTTCACTGGAAACCCTGCACCTGCTTCCCGTGTGGGATGACTTTTCCCCCTGACCTCCAGCAAAGCCAAGGATCTGAACTTGTAGGAATTGAGTGGAAAAGAAAAATTCATTTTTAATAATTCAAAACTGTAAACCAATTTCTTTTTGTTATAATTACATGGCCTTGGTTAATAATTCAGACAGTATAAAAGGCTATACAGTGAAAAAGGAAATCCTTCTTTCTCTGAATTGCTTTCAAAACAACCACTTCTGGGCCTTTACTCCTTACTCTAATGCCTCCCTTGGGTTTCCAAGTGCTGTGTGATTGAGTTCCTGGTGCTCCAAGCCACTTTTCCTTTGGTTCTACTTCATAGGTTTTGAAAACAAGCCCTTAGGCCTGACCTCTGCCTGGCATGCTGGCATGCTCTCACAGAATTCCCCAAAGTCACCACAGACACAGCCAGCCAGCCGGTCAGTGCCAGAAGCATGTTTCATTGTCTAGTCATCTCGTAAGTACAAGTTGATGTCTTTCTTGTAATAGTCTTCATCTCTTCATTCTTCCCTGTGTGGTTTTATTTGGGCCTGTTCCCTAGCTTCTTGGTTGGGGTCTCACCCAAACTAGTAGAGGTAACCATGGGTGCCCGAGGAAAAGTGAGCCTCAGAGACCCCAATAGCACACAGCAAACATTCAAGGCCCCACTATGATGCCCCCCATCACCAGAGAGCCTTACTTTTGGGCAGAGAGAGAAAGGCAAGTGAAAGCATCTAGCTCAACATACTCATCAAAATGGAGGGCTGGGGGCTTAAAAGGGCCTTGATCCTTTATTCCAGAAGATACTGGGATAGAAACACTACTACTAGTCTTAGTCCTCCATTTAGCACTCTGGCAAGTGAAAATTTATTTTCTTTTCTTGGTGGCTATAAATCTCTCCTGTTTCAATGAAAGCCTATTTTTGTCATTGTTTGGACATCAGTGTACAAATAATTCAAACCTAAGCAGTGGCCCCCATAATGACCCCTTGATGTTGGTAATTACTCCTTCTTTTAGACTCCTCTGTAAGCTTTAAATGTGTGATTGCTGCATGAGTTTCTTGGCACAGGGCTAGAGGGAGGGGTTAAGACCAAGCCAGAGACGGTTTGCTTCCATTGACTGCCGGCCCTGAGCAAAATTGATAGAAAGAAGTTTGGCTTTGATTTTGGTCTTTGATTTTCTTTATCAGGAGTGCGGGGGTCAGAGGGGAGTTGTAGTTATTACTTTCAAGCAAAGAAGGGGGTTTATTAATACACACATATGGAAAGATGAGTGTGAATTCAGGGACATTCAGACAGTCAGGATGGCCCAAAACTCATTCTGACATCTGTGTTGGCCTCACATCCTTTTGTGGTTCGGTTGTTGGCTCACCTCTTCCTTGGTGCCCCTGCTGCTGCCATGGAGGTCCTGATGCAGCCAAAAGTAACCAAGTGGAGGAGGCAGGAGAAGTTCCTCAAAAGAGTGGGGCTGGTATTACCAGAGGAAGAGGAGGAGAGAGGAGGGGCCAACAGAACCACAAAGGTCTACTGTCTCCTCAGTTTCCAGTTAGGAAAGTGAGGCTCAGCGAGTGCCTTACCATATGAGCCATGATCCTACTGTATGGTGTTGCCAGCAGGCATCACATTCTTAGGGAAGGGAAAATTTAGACCAAAAGGAAGAAGGCAAATTTGCCTAGGATCATAAGTTAATGAGTGGCTGAGCCAGAGCCTGGATCTAGAAGTCAGGACTCAAGGTTTTAAAATATATATGGCAGCAACCTGTTGTTTAGCTTGGGAGACTTGAAATAGCTAGGAAATAGATCTCTCCTGTTTCTAAGGGGTGGCAAATATGAAAATGGTGTTTCCACTCAGAGTCCTTGCAGCCATTTTTGTTTGTTTGTTTGTTTTGTTTTGTTTTGAGATGGAGTCTCTCTCTGTTGCCCAGGCTAGAGCACAGTGGCACAGTGGCACGTTCTCAGCTCACTGCAACCTCCACCTCCTGGGTTCAAGCAATTCTCCTGCCTCAGCTTCCTGAGTAGCTGGGATTACAGGCGCACACCACCATGCCTGGTTAATTTTTGTATTTTTAGTAGAGACGAGGTTTCACTATGTTGGCCAGGCTGGTCACAAAGTCCTGACCTCAAGTGATCTGCCCGCCTTGGCCTCCCAAAGTGCTGGGGTTACAGGGGTGAGCCACTGCACCTGGCTATTGCAGCCATTTTAATGCTATGATTTATTGTATATCTATTTTTCCCCTAAGCCCATTTCCTGTAATCCCAGCACTTTGGGAGGCTTGCTTGAGCTCAGGAGTCTGAGACCAGCCTGGGCAACCTGGTGAAACCCCATCTCTACCAAAAAATACAAAAATTAACCAGGCATGGTGACACATGCCTGTAATCCCAGCTACTTGGGAGGCTAAGGTGGGGAGATTGCTTGAGCCTGGGGCATGGTGTGATTGCGCTACTGCTCTCCAGCCTGGACAACAGAGCAAGACCCTGTCTCAAAACAAAACAAAACAAAACAAAAAACCTTACAAGGAATAGAATTTTTTTTCTTTCAAATTATAACACCTTTGGAACTTATGCATTTTTTTGACAAATTTTTCGTCAAAGTAAAATAAACATACAGTAAAGGGGACACATCTTAAGTTTATAGCTCAATGTTGTTTTTGTTTTTACAAATGTCTTCTTTCTTTCTTTCTTTCTTTTTTTTTTTTTTTTCAGGATCTTGCTCTGTTGCCCAGGCTGGAGTGCAATGTCTCGATTGTGGCTCACTGCAACCTTAACTTTCCCAGCTCATGTGCTCCTCCCATCTCAACCTCCGAAGTAGCTGGGACCACAAGCATGCGCCACCATGCCTGGCTAATTTTCTTTTTTATTTGTAGAGAGAGGGCCTCCCTAGGTTGCCCAGGCTGGTCTCAACTTCCTAGGCTCAAGGGATCCTTCCACCTCAGCCTCCCAAAGTGCTAGGACTACAGGCATGAGCCACCACACCCGACCACATGTCTATTTTTTAAACAGCATTTTTGAGGTACAATTTATTTATTTATTATAGTGTTTCATGATTTTTAGTAAATGTATATATTTGTGCAACCATCTCTTCACTCCAGTTTTGGAACAGTCTCCTCACCCCAACCAAAGTGTCCTTGTTCTTGCCAAATGCTGCTCCCACCCCTGGCCCCAGGCAGTCACTGATCTTCTGGTCCTGGTCTATTTTACTTCTGCACAGTAGCACTGGCTTGAGCCCACAATGCCAAGACAGTGCTCCTGGGCCTTCTTCTTGTGGCTCTTTCTTCCTGAATCAGGAAGGTCCAGCAGAATTTCCCTCCTAACCCTGTAGCTCCATCTCTCACCAGCAAATGAAACAAGGCATCACAGACATCACCAGCCAAACAGAGTTCACCAAGTGTATTAGTCTGTTCTCACATTGCTATAAAGAAATACCTGATACTGGGTAATCTATAAAGAAAAAATGGTTTAATTGGCTCACATTCCTACCTGCAGGCTGTATGGGAAGCATGATGGCATCTGCTTGGTTTCTGGGGAGGCCTTAGGAAACTTACGATCATGGTAGAAGACGAAGGGGGTCCACCTCATATGGCCAAAGCAGGACCAAGAAAGGGAGCGGGGAGGTGCCACACACCGTTAAATGACCAGATCTCTTGAGAACTCCCTCACCATGGTAAGGACAGAACCAAGGGAATGGTGCTAAACCATTCATGAGAAATCCACCCCCATGATCCATTCACCTCCCACCAGACCCCACCTCCAACAATGGAGGTTATGATTCAACATGAGATTTGGTGGGGACACAGCTCTAAACCATATCACCAAGGTGCTGTGGAAAAGATTTCAGAGACTCCTAGATCAGTTAAGTACTCTGAGGTATGATCTCAAGAAAACAGGATTTAATGCAAAAGTAAGCTATACTTCAATTAACAGTTTTGTACAGCAGTGTGCCACGAAAAGGGGCTAAAGGGCAGGAATTTGCAGACTGTTCTAGCACTTGCACATAATGAATATTCTGGGCTCCTACCACAGAACTCGTGTGCCCTGGAAGGGTTGCAGAGGGCCAAGGTATCAATCATCTCAGCCCTTGGGGAAGCTGGAGCAGCCTCCGGGTTTACACCCAGGACTTACACATATTACCATTTCTTGTCTCTGCCAATTTGTGAAAGGTTGGGAATTTGCTCTTGCAGGGCTGATGGTGGGCCCCGAGTTTATCATTTCATGAGTCAAGCCAGCTCTCAACATCCTGCCACTTTCCTAGTTTGGATTCTGTACTTATCACAGCCTCACTTGTAGAGTTTTCTCCAGGGTTGAGAGTGTGTTAGCTGGTCCTCAGGTGCGCTCTTATTTTCTGGGCAATTATGCTCTTCTTGTTAAACAACTGATATTGCTATTTGTATATACCTAGTGTGTATGTATGTATGTGATTGTGATAAAATACACATAACATAAAATTTACCATTTTAACCATTTTCAAGTGTACAGTAAGTGGTATTAAGTACATTGACATTATTGTGCAATTATCACCACCATTCCCATCCATCTCCAGAACTATTTCATCACATCAGATTAAAACTCTCTACCCATTAAACAATGGCTCCCCATTTTCTCCTCCCCACAGCCCCTGGTGGGGACCAGGGACTAGTTGTGATCTCTGTGAATTTGCCTATTGTAGGTAGCTCGTGTAAGTGGAATCATACAATATTTGTCCTTTTGTCTCTGGCTTATTTCACTCGGCATGTTTTCAAGGTTCATCCATGTTGTGGCATGTAATAGAATTGTATTCCTCTTTAAGGCTGTTTTGGGTGTTTTTAATGGAAGTAAGTTTCCTCCTGTTGTGTTACCCCCAGAAGCACTTTGTCCCATTGTGTTTCAGGACCTGCAGAGCTGACACACAGTCCCTGAACTTGACGGCCCAACAGGATGTGGCCGTCTTTGCCTGAGATGCTATTTGGGAGTCTGTTCTTTCTGGCTTCTTTAACTGCAATGCTCTTCCCCTTCATGATTAGTTCTCAGATTTATGGAACCTCTCTGAACAATTTGTTCTTTGTACTTCATATTTACTTGTAAAAAAAAAACAAAAAAACAAAAAACAACTTTGTCTTTTCTAAAAGGAATTTCAGGTACCAGGAAATAGGTATGGTTGTATCAGGAATAAAGGGTCCTTCATGCTTTAATTACACCACATAGAGATTGCTTTAGACAAATATCATGGAGAAAAGTAATATTTATTGGGCACTTTCTATAGTCCAGGCTCTCTTCTAGGTACTCTATATCCATTATATAATTTAATCCTTTCAATAACCCTCCAAGAGACATGTGATCATTATAGTTTGTACAGGTGAGGAAATTGAGGCCCTGAGAAGCTGGGGACCTAGGTTCCCAGAGACGTGACCATGACTAGGGTGAGAAGCCAGGCCTACTCATGCCAGGCCCCAGGCAGCTTTCTCTTCAAGGGGTAAGAGCAAATCTTTGTAAAGCACAAGGCTTTGTCTACAGCCATACCACCCTGAACATGCCCGATCTCATCTGTAAAGCACAAGACTTTAGAAAGATCCAGATGCCAGCTGAGGAGAGAGAGTATTTCACCTTGTTTCCCAGCATGGCCTCCAATAACATTCAAGAATCCAGTCCTGCAAGGACCTCCCTGCTTGGCTCAGCCCAGGTGAGAGCATTCTAACCAGCCAGGGCCACCAGGCCAGCAGCCCAGAAAGGGGCCAGAGGAGCAGTTTGCTTTCCAGGTAGTGGTGGTGGATAACTTCAAGAGTCCTCAGGTGGTAGATCTGCTTGTGTGGCCCCATTCTCCCTCACAGCATCCCCAGGATCTGCCAGGTGCATTTAGGCTGGCTTCCTGGCCAGACTTCTAAACTTCTGAGACAGTAGCTATCCACGGTCTGTGGAGGCAACCCACGCACCTCTCTCATCCATACTTTCTATTTTCTTTTTTTTAAGTATAAAAATCTTTATTATATTTCATTTTTTAAACTTAGATTACCTTGTTTTTTAATTTATTTTAACAATATTTATTAACCAAATTAACACATTAGTTGTCTCTTTCTTTTTTTCATTCCACAAAATTTATTCTAACTTCAGCAAAAATAATTAATTACCTTATTTTCAAATAATTTGGGTCCTGTTTATAGTGATCATCTAAAGCATTAAAAATCTAATTGAGGCCGGCCGTGGTGGCTCAAGCCTATAATGCCAGCACTTTGGGAGGCCGAGGTGGGTGGATCACCTGAGGTCAGGAGTTCGAGACCAGCATGGCAAACATGGTGAAATCCCATCTTTACTAAAAATACAAAAATTAGCTGGGTGTGGTGGTGGGTGCCTGTAATCCCAGCTACTTGGGAGGCTGAGGCAGGAGAATCACTTGAACCCAGGAGGCAGAGGTTGTAGTGAGCCGAGATCGTGCCTTTGCACTCCAGCCTGGGTGACAAGAGCGAAACTCTGTCTCATTAAAAAAAAAAAAATTAATTGTATTCCAAACACACAAAAGCTGAATGTATTTTCATGCAAAGAATTTAAATAAATAAATAGAAATTTAAAAATATAGTAAGGTTTAGTTAACTTTTCAAAAATTAAAATTTGAGATGTTAGCTATATTTAAGTGATCTCATTTAAATTTTTTGAAAATACATATAAAAAGAATTCTAATTTAAAATTTTGACTTTCATGTTTATCTTTTTCACACTTTCCATTTCCACTCTTCAGTGTGTACTCTTAAATTCTCTTTCCACAGCCTCTTCCATTGTTAATGAAACAATAAGCCTCATGGCCACGGTTTTTGAGGGCCTGATCTGTGCCTAGGTTTGCACTAAGCAGATTTTACCTCTTACTTAATCTTCACAAGTACCTTATAAGTAGGTCCCAAAGATGTTAAGTAACTTTCCACAATCATAGATCCAGTATGTGCTTGAAAGACAGTTTGAGCACAGGCCGTCCTGACTCCAGGTGCCTCTTGTCAATTACTCTAGCAGAGGAAGGTCAGGGAAGGATCTGCATTGTTACTAGACTGTGCATAACAAAGATGCCAGTACAAATGGGAGGGGGGATGTGGAGAATTCTCAAGTGTTACTTAAGCCATGTTACCTGTTCATAGAGCTGTAATGTACACTTAAAAGTAGTTGCTATTTCCCAGAATTCTAAATGCCCCCATTTCCCTTTACAATTGCAAAAGAATCCAATAATCTAGTTAATTACATTTTCTTTTCAGGTCTTTGTGGATGAATTTAAAACTATAATTTAGTTACATTTCTTCTTCTCAGAAGGCATCATAGAGAGTACCTCTGTGTAGTGATAAAGTGCCCTGTGAAGTGTAAAACATACAGACAGGGGAGCCCCAGGACTGGAAGGGAAGCCAGAGCTCATCAAATCAGGTGATACCCTGGAGACACAGTGGAGATACCTCTGGTGAAGGGGGGTGCAACCCTCAGCCTCTTCTGGGAATGAAATTGCAAAGCCTCTTCAAGTAAATTTTCATGAGCTATTTCCAAAATCATCTCCAGTTTAATCAGGGCATCCACATCAAAAAAGACAAAAAGATGTCCTTGAAGGGTCTGGTTTATCTGTAGACTCTAAGGACAGACATTGATGCCCACAAATGAAATGAGTTCAACCAAAATGAAAAACCAGAGGCTGCTTTCTGACTCTTTCTTCGACATGTACTTGTGTGCGTGTGTGTGTGTGTGTCTGTTAATCAAGTGATGGATTAGACACAATGCCTGGCACACAGCAGACCTTCAATAAATTGCAGTTCTTCCCCTTTCTTTCCAAACCTAGAAAGGAGGAGCAGAGACTTTTACTGGCAGGCCGGAAGACTGTATCTGCCTCTGAGCCATCAAATAGGACGTCGAAGTCCTTCAAATCAGGAACAGAGGTACATTCAATAGAAGCCTCATTGCTGGTCCTGGGCAGGAAAGCCTCCCTCCTCCTGAATATGTGCTCAGGCCTGGTCCAGTTGGGATTTGCTTCTTACCAGCCCCTCCATGTCTGGTCCCACAGTTCAGTCCTGCTGCTTGTACTTCACCAAGAATTAAGCTTTGAAAAGTGGAATTGTGGGGAAAGAGTTCCTTTACTCTGGAGAAGGAGAGGCAGAGTGAGAGCCTCTCCATCCTTTAACACAAATGCCTACAAGTAAATAAACACTCTGAAGCCTCATGGGTAGTTTAACCACGATTGGAAATTTTAAAACATTTCAGCCAATAGAAAAGAGATAACACTCCCAGGTCAACAATTCTGGTCAAAGGTACCATTGTATGCCTTTTGCGAAGTAAAACAGTACGAACCACAGTTGAACTATATCAGCAACAAAAAATCACAGGCATTCTGCAGGCCTTTGTGTCTGAAGCACTGATGGCTGTGATTTCTCAGCTGCTGTCCATAAGCGCCTTCTGTCCCCCACCTGGTGTGGAGGGCTTCACCTGCAGAGAGCGCTTGTGTCTGAACCGCCCATTTGGCTTACATTGTTTACACTCATTACTCACAGTGTGGCCCTGGACCAGCAGCATGGGCAGCACCTGGGAACTTGTTAGAAATGCAGTTTCAGGTCCCACCCCAGCCTTACTGAATCAGCATCTGCATTTTGGCAAGATCCCCAGGTGACTTGTGTACCCATTAAAGTTTGCAACACTGCCTTGTGTTATCATTCATCTTTCCAAACACAGTCTCGGGTTCTCTCCAGATGTGAGAATGTTCTATGATCTTGCATCCCCTGTTTGCTCTCTGTACGTAAGGATCCTTACCCCCCATCTCTGTCTGCTTCAGATTTGAGACCCTCACTCACTTCCGGGAATGGTGTCTTTTGTTCATGTTCTCTTCAAGCCCAAGATCACAATTTGCTTCTTCCCTTTTACTCTGGGGGAGAGGCATATGATATAACAAAAAAAGCATGGACTTTGACACTGGAAAGATGTGGGATCTGGCTCTTTCACTTACCAGATGGATGACTAAGCAAGTTTTTATCTGTGTGACCCTCATTTCTAAAATGAAGACATTAGTACTCTCCACATTGTATAGATATTGCCTGGCACATGACTCATCTGCTTGCTCAGCCTTCCTGGCTACATGGCTGGCCCTTGGCCATCTCTTGATAATCAGATCTTGAGCAGCCCTGGCAGGGATGGCCTTGTTATCCTTGGGCCCATACCCCTCTCCATTAGTGGCTCCAGAGAACTGGATGTGAACAGCACTTCTTCCTGGTCTGCCATGAATTCAGCTCTGATTTGGGCAGTTCCCAGTTTGCAAATTTAGGATGAGATCTTTTACTCAAATTGTTTCCAAACAAAATATGGTTATTATTTTTGCAATTATAGCAACCTTTTGTTTGAGAGGATACGGTACATTTTTATCACCATTCAAAAAGTTACAGTTTTGGTGGTATAAAAATTCATTTTTAATTAAAACATGTTTGGGGTACTATGAATTATATTCATTCTACAAAGAGCGGGTACTTTTGTTTTTTCCTTCTTGCATTTTACTTGTTTTCTTTGCTTCTTTTAAAGACACTGTTCCTGGCTAGGCACGATGGCTCACACCTGTAATCCCAGAATTTTGAGAGGCCAAGGTTGGAGGATCAATCAAGATCAGGAATTCAAGACCAGCCTGGCCAACATAGTGAAACCTCGTCTCTACTAAAAATACAAAAATTAGCCAAGAGTGATGGTGGGCACCCATAATCCCAGCAACTTGGGAGGCTGAGGCAGGAGAATCGCTTGAACTCGGGAGGTAGAGGTTGCAGTGAGCCGAGATCACACCAACCTTGGTGACAGAGTGAGACTCTATCTCAAAATAAATAAATTTTAAAAAATAATAAAAAAACAAAAACACTGTTTCTGATGCCATTAGAGGTCAGCAGAAGCAAAGAAGACACATTCTAATCAATTTTTCCCCCCTTTGGTAACTCAGTGGGAGGGAAAGTTGAATTTTTCTGGAGTATCTTATTTTTTCCAAATGGTGAAAAAAAAAAGCTGAAACTGATTTATACATCAAATCTTCGTTCTAACTAGGTATATTATACAAGCTACATATTTGATAATAGTTGAATAGTAAAAACGTTAAAGAAGTGAAGTGTCCATTTTGAAGTATGGTTTTTTAAAGGTTTCATTTGATTTTTTTTTTTTCGAGAAGTTTTTGCTCTTGTTGCCCAGGCTGGAGTGCAGTGATGCGATCTCGGCTCACTGCAACCTCTGCTTCCTGGGTTCAAGTGATTCTCCTGCCTCAGCCTCCCAAGTAGCTGGGACTACATGTGCCTGCCACCATGCCCAGATAATTTTTGTATTTTTAGTAGAGACAGGGGTTTCACCATGTTGGGTAGGATGGTCTTGATCTCCCGACCTCATGATCCACACACCTTGGCCTCCCAAAGTGCTGGGATTACAGGCATGAGCCACTGCACCTGGCCTTCATTTGATTTTAAAATTGAATTATCAGCAAGTCCCAGTACCAACCGCTAATGCTGCACATACAGTTTAGAGGTCAAGGTTCCAGTTAAAGAAACAATATTTTAAAATAATAAGAATGAACAGCTTGGATTAAAAATTACATCTGCTTGCATTTTCTCAGCCAAGATGTTTTGCTTTTTAGCTTGCTTTTTTTGATTATCAACATAGATATTTTTTATCCAGGGGTGTGTATTCCTAATCTTCACTAATTCATTCCTTTAGGGTTGATAGGTCTATTTCACCCTGTGTAATTCTAAACATTTTGCTCTAAGGAGAGAGAGTTTCTCTCTGATGTTTCAGATCTGGTGTGGGAGAGCTCAGACAGTTAGTCTCAACATAAAGCCGTCTGGGAGCTGGCCTTAATAGAGATACTAACTTAATCATTAAAGAGTTTAATATGGTGCATTTTCAAAGTAGAACTATAGCAGGACGAGCTGCAGACAAAACTCCTCAGACGCTGGATTAAAGAAGGAAGAGATTTATTCAGCCGGGAGCATCAGCAGACTTGTGTCTTAAGAGCCGAGCTCTCTGAAAAAGAAATTCTTGGCCTTTTTAAAGGCTTACAACTCTAAGGGGTCCATGTGAAAAGGTCGTGATAAATCGAGCAAGCGTGGGGAATGTGACTGGGGGCTACATGTATCAGCTAACAGAACAGAAAGTTTGCAATGCTTTTTCATACAATGTCTGGAATTTACAGACAACACAAGTAGTTTAGGTCAGCGGTTGATGTTATTATTATTATTATTAGTTTTTTAACTCCTAGGGCCAGGTGGTGGTGCCAAGATTGTCTGGCTATTTATCTTACTTTTGTTTTTTTCCAACTTTTTCTTTCTCTCTTTCCTCCTGTCTTGTGAACTAGGCAAGGTTGGGGGAGGAGGGCAGCAGGAGTAGTAGCGGTCTCCTTCCTTATCCCCGCCTTTGAGAATTTCACTAATTAGTGGGAGTTCTCACTTTTATTTTTACTTTCTGAGTCTCTTTCTGAGACAGAGTGATAGTGTTTTATGTAATACACTTATGCTGAAGTTTTCTGACAAACAATGGTAGCTACAAAACCTTTTATCATTTGAAGGAGCAAGTGTAATACACAGGGGAGCAGCAAGCGTCTATTACTAGTAATATACTTACAATGAGGGTTTTAAATTATCTTATAGCTGGAAACTATTTTCTAAATAAAGACCTAGGATTAAACCTGCACTAAACCTGTACAGGCACATGTGCCAACTTTGTCATGTCCTAAGCAGGTTAGTTCTTTTACTGGGTCTTAAAAGCTTTTTTCCTAGTGAGCAACACAGTATTTTTTAATAATAGAAGTTTTTAAGAGCCAGATGCTTGAACTTGTGGGTGTCTGTTTAGGGAAAGAGTCTGTTAAAGCAAAGTTATCTTGAGGCATTAACTCTTTTGCTTCTCAAGACCATTGGTTTCTCATGTTAGCCTTTTAATAAACATAACATGAGGAAATGACTAGGCTGCCAGCAATGTTTTCAGCCAGCTGAGCAAATAGGTTTTATTGTTTGTTTGTTTGTTTGTTTGTTTGTTTGTTTTTTGCTAAAGGAGGAGGCTCTGGTAACTTCTGGTTTATATGTTTAAAGAATGACTTAAAGACTCGAAATTGTTACTGGGCCAGACGGGTCTGGGTTTCCTGACTAAGTAGTATGTGTACGGTGGGGAAACCTTATATAGGTCTTTCTTCTAGCACGGTTATGGGGGGTAACAACAACAAAACAATATACAGTATATTCATATCCAGCAAGGAAAAAAGAGGTCCTTGCCCGGGAAAAAGGTTGAATACAGCAACAGAACAATAGGAAAGCAGTCAGTATTACAGGAAAACTATTAATCTTAAGATTTTAAACTACATTTACTTGCTTGATGAGTCTTCAAACTTTGGCTGTGCATAGACTAGTCAGCTGCCGGTGTGTGACTAGAGCAGGGCTTGTTGTTTCTTCAAGCTTCAGCCGTGAATAGACTGGTCAGCCTCCAGAGTGACCAGAGCAGGGCTGTCGTCCTCAGCAGCAGCTTGGTCTCGTCTCAGGATCAGCTGGGTTGGATGATCTGTGTCCTGCTGGCTGGTCTACTTGTCCTGAGCTGCCAGTGTTAGCTGACTGTGATGGATCTAAGACACAACACCTGCAACTTTAACAGCAGTGGGAGTGGACAAGATTACAGTAAAGGGCCCATCCTATATGGGTCCTAGAAAAATTAGATTTTACTTTTTAACTTAAAACAGAGTTACTAGATTTAAAGGGGTGTCAGGCTTATAGGCATTTTTATTTATTTAATTATGAACACTTTGTATGGCTATTTCTAAAGCCTGCATTTGCTTTCTTAAAGTTAATTCCTTTAGTTCCTGGAGGTCATCTTTAATTTGACCTATGATTTGGGGGTGGCCGACTGAACAAAATCGTATAGGGCAAATACCTAATTTGTTTGGTGGAGGTGCACCTGACTCGGAGGAGGACCATAGGCAAAAACCTGATTTTATCTTAAATGAATTTCCTGGCAATATTTCTTCAGTAGCTGCTTGAGTGTCTGGTTCATGCTTTCCAGCTTTTCTTGAACTTTGTGGCCGATAGGCTGTGTGTAACTTCTATTTTATTTTTAACAGTCTTGTTAAATCTTGCACTGTTTTAGCTACAAATGCTGGCCTATTGTCTGACTTTAAAGTTAGAGGCAGTCTAAACCTGGGGATAATGTCTTTTGAAAGTACTTTAATTACTTCTTGTACTTTTTCTGTCCTGGTGGGGAAAGCTTTAACTGACCCTGAAAAGGTGCAAACAAGCACTAGCATGTACCAATAGCCTCCGGCATGGGGCAGTTCTGTAATATCTATAAGCAAGTTTTCACAAGGTATGACTCTTCCTCCTGTTTAAGTTTCTTACAGGAGGGGTTCTTTTTCTTCCCCCGCTTTGTAACTCTATCTAGTGGCTTAGCCATCATTGAGAAATTGGAATCTAGATATGGTAGAATCTTGCTGCTTTTAACTTTTAACATGACCATGGACTCCTGGGAGCCTAATGAGAATGTGTCTGGTCCGTCTGGTCTGATCTAGTCTTTTTTTTTTTTTTTTTTTTTTTTTTTGATACAGAGTCTCGCTCTGTCGCCCAGGCTGGAGTGCAGTGGCATGATCTTGGCTCGCTTCAAGCTCCGCTTCCCAGGTCCACGCCATTCTCCTGCCTCAGCCTCCCAAGTAGCTGGGACTACAGGCGCCCGCCACCACGCCCAGCTAATTTTTTGTGTTTTTGTAGAGATGGGGTTTCACCGTGTTAGCCAGGATGGTCTCGATCTCCTGACCTCGTGATCCGCCCACCTCGGCCTCCCAAAGTGCTGGGATTACAGGCGTGAGCCACCATGCCTGGCCTGATCTAGTCTTTACATTCTTCAGCTCCTGCCAGCCTGATCAGATCAGTATTTGGTTCCTCCAATGTGCGGCAGTCCTTGGCCGATGGCCTCTTTGTCTTGCGGCCTTGGCCACTTTCCTCATTGTCTTCTGAACATTTATCTTTCTAGTGTCCTTTCTTTTTGCATCTCACACATTAATCTCTCTCTAGCCTTGTCTGGCTCTTGAATCCTTGCCTAACTTGACTTCTTCCACATCTACATCCACATCCACATCCCTCACATTGCTAATCTCTCTTTTTGTAAGAGCTGTTGCCAACAGATTGCCTTTTTTTTTTTTTCCTTAAACTTTAATTAATTTTTTTTCCTCCCTGATCCTACAGCCAGCTGGCAGGGCCGGGCAATGGCACGGGCCCTGCCCCCGCGTACTGCTGTCTGTCTCTCCTGTTTTCTGCTGATTCTCTTTTTCACACTTACTCTTAGTCTTTCTTTTTCTTTTGCTCTTTTCCCAGCTCCAGTCCCTGGCTCCTTTTTTAGAGCCAGGCTGGGGAGAGGGACTTAATCCTTGGCGTGCCTAGCTTCCATGCTTGTTGCTTTTGCTCTTTCCAGTTTTGTTCCTTGGTCACAGTTAACATACACCTTTTAAAGACTAGGTGGTATTCATGCCTGCAGCTTCTGCTTGATGTTACCCTGGGCTTGCTTTACAAATGAAGTATTCACTGTATACTGATTTTCAGCAGCCTCAGGGTTAAATGGGGTGTAAAGTCAGAATGCTTTATAGAGTCTCTTATAAAACTGACTTAGGCTCTTGTCAGCTCCTTGAAGCACTTCTGAAATCTTTTTTATATTAATTGCTTTTTTTCTACTAACTCTTAGCCTCTGCAGAAGTGCCTCTTGGTACCTCTGAAAACGCTGAAGCTGAGTTGCATTCTCTGGGTCTTTTTCCTCTTTTTCCTAAAGTTTAACAGGCCCTTTTCTTTATATAATTCTCCATGCACTTGGAGGGTTAAACAGGCCTACCGAGAGTCAGTGTAAATGTTTACAGTCTTACCTTCACTGAGTTCTAAGGCCTAAATTAAAGCAATGATGTAGGGGTGGGTTGCCCCTCCACACCTGTGGGTGTTTCTCGTAAGGTGGGACGAGAGATTTGGAAAAGAAAAAGACACAGAGACAAAGTATAGAGAAAGAAATAAGGGGACCTGGGGAACCAGCGTTCAGCATATGGAGGATCCCGCCAGCCTCTGAGTTCCCTTAGTATTTATTGATCATTTGTGGGTGTTTCTCGAAGAGGGGGATGTGTCAGGGTCACAAGACAATTGCGGGGAGAGGGTCAGCAGACAAACACGTGAACAAAGGTCTTTGCATCATAGACAATGTAAAGGATTAAGTGCTGTGCTTTTAGATATGCATACACATAAACATCTCAATGCTTTACAAAGCAGTATTGCTGCCCGCAGGTCCCACCTCCAGCCCTAAGGCGGTTTTTCCCTATCTCAGTAGATGGAGCATACAATCGGGTTTTATACCGAGACATTCCATTGCCCAGGGACAGGCAGGAGACAGATGCCTTCCTCTTGTCTCAACTGCCAAGAGGCATTCCTTCCTCTTTTACTAATCCTCCTCAGCACAGACCCTTTACGGGTGTCGGGCTGGGGGACGGTCAGGTCTTTCCCTTCCCACGAGGCCATATTTCAGACTATCACATGGGGAGAAACCTTGGACAATACCTGGCTTTCCTAGGCAGAGGTCCCTGCGGCCTTCCGCAGTTTTTGTGTCCCTGGGTACTTGAGATTAGGGAGTGGTGATGACTCTTAAGGAGCATGCTGCCTTCAAGCATCTGTTTAACAAAGCACATCTTGCACCGCCCTTAATCCATTCAACTCTGAGTTGACACAGCACATGTTTCAGAGAGCACGGGGTTGGGGGTAAGGTCACAGAATCTCAAGGCAGAAGAATTTTTCTTAGTACATAAGAAAATGGAGTCTCCTATGTCTACTTCTTTCTACACAGACACAGTAACAATCTGATCTCTCTTGCTTTTCCCCACACAATGAGCTCAGCTTAACGACAGAGTCCAGGGTTATCACCGCATATCCTGCACATGTCTCTCCTTGTGGGTTGATGAAGCTGCTTCCGTTCAAGTATAGCTCCCAGTCTAGTGATGCTCAAGGCTGGTCCCGGAGGTCAGGTCTGCTAGAGTAAACTGAGTCCAACACCTCTACACAGTTATGCTCAACAGGGCTCTAGCTGCCGGGAGCAAGGTGGCGGGTTCAGGGTGTTTCCAGTTTAGTAGATCGATGGTTGAAAAGGGCTGATAGATGATAGTCTGTTGCCCCCGCCCCGGATGTGGGCCTGGTCATTATAATAGACAGGTCCTCACATCTCCCTGAGGCATTTGCATAGCTCCAGCAAGACCAGACCTGAGAGGGCCCACTTGACTATCTTGACTTCCTTCCTTGGCCTATTGAGGCTCCAATCCTCCCCTTCGAGGTGAGACCTGGGGCGTATTAGCTCCTGAATCTGGTTTCTGAGGGGGCTGTTGGCCTCGGTAAAGTGGCGTAGGCTGGGACATAAAAGAATTTCTATTATCTCTGTTGGCTCCTGCAAAACTGGCTTCTCTTGCTGTTTCTTGGACTCCCTTTTTAACTCTATGTCTGCTGGCGAAGCTGCTCGTACTTTTACTTCAGGCTTTTTTGCAATAAGCTGTTAAACAGGACTAAATTTATGCTGGCTTTGTCTATATTATATTTAACCATGAGTCAATATAAAAGAATTTGATCCAGGTACACTGGCTGTCCTCCGACCCCTGTCACTGAGAGACAGGACTAGCTGGATTTCCTAGGCCGACTAAGAATCCCTAAGCCTAGCTGGAAAGGTGACTGCATCCACCTTTAAACATGGGGCTTGCAAATTAGCTCACGCTCTACCAATCAGGTAGTAAAGAGAGCTCACTAAGATGCTAATTAGGCAAAAACGGGAGGTAAAGAAATAGCCAATCATCTATTGCCTGAGAGCACAGCAGGAGGGACAATGATCGGCATATAAACCCAGGCATTCGAGCCCCCACCGGTAACCCCCTTTAGGTTCCCTCCCATTTTATGGGAGCTCTGTCTTCACTCTATTAAATCTTGCACCTGCACACTCTTCCATTCCGTGTTTGTTACGGCTCGAACTGAGCTTTCGCTCGCCATCCACCACTGCTGTTTGCCGCTGTCACAGACCCGCCACTGACTTCCATACCTCTGGATCCAGCAGGGTGTCCGCTGTGCTCCTGATCCAGTGAGGGGCCCATTGCCCCTCCCAATTTGGCTAAAGTCTTGCCATTGTTCCTGCACGGCCAAGTGCCCGGCTTCATCCTAATCAAGCTGAACACTAGTCACTGGGTTCCACAGTTCTCTTCCATGACCCACCGCTTCTAATAGAGCTATAACACTCACCGCATGGCCCAAGATTCCATTCCTTGGATTCCGTGAGGCCAAGAACCCCAGGTCAGAGAACACAAGGCTTGCCACCATCTTGGAAGCAGCTTGCCACCATCTTGGGAGCTCTGGGAGCAAGGACCCCCCGGTAACATTTGGCGACCCAGATGGGACCTCCAAAGTGGCAATATTGGAACACTTTCCCTTGCTATTCTGTCCTATCCTTCCTTAGAATTGGAGGAAAATACCAGGTACCTGTCGGCCAGTTAAAAATGATTAACATGGCCACCAGATTTAAGACTCAGGTGTGAGGCCGTCTCAGGAAGGAAGATCTTTCTAACAACATCCAACCCTTCTGGGTTGGGAACATTCGCTTGCCTAGAACCAGTTTCCGCTTTCCATTTTCTTGGGGAAGCCAAGGGCTGACTAGAGGCAGAAAGCTGACGTCCTGAACTCCCGGCTTTAGCTGGTTGAGATCATGGTGCAGCCAGAAGTCTCTATTCAACAGTCGCCCATGTGTGCACCCCTACCTTTCCTTCTGACCCACACTTTCTGGGTCCTGACCAAGACTTTCTTGAAAGAGTAGCCCCAAAATTCTCCTTACCTCTGAATCTACTTCCTCTGATCCCTGCCTCCTAGGTACAAAGGTTCAGACTTTCATTTCCTCTAGCAAGTTGTATCTCCAAAGGGGTCTAAGGAAGCTCTATGCTGCATCCTTAGGCATCTAGGCTATAAACCCAGGGAGTCTTATCCCTGGTGTCCCTCCCGATTTAGGTATACAGCTTTCAACATGGGCAGTTATGAGGGACCTGTTCCCCCCACTCTTGCCAGGGCCCCAAGTTTGTAATGGCTAAGAGAAGGAGAGAGAGAGGATGGAGGAGATAGAGACGGAGGGGAGAGACAGAGAGATGGAGGAGAGAGAGACACTGAGGAGAGAGAGAGAGACAGAGGGAGTCAAAAAGAAAGAAATAGTAAAAAAAAAAAAAAGTACGCTGTACTCCTTTAAAAGCCAGCGTAAATTTAAAACCTATAATTGATAATTGAAGGTCCTCTCCGTGACCCTATAACACTCCAATACTACCTTGTTGTCAGTGTAAACAAGGGCGTAGCCTGAAAACACTGAGACCACAGAAAACCAGTAGCTTTCCTATCAAAAATCCTTAACCCAGTAACCCATGGATGCATTCAATCTGTAGCGGCAACTGCTTTGCTAACAGAAGAAAGTAGAAAAGTAACCTTTAGAGGAAACCTCATTGTGAGCACACCTCACCAGTTCAGAGTTATTCTAAGTCAAAAAAGCAAAAAGGTTACTAACTCAAAAATCTTAAAGTATGGGGGCTATTCTGTTAGAAAAAGGTAATGTAACTCCAACCACTGATAATTCCCTTAACCCAGCAGATTTCCTAACAGGGGATTTAAATCTTAATTACCATACAAAGGTCCAACCAGACCTAGGAGGAACTCCCTTCAGGACAGGAAGATAGATGGTTCCTCTCAGGTGATTGAGGATACAATGGGTATTCAGTAACTGACAGGGAGATTCTTGTGGAAGCAGAGTTAGAAAAATTGCCTAATAATTGCTCTGCTCAAACATGCAAGCTGTTTGCACTCAGCCAAGCCTTAAAGTACTTACAGAATCAAGTACTTACTCAATCCTGACTCAAAAAGTTACCTACACGTTCTCTGAAATGAATTTGCATAAGAACTGTTGTTTATGGGAATGCATCTTGATGGGGCAGCTGGGTTGTTATGAAATATTCAGGAACCCAGCCCAGCTCTAGGACTCACCCCTGAGCACAAAGGCAATGTTGGACACACTGGTAAAGGACCACTAGAATCCAGCAGCCCAGACCCATTTCTTTGTGGTCAAGAAAGGTGGGAAAACAGGGGCAGGACTGCCACATCAGTGAGCTTAACTAATCCAATAAGCAGAGGTCCATGGGTGGTTACGCACCCTGGAAAGTAATAAGCATTAGGACCATAGAGGATGCTCTATGACTAATGCTCATTGGAAAATTACTGGGGTGCTGGCATCCTTATGTTCTTTTTTCAGATGGGAAACGTTTCCCCCAAGGCAAAAACACCCCTAAGATGTATTGTGGAGAATTCAGCCCAGTCAGAGTGTATGCACCTTTTTCCCTCTCACAGTTGAAGCAAATTAAAATAGACCTAGGTAAATTCTCAGATAACCCTGATGGCTATATTAATGTTTTACAAGGGTTAGGACAATCTTTTGATCTGACATGGAGACATATAATGTTACTGCTAGATCAAACACTAACCCCAAATGAGAGAAGTGCCACCAAAACTGCAGCCCAAGAGTGTGGCAATCTCTGGTATCTCCGTCAGGTCAATGACAGGATGACAACAGAGGAAAGAGAACAATTCCCCACAGGCCAGCAGGCAGTTTCCAGTGTAGACCCACACTGGGACACAGATTCAGAACATGGAGATTGGTGCCACAGACATTTGCTACCTTGCATGCTAGAAGGACTAAGGAAAACTAGGAAGAAGCCTATGAATTATTCAATGATGTCCACTATAACACAGGGAAAGGAAGAAAATCCTACGGCCTTTCTGGAGAGACTAAGGGAGACATTGAGGAAGCATACCTCTCTGTCACCTGACTCTCTTGAAGGCCAACTAATCTTAAAGGATAAGTTTATCCTTTAAGTCAGCTGCACACATTAGAAAAAAAACTTCAAAAGTCCGCCTTAGGCCTGGAGCAAAATTTAGAAACACTATTGAACTTGGCAACCTCAGTTGTTTATAATAGAGATCAGGAGGAGCAGGCGGATTGGACAAACGGGATAAACAAAAGGCCACTTCTTTAGTCATAGCCCTCAGGCAAGCGGACTTTGGAGGCTCTGGAAAGGGCAAATCAAATGCCTAATAGGGCTTGCTTCCAGTGTGATCTACAAGGGCACTTTAAAGAAGATTGTCCAAGTAGAAATAAGCTACCCCCTTGTCCATGCCCCTTATGTCAAGGGAATCACTGGAAGGCCTACTGCCCCAGGGGATGAAGGTCCTCTGAGTCAGAAGCCACTAACCAGAAGATCCAGCAGCAAGACTGAGGGTGCCTGGGGCAAGTGCCAGCCCATGCCATCACCCTCACAGAGCCCCGGGTATGTGTGACCATTGAGGGCCAGGAGGTTAACTGTCTCCTGGACACTGGCGCGGCCTTCTCAGTCTTACTCTCCTGTTCCGGACAACTGTCCTCCAGATCTGTCACTATCCGAGGGGTCCTAGGACAGGCAGTCACTAGATACTTCTCCCAGCAACTAAGTTGTGACTGGGGAACTTCACTCTTTTCACATGCTTTTCTAATTATGCCTGAAAGCCCCACTCCCTTGTTAGGGAGAGACATTCTAGCAAAAGCAGGGGCCATTATACACCTGAACATAGGAGAAGGAACACCTGTTTGTTGTTCCCTGCTTGAGGAAGGAATTAATCCTGAAGTCTGGGCAACAGAAGGACACTATGGATGAGCAAAGAATGCCCATCCTGTTCAAGTTAAACTGAAGGATTCCACCTCCTTTCCCTACCAAAGGCAGTACCCCCTTAGACTCAAGGCCCAACAAGGACTCCAAAGGATTGTTAAGGACGTAAAAGCCCAAGGCCTAGTAAAACCATGCAATAGCCCCTGCAGTACATCAATTTTAGGAGTACCGAAACCCAACGGACGGTGAAGGTTAGTGCAAGATCTCAGGATTATCAATGAGTCTGTTGTCCCTCTGTAACCAGCTGTACCTAACCCTTATACTCTCTGCTTTCCCAAATACCAGAGGAAGCAGAGTGGTTTACAGTCCTGGACCTTAAGGATGACTTTTTCTGCATCCCTGTACATCCTGACTCTCAATTCTTGTTTGCCTTTGAAGATCTTTTGAACCCAACATCTCAACTCACCTGTACTGTTTTACCCCAAGGGTTCAGGGGTATCCCCCATCTATTTGGCCAGGCATTAGCCCAAGACTTGAGCCAGTTCTCATACCTGGACACTCTTGCCCTTCAGTACATGAATGATTTACTTTTAGCTGCCCATTCAGAAACCTTGTGCCATCAGGCCACCCAAGCGCTCTTTTTTTTTTTTTTTTTTTGAGACAGAGTCTCGCTCTGTCACCCAGGCTGGAGTGCAGTGGTGCGATCTCGTCTCACTGCCACCTCCACCTCCTGGATTCATGCCATTGTCCTGCCTCAGCCTCCCAATTAGCTGGGACTGCAGGCATCCACCACCACATCTGGCTAATTTTTTGTATTTTTAGTAGACACGGGTTTTCACCATGTTAGCCAGGATGGTCTTGATCTCCTGACCTTGTGATCTGCCTGCCTTGGCGTCCCAAAGTGCTGGGATTACAGGCATGAGCCACCGTGCCCAGTGCCACCCAAGTGCTCTTAAATTTCCTCGCCACCTGTGGCTACAAGGTTTCCAAACCAAAGGCTCAGCTCTGCTCACAGCAGGTTAAATACTTAGGGCTAAAATTGTCCAAAGGCACCAGGGCCCTCAGTGAGAAATGTATCCAGCCTATACTGGCTTATCCTTATCCCAAAACACTAAAGCAACTAAGAGCGTTCCTTGGCATAACAGGCTTCTGCCGAATATGGATTCCCAGGTACAGTGAAATAGCCAGGTCATTATATACACTAATTAGGAAAACTCAGAAAGCCAATGCCCATTTAGTAAGATGGACACCTGAAGCAGAAGTGGCTTTCCAGGCCCTAAAGAAGGCCCTAAACCAAGCCCCAGTTAAGTTTGCCAATGGGGCAAGACTTTTCTTTATATGTCACAGAAAAAACAGGAATAGCTCTAGGAGGCCTTACACCGGTCTGAAGGATGAGCTTGCAACCTGTGGCATACCTGAGTAAGGAAATTGATGTAGTGGCCAAGGGTTGGCCTCATTGTTTATGGGTAGTGGCAGCAGTAGCAGTCTTAGTACCTGAAGAAGTTAAAATAATACAGGGAAGAGATCTTACTGTGTGGACATCTCATGATGTGAATGGCATACTCACTGCTAAAGGAGACTTGTGGCTGTCAGACAACCATTTACTTAAATATCAGGCTCTATTACTTGTAGGGCCAGTGCTGTGACTGTGCACTTGTGCAACTCTTAACCCAGCCACATTTCTCCCAGACAATGAAGAAAAGATAGAACATAACTGTCAACAAGTAATTGCTCAAATATACGCCACTTGAGGGGACCTTTTAGAGGTTCCCTTGACTGATCCTGACCTCAACTTGTATACTGATGGAAGTTCCTTTGTAGAAAAAAGGACTTCAAAAAGCGGGGTATGCAGTGGTCAGTGATAATGGAATACTTCAAAGTAATCCCCTCACTCCAGGAACTAGTGCTCAGCTGGCAGAACTAATAGCCCTCACTTGGGCACTAGCATTAGAAGAAGGAGAAAGGGTAAACATATATACAGGATCTAAGTATGCTTACCTAGTCCTCCATGCCCACACAGCAATATGGAGAGAAAGGGAATTCCTAACTTCCGAGGGAACACCTATCAAACATCAGGAAGCCATTAGGAGATTATTATTGGCTGTACAGAAACCTAAACAGGTGGCAGTCTTACACTGCCAGGGTCATTGGAAAGGAAAGAGAAATAGAAGGGAACCGCCAAGCAGATATTGAAGCCAAAAGAGCTGCAAGGCAGGACTCTCCATTAGAAATGCTTATAGAAAGACTTCTAGTATGGGGTAATCCCTTCTGGGAAATGAAGCCCCAGTACTCAGAAGAAGAAATAGAATGGGGAACCTCACAAGGACATAGTTTCCTCCCCTCAGGATGGCTAGCCACTGAAGAAGGAAAAATACTTTTGCCTGCAGCTAACCAACAGAAATTACTTAAAACCCTTCACCAAACCTTTCACTTAGGCATTGATAGCACCCATCAGATGGCCAAATTATTATTTACTGGACCAGGCCTTTTCAAAACTATCAAGCAGATAGTCAGGGCCTGTGAAGTGTGCCAAAGAAATAATCCCCTGCACTGCAGGCCATACATTTCAATCCCTATATCTTTAACCGCCTTGTTAAGTTTGTCTCTTCCAGAATCGAAGCTGTAAACCTAAAAATTGTTCTTCAAATGGAGCCCCAGATGCAATCCATGGCTAAGATCTACCGCAGACCTCTGGACTGGCCTGCTAGCCCATGCTTCGATGTTAATGACATTGAAGGCACCCCTCTTGAAGAAATCTCAACTGCACAACCCCTAGTATGCCCCAATTCAGCAGGAAGCAGTTAGAGCAGTCATCAGCCAACCTCCCCAACAGCACTTGGGTTTTCCTGTTGAGAAGGGGTACTGAGAGACAGGACTGGCTGGATTTCCTAGGCCGACTAAGAATCCCTAAGCCTAGCTGGGAAGTTGAGTGTATGCACCTTTAAACACGGGGCTTGCAACTTAGCTCACACCCAACCAATCAGGTAGTAAAGTAAAGGCAGTGAGGGCAAGAGGGCTAGAAAGTCTGAAAGTGAGCATGGCTAGGTGAGGGAGGAAGAGTGGCCAACATGAGGCTGGACAAATAAAGAAGGTGGGTTATGCAGGGCTTTGTAAACTCTGTTGAGTTTGGATTTCACCCTGAGGGCATTAATGGCTCACTGAAGGTTTTGAGCCAGAAAATCATGCAGAAGGCCCAAGAACACCAAGTCCAGTGTGCAGAACACTGCAGCACTGGGGCCAGAAGAGAGGGCAACCTGCTGACTGGACAGAGATTGAGAAGGAAATGGTAGGACACACAGGGAGATGGGGGAGTAAGGGTTGATGGCAGATTTCCAGCCTGGGCAACTGGGTGGACCAACAGTGTGGAGCTTTAATCTCTGAGATTTGAAACCTGATTTCAGTTTGGGACAGGGTCAGTTGGAGTTGCCTGAGGGGTGGGTAGGTGAACATGCCAGAAGGCAGATGTACAGGATCGGGGGTCTGATGCCCAGGAAAAAGGTCTGTGCAGAGTATCTTCCCAGAAACCTGCCCTGCAGTTCAGTTGCTGATTTCACTAAACTCTTCTGGCCACACCTAACGGAGTTAATGTGCCCAACTAGAGTTGCCCAGACCTTTCTCTATCTCAGAGAGACGTGGGAGGGATTGCTGTCCCAGGGGAAAACGGATCAGAGTGGCTCTTCCCAGGGCTGGCTCCAGGTATGGAAGTTGACACCATCCTGTCTCACTCCATGAATGGGATGTGCCTGTGTTATAGGAGTCCTAACCAGTGACCGGGACACACTCTCCACTCTCTCTCCTCACACCCCCCACAGAATGGGACACAAGCCGTGTCAACTCTACCTCCTAACTACCTCACATATCTCTTTCCTTGTCCCATCTCCTTCCACTGTGTGGGTCAGAGCCTCATGGTTTCTCATCTCCACCACCCCAGGGTCCTCCCAGTGGGTCTCCTTGCTGGCAGCTTCACTTCGCTCTAGTCTCTTCTTCACTTACAACCAGAGTAGGTTTGCTCAAACACAAATCTGAATATCACTGTCTTTCTTTAAATTCTTCAGTGAGTCTCCATGTCATGCAGGATGCATCCTCACCACAGTCCTCACTCTGTCATCTCCAGCTCAATAAGCCCCTTGGGAACAGCAAGGCCTCCTTTCTCCCTGCCTGGGTGCATTTGCTAGCCCTACCTGGCAAGCTCCTTCCCACTGGCCACATCTAACTCCTATCTCATTGCTTTCTGGGAGCTTTGGCCTCTCCTCTGTGCCCTCCCAGAGTCCTGGTGAGCCTCTAATAACACCTGAGGGACACTGTGTCTGCACAATAGTCCTGTGACCTCCTGGTGTGGGGCATGGCCTGCTGGATCCCCATTCCTGCACCACCAATGAACAATAACACCTGCACAGCTCCACGCATATTTTGAGGAACTGAGGATATGAGGCTGGGCTTTGAGATCTCACAAATCCCCACACCCTCTGCCCTACTCTGTATCTCATCCATTTCTGCAAAACATACTGACAAATGTCCCTCAAATTCTATGTATGGACTTCGTGGGTCCTGACAAAAATAAACCAATGGCAAAGAAATTTTTATGAGACAATTGAGGAAGTGTGCATGCAGTTATTTGACAAAATTAAGAAACATAAATTTTTAGTGTTAGAATAGAATGGTGATGTCCAGAAAAAAAGCACTTACATTTTAAAGAAACATACTAAAGTATACCTCCAGCAATACTAAAATGCATATGCAGTGTTATTCATTGCAGCATTGTTTGTAATTCCAAAACATTAGAAACAACCTAAATGTCCACACATACAAGAGTGCTTGCAGGCCAGGCATGGTGGCTCACATCTGTAATCCCAGCACTTTGGGGGGCCGAGGTGGGCCGATCATGCGGTCAGGTGTTCAAGACCAGCCTGGCCAAATATGGTGAAACTCTGTCTCTAATAAAAATACAAAAATTAGCCAGACGTGGTGGTGCGCACCTGTAGTCCATAGTCCCAGCTACTTGGGAGGCTGAGGCAGAAGAATCACTTGAATCTGGGAGGCAGAGGTTGCCGACAGCCGAGGTCATGCCACTGGACTCCAGCCTGGGTGACAGAGTGAGACTTTGTCTCAAAAAAATGAATAAATAAATAAAGAGTGCTTGCATAAACTATGATGCATTCATACGATGGAGTATTTTGCAGCTGTAGCAAATAAAGGAAGACATCTATGAACTTAGATGGTGGTGATTTCTAGGACCTATCATTAAGTGAAGGGTGGGGGAACCAACAACCACACAAAACAAAGAGCAAAAAAGTATTATGGTATGCTGCCCTTTATGTAAGAAAGAAGGGGTTGTAAGGAAATATGTACTTGAGCAAAAGAAAAACAAAAGGGGAAAGTTAGAAATTAGTGAGATTTGTTGTCTACAGGGGGATGAGTGAGAAATGGGTGGGAAAAAGAGGGACTAGGAATGGGAATTAGGGACAGAGAGAGACAGTGTCTCCAAAGACACTTTTTCATATAACTCTGGCTCTTAGAATCATGGTAAAGTTTTGCATACCAGAAAACTAAGTAATTAATTAAAACCAACCAGGATGTAAGGAAACCGCAAAGTGGAATATACAAACACTAACAACCTAACAGCATTTCAAATGAATAGATTACCAAACTGAAGGAGGTGGGGGGGAAAAGAACTGACCTAAATAACCACAGAAAACCACAATTTTGACTGGATATTGTAAGGCTTAAGACCAAAAAAAAAAAAAAAAAAAAAAGAAGGAAAGAAAAATACTGTACTCTTGTTAGTAGATTTGTTTTTCACAGAGGTATGCATTGGCAATTCTGCAACTATTTTACTTGTACTAGGATTAAACAAATATGCAAATATTGTATATTTTAGATAATCATAGCCAGGTTTCTCACTTGTCAGAGAGGTTAGAAATGAAAGGACACGGCTAAATGAATCTATTGAATTGAAATAGTAGGTATCTGTATGAACTCATGGTTTTTTATCATATTTATACAGATAGCTATATAAATACATACAGAAGTGTATGTATGTGTGGGTTAATATACATACATATATTTCCCACTGGGGAGAGCCTAGAAGCATTGAAAACCCAGAAGCAATGAGTACACATAGTTCCGAGATCCTAGTTTTCAAATACCTTCCCCAATAAAAGGAAACAAGGATCTTTGGAGAAATGGTTGACTTCAAGGCTGGGACACAGACAAGACAAGATAAGCCTGGAACATCTTTGGCACAGAAAGTATCTGGAAATGCTCACAATAAGAGAGGAGGTTTGCCATAAAAGACACAGAAGCCAATCTGAAGGAGCTCCCACAGGCTAAAGGTGGATCAATTTGAGCAATAAAATAGATATCGATGGTATTAGATTGTAACCTTTAGAATAAAATATCTATAAATCTGTACTAAGAAAATAATTGAATGAATGGAAGGATAAATAAAGGAGAAGAGACAGCTTTTCTTTACAGAAGAATTCGAATTATTAAATGTAGATGGAATGAGGGAAATAGAAAGTCACTATTAGACAAACACTACAGTAATATTTGCTGCAGGCAAGATCCATAATGGATGCTAAAGTTAGTGAGCAGAAGCTTATTTTGAAACTGACTATTTTTATAGTCACAAAGTATCTTCCACAAGATATTTATGAATTCCAAAGGGATAAATAGTAATATTACGGTTGATGAACCTGGCAGACGCTACTTTAATCAAGGGATTAAGGTTAAGATCAAAATTAATAAGACATACCATGTCTCGGATATGAAATTATGGGTGGAAATGATCAGCTGAGACTGGAACAACTGCTGTGACATTTTGCAAAAAATGTATGTCGTCAATCGAGTCATGAGAAAACATCAGATAGACCCAAATTGAGGTACATTCCACAAAATAATTGACCATTACTCTTCAAAAATGCCACCATCATGAAAGACAAGAAAAGACTGAGGAACTGCCATAGTTTGGAGGTAACTAAGGAGATGTGACAACGAAATGCAGTGCTGGGGTCCTGGATGGGATCCTGGGTTAGAAAAAAGATACTGATTGAAAAACTGGTGAAATTCAAGTAAGGCCTGGAGTTTAGTCAATAGTGTATCAACATTAAATTCCTGGATTCAATCATTGTACTATGGTTACATAAGATGTTAACATTAGCGGATGCTGGGTGAGGGGTATTTGGGAAACTTGTACTAGTTTTGCAATTTTTCTGTTACATAAATAACTCCCCCACCCACAAGTTTAAAAGATACAGATTAGATTATAGAGGAAAAAAACTAAGTCTGAGATTTGCTTCAAATATTGTCAATAATTTTTGAAGCAAGGTGATGGGTACATCAAGGCTTTGTAGTGTTCTTTCCAGATTTATGTATATCAGACAATTTCCTTTAGAAAAGTAGAAATTACATATACGTGTATTAAGCCCTTTCTATGTCCAGGCACTGTGGTTAGCCACGGGGACTTGGTTAACCACCAGGACTTGAGGCCCTGCCTCAAGGAGCTCATACTCAACAGGGGGAAAGCAGACATGATGCACGGAATGTAGAAAGAGTGATGTGATAGAGGAAGCACAGGATGCCTTGGAGCAGGGGAGAAAAGAGTGCTCCAAATAGGAGAAACAGCATGCAGAGCCTTGGGCTAGGGAGAAAGGCTAACTGGTAAGTCACAGAGAAAAATCTGCAAATGACCTCGGGGAATGCAGCTGAGGTCTTTTGTCTGCCCAGGGCAAGGACAACTCAGCCAGATTCTTTGGGCCTATAAAATTTTGTGACATTATTTGTAATTTAGTCTTTTTAAACAAATTTAGAAGGCAATCTCCCTATGCTCTTTATCAAGTCCCCTTTCCTGACATCTCCTATGACTCTCCTATGACACTTTCCTCCTCTCCCCACAATGTTTTCTCATCTGTCATAAATCTGCAGCCTATTTAACAAGATCCTCCTTAAGCAGTGTTCACAGGATACTTGGTCCCCAGTGACCTTCTGAGGCAGCCAAATAGATATGAAATCTTTTTGTGCATTTATGGATAGCCTTGAAATTAATTGCTGTCATTTTCTTCCTAGCAGATCATGGAACTCTGGAGACTAAAGTGGTGTGGGAGTGGCTGCTCCCAACTAGACTCCACCCCCTTCAGAAGGCAGGAGTTGTCATAGTATTAAAACAGCTAACATACACATCAGGAGGTGGCCTTGAGAAGCTGAGCGGAGACCGGCTAGACTTTACTCAAGTTAGTATTGACCTTAAACATCTTCATAAATGTTCTCATGTCTACTTCACTAAGAAAAACAAATTTAAATGTGTTAGTTTGTGTGAGTACTTTATGTTCTTGCTGTTTTTCTGTGTGCTTAGGAGACAATTTAAGCATTGTTTGTTAGTTCCTGAAGGACAGGTCGGTAAAGAAAAATAATATTCAACAATTTAGAAAACAAGGGCAAAGAATTTGATGATATGAGAAAAGTAAGAGTGGTATCATTGTGGGCAATCTGAAAATACAACCACATCAGTGCCAGGCCACATGCCAAAGGTTGCTTATGGAAAAGCTGTTTATTAAAAACATGTATTCGTGTGATTCATTCCTGTGATTCACAGGAGTCAACACACAATTATACTAGATTTAAAGCTGGCAGGGTCACACATTTGGGAGCACCACTTGATCAATGAAAAGAAAATACATCTGGATGGTCGTATTCCTCTAGAGCTGGCACTTCCAAATGGGAAACCAATCACCAATGCTTGACAATCAGGATCTAAATTTACACTTCCATCATTGATTTTACACAGATTAGTTTACTGCTTATATAAGTGACTTTGTGATTGAGCACCAAGCAGCATGCTATTTTTCCTTCTTCTTCTCCTCCTTCTTCCCTCCTTCTCTTTGTTCTCTTTGCCCTCTTTCTTCTTCCTCCTCCTCTTTTTCCTCTTCTGCCTCTTCTTCCTCCTCCTCCTTCTTGTTCGAAGTATCTGGGACCAAAGGGTGAGCAGGGTTTAAAGTCTCAAAATTGCAAGTGAATCTAAATATATAGGACTTTTAGGGTAGTAGGCAAGTAGATCTAAGAATAATAATAACCCCCTCTTAAGCTGTTATATTCCCTGTCCAACAGAACATGCACATTCCTTCTATATGCAAGTTCTTTCTATTTGCCAAATGAAATATTACCCTGGGCTACCCTGCCAAAGCACTTATCCAATTAAAAAAAAATATTTTTTGTGTAGTCACGATGTTTCTACTATGTGGGAGAGTTTGGTTGCTTTGATAATTCTTTTTAAACAGCAGATTGGTGGGTTTCATAATTAGGATTGGTTATTTTATTGCCATAATCCTAGCTTGGCTTTTTTCATGCTTTTTGTTTGTTTTGAGACAGTCTCATTCTGTCACCCAGGCTGGAATGCAGTGATGTGGCCATGTTTCACTGCAGCCTTAACATCTTGGGCTCAAGTGATCTTCCTGCCTCAGCCTCCTGGGTATCTGGGACTACAGGTGTGGGACACCAATCCTGGCTAATTTTTTTTTTAAATAGAGACTTTATTTAATTGCCCAGGCCAGTCCTGAACTCCTGAGCTCAAGCAATCTTCCCTCCTCAGCCTTCCGAAGTGCTGGGATTATAAGTATGAGCCACCATGCCCAGCCCTAGTTTGTTTTTTAATTACTCTATGCTACTGTAGTCTAAAACAGTGAGCGCTATAGGCAAATGGCAAAAAAAAAAAAAAAAAGATTGCTCTTGAGATATCTAGCCATGTTATATCCTATAAAGCACGGACTGAACTTTGAGCAATGCACTACACTGTGCTTAAAGACTATGACAACTTCTCTGCTTCCCGGGAGCTCACAGTTTGAGGGGTGGGGGACATAAAAATGGTAACTTCTTTTTTTTTTAATTTATTTATTTATTATTATTATACTTTAAGTTGTAGGGTACATGTGCACAATGTGCAGGTTCGTTACATATGCATACATGTGCCATGCTGGTGTGCTGCACCCACCAACTCATCATCCAGCACTAGGTATATCTCCCAATGCTATCCCTCCCCCCTCCCCCCACCCCACAACAGTCCCCAGAGTGTGATATTCCCCTTCCTGTGTCCAAGTGTTCTCATTGTTCAATTCCCACCTATGAGTGAGAACATGCGGTGTTTGGTTTTTTTGTCCTTGCGATAGTTTGCTGAGAATGATAGTTTCCAGCTTCATCCATGTCCCTACAAAGGACATGAACTCATCATTTTTTATGGCTGCATAGTATTCCATGGTGTATATGTGCCACATTTTCTTAATCCAGTCTGTCATTGTTGGACATTTGGGTTGGTTCCAAGTCTTTGCTATTGTGAATAGTGCCACAATAAACATACGTGTGCATGTGTCTTTATAGCAGCATGATTTATAGTCCTTTCGGTATATACCCAGTAATGGGATGGCTGGGTCAAATGGTATTTCTAGTTCTAGATCCCTGAGGAATCGCCACACTGACTTCCACAATGGTTGAACTAGTTTACAGTCCCACCAACAGTGTAAAAGTGTTCCTATTTCTCCACATCCTCTCCAGCACCTGTTGTTTCCTGACTTTTTAATGATTGCCATTCTAACTGGTGTGAGATGGTATCTCATTGTGGTTTTGATTTGCATTTCTCTGATGGCCAGTGATGGTGAGCATTTTTTCATGTCATAAATGCTCTTAATGGCTGCATAAATGTCTTCTTTTGAGAAGTGTCTGTTCATGTCCTTCGCCCACTTTTTGATGGGGTTGTTTGTTTTTTTCTTGTAAATTTGTTTGAGTTCATTGTAGATTCTGGATATTAGCCTTTTGTCAGATAAGTAGGTTGCGAAAATTTTCTCCCATTTTGTAGGTTGCCTGTTCACTCTGATGGTAGTTTCTTTTGCTGTGCAGAAGCTCTTTAGTTTAATTAGATCCCATTTGTCAATTTTGGCTTTTGTTGCCATTGCTTTTGGTGTTTTAGACATGAAGTCCTTGCCCATGCCTATGTCCTGAGTGGTATTGCCTAGGTTTTCTTCTAGGGTTTTTATGGTTTTAGGTCTAACGTTTAAGTCTTTAATCCATCTTGAATTGATTTTTGTATAAGGTGTAAGGAAGGGATCCAGTTTCAGCTTTCTACATATGGCTAGCCAGTTTTCCCAGCACCATTTATTAAATAGGGAATCCTTTCCCCATTGCTTGTTTTTGTCAGGTTTGTCAAAGATCAGATAGTTGTAGATATGCGGCGTTATTTCTAAGGGCTCTGTTCTGTTCCATTGATCTATATCTCTGTTTTGGTACCAGTACCATGCTGTTTTGGTTACTGTAGCCTTGTAGTATAGTTTGAAGTGAGATAGTGTGATGCCTCCAGCTTTGTTCTTTTGGCTTAGGATTGACTTGATGATGCGGGCTCTTTTTTGTTCCATATGAACTTTAAAGAAGTTTTTTCCAATTCTGTGAAGAAAGTCATTGGTAGCTAAAAATGGTAACGTCTGCAGGCTGTAAATAGTCAATAATGAGGCATAACAGGAAGAAACTAGTCTGAATGTCAGAAGACCTAGGTTCTAATCCAGACTTTGACACTAACTAGCTAGTTGGCAAATTGCACATACTTTCTTTGGGGTTCAACATATTCATTACAAACCTGGAGGAAGGGCTAGCTAGATCCCTTCTAGCTCAATAATTTGGGAACTCTTGAGGGGAGAACTAGATATATCAATAGAACATATAGTTTTTATAAGGCACATGAAGTCACCAACTAGGTTGGAACATAATGCAAGTCAGTAGTGCCTGGAATAATTACCAACATAAAAATAAATAAATGAAAACAAAGGTCTTACACAGGAAAGCCTCAGAATCTCAGAGGGACCCTGTGAAGTCACATTGGTGTTGGACCTGTCTAGTGCAAACAGAATTCAGAGGTGGAAACAATCCTGCTATGAGGAAGGAAGACACTCCTGTTGTTCAACCATTCATATACTAGCGTGCATTTTGCTTCTCTAGACTCATTCATTCATCCATTCATGCATTCATTCATTCATTTTAGAGAAACCAAGAGACTGTTACCATGGCAGGGAAGCCCAAGCTTCACTACTTCAATGGACGGGGCAGAATGGAGCCCATCCGGTGGCTCTTGGCTGCAGCTGGAGTGGAGGTATGTTCTAAGTTAGGTCATCTTAAGTTGGACCTAATTGACTGTATCAAAATATTTTAGTAAGCCAAGAGACTTCCATACTAGATGACCTGTGAATATTTTGGCCTCAAATAAAAGCATCCCCAGTTATTTTTTTAAAATGGACAAATTTTACCAAATGAAAATTTAAAAATCTGTCCATTAAAGAGCACATGAAAAAGAACACATGAACAATTAAAATATATTTTGAAAAGAATTAACTAATCACAATGAGTGGACCTTATTTGCATTAGGATTTAAACAAACTATAAAATATAACTTATGACACATAAAAATTAGAAACCTGAATATTGATTGAATGTTAGATAATATTAAAGAATTACTGTTAAATTTTTTAGTGTCATTTTGTGATGTTAGGTATGATGTTTCTGTTATGTTTCAGAGATACACACTGAAGTATTTAGGATGAGATAATATGATACCTCAGATTTGTTTCATATTATGACAGAGGAGGAGAGAAGCTGGGCATACAAATGAAAGACAGGCTTGGGTTGGTGATTACTGCAGCTAGATGATTGAAACAAAGAGGACCATTGTATTTTATGTGTATTTTTTATATATATGAGAAATTTATACAATAAAATGCTAAGTACATGGAAACTAAATGTCATTAAACATAAACTATAAACCACAATGAGGTCAGGGAGGGAGTGGATTGTGACAAACTGCCTGTTAAATACTGAGTATATTCAGCCAGTGGTTATTTTGTTGTGCACCTATTAAGTGCCAGGTTCTGTCCTGAGGATTGGCAGTGAACAAGGTAGACACAATTCCTGCCCTAAGGCAGACTACATACATGTCTACAAGGACTCAGATAAGAAAACACGTGGTTAAAATCAGGGGTGGGGGCTTCTAGAACACCCAGGCATTCCCCAGTGTTACCAGGCCATCCTCCCAGTGTTTGAGCAGGAAATGCTGGGAGGTGTCTGTGGGACTCCGCTAAGTGCTGCCTTCTAGAGGTGTCACTGAGAAAAACACTTCCCAGTCCAGACCAGAGTCCCTCAGTAACTAACTGCCTGAGGGTTTTCCTCCAGAGTAAGTAATGGAAAAACTCAGAAGATCTTGTCCCTCGGGTGTCAGCAGAAAAGGAGGGTTTCAGGTGAGGTGGCGTCCTGTGAAAGGAACTTCTAGCGCGCCCCTTCAGCCTCACAGCGCTGTGTGGACCTGAACCTCGGGGCGGCACTTTCTCCAATGCTTCACGAGGGCTTGGGACTCACCTTTCTCAAACCTATGAGGAAATAAGCACACAAGAAATCCACACACTTCCATTCCAGGTTGTTTTCTGTGTACAAATGAATACCCTGTTTCATTGTCACCCAGACATCAGCTCTGCAGCTCAGTGCCTTTCCTCCAGTGACGTTCCCTCCCTAATCATGGACATTTGTGAGATCGTGGGGAGGTGAAGTAAAAGACGGAGCAGGCCAGGAGCAGTGGGTCACACCTTTAATCCCAGCACTTTGGGAGGCCGATAGGGGAGGATTGCTTGAGCCCAGGAGTTCAAGATGAGTCTAGGCAACACAGCGAGACCCCAGCACTACAAAATAGAAATAAAAAATTAGCTGGATGTGATGGTGCATGCCTATAGTCCCAGCTACTCAGGTGGCTGAGGTGGGAGGGTCACTTGGGCCTGGTAGATCAAGGCTGCAATGAGCCATGATCATACCACTGTACTTAAGCCTGGGCGACAAAGTGAGACTCTGTCTCAAAAAAATAAATAAATAAATAAAATAAAAAAGAAGATTGAGCAGTTCTGACCCATTGTCAGACCCATGAGCATGAGCATGGTCTGACCCATGCCTGTTTCTTGAGGGATAAAATCTAAATTTCCAAGCGGCCATGACCAGCTTCTTCTGTGTCCCCTGCCAAACTCAGAAATCTTATGTTCTCCAAATTATGTACCAGATGGAGGCCATTCAAGGTCACAAGTCTGTAATGCTATGGAACGAACTAACAAGAACCCATTTACTGTTTCTGCTTCCAGTTTGAAGAGAAATTTATAGGATCTGCAGAAGATTTGGGAAAGTTAAGAAATGGTAAGATCAAGTCTCTAAGTGCCTCTGATGAGGGTATCTAGTAGAGAAGGTACCGCTGAAGATTGATTTTTTTTTTTTTTTGACGGAGTCTCGCTGTGTTGCCCAGGCTGGAGTGCAGTGGCATGATCTCGGCTTACTGCAAGCTCCGCCTCCCAGGTTCATGCCATTCTCCTGCCTCAGCCTCCCGAGTAGCTGGGACTACAGGCGCCAGACACCACACCAGGCTAGTTTTTTTTTTTTTTTTGTATTTTTAGTAGAGACGGGGTTTCATCGTGTTAGCCAGGATGGTCTCGATCTCCTGACCTCGTGATCCGCCCGCCTCGGCCTCCCAAAGTGCTGGGATTACAGGTGTGAGCCACCGTGCCCGGCCACAGTTGAAGATTTTAACACCAGGCGATGCCTATGTGTGTGTGGGGTGGTAGCTGTGGTGGTGGAGAGGGAGAAGGTGGTTAAAGTGGAAGGGATGTGGCTCCCTGAACAGGTCTGGCAACTATCTCCAGGCTAAAAGGCCAGACCTCTCAGAGTATCTGCTAGAGGAACCATCCCCAGTGCCCTGAGAATGCCCTTTCCTTGTTTTCATGCTTGGGGCACCGTGAATGAGCTGAGGTCATCAGCTCAGGATCCCACACAGCCTTCCCCATCCAAGGACACACAAGAACATGAATAAGACGAAAAGAATAGAAATAGATGTGGCCATTACCTTGAGTTGTTTTCTTTCATGGGTCATGTGATAAGGTCATATTGTAGTAATACTGTAGGCTTGGAAGAACACAGAAAGGGACCTCTGCATAAAATTGTGTCTCAGAACCTACTTTAAAGGCCATGAACACCATGAGACTTACCCTGAGAAGTTCTCATTTTAAGTGACATCTCTCTGGCACTCCCGTTGTAACCTGTCTCAGCTTTTTCCTAAAATATCATGACGATAAATCAACGCAAGTAAAATACAAGGGACCTACTATGTACCTGGATGGGGAATAAAAACATAAATGAAATAACAGGCTAAAAGGTCAAAGGAATCAGGTCAGAAAAAGAACTACAGGCAGCTAAAATCAAAATACTATTTCGTTTTTGAGGTTAGCAGGCAATAATTTCTTTTTCATTTTATAACCTCAGTCATTTCAACCATCATTTTTCTTCCTGAAATAGTGGGATTCATAGAAATTTCATGTTCCTTTTTTTTCCTTCTTTCTAAAGATGGGAGTTTGATGTTCCAGCAAGTACCAATGGTTGAGATTGATGGGATGAAGTTGGTACAGACCAGAGCCATTCTCAACTACATTGCCAGCAAATACAACCTCTACGGGAAAGACATAAAGGAGAGAGCCCTGTACGGTATATTTTGTGTTCTTCCATCCACAGAGAACACAGAGTGATTTAGGTCCTTCCTTGAGTGGGTGAGACCATGACAGGGCATCATGACCAGGAGCAGGCTGGGCCTTGGGCGTGTATACTGAGGTCCAGTATTGCAGAGTCCCATGGGGATGAGGAAACAGTGAACGTGAGGAGGGTTCAGGTGAGTGTGATTCTAGAAGAGGATGCATTCCATGGATCCAGCACCCTGACAGAGGTTTCCAAACACTGATGAACCATGAACTCAGGAGGATGGGGAATAATGATTCCAGGTGCTCAAGCCTTCAGAGGCTGGACTCCAGCCAACAGCTTAGGACAGGCATAGAATGTTTGAGAGTCTGTAGATGAAGGCCTGGGGAGGGAAGACTGCAAAGAAGCTGAATCTCAGGTCCCAGTAATTCCAAGAATGATGCCCAGGAACCCAAGTTACCAGCCAATTATATGGACTGGTCAACTTGAGCAGGGCTAGTAGAGGCTGGCACCCAGAACTCTGGGGTTGCCTGGAAACATGGATTCAAGGCTGAAGCAGCTAGATTTATCGAATACCAGCAAAGCCATGGGGTCTCCTCACTGTTGCAATAGGGCTGCCTGATTCTAAATAACATCCTATGTGAAACTGTTGGCAGTTCTTCAAAAAGTTTAGTGTAGAGTTACCAATGACCCAGCAATTCCTCTACTAGGTATATACCAAAAGAATCAAAATACTTCCACACCAAATCTTGTACATAAACGTACAGTGCAAATAACGGCAATTTTCATGGTATTCAAAACGTAGAAATAACCCAAATATCCATCAACCAATAAATGGAGGAACAAAGTGTGCCTTAGCCATGCAATGGAACAATATTTACTCATGAAAAGAAATGAAGTACTGATGCATGCTACAAGAAAGTTGAACCTTAAAGACATGTTATGTAAAAGAAATTAGGCACAGAAGTCCACATATTGTAGGATTGTGTGTATGAAATGTCTAGAATATTCAAACCCATAGAGGCAGCAAGTAGACTAGTGGTTGCCTGAAGCTAAAAGGTTTGGGGTTTGGGGAAAATGAATACTCAATGGGTACAGATGTCCTTATCAGGGTGATAAAAATATTCTAGAATTAGAGTGTGATGATATTTGCAGAATTCTGTAAATGTACTAAAAGTGACTGAATACTATAATTTAATGGGTGACAACGATAATGTGTGACTATACATCAATGAAACTGTTGTTTTAAAAAGTACTGTGGAAAACCTAATTAAACACAAAAGAAAAAAAGGTTTCCTAAAATATGTCCTGGTTGTAACTGTGTATAGAATTTCACCAAGGAAGGGGATCTTTTAGGTGGGGTCTCAAGTAAGGCACACATGGCTAGAGTTGGGCAATAGCACATGGATAGGGCTGTAGAATTATGTTTCATGGGAGTAATTGGAAAAACTGCTAATATTGGGCATAGAAGTGGGCCTGGGAGATGTAAATGATGAGACAGGACAAGGAACATGACTGAGATGGCTGTGCCAGGGACTCTCTTGGGATTACTTAGGAGAAAAGTCTTTGGCCATTTGACTCACACGAAGTTTATGCACAGAACAAACCACAATGGAGATGATAAATCCTGGCACAGCATCGGTGGGTACTGGCAGTGATTCCACCAATTTCTCTCATGACTGTGACTGTAGACAGGTCACCGATGCTCTTTGTACCTGTATTTGGTCATGTGCATAACAAAGATTTTAGAGATATATCTACCTCGATAAGTTGTTTTAAGAAATAAAAGGCAGCCAGGCATGGTGGCTCACCCCTATATCCTAGCACTTTGGGAGGCCAAGGCGGGTGGATCACGTGAGGTCAGGGGTTTGAGACCAGCCTGGCCAACATGGAGAAATCCTATCTCTACTAAAAATACAAAAATTATCTGGGCATATTGGCAGGCGTCTGTAATCCCAGCTACTCTGGAGGCTGAGGCAGGAGAATCACTTGAACCCTGGAGGCGAAGGTGGCAGTGAGCCAAGATTGTATAACCTCACTCTGGCTTGGGAGAATGAGGGAAACTCCATCTCAAAAAAAAAAAAAAAAGAAAAAGAAAGAAAGAAGGAAACGTCAACATACATGCAAAAATCAGAGCATAATGACTAGAATATAAAAGGCACCCAATGGAGATGAATTACCTTACCACCATCTGACCCTCTATTCTCTTAGGTTTTTATAAACCTACAAAATCTAAGGCAAGAGGCATTTGATGCTTTGGCTGTTTTTGTCTTTCAGAATTGATATGTATACAGAAGGTATGGCAGATTTGAATGAAATGATCCTTCTTCTGCCCTTATGTCGACCTGAGGAAAAAGATGCCAAGATTGCCTTGATCAAAGAGAAAACAAAAAGTCGCTATTTCCCTGCCTTCGAAAAAGTAGGTGAAGCTGTTCAGCATTTTGGGGCACTGAGTTTAGAGGCCAGTAGAAAAATAGTGGCTGGGCATTCCTGGGGCACTGACCTTCACTTTCAGTGAGACTTCCTGAACACCAATTCAGCTCTCTGACTCTCAAGGCATTTTATGAAAATTGACTTAGAGGAACAGTGATACCACTTATCCCCAAGTTATAATTTTCCAGCAAAATTTCAATTTACTAGACCCCAGTATAGAATTCTCTATTCAACAATTTTATGTTCATAAGTAGAACATGGGCTGTGGAAGGCTCTGAACCACACTAGAGGTTGCTGTTGAGTCTGTGGAACACAGGCTTTGTCTGAAGATGAACATGATGAAAGCGATCCATTAGAAACTATTCTGGCACCATGTGTAGGAAGACAGGAGACCAATTTCCCAACCAGAGAATATTGTAGTGTTTCAGAGATGGATATTTCTTAAAAGGATAGTGACAGTGGGGTGGAGAGGAAGATTTTTTAAAACTCATTTTAAAGTAAGTTGCAGACGTCAGTGCAGTTCACTCCTAGACACTTCAGCTTGCAGATTATAACAGCGCAGGTTAGGAGTCAGAGCCGATATTGCAAGAAAGATGATGAATTCAAGTTCACCCTGTTAGATAGGAGTTCTAAATTTCTTTTCAAAGAATTAACATGTCAGTATATTCAATTTTTTGCCTTCTACTTTTAAACTTAACTACCTCGTAAAGCAATCTTTTTCGATTACCTACTCCACCCTGACTCATTCCGATCACCTGCTCCACCCTAACTCATTCCGATCACCTGCTCCACCCTGACCCATTCCGATTACCTGCTCTACCCTAACTCATTCCGATTACCTGCTCTACCCTGACTCATTCTGATTACCTGCTCTACCCAAACTCATTCCGATTACCTTCTCCTCCTAACTCATTCCGATTGCCGGCTACCTGCTCTGCCCTGACTCCTGCCAAAGCACTCACCCCGTCATTCTCTTTAAATTAGCCAATCAGAATTAGTTTAGCCAGTGCAGTCTAACCCTAGCCAATAGGGGAACGACACAGCAGCAGGGGGAAAGACACAGCAGCAGGGGCCACGTGCGTCAGGGATAAGAAACCCTTCCCCTCCTTTGTCCAAGTGTGCGCTCACCGTTGTTCCATCTGTGAGAGCGCACCCTTCTATATAGAAGTACCTTGCCTTGCTGAGAATTAAAAAGAAAATTTTATATTCAAGTACTATTCTTTTTGCGTCACTGAAACTTTATATATAACAACCCAGGTTTACTTCAGATCCCAGGGAGATAGAACAGGAAATGAGGAAAGCAGACAAGGCATTTTATGAAGATAGACTTGGAGGAACAATGATACCACTTATACCCAAGTTATAATTTTCCAGCAAAATTTCAATTTACTAGACCCCAATATAGAATTCTCTATTCAACAAAATTTTATGTTTTTAAGTAGAACGTGGGCTGTGGAAGGCTCTGAATCACACTAGAGGTTGCTGTTGAGTCTATGGAACATATGGAGAAATGAAGACTCTGAAATAGTCTACTCCTGGAGGAAGAGTGCTGTCATGAAGGTGGAGTCACTGCCCAAGGGAGATTGGAGAGGGAGAGAGCAGATTGTAGAGCCACATCCTGAATGTCAAGGCTACACGCTGTAGGGCCTGGGGCAGACAGAACATGCAGTAGCAGGTGCTAAACCCCTGGCCCATGTGGAAAATGCAAGCAGGTGGATGGTGTGGATGCCACAGTGATGTGGAATGAGAAGAGAAAATGGGAGCCTGAGCTCCAACTGAGGAGTGAGCAGAGCCACATTCTTGCTCCCTCACTCAATCAGGGAACATAAACAAAGGCCTGGACCTTCACACCATCCAGTTAGGCAACACAGGTGGGAATGTCAGGCTGGAAAGACTCAGGGAGAAGCAGGGGTCCCATCCTGGGTGCGCATGTATTCCTGATCTGATTCCTCAAATTCTCCAGGTGTTACAGAGCCATGGACAAGACTACCTTGTTGGCAACAAGCTGAGCCGGGCTGACATTAGCCTGGTGGAACTTCTCTACTATGTGGAAGAGCTTGACTCCAGCCTTATCTCCAACTTCCCTCTGCTGAAGGTGACCCATTTCACAGCCCTCAGAGAGACAGCCCCACATGTCCCATCTTGGGATCTAGTATCTGGGCCCTTGGACTGGCCATGTTCTGACCCCAGCCTTTTTCAGGCCTTCAGTACCCCCAGGTCTCCAAAATGAGCTTCCAGACCCCAATTTTGAGGCATGAAAAGACTCTTGTTCTGGAAAGGAAATTTGTGGTCATGCTACCCCATGAAAAGTATTTTGCCTTTTATCACGGAAAGGACCCAGGGCCCAGCATCTTCCTTCCTCCCCCATTCCTCTGTGGTCTGTTCCTGAGTTCTGTGATTCCCTTTATCCCAAGACTGTCCTTGTGTTCCCACACTGAATTGGTCTGAGCAGGGCCCTTTCCATCTGGTTCCTTCCTTAGGCTCTGGCCAGGGTGGGCAGCAGGAGCTGTCAGATAGTTGTGTTCCTCTGTGCACAGCACACCCAACACACTGCCCCCAACCCTGTATCTCTCACTGAGAAAACGTGGTCCCATGGTTTGACTTTAATATTTTCTATAACATTTTCCTTTCCAACTCATTTCTCCATATTTTCACTTCTGCTTAGAGACTGACCTGTGTTGATATCTCACAGGCACATTATTTTTTCTTGTCTTATACAAGAGTCACTAATCTACAGGATTGATATGTAAGGAGAAAGATAGGGATGACTGAATTGATTAAAACTTTAAGACATCTTTGCGGAAAATAAAGTGAGCTACATGTTCTTCCTCTTATCTTCATTTATCACTGGGTGTCTGTTTCTGCCTCCATGCTGGTGCTGATGGAGGGGACTCACTTGGTCTCTGGCAGGAGGGGTCAAATTCCCTGGGTGGTATTAATGGTGGTGGCAGACCTTGGCTTCACTCTGAGGCTGTGCTTTGTGAATTACAGGCCCTGAAAACCAGAATCAGCAACCTGCCCACGGTGAAGAAGTTTCTACAGCCTGGCAGCCCAAGGAAGCCTCCCGCAGATGCAAAAGCTTTAGAAGAAGCCAGAAAGATTTTCAGGTTTTAATAAAGCAGCCATGGAGGCTAAGAACATGCAAGACCAATATTCTAAAGTTTTGCAACAATGAAGTGCTTTACTTAAGTGTTGATTGTGCCTGTTGTAAAGCTAATGAACCCTTTCCAATTATATGCTAATTAAATAATAAAAACTCCTATTTGCTAACTTAGTTAAAATTTAAGCCTTTTCATTAGGATCTGATATGAATTCAGATTTCTAATCTCCTCCTAACCTCTTTCTTGAAATTAAAAATTTAGTAAAAATGGGAAATGTAGGTTATATGGTTTGACTTTTACCAAGAATTATCCTGTAACATTTGTCATACAATCTATTAAAATGTCAATGTAGAAATGCGCTCCTGACATTTTCAGGTATGCACAGGAGAAGAGTTACCATTCTGGGTAATGGCATAAAGACATTTTCTTCTTTTCCTGGACAGTCATTTTGTTTCAGATAAAAGCGTTCTTTCTCCTGTATTTTCAAAACAATGATTCTGTCTGCTGTGGATTCCTCAGTTTTCTAGGAGGTGAGGAAATATTGAAGAGCAAACAGACCCACCCTCTGCTCTCAGGCCACCCTGTTGTCCCTTACAGTGCATGTGCTCCTGGCTCATCCTCACTCTGCTCCTTAAGGCTCTGTGGGGGCCACCGTCATGAACATTCCCTCAGTTCCCTCAGTGCCACTCAGGCCTGGGCTGCCAAGATACAGATGGTATATTTGAATTACATATAAGTAACTACTATATGCAAAATCATTTTTCCGTGGTGTGTCATTGTGCCAGAGTTCTTAGATGAGGAGTGCTTTCTAGCTCCACCCACATACTGGGCCTATAGTGTTAATCTCCCCTCGGACACCTGGGCTTCTGCAATTTGAGCTCTCCTGTTAGAATGAGCTTCCCCACAGTTGGCAGAGGTGGTTGAGGGAGCAGACAGACACAGGCTTCCTACCTGCAGCTTCACTTTGCTCTAGTCTCTTCTCCACTTACAACCAGCATAGCTTTTCTAAAATACAAATTGGAAAAAAAAATCACAGAATTCTGCAGTGAGTCCTGACTGCATATAGAAGGTATCCTCACACCCGTCCTCACTCCTTGATCTCCAGCCCAATCAACCCTCTGAGCATGGTGGAGCCTCTTGCCTTCCTGCCTGGGTGCATTTGCTAGCCCTGCCTGGCAAGCTCCTTCCCAGTGATCACAATTAAATCTACCCTATTGCTTCTCCGGAGCATTGGGCTGTCCTCTGTGCCCTCCTCAGAGCCCCAGTGAGCCTCTAAGAACACCTGAGGGCCACTGTGTCTGCTCCCCTGTGCTGTGATTACGGGTATGGGACACTTACATGAACTAGAATGCTGAAGCTTTGATGAAACTAAGGAATTATAGAATTTTAATATGATAAGAGAATAGTGTGATTATGTTTCAACAGGTAGTTCTTCCTTTCTAGAGATAAACAGTAGTATGTACAGAAGAAATGATATGCTGTCTGGAATTTGTTTCAAAAAAATCCCTTGGTAGTGGGGGGAGTAGAAGTTTGTACTGTTTTCTTGTGGCTTCTGTCACAGATTCCTACAAACATGGTGGCTTGAAACAATAGAAATTCTGAAGGCCAGAAGTCAAGTTGTGAGGTCCACATTCCCCTGGAAGCTCTAGAGAACAATCCTTTCCTGCATCCTACAGCTTCTGGGGGCTCTTGGCATTTCTGGACTTCCTTGGATCTTGGCCACATCACTCTACTTTCTGCATGGGGCTTCCAGCACCTCACCCTCTTTGTGTCTGTGTCTTCTCTGTTGTGGGTACACTTCTCACTGGATTTAGGGCCTATTTAAATATACCAGGATGGTCTCATCTCAAGTTCCTTAACTTCATCTGCAAAGAGCTTTTTTCCAAATAAGGTCACATTTACAGGATCCAGGGGTTTGGATATGGACCTATCTTCTGTGGGGGCCAACATAACCCACTGCATGGTGTAGATGAAGAAAGGCTTTTGTCAATCGGTGAATCCAGGTCATGGGTACTTTCAACTTAGTTATATTATTCTGTCTACTTTTGTATTTGCTAGAATTCTTCCATGTAAATTTAAAAACTATCTTATTTTAGGAGCTCCTACAATGACCAGGTTTTGTGCCAGACAATGAGGACTGGAATCAAACAAGAAGAAGGCTTTCCCCTCAGGAACTCAGGGTCTAGTGGGGAAGCTGATATTGAATACATCATGTCAAAACAGTGTAGGGAAAGAAGACATAGTAGAGAAAATACCATGGTAGGTGAAAGTAGTGCATTCCAGTCAGGACAATTACCATGTGCAAAGGCCCAGAGGTCAAGAAGGGCAACCTGAGTGACGCAGAGAGGAAAAAGTATGCAAATACGGTGGCTAGATTTGGCAGATAAAATACAAGACACCCAAGTAAATATGAAATTCAGATGAACAATCAATACTTTTTTTGTATAATCATGTTACCTACAGTGCTTGGGACATACTTATACTAAAAAGATATTGATTCTTTGCCTGAACTGCACATTTTCCTGGGTTCCCTGCATTTTATGTGGCAACCCAGTAATAGAAGCTTTCCATAGTGCCATCAGCCTGCCCTTCACAGACATCCCCTCCCAGCTATGCTCCCAGCAGAGATTTCTCATCTGCTTTAGTCCTTACATCCAAGTCATGAAAAGTGAGTGTCTTCAAAAAGCCAGTTTCTACTGACTTGTAAAGAGAGCAAAATCTGCTGAAATATTTTGTTAAACTTTTAATGCCAACCTTGAAAAGGAACATATTAACCAGTTACCCTGTGATAAGAGGATGACTTGCCATTTTTCTTAGAATCTAGTAGGCAGTCTTGTGGCCCTGAAACATGTGGGGGTGGCTTTTTGCTAAATTGACTGTACCTCTTTCAATGGGAAGGAGCTATGGAAAGGACCATGTAGCTTATAAACGCATTAGGACCTTAAATTAAGTTGTTGAACCACGAGCATGACAGTCTTTAACAAACTAAGCAGTGATCTTGTAAATCTTCTCATACTGCCTCATACCCTCTCATCTAGGTCACTAGAAAAATACTTTTAAATGTATCCTTAACACAATAAAAACAAATCTGTTTAATACTCACATCAATGCCTTCTTTGTGTGCTTGGATGACAGTTTGAGTTGTGCATTCAGCTGCTTTTGGATACATCGTGTCAACTCAATAAACAGAAAGAGACTCTAAAATAAAAGATATTTATTTGGGAATAAAGTTTTGTAATGGGTATGCGTGTACCATATTAAACCACGTATGTGCTTAGGGAGATAAAGGAAGACAAAGGTTTTTTAAGAAAAAAATGAAAAGCATTAAATAAATTTTTAAAATACTTATAACTCACTACAAACATCAATAACAAGGGTGACGTCAGGCCAAGTATGAACTGGCAGTTGCTGGTCAGATGTCCTTGCAGAAGTTTTTTGTATAATGTTGTGATAACCTTTGTGCAAGTTTATGTTTTTTGTAACTTTTTTTCTTATCTGACATAAAAGAATGAAAACCTTCTCTTCATGGTTTTCCAGCTCCGTTTGTCAAGGTTTTCTCAACATTAGTAACTTCATTTTTTTTCTGATAACATTCACAATCATTACAGAAATGTAAAAAGGAAGAATTTATAAAACTAGGGCATGATATATAATAATAGGAAAAAAGTTAATGATCTAAGGTAAAAAAAAAAAGTGATGGTGCCATTTTAGATAATCTGAGAATACGAGCAGTGCCAGAGGAAACATAGGTGTTTGTGCCAAAGTTGTTTTCTCTAGACAAGTAGTCAATATACAATTGTTGTGAATGAAAATTTGGCAAGATCACAGACTTGGGATTCCTGATGACCAATGAAAGGGACGTATATCTGCACAGTTCCATGTCTGCAGTTGTTTCTCCAAACCTCCATCTCCTGCTGAGGAAAGAGCCACCAATACCTAGCAAACACAATTCTAATTTACAGCTTGATGGTAGATATCACACACATTCGTGCTTCCTTCAGGAAGTGCTTTGTGATTTGTTGCCAAGTGTTGATGCCACTGACTTTTCAATATTACTTTAAGGTTGTTATGCTCCAAAGGGCAGGCAAAATCTTTTGTGAGCCACTGTGTAGAACTTGCAGGTTAATCTAAGTCTGTAGAACTTTTAGTTTTATAAAGCAAGATGACCTAGATTTATGATAAAAAAATTAAGAACAAGAATGCCCTTCTTGTAAATTTTTACATTCCTGATTCAATGATTATTTGTTAATCCTTGTCCTTTGCCCAATTGAACATTTGTCTGAAAACCCTGCTCTTTCCAAATTCCTCCTTCCTTACTCCTTCTTTTTCACTTAGTGGAACAGTCTCATTTCTTTATTAATTCTGCTTAAACTGCAGAAAATTGAGTCTGATAATCAGGATTGGTTGACCCATTGTTGTGATTCTATTATTTAATTTTTCTATGTAATTTTTTTCTATATTATTTAATTTTCACATCAAGCAAGCTCAAAAGTAGAAATTGGAGAAATCTCTGTGACCACTAAAACGTATAGCAGCACTATTCCTATTAGAATAAATTAGTCTCTGAATGTCAGGAAAACTAGAATCTAATTTAGTCTTTGCTACTAATTAGCTGGATGACAAGTCACATTCTCTCTCTGGGATTCAACCAACTCATGACAAACCTAGAAAATAGCTAAGAAAAAGTGTCTCACCCTTAGCACCCCTTGGGTTGGGGAATTATTTGTGTGCAGGGGCTGCCTTGTTCATGAGAGGGCATTTCAAGGCATCACTGGCCTCTACCTACCTGATCTTGTAGCACTACGTACCCCTAAGCTGTGAAAACCAAAAATGTCTGCAGACATTGCTGAATGGGTTAGGGGAGTAAAATCTCTCCTGGTTGAGAATCACTTGACTACATGACTTCTCAAAGTGTTAAAAGTCAAAAGTCCTGATAGGAGAACTACACAGTCATTCGAGCATACAACTAGTTTTTAAGAAGCATCTGACTAGAATGTATGATGTCATTAGAGTATAAGAGTCGACGATGGCCTGGAATAAATGTTTAATATTGAGGGGCGGGAGATGTTATAAAAGGAAGACCAGGAGTTTCAGTGAGATCCTCTTTTTGGATCCAGATCTGAGAGCTATGCAAGCTATAAAAGAATTCACAGGAAAGAAATATAGCAGCCATGTGAGAAGATACTGAAATGAGAGTTGCAAGAGATTACAGAGAGCAATGTTTAAATACAGATGAGCGATCCTACTTTGAAGGGTAGGAAAGCACACATTTGGGAGTACAAAATCCACTGAACCTGCAGATTGAGATGCTACTGTGGAAAAAAGGAGCCCACCTGGGCAGAAGAGACAGGGTCCTCAGCTTTTTCTGAGTCTGGCAGCCTTCTCCCCTTGCTCTGATTTGCTTGGCTAAGAGAATTATGATTCTTGGGTTGGAATTTCCAAGAACCCATTAAAGTGAAGTCACTGCTGAGCACATTCTGCTCTGTTAGTTGTCCACAAGCCTGTTTTTCTTTTTTCTTTTCTCTTTTTTTTCTTTTCTTTTCTTTCTTTCTTTCTTTTTTTTTTTTTTTTGGTGACAGAGTCTTGCTCTGTCACCCAGGGTGCGGTACAGTGGCATGATCTAGGCTCACTTTAATCTCCACCTCCTGGATTCAAGTGATTCTCCCACTTCACCCTCCCTAGTAGCTGGGACTACAGGCACATGCCACCATGCCAGGTAATTTTTTTTTTTTGGCATTTTTGGTAGAGATGAGGTTTCACCATGTTGCCCAGGCTGGTCTCGAACTCCTGGGCTCAAGTGATCACCTGTCTCGGCCTCTGAAAGTGCTGGGATTAGAGGCATGAGCCACCACACCCGGCCCCACAAGGCTATTTTTCTGACTAGATTTAAACCCTTTAGAGCGAGGACCAAAACATACCAAATATTTTTTGCTACAAGCCATCATCATTGCTTGAGACACCGAAACTGTTTTTAAGAGGCGAACACTCCAGAAACAAGGAATTGAGGAAGGATCAGCAAAATGTCTGCATTTTCAGGTAAGTAACAGGATGGTGTAGAGAAGTGACTGTTTTCATCAAGTGTTAAGAGTGAGACCCTGCCCAAGAGCTATGAATGGCTGGAGAGAGGCAGTGGGGCTCCCACATGCATGGCTGGAGTTCATGCAAAGGGGGCCTGGCAATAGGAAAGGCTCAGACTGCCCTGAGCAGGGGGTGAGTGGTAGCTGGGTCTGGTCTCAGGAGAAAGGCCCACAAGATGCAGTGTATGGGAGCCTTTTTCTGGGATAGAAATCATCTCTTTTTCGAGGTTATAAAACAACCTGGGAACCAGGGATCTGCTGCAGTCTAGGAGTTAAGCAAGACTGTGTTAACGATGGATCAGGCCTCCCTGAACCTTCACTGAAAACTTCCTGTTAATCCAGTGTATTAGTCTGTTCTCATGCTGCTAATAAAGACATACCTGAGACTGAGTAACTTATAATGTAAAAAAGGTTTAATGGACTCATAGTTTCACGTGGCTGGGGAGGCCTCACAATCATGGCAGAAGATGACAGAAGAGCAAAGGGACCTCTTACATGGTGGCAGGCAAGAGAGTGTGTACAGGGGAACTCCCCTTTATAAAACCTACAGATCTCGTGAGGCTTACTCACTATCAGAAGAACAGCATGGAAAGACCCACCCTCATGATTCAATTACCTCTCCCTGGGTCCCTCCTGTGACACGTGGGAATTATAAGAGCTACAATTCAAGATGAAATTTGGATGGAGATACAGCCAAACCATATCACCCAGGTTGACTGGATTAGTGAATATCATTAACCTCTGCACAGGAGCTTTATAGAAAAGACCCACTGTATGACTTCTCTGAAAAAAAAAATCTGGATATATATAAAATCTTATTTTTACCAGAGCTTGATGGGTTAAGAGAGAGAGAGAGAGAGAGAGAGAGAGACAGGAGACCCATGTACTACCCAATGTGTTCAGAGAGACTCATCCACATCCCAAGAAGTGGGGGTCGGAGGACACTCTCATTACTCAGTTCCTATTATGAATTTTATGTACATTATTTTATTAGTCTGTTTTCACACTGCTATAAAAAAATACCCGAGACTGGGTAATTTATAAAGAAAAGTGGTTTAATTCTGCACCACTTTTCTGCATGGCTGGGGAGGCCTAAGGAAACTTAACAATCATGGTAGAAAGTGAAGGAGAAGGAAGTACCTTCTTCACAACGCAGCAGGAAAAGGAGAGAGCAGGAGAAACTACCGCTTATAAAACCACCAGATCTCATGAGAACTCACTCACTATCGTGAGATCAGCTTGGGGGAAACTGCCCCCATGATCCAACCACCTCCACCAGGTCTCTTCCTCAACATGAGGGGATTATAGAGATTATAATTTGAGATGAGATTTGGGTGGGGACACAGAGCCTAACCAGATCAATTATTTCATTTAACTTTCTCAACAGCCCTCAAAAGTAGGTATGGAAATCCCTATTTTTGGTTTGTTTATTTTAGACAGAATCTCTCTGTGTCATCCAGGTTGGAGTGCAGTGGTGTGATCTCAGCTCACTGTAACCTCCATCTCCTGGGTTCAAGAAATTCACCTGCCTCAGCCTCCCTAGTAGCTGGGACTACAGGCGCCCACCACCACATCTGGCTGATTTTTTAATTTTTAGTAGAGACTTGGTTTCGCCATGTTGGCTGGGCTGGTCTCGAACTCCTGATCTCAAATGATCTGCCCATCTCGGCCTCCCAAAGTGCTGGGATTACAGGCATGAGCCACCACACCTGGCCAACAATCCCTATTTTGAAAAGAGAAAATTGAGCTCAGAATTTAGAGAGCCTGAGTTTATGAACCTCATAATGGAAGGAGTTGTGATTTATCTCAGTCTCCCTTCTCTCTGATAAGAAACAGTGTAATTAGGACCACTCAGAGACCTAACTCTTTTAATTTACTACTGGGATTATCATAGGTTATATTCCTTTCAATACAAGCTCATTTTCTAATTGAGGTAAATATACTAGTCCTCAACTCACTCAGGTTTTTAGGTTATCAAATAAGAGAAAGGCAAACTTTTATTAATTTTTTCTTCTAATCAAGCTCCTGAAAAGCTGCTAACAGAAAGGAACTCAAGATTCAGATGTTCGCCTCTTGCCCTCATCTTTAAACCTTTAGCTGGCTAATGGAGTCTGAATGGGAAAATATGAAACGATTTCTCAGACAGAAGCAGAGGCATCTTATAGGGTGGAGTGGAAAATCTCTGGACCTGCAATCAGAAGGAGTTCAGGCTGACCCAACATTCACCAAGTGTGCAGCATGGGCCAGTCGCTTTAGCTCTCTGAACCTCTGTGTGCCCATCTTTAATTAGGCTATTAGGAGCCATTTCCCAGTGTTGTTGCAGAAGGTAGACACACTCCCTAGATATTGACCATGAATGACGAGCATGTATGTGTGACTCATGGCAAATCTTTGAGCTCTCTGGTTCTCAAATTCTCTTAACCCAGCAAAGCTCTGTGGTAAACTTTGTCCCAGTCTTGGTCTGGCCTTTGGAAACCTCATATTGTGAAGGTGATATGTTACTTACAAGAGAGAGCATTATGATAAAATGCTATGTAAGATAACAATTCATTTCCCTTTGAAACATGATCTTCAGTAATGGCTAAGGGTGCAAATGTGTGATTTGAATCACTCTGTGAACTCTAGTTGATAACAATTAAACAAGCACACCCACTGTCTGTGAGGTTCACTCTCCCTTTCCTTCTGAATCATGCTATTTCCATTTCCAATGAGAGGAAAGTGCAATGCGCAAAGTCTCTAATTACAAGACAGATGAGTTGATTAGGTATGTTCAAAGAATTCTTTACTTTCTAAAAGTTAGACTATTGAGTTCCACATTTTAAAATGTAGATATTTAAGAGATTTTGATTTCTAAATTCAAGTCACATACTTTTCTAGAAATACATCTGTTGGTAAAGACAAGTATATTTTTGTACCAATATACCAACCTCGACGACTACAAAATTTTGCAGGAAGAATCTTAATATTTTATAACAGAGCTGGGGGTTTGGAGAGAAAATGCCACTGTTCCTAGATCCTGGCACTGGAATGCCTGCTTTCAATGAGTCTTGTGTGTTTCCATTCAAACTCAGGATACAATTATTTATGGTTTGTCCTTGTAGACTTGGTTTTCATTCTCTGATACTCTGCTACGTTCCACCTCCCAAGCAGGCTGGGATAGAGCAAAGGCTATCATATTTCCTTGATGAGCCCCAATCAATTTATCTCTAACAATTTGCAATGGCCAAATGAGCGTGTACCCATGCAAACATCCATACACATAACACACATATAACTGAAACTAAAAACTCATGAAACATTACTTATTCTCCAGCATGTCATGCTCTCTGGTATTTTTTATTCTTTTATATCTTATTTTTAAAGTATTGGGTTTCACAGTCTGCTGAAAGATTACCATGCGTATTTGAGAAACATTAACATAAAACATAAGGCCCAGTCTTTGTTTTTTGTTTTTGTTTTTGTTTTTGAGACAGAGTCTCGCTCTGTTGCCCAGGCTGGACTACAGCAGTGCGATCTTGGCTCACTGCAACCACTACCTCCTGGGTTCAAGCAGTTCTTCTGCCTCAGCCTCCCTAGTAGCTGGGATTACAGGCATGCACCACCAAGCCTGGATAATTTTTTGGTATTTTTAGTAGAGATGAGGTTTCACCAATGTGGCTAGGCTGGTCTTGAACTCCTGACTTCAGGTGATCCACCCGCCTTGGCCTCCCAAAGTGTTGGGATTACAGGTGTGAGCCACTGCGCCAGCCAGTCTTTGTTTTGAATAGCAGTGGGTTTGAATCCCAGATCCACCACTTACTATGGGCAAGTTACTCAAAAAATCTCAGTATTCTCAACTGTAAAATGAGATTAACAACAGCACTCACTTAGGTGATTTTTGTAGAATAAAATGAAGATAAATTTGGAGGAATGATCAGTGTGTGACTGACATTGAACAAATGATAGCACTTTCGGTTCCCTGCAAAATTAATGCAGCATCTATTTTTCCAGGTTATAAAACAAAATGCACCCTACAGAGGTAGAAAATAGAATTCCAAGAGAATCAAGAAATTATGATTCTCTATCTGTTTAAAGAATTTGGATCTCGTAGCTAGTTAAACAAGTCTGAGGCCCTATTTCTCCCTTTGATCAAACGTAGTTGTATTAGTTCATTTTCACACTGCTATAAAGAACTTCCCTGAGCCTGAGTAATTTATAAAGGAAAGAATTTTAACTGACTCACAGTTCCATATGGCTGGGGAGGTTTCAGGAAACTTATAGTCATGGTGGAAGGTGAAGGGGAAGCAGGCATTTTCTTCACAAGGCAGCAGCAGAGGGAAAGAGAGAGAAGGGGGAACTGTCCTTTATAAAACCATCAGATCTCGTGAGAACTCACTGTCAGGAGAACAGCATGGGGGAAACCACCTCCATGATCCAATCATCTCCCACCAGGTCCATCCCTCAACATGTGGGGATTATGGGGATTACAATTCGAGATGAGATTTAGGTGGGGACAAAGAGCCAAACCGTATCAGTAGCCTAATAGCCAAAGAGCTGAAGAGTGGCTCTGCTCCTTCCTGGTCCTCCCTGTCATGACATACTCTGGTTTCTTGGTCACTTACTGGATTCCCAGGGCCTTCACCTAGGTGGGTTCCAGGCCTGCCTTCATTTTAGTCTTGGGTGTGGATTTTCATGTTCATCACCACCTAGAGTGTGATTGTGGACATTGCATTTCACTTCTCTGATGTTCCATTTCATTAACCAAAAAATGGAGATAATAATAGGCATTTCGGCCGAGCACAGTGGCTCATGCCTGTAATCCCAGCACTTTGGGAGGCCGAGGCGGGCGGATCAGTAGGTCATGAGATCGAGACCATCCTGGCTAACATGGTGAAACCCCATCTCTACTAAAAATACAAAAAATTAGCTGGGCGTGGTGGCGGGTGCCTATAGTCCCAGCTACTTGGGAGGGTGAGGCAGGAGAATGGCTTGAACCCAGGAGGCAGAGCTTGCTGTGAGCTGAGATTGTGCTACCACAGCCTGGGTGACAGGGCGAGACTCCATCTCAAAAAAATAAATAAAAATAAAATAATAATAATAATAGTCATTTCATGGGACTTTGGAGGATTAAAGATATAACATATTAAAAGGGACTAGCATTGGGGAAGTGTCACCAGGATGTTTTTAATAAATATTGGTTCTTGAATTCTTCCTCTTCCCACTACCTTCCATATGTGCATTATTACCACAAACTCTCACTTCTTAACATGGCGAGAATGGTTACATTTAACCAATGGGCACGTGAGACTGGTTTGCTAGAATCTGAGGGTGGCCACCGATGGATAACAATTTGGGCCAAGAAAACATTCCAGGAACTCCTCCAACCCAGTCATGAAGAAGGCAGATTCTTCTTCAGTATTGTTGGTGGTTTTCAACAATACATCCTAATGAACATTTTTGATTCTATGGCTTCAATTATTTGTTCATTCATTCATTCTTTCATTCATGCTTAGAGAAAACTCCAGGAGTCTGCTATCATGGTGGGAAACCCAAGCTCTACTACCACAATGGACAGGGCAGAATGGAGTCCATCCAGTCGCTCCTAGCTGCATCTGGAGTACGGGTAGGTCCTGAGAGGTCATCTTAAGTTGGATCTAAAATTGACCTTACCAGATACTTTTCCCTCAGAAACTATGAGATGTTTCTTACTAAATGACTTGTCAAGTGTTGTACCTTAAAGAAAATTGGCAGTTATTAAGAAAGAGATGATGAATTTGATCTAATAAATTGTTAAAATATCTTCTCATCTAAGGGCATAAACATTAAGGTACATTTAAGAAACAAACTAATCAGAATGTGTGGACTTTAACTGAACTTGGATTTAAACAAACTCTAAAAAATAATTTATGGCATTTGTATAACAGTTAGAAGCATACATATTGATTGAATATTTGATGTCATGAAAAAATTATTGTTAATGTTTCATGTGTGATAATGTACTATGGCTATATTTAAAATCGTTCTTCTGTTTTAGGGAAACACATTGAGGTATCTAAGAATAAAATATATGATATCTGGGATTTCCTCACATTATTACAAGAAGAAAGTGGGTGGGCATGTAGATGAAAACACATTGGCTTTAGCTGGTATAAACCAAATATAAAATTCTAAGCCTCTTACCCAGCCCCGACCATCTGAATGGACCCTCTTCTCAGCAAGGGCATTACTAAGCTAACCTGAAAAACCAATTTAGGCCATGATGGGAAGTGGGAAGTTGGACATGCCCTCCTCTCTTTTGGAATTACTGATAGAACAGACTCTAAGTCTGATAAGAAACATTACTTTCAATGGCAAAAACCACAATTACTTTTGTACCAACCTAATACAATTTATTTTCTCTGAAGCCTGCTACCTGGATGCTTCATCTGCATGATAAAACTTTGGTCTCCACACCCCCTTATTACCCTAACCCAGATATTCCTTTCTATTGATCCCAGGTGAAGGGGTGGCCTGCTCCTCCACACCTGTGGGTATTTCTAGTCGGGTGGGACGAGAGACTGAGAAAAGAAATAAGACACAGAGACAAAGTATAGAGAAACGACAGTGGGCCCAGGGGACCGGCACTCAGCACACCAAGGACCTGCACCGGCACCGGCCTCTGAGTTCCCTCAGTTTTTATTGATTATTATTTTCATTATTTCAGCAAAAAAGGAATGTAGCAGGAGAGCAGGGTGATAATAAGGAGAAGGTCAGCAAAAAACATGTGAGCAAAAGAATCTATGTCATAATTAAGTTCAAGGGAAGGTACTATGACTGGACGTGCACGTAAGCCAGATTTATGTTTCTCTCCACCCAAACATCTCAGTGGAGTAAAGAATAACAAAGCAGCATTACTGCAAACATGTCTTGCCTCCCACCATAGGGCGGTTTTTCTCCTATCTCAGAATTGAACAAATGTACAATCGGGTTTTATACGGAGACATTCAGTTCCCAGGGGCAGGCAGGAGACAGTGGCCTTCCTCTATCTCAACTGCAAGAGGCTTTCCTCTTTTACTGATCCACCTCAGCACAGACCCTTTACGGGTGTCGGGCTGGGGGACGGTCAGGTCTTTCTCATCCCACGAGGCCATATTTCAGACTATCACGTGGGGAGAAACCTTGGACAATACCCCGCTTTCAAGGGCAGAGGTCCCTGCGGCTTTCCACAGTACATTGTGCCTCTGGTTTATTGAGACTAGAGAATGGCGATGACTTTTACCAACTATACTGCTTGTAAACATTTTGTTAACAAGGCACATCCTGCACAGCCCTGGATCCCTTAAACCTTGATTTCATACAACACATGTTTTTGTGAGCTCCAGGTTGGGTCAAAGTGTCTGGGGCAAAGCTACAAATTAACAACATCTCAGCAAGCAATTGTTTAAAGTACAGGTCTTTTTCAAAATGGAGTCTCTTATGTCTTCCCTTTCTACATAGACACAGTAACAGTCTGATCTCTCTTTCTTTTCCCTGCACCCAGGTCTTTAGATCATAACTCTTTCAATCAACTGCCAATTGGAAAATTTTATAATCTACACAAAATCTGGAAGTCCACACTTCCAGTTGTCCTGCCTTTCTGGACTGAACAAATGTACATCTCTATATATTTGATTGATGTCTCATGTCTCCCTAAAATTAAACTATATCCCAACCACCTTAAGCACACGTTCCCAGAATCTCCTGAGGGCTGTATCACAGGCCATTGGTCACTCACATTTGGCTCAGAATAAATCTCTTCAAATATTTTACAGCGTTTCACTCTTTTCCCTAATATTGGTAATTATTGATTCTATATGAGGAATACAAGAAAGGTCATTATACTTTTGTGTTATTTTTATACATGTTAGAAATTTATACAATAAGAGGATAAAAAGGCATAATATTAGAAAGTGAATGTAAAGTGGAACTGCGTACTCACCTGTTAAAGACTCAGTATACTAATTCAATGATTATTTTGTTGTGCACCTACTAAGTGCCAGATTCTGTGTGAGGTTCTGGAGGTAGACAGTGAACAAGACAGACTCAGTCTCTGCCCTCGGGTAGCCTACATATCTATAAGAATGGAGACAAGTAAACAGGTGATTAAAATAAGGAGCTTCCAGGAGAACACCCAAGCATTCCCCAGTGTTACCATATCATCCACCCAGTGTCTGAGGAGGAAATGCAGGGAGGTGTCTGTGGGACTCCGTTGAGTGCTGCCCTCTAGAGGTGTCACTGAGAAAAACACGTTCTAGTCCAGACCACAGTCCCTCAGTAACTGCCTGAGAGGGTTTTCTTCCGGAGTGAGTCTTCGACAACTCAGGAGATCTTGTCCCTTGGATGGTAGCAGAAAAAGAGGGTTTCAGGTGAGGTGGCGTCCTGTGAGGGGAACTTCCAGTGAGCCCCTTCAGCCTCACAGCGCCGTGTGGAACTGAGCCTTGGGACGGCACTTTCTCCATTGCTTCACGAAGGCTCGGGACCTTAGCCTCACCCTTTCTCAATCCTACGAATAAGCACACAAGAAATCCACACACCGTCATTCCAGGTTTTGTTTGTTTGTTTGTTTGTTTTGGTACAAATGAATACCCCGTTTCACTGTCACCCAGACGTCAGCTCTGCAGCTCAGGGATGTGTTCAGAGCCCGGGTAGGAAGAGTTCAGCAGGAGGGAGGGAGGGGCAAGGCTGGGAGGAACCCAGGCTCCCTGGCCTCCATCCAGCCTGACTGAAGGCGGGGGCAGGGCTGACTGCAGACCTTGCTCAGGCTTCTGGGGTCTCAGTGCCCTAAGGCTGATGATCACAACCAAGTCCTCAGCCTCACAAGCACATCCCACTTGCCAGTCCCACCACCTCGGTCACCCTCCTGCCAGGACCACACACCGTTCCTTAGGTTTGTCCTGAACCGGACACAGTATTAATTTCTGGCACACCCTTCCTGCCCCCGCCTCCCCCACCCCCCAACCATGATCTCTAGATCCTGGTCCTGTGTGATCATAGATCCACAACAAACTCTGTTCCATGGAGCAAGCTAGAAACCCCCAAATTCCTGACATTTGACTATAAAGAACTCTATTAAAGTATACTTAGCCACTGCAAACACCGCTACTGTTTATTACTTGATTTATGTGGGTCAGGCCCTGTATGATGCATTTTGAAAACATTAAAACATTCTGTTAAGAAAATGTTCTATGCCCATTTTGCAGATGAGGGAACTAATGCTTAAAGACGTTAAGTGATGATTCCCAGATCACACAGCTATTATGAGGCAGAGCCAAGATTGGAACCAGATCATATTAACAGTGAAATCCTGAAAATCTTTGTAAGAGTCTGCTTTAACTTTTATTTTTATAGATTCTGCCTATTAAGTCAACTGCATCATTATGTAATAACTGATTTTCATATTTATATTAAATACCTGCATCTACTCAGAGTTTCTGATCAGATTTAGACAACCTTGCTGGCTGCCATTCCAACTACTCTCAGGACAAGGTGTAATTTATTTCAAAGTTTAAATTACTGGATATAGGTCAACAAGAGACTATACATTCAGTGATTTTAGATTGATTTAAATTTTTTGAAAAGGATGCTATGAAATAGCAGCCATCTCTCAGAGTCCCAAAACATATATTTAACGAGCATTTATTATATACCTGCTACTTTTCCAAGTGCTTTGCATGACTTTGAAATTTAATTTTCATACCAATCTTTTTTTTTTTTTTTTTTTTTTTTTTTTTTTGTTGAGGCAGAGTCTCACCCTGTCTCCCAGGCTGGAGTGTAGTGGTGCAATCTTGGCTCACCGCAACCTCCACCTCCCAGGTTCAAGCCATTCTCCTGTCTCAGCTTCCTGAGTAGCTGGGATTACAGGCATGCGCCACCACACCTGGCTAATTTTTGTATTTTTAGTAGAGATGGGGTTTCTCCATGTTGGACAGGCTGGTCTTGAACTCCCGACCTTAGAGGATCCGCCTGCCTCGGCCTACCAAAGTGCTGGGATTACAGGCGTGAGCCACTGCGCCCGGCCTTTCATACCAATCTTTAAAAAAAGCTTCATAAGTATATCCATTTCACAGGTTAGGATACTGAGACACAGAGAGATTCAACAATGTGTCCAAAATCAAGAAGCCAGGACTTGAAAATAGTGATATTAAACCCACACAGCCATATCATAAACCACAGATTTTTATTAAAAATAACATTAGTCTGGGGACCCTAATTCCTTCCTCAAATTGAGAATTCTACTCTGTCATGTTCCATTTACTCCAGGAGGGGAAATTATCGTTGCAAGAGTTAAAGCTGTGCAATAGCAGGACCTATCTCATGCACAGTAGGGCTCCTAACAAGTGGGGTGATATAAATTACAGCAGAGGTTCCTCGGTGGAAGAATCTTTTTTGGTCATTAGCCCATTGCATACCCCACACTAGGGACACAAAGCCTGCGGTCTGATCTCACCTGGAGACACATGCTTTCCTATGATACGACAACAACATAACTAGAAGAACTGCTTGATACCTTAACGCCAGTGACATCCCCTCCCAAATCATGACCTAATCATGGACATGGGAGAGATCAGGGTGTGGATGAAGTGAACTAAAAGATTGAGTGCTATGTGCTGTGATCCATGCTTTTCTCTTGATGAATCTAGTCTAAATTTCCAAGTGGCCATGACCAGACCCCTCTGTGTGCACTGCCAAACTCAGAAATCTTATATTCTCCAAATTATGTATCAGACAGTAGCCATTCAAGGTTAAAAGTCTATAATGCTATGGAATGACCTATCAGGAGCCCATTCACTGATTCTGCTTTCGGTTTGAAGAGAAATTTCTAGAATCTGCAGAAGATTTGGAAAAGTTAAGAAATGGTAAGATCGAGTCTCTACGTGTCTCTGAGGAAGGTATCTAGTAGAAGGTACACTTGCAGGTTTTAATACCAGGCCGTGTCTATGTGTGCGAAGGGTGGTAGTTGGGGTGGTGGAGAGGGAAAAAAGTGGTTAAAGTAGAAAGGGTGGGGCTCCTTGAGCAGTTCTGTCAACTCTCTCCAGGCTAAAAGGGCCAGACCTCTTAGAGTATTTGCTAGAGGAGCCATCCCCAGCACCCTGAGAATGGCCTTTCCTTGCTTTCATTCTTTCAACACTGTGAATAAGCTGTGGTTGGTTCGGGATCCCATACAGCCCTCCCCATCCAAGGACACGCGCGGACATTCATCAGAGGGAAGGAGTTGAAATAGGTCCATCTTGAATTCATTTCTCTTATGAATTTGACAAGGTGATATTCTTGCAACTGTAGGCTTAGATAATGAGATAGTGTTGAATTGGTTGGAAGTCCAGGTCAGAGGGTGAGGAGGGACATGAGCCAGGGTAGCAGCAGTAGAGTGAGGAACACAGCACCCACCCTGCACACACTGTCCAGTGGGGGTATTGAAGACTATACAAAGGACCTACATAGAAACTTTTCTCAGAACTGTCTTTAATGTCTTCACACCATGAGATTTACTTTGAGATATTCCCATGTTAATTGGCATGTGGCTAGTGGGCCTGCAGCAGCCTCTCCCAACTTCTTCCTAAAATATCCATGAAGATATATCAACACAAAAAATACAAGGGACCTATTATGTATCTGGATGAGGAACAAAAACATAAATGAAATAAGAGGCTACAAGGTAAGAGGAAGCTTGATAGGAAAAAGAAGGACTAAGGAAGCTAAAAACAAATTTCTATTTCCTTTGAGAGGTTATACCAGGCAATAATTTCTTTTCTATTTTATAAATTTAGTCATTTCAGCAAACATTTTTTCATGCTGAAAGACTGGGATTCATAGACATCTGACTCTCCTTTTTTTCCTTCTTTCTAAAGATGGGAGTTTGATGTTCCAGCAAGTGCCAATAGTTGAGATTGATGGGATGAAGCTGGTGCAGACCAGAGCCGTTCTCAACTACATTGCCAGCAAATACAGTCTCTATGAGAAAGACATAAAGGAGAGAGTCCTGTATGGTATATTTTCTGTTCTTCCATTAACAGAGAATACAGAGTGATTTAGGTCCTTCCTTGAGTGGGCGGGACCGTGGCAGGGGCATTATCGTCAGCATCAGGCTGGACCTTGGGTGTGTATGCTGAGTTGCAGTATTGCAGAGTCCCATGGAGATGAGGAAACAGTGAACATGGGGTGGGTTCAGGTGAGGGTGATTCTAGAAAAGGATGCAGTCCATGGATCGAGCACCCTGACAGAGGTTTCCAAACACTGATGAACCATGAACTCAGGAGGATGGCAAATCATGATTCCAGGTGCTCAGGCCTTCAGAGACTGGGCGCCAACAACAGCTTAGGACAAGTCATAGAATGTTTGAGAGTCGGTAGATGAAGGCCTGGGGAGAGAAGGCTCTAAAGAAGCTGAATCTCAGGTTCCAATAACTCCAAGAATGATGACCAGGAACCTACGTTAGCAACTAATTATATGAACTGGTCAACTTGACTCAGGTTAGCAGAGGCTGGTGCCCAAGATACCAGGATTACCTAAAGTGAAGCATTTGATACAGACCTAAGCAGCCACACTGATTTTGCACCAGCAAAGCTGGGAGGAGGGGTCTCCTCCCCTGTTGGCAGTTCCTTGAAAAGTCCAATATAGAGTTACCAATGACCTAACAATTCCACTACCAGGTCTACAACCAGGATAAAGGAAAACACAGCCTCACTAATCCATGCACAGAAATGTTCATAGGAGAACTATTCATGATATGCAAAAGGTGGAAACTACCCAAATGTCCACCCATGGATGAATGGAGGAACAAGACGTGCTGTGGCAGACAATGGAATATTCTTGGACTATGAAAAGGGTCAAAGTACTGATGCATGCTACAACATGGGTGAACCTTGAAAACATGTTCCATAAAAGAAACCAGACACCAAAGGCCACATGTTACATGATTTCTTTTGTATGAACTATCCAGACCATTCGAATCTAGAAAGTAAATCAGTTGTTGCAAGGGGCTGGATGGAGGGGGCTAAGGGGAGTGGCTGCCAAAGTGCTACTGCTTTCCCAGGTGATTAGAAAATAATTGGGAGATCTTCTTTTTTTGTTGTTGTTGAAAATTACTAGCTTGCTTGAAAGTATATATCTTTAGAGATAGCTTTTAGAGATATGCTTTATTTCCTATTTATTTATTGTTATTTTTAATTTTTTTAGAACTTCGAACATTGAGCATAAAAATGAGCCTGAGATATGTAGTATGGTGAGAAAAGGAGACAGAAATGTTCGAGATGGCTGTTCCAGGGACTCTGCCTTGGGATTACTTAAATGGTAGGTCTTTGGCTATATGAATCATGCTAAGCTCATCCACAAAGCAAACCACAGCTGAGATAGCAAACCCTATTTTTAGCATCAGTGGTTACTTGCAGTGATTCCACTAATTCCTCTCATGACTGTGACTCTAGACAGGTCACAGATGTTGATATTCTCTGTACCTGTATTTGGTCACGTGTAGGACAAACATTTTGGACATATATCTACCCCTGTAGCATGTTCTGAGAAATAAATGTAATATGTATGTATAACTAAGAGCATGACTGGCATATAAAAGGCACCCACTGGAGCTGAATTACTTTGTCACCATCTGAGGCTCTACTGTCTCAGGTGTTTAAACCATAAAATCTAAGGCAGAAGGCATTTTGACAGTTTGGTTCTTTTTGTCTTTCAGGATGAATGTAGAAGGATATATGTAGAAGGTAGGAAATTTTGAGTGAAAAGATTCTTCATTATGCACTACCTCCACCTAAGGAAAAAGATGCAAAGCTTGCCCTGATCAAAGGGGGAACAAGAAGCCATTATTTTCCTGTCTTTGAAACTGTACCTGGGAGCTTCTGTATACCTGAACACATGCATGGAGCTTCTTGGAGGGTGGCACGTCCAGGGAAGGCATGGAAGCGCCATGCCCCTTCCCCATATCTTGCCCTAGGCATGTCTTTATCTTTTCAGTGGCTACATGATTTGAGCCTCCAAACTACGAAAGAGATTTTTTTCACCCAACTATATGGATTACCACCTAATGGGATAAAGAAAACCTAAAGTCACAGTCACTGCTGTGCCCCAGGTGGAAGCTGTAATCTGCCTGGATCACTGCCAAGTTTAAAGAACAACAAGAACAAAAACCAAGAGTGAAGGATTTCATTTAGTTTCAGGGATGACCCACAGCAAAGTTTGTAAACATGGACAGAGATCCCATGATAACCTCAAACTCAGTGTACTGTGAGGCTGTCTTGAAAAACAGGCTTTTGGGCCTATGCCTATATGCTGCCTCTTTTTTTTTTTTTTTTTTTTTAATGACAAACACTTCTCGATAGCATGGCACAAAGCAGTACCACAAAAGACTGAAAAGAAACAAACAGGCAAAAAAGGCCTGGTTCTATTAAGGATGCTAAGCAGATGGGAACCAATACAAAACCGAGGTCCAAACTGAGAATAAAAAGTGAAAGAGCTCAAAGCAAAGAGAAAAGAGTTCAGCCCAGGTGCGGACTTGCCACAAGGCACAAGGAACCTTTGTGGATACTGCACCTGGCTGACGGCTGGGGTCCACGGCAATGGGCAACATAGACCATGTCTTGTTGCAACCTCTGGAAAAACTGTGAAAGTGAATGAAGACAACCCAAATGAGAATAAGCAAAAGGTGTTTATTTCGAGCTTGCTATAGTAAGGAAGTCAGGCACCATCACTTGCGTTTGCCAGAGATTCAGAGGCAGGCGGGAAAGTCTGAGAGATTTATGGTGGAAAAAGTTATGCCCTGATTGCATGTTGTTGGCATGAAGATGCTGTAAGCTGGCTAGCTGGAAGTGTGAATTTCTATGTGATTGTTCAGAGATCAATATTTTACTTTCTGTGTTTGGTCATAAACTGAAAGTGGAGGCAAAAATTAGGAAAGCTGGCAGTTATTGACCAAATGCTGGCATATTTCACTGTTGTAAAGGTCATGATAGAAGCTGTTTAGTCTATAAGGACACTAAGAGTTTAGAGGGTTTCTTTGTAGTTTGGCTGCTATAACAAAAATACCATAGACTGGGTAGCTTAAAGAACAGATGTTTCTATCTCACAGCTCTGTAGGCTGGGAAGTACAAGATCAATGTGCCAGCAGATTTCATATCTGGGGAGCTCCTGTTCCTTGATTCATAGACAGCCAATCTCTGGCTGTGTCCTCACATGGCAAACATGCCAAGGGAGTTCTCTAAGGTTCCTTTTATAAGGGGACTAATGTCATTCATGAGATATCCACCCCCATGACTTGATCGTCTCCTGGAAGCCTCACCTACTAACAGCATCACATGGGGGTCAGGATCCCAACATATGAATTTTGGGGAAACTTAAACATTCAATCCATAACATAAGGCAACAGAAAAATAGTGCCTGTGCATTTTTGGGGCATTGACCTTCAGGTCCAAAAAGGCTTCCTTGATGTTAATTGAGCTCTTGACTCTCAAGGCATGGTATAAAAATAGACTGTGAGGAAGAATTTCACCAGTTCTACCAAAGAGTCCCATGATACATGAATTTGAACTATGTATGCTACAATATAGCATTCAATGTTGCATTTTCTTTATGTACCAAGTAATTATTTACACTTACATATGTATACACAGTCTGAAAGGGTATTTGCCAAAATATTACCTTAAATCAGTGATGCTGTGTGTTTTCTCATTTTATTATTTATGGTGTGAATGTGCTATAATATTTTAATAAATACCACATATCACTAAAAATTTTGTTATGAAACATTTTATACATTCACAATAGTTGAAAGAAATATTTTATGAACATATATACACCAACCACCTAGACAGCAAAATTAACATCTCCTCATCTGGGCTTTACCACACGTGTCAGTCACTCCACTCCTGTCTCCCTCAGTCAAACACATTTTTTTTTTTTTTTTTTTTTTTTGCATTTCAAAGTAAATTGCAGACATCAGTGCAGCTCACCCTGGATACTGTGGCATGCAGATTATAACACAGTGAAATCAGTAAGCGCCAACGTTGCAAGAAAGGGGATGAATTCAAGTTCACCCAGGTTTACTTCAGATCCTAGAGCAGGAAATAAGGAGTGCATACAAGGAGAAATGAGGACTCTGATATAGTCTCCTCCTGGGAGAAGAGTGCTGTCATGAAGGTGGAGTCACTTCCCAAGAGAGATTGGAGAGAGATAGCAGAGTGTAGAATCATGCCCTGAACATCAGGGCTGCACGCTGTAGGGTCTGGGGAAGACAGAACATGTTGTAGCAGGTGCTAAGCCCCTGGCCCATGTGGAAGATGCAAGCCGAGTGGGTGGTGTGGACACCGCAGTGAGGTGGAATGAGAAGAGAAAATGAGAGCCTGGGCTCCAACCAAGGAATTAGAAGAGCCACACTTCTTACTCTCTCAATGAGTCAGGGAACATGGAGAAAGATCCGGGTCTCTGCACCCATGCAGTGAGGCAGCAGAGGTGGGAATGTCAGGCTGGAGAAACTCAGGAAGAAGCAGGGGCCCCAGCCTGATTGCACATGTGTTCCTGGTCCGATTCCCCCAATTATCCAGGTGTGAAAGAGCCGCGGACAAGATTACCTTGTTGGCAACAAGCTGAGCCGGGCTGACATTCACCTGGTGGAAATTCTCTACTATGTGGAAGAGCTTGACTCCAGCCTTATCTCCAGCTTCCCTCTGCTGAAGGTGACCCATTTCGTAGCCCGGAGAGGCAGCCCCACATCTCCCATCTTGGGATCTCGGATCTGGGTCCTGGGACTAGCCATGTTCTGACACCAGCCTTCTCCAGGCCTTCAGTGCCCTCAGGTCTCCAAAGTGAGCTTCCAGGCCCTGATTCCTCACAATCAGGGAAAGATTCTTGTTATGTCAGTGAAATGTGTGGCTACCTCATGAAGAGCATTTGCCTTTTATCATGGAAAGGATCCAGGGCCCAGCATCTCTCCCCATCCTTCTATTTCAACGTGGTTTCTGTTCCTGAATTCTCTGTGATGTCCTTTATCCCATATGTGCCCTTGTCTTCCCACACCAAGTCTGTCTGAGCAGGGCCCTTTCTGTCTGGTTTCCTTCCCTGGGCTCTGGCTCCTGCTGTCAGACATTGATTGCGTTTCTCTCTGCACAGCTCTCCGAGTACACTGCCCCCAGCCCTGTATACCTCAGTGGGAGTGGCCCCATGGTTTGTCTTTAACATTTTCTATTTTCATTTCTAACTCAATTTTCCCATATTTTCATTTCTGCCTAGAGGCTGATCTGTGTTGATATCTCACAGGCACATTATTTTTTCTTGACTTACACAAAAGCCACGAATCCTCAGGATTGATGTATAAAGAAGAGAGTAGGGAGACTGAACTAAATAAAATCTAAAATACATCTTTGGGAGAATGCTAGTGAGCTTCTTGTTCTCCCTCTTATATTCTTTCTCTTATCTTTTTTCTCTTCTTTCTCTCATATTCCTCTTATCTCTTATTTCTCGCTCAGAGTCTGTTTCCCAGCCTTCATACTGGTGCTGATGGAGGGGCCTCATTTGGTCTTTGTGTAGGAGAGGCTCAGATTCCCTGGGTGGTATTAATGGTGGTGTCAGTCCTTGGCTTCACTCTGAGGCTGTGCTTTGTGCATTGCAGGTCCTGAAAACCAGAATCAGCAAACTGCCCACGGTGAAGAAGTTTCTGCAGCCTGGCAGCCAGAGGAAGCCTCCCAAAAAGGCAAAACTTTTAGAAGAAGCAAGAGAGATTTTGAAGATTTGATAAAGCAGCCATGGAGGCCAAGAACTTGCAAGACCAATATTCTAACGTTTTACACAATGAAGTGCTTTACCTAAATGTTAATTGTGGCTTTTGTGATGTTAAACCCATTTTTTTAATTGATATAAATACAGTTATACTAGTCCTCAACTCACTCTGGTTTTTAGTTTGTCAAAGTAGAGAAAGGCAGACTTTCTGAAAGTCCCCTGAAAAGTTGCTAACAGAAAGAACTCAAGGATTAGATGTTCCCCTCTTGCCCTTGCCTTCCACCATTTAGTTGGCTAATGGACTCTGAATAGGAAAATATAAAACAACTTCTCAGACAGGAGCTGAGAGCCAGGTTACAGGGTGGAGGGGAAAAGCTCTGGACAGCTCTGGACCTGCAATCAGAAGGAGTTCAGGCTGACCCAACACTCACCAAGTGTGCAGCGTGGGCCAGTCACTTTAGCTCTCTGAACCTCAGTGTGCCCATCTATAATTAGGATATTAGAAGCCATTTCCCACGGTTGTTGCAGAAGGTAGACACACTCCCTAGATATTGATCATGAATGAGGAGCATATATGTGCGACCCATGGCAAATCCTTGAGCTCTCTGGTTCTCATTTTCTGTTGACCCAATAAAGCTCAACGGTAACCTTCGTCCCAGTCTTAGCTGGACCTTAGGAAACCTCATATTGAGAAGCTGACATGTTAGTTACCAGCAGTAGTGTTGTGATAAAACGTTATGTAAGATAAACATTTCTTTCCTGTTGAAACATGATCCTCAATCAATGGCTAAGGGAGCTTAGTGTGGGGATTAGAATTATGACACTGTGAACTCTAATCCATAGCAATTAAACAACCACACCCCACACTTTCGTGTGAACTTCACTCTCCCTTTCTTTCTGCTGAATAATGCTATTTCCATTTCCCAAGACAGAAAAGTGCAGTGTCAAAATTTCTAATTACAAAACAGGTGAGTTGATTCAGTATGGTTTCTAAAAATTCTTTACTTTCCAAAGGTTAAACTCTTGACTCCCACATTTTAAAACGTAGACATTTAAAAGATTTTGACGTCTAAATTCAAGCATACAAACTTTTTAAGAAATACATTAGTTGGCAAAGACAAGTACATTTTTGTTCCAAACTCAACAACCACAAAACTTTCCAAGAAGAATCTTAATGTTTAATGACAGAGCTGAGTGTTTGGAGAGAAAATGCAACTGTCCCTAAATCCTGGCACTGGAACTCCTGCTTTCAATGAGTCCTGTGTCCTTCCATTCACATTCATGATACGATTAGTTGCATCTGTCCCTGCAGCCATTGGTTTTCATTCTCTGATACTCTGCTATGTTCCATCTCCCAAACAGCCTGGGATAGAGCAAGGGCTATCAAACTTCACTGATGAGCCCAGTCAATTTATCTCTAACCATTTACAATGAGCAAGTGCGCGTGCACACATGCAAACATCCATACACACAATATACAAATAACTGAAACTAACAACTCATGAAACATTACTTACCCTTCAACATGTCATGCTTGCTGATATTTTCTCTTCTTTTCTATTTTATTTTAAAAAGTAGTGAGGTTTCACAATCTGCTGAACTCTTACCATGCATATTTGAGAAACACTAACATAGAAAATAAGACTCAGTCTTTAGTTTTTAATAGCAGTGAGTCTGAATCCCAGATCCACCACTTAATCTGGGCAAGTTACTTTAAAAAACCTCGTATCCCCAACTGTAAAAAATAAGAATAACAACCTCATTCACCTTAGGTGATTTTTGTAGGATAAAATGAGGAGAAGTTTAGAAAAATAACCAGTTGTGTAACTGACGTTGAACAAATGCTAGCTCCTTCCATATCTTGCAAAGTTAATGCAACAACATCTTTTTTTCCAGGTTATGAAATAAAATGCACCCCATAGAGTTAGAATATAGAATGCCGAAAGAAGCAAGGGATTAGCATTCTCTGTCTTTGAAAGAATTTGGTCTTCTAACTACAGTTATACAACTCTGAGGCCTGATTTTTGCTTTTTGTTTTGAAGAGTGACTTAGCTCCCTGCCGGTCCTCCCTGTCAGTGACATCCTCTGGTTTCATGGCCAGTTCATGGGTTCCCAGGGCCTTCACTGGGTGGCTTCCAGGCATGACTTCATTTTAGTCCTTGGTGTAGATATTCATGTCTGTCACCAGCCAGGGTGTGACTGTGAACCCTGCATTTTTCTGATGTTCCATTTCATTAACTAAAAAATGGAGGAAAAAACCATTTCATGGGACTATAAGGAGGGTTAAAGATATAAAATATTGAAAGGGACTAGACTGAAGAAGGATCATTAGGAAGTTTTCAATAAATATTAGTTCTTGAATTCTTCCTCTTCCCATTAACTCCTATACATGTATTATTACCACATACTCTCACTTCTTAGGCTGCCAAGAAAAGTCACAGTTAGCCAATGAAGACTTGAGACTGGTTTGCTGGAATCTGAGGGTGCCCACTGATGGGTAACAATTTGGGCCAAGAAAACATTCTGGGAACTCCTCCAACACCGTCATGAAGAATGCAGGTTCTTCTTCAGCATTGTTTGTGGTTTTCAACCATACATCCTAAAGTACATTTTTGATTCTATGGCTTAAATTATTCATTCATTCATTCATTCTTTCATTCATTCATTCAGGCTTAGAGAAACCTCCAGGAGACTGCTACCATGGCAGAGAAGCCCAAGCTCCACTACTCCAATGCACAGGGCAGAATGGAGTCCACCTGGTGGCTCCTGGCTGCAGCCGGAGTAGAGGTAGGTTCTGAGTTAGGTCATCTTAAGTTGGATTTAAAATTGTGTTATCACATACTTTTCCCACAGAAACTATGAGATGATTACTAACTGAAGCATTGTGCCTTAAATAAAAATGGACTATAATTAAGAAAAAGATGAACAGATTTGACCTAATAATTGTTAAAATTTCTTATCATCTAAGAGCCTCAATATTAAAATATATTTAAAAAACTAATCACAAAGTGTAGAACTTAAGTGGATTAGAATTTAAACAAACTGTAAACAATAATTATGGCATTGACCAGGTGTAGTGGCTCACGCCTGTAATCCCAGCACTTTGGGGGGTCGAGGCGGGCGGATCACCTGAGATCAGGAGTTCGACACCAGCCTAACCAACATGGGGAAAAGCCGTCTCTATTAGAAATACAAAATTAGCCAGGTGTGGTGGTGCATGCCTGTGATCCCAGCTACTCAGGAGGCCGAGGCAGGAGAATCACTCAAACCTGGGAGGCGGAGGTTGCAGTGAGCTGAGATCATGCCATTGCACTCCAGCCTGGGCAACAAGAGTGAAACTCTGTCTCAAAAAATAAAAATAAAATGATAATAATAATTATTTTGGTATTTATACAATTAGAAACATGAATATTGACTGAATATTTGATGACATGAAAGAATTATTGTTAATATTTCATGTGTGATAATGTACTAGTTCTATCTTTAGAATAGTATGTTTTAGGAAAACACATTGAAGTATTTAAGGATTAATCTTATGGATCTGGGATTTCCTTGGAATTATTACAAGTAGGTGGACATATCTTGTCCCTCGGGTGGCAGCAGAAAAGGAGGATTTCAGGTGAGGTGGCGTCCTGTGAAGGGAACTTCTAGCGCGCCCCTTCAGCCTCACAGCGCCGCGTGGACCTGAACCTCGGAACGGTACTTTGTGCATTGTTTCACGAGGGCTTGGGACCTTAGCCTCATCCTTTCTCAATCCTACGAGGAAACAAGCACATAAGAAATCCAAACACTGCCATTCCAGGTTGTTTTCTTTGTACAAATGAATACCCTGTCACCCAGACATCAGCTCTGCAGCTCAGGGATGTGTTCAGAGCCCGGGTAGGAAGAGTTCAGCAGGAGGGAGGGGAGGGGCAAGGCTGGGAGGAACACAGGCTCCCTGGTCTCCATCTAGCCTGACTGAAGGCGGGGGCAGGGCTGACTGCAGACCTTGCTCAGGCTTCTGGGGTCTCAGTGCCCTAAGGCTGATGATCACAACCCAGTCCTCAGCCTCACAAGCAACATCCCACTTGCCAATCCCACCCCATCTCGGTCACCCTCCTGCCAGGACCACACATCGTTCCTTAGGTTTGTCCTGAACTGGATGCTATATTAATTGCTGGCACACACCCCCCGTAACCTCTAGATCCTGGTCCTATGTGATCATAGATCCACAACAAACTCTGTTCCACGGAGCAAGCTAGAAATCCCTAAATTCCTGAATTTTCACCATAAAGAACTCCATTAAAGTGTAATTAGCCACTGGAAACACAACTACCATTTATTACTTGATGTATGTGGGTCAGGCCCTGTATCATGCATTTTGAAACATTACAAAATTCTGATTAAGGAAATATTCTTTCCCCATTTTGCAGATGAGGAAACTAAGGCTTGAAGATGTTAAGTGATGATTCCCAGATCACACAGCTATTATGAGGCAGAGTCAAGATTGGAACCAGATCATATCAACAGTGAAATCCAGAGAATCTTGATAACTTTTGCTTAGACTTTTGGTTTGACAGATTCTGCCTATGTAAGTCAACTTCATCATTACGTAATAACTGAATTTCATATCAGTATTAAATACCTGCAACCACTCATAGCTTCTGATCAGACTGAGACAGCTTTGTTGCTGGCTGCCATTTCCACCAAAGTGACTTGTCTCAGGACAAGGTGTAATTTACTCCAAGGTTTAAATTACTGGTTGTAGATCAAGATCAAAGTATATTTTCATCAATTTTAGATTGATTTAAATTTTTTAAAGGATGATATGATGAAATAGCCAGCTATATCTCAAAATTCTAAAGATAATTTATATTTATTTATTTATTTATTTATTTTGAGTTTTAATGCATATTTAATAAAAATCATTTGGTTGGATATCTTTTTTTTAAGGGAAACCAGAATGGTATTTATTATTTTACATTTGGTAGAGGAGATATCTTAAAGGGTCCAGAATACATAAGTCTCTTACGTATGATACTCCTTTTTTTGTTACTGAGGTATACTTATAAGCTTAGATAAGTAATCAGAAGGTTCGTTGGTAAGCACTGAATTAGAACAAAGGCAGTTAGGTAATTTGGAGTTTAATAGCCCAGGGTACCTGACAGAGATATGCTGGGGGCCACAACCCTGTATGTAATTTTAAAGTTTCTAAGTAGCCACATTTTAAAAAGTAAAAAGAAACAGATGAAATTAACTTTAATAATATATTTAACTCATTATATCTAAAATGTTATTTTACTATGTAGTCAATATATTAAAATTATTGTTTTTCATACTAAGTATTCAAAATCTGGTGTGTATTTTTTTCTATATATTTGATTTTTTAAAATTATACTTTAAGTTTTAGGGTACATGTGCACAACATGCAGGTTTGTCACATATGTATACATGTGCCATGTTGGTGTGCTGCACCCATTAACTCGTCATTTAGCATTGGGTATAACTCCTAATGCTATCCCTCCCCCTTACCCCCACCCCACAACAGTCCCCGGTGAGTGATGTTCTCCTTCCTGTGTCCATGTGTTCTCATTGTTCAGTTCCCACCTATGAGTGAGAACATGCGGTGTTTGGTTTTTTGTCCTTGTGATAGTTTGCTGAGAATGATGATTTCCAGCTTCATTCATGTCCCTACAAAGGACATGAACTCATCATTTTTTTATGGTGGCATAGCATTCCATGGTGTATATGTGCCACATTTTCTTTCTTTTTTCTTTTTTTTTTATTATTATTATACTTTAAGTTTTAGGGTACATGTGCACAATGTGCAGGTTAGTTACATATGTATACATGTGCCATGCTGGTGTGCTGCACCCATTAACTCATCATTTAGCATTAGGTATATCTCCTAATGCTATCCTTCCCGCCCTCCCCCCACCCCACAACAGTCCCCAGAGTGTGATGTTCCCCTTCCTGTGTCCATGTGTTCTCACTGTTCAATTCCCATCTATGAGTGAGAACATATGGTGTTTGGTTTTTTGTCCTTGCGATAGTTTACTGAGAATGATGATTTCCAATTTCACCCATGTCACTACAAAGGACATGAACTCGTCATTTTTTATGGCTGCATAGTATTCCATGGTGTATATGTGCCACATTTTCTTAATCCAGTCTATCACTGTTGGACATTTGGGTTGGTTCCAAGTCTTTGCTATTGTGAATAGTGCCACAATAAACATACGTGTGCATGTGTCTTTATAGCAGCATGATTTATAGTCCTTTGGGTATATACCCAGTAATAGGATGGCTGGGTCAAATGGTATTTCTAGTTCTAGATCCCTGAGGAATCACCACACTGACTTCCACAATGGATGAACTAGTTTACAGTCCCACCAACAGTGTAAAAGTCTTCCTATTTCTCCACATCCTCTCCAGCACCTGTTGTTTCCTGACTTTTTAATGATTGCCATTCTAACCAGTGTGAGATGGTATCTCATTGTGGTTTTGATTTGCATTTCTCTAATGGCCAGTGATGATGAACATTTTTTCATGTGTCTTTTGGCTGCATAAATGTCTTCTTTTGAGAAGTGTCTGTTCATATCCTTTGCCCACTTTTTGATGGGGTTGTTTGTTTTTTTCTTGTAAATTTGTTTGAGTTCATTGTAGATTCTGGATATTAGCCCTTTGTCAGATGAGTAGGTTGCGAAAATTTTCTCCCATTTTGTAGGTTGCCTGTTCACTCTGATGGTAGTTTCTTTTGCTGTGCAGAAGCTCTTTAGTTTAATTAGATCCCATTTGTCAATTTTGGCTTTTGTTGCCATTGCTTTTGGTGTTTTAAACATGAAGTCCTTGCCCATGCCTATGTCCTGAATGGTATTGCCTAGGTTTTCTTCTAGGGTTTTTATGGTTTTAGGTCTAACGTTTAAGTCTTTAATCCATCTTGAATTGATTTTTGTATAAGGTGTAAGGAAGGGATCCAGTTTCAGCTTTCTACATATGGCTAGCCAGTTTTCCCAGCACCATTTATTAAATAGGGAATCCTTTCCCCATTGCTTATTTTTTTCAGGTTTGTCAAAGATCAGATAATTGTAGATATGCGGCATTATTTCTGAGGGCTCTGTTCTGTTCCATTGGTCTATATCTCTGTTTTGGTACCAGTACCATACTATTTTGGTTACTGTAGCCTTGTAGTATAGTTTGAAGTCAGGTAGCGTGATGCCTCCAGCTTTGTTCTTTTGGCTTAGGATTGACTTGGCATTGTGGGCTCTTTTTTGCTTCCATATGAACTTTAAGGTAGTTTTTTCCCATTCTGTGAAGAAAGTCATTGGTAGCTTGATGGGGATGGCATTGAATCTATAAATTACCTTGGGCAGTATGGCCATTTTCACGATATTGATTCTTCCTAACCATGAGCATGGAATATTCTTCCATTTGTTTGTATCCTCTTTTATTTCATTGAGTAGCGATTTGTAGTTCTCCTTGAAGAGGTCCTTCATATCCCTTGTAAGTTGGATTCGTAGGTCTTTTATTCTCTTTGAAGCAATTGTGAATGGGAATTCACTCATGATTTGGCTCTCTGTTTGTCTGTTATTGGTGTATAAGAATGCTTGTGATTTTTGCACATTGATTTTGTATCCTGAGACTGCTGAAGTTCCTTATCAGCTTAAGGAGATTTTGGGCTGAGGCGACGGGGTTTTCTGGATATACAATCATGTCATCTGCAAACAGGGACAATTTGACTTCCTCTTTTCCTAATTGAATGCCCTTTATTTCCTTCTCCTGCTTGATTGTCCTGGCCAGAACTTCCAACACTATGTTGAATAGGAGTGGTGAGAGAGGGCATCCCTGTCTTGTGCAGGTTTTCAAAGGGAATGCTTCCAGTATTTGCCCATTCTGTATGATATTGGCTGTGGGTTTGTCATAGATAGCTCTTATTATTTTGAGATATGTCCCATCAATACCTAATTTACTGAGAGTTTTTAGCATGAAGTGTTGTTGAATTTTGTCAAAGGCCTTTTCTGCATCTATTGAGAAAATCATGTGGTTTTTGTCATTGGTTCTGTTTATATGCTGGATTACGTTTATTGATTTGCATATGTTGAACCAGCCTTGCATGGGATGAAGCCCACTTGATCATCGTGGATAAGTTTTTTGATGTGCTGTTGGATTTGGTTTGCCAGTATTTTATTGAGGATTTTTGCATTGATGTTCATCAAGGATATTGGTCTAAAATTCTCTTTTTTGGTTGTGTCTCTGCCAGGCTTTGGTATCAGGATGATGCTGGCCTCATAAAATGAGTTAGGGAGGATTCCCTCTTTTTCTATTGATTGGAATAGTTTCAGAAGGAATGGTACCAGCTCCTCCTTGTACCTCTGGTAGAATTCGGCTGTAAATTCATCTGGTCTTGGACTTTTTTTGGTTGGTAAGCTATTAATTATTGCCTCAATTTCAGAGCCTGTTATTGGACTATTCAGATATTCAACTTCTTCCTGGTTTAGTCTTGGGAGAGTGTATGTGTCAAGGAATATATCCATTTCTTCTAGATTTTCTAGTTTATTTACATAGAGGTGTTTATAGTATTCTCTGATGGTAGTTTGTATTTCTGTGGGATTGGTGTTGATATCCCCTTTATCATTTTTTATTGCATCTATTTGATTCTTCTCTCTTTTCTTCTTTATTAGTCTTGGTGGCAGTCTATCAATTTTGTTGATCTTTTCAAAAAACCAGCTCCTGGATTCATTGATTTTTTGAAGGGATTTTTGTGTCTCTATTTCCTTCAGTTCTGCTCTGATCTTAGTTATTTCTTGCCTTCTGCTAGCTTTTGAATGTGTTTGCTCTTGCTTCTCTAGTTCTTTTAATTGTGATAATAGGGTGTCAATTTTAGATCTTTCCTGCTTTCTCTTGTGGGCATTTAGTGCTATAAATTTCCCTCTACACACTGCTTTGAATGTGTCCCAGAGATTCTGGTATGTTGTGTCTTTGTTCTCATTGGTTTCAAAGAACATCTTTATTTCTGCCTTCATTTCATTATGTACCCAGTAGTCATTCAGGAGCAGGTTGTTCAGTTTCCATGTAGTTAAGCGGTTTTGAGTGAGTTTCTTAATCCTGAGTTCTAGTTTGATTGCACTGTGGTCTGAGAGACAGTTTGTTATAATTTCTGTTCTTTTACATTTGCTGAGGAGTGCTTTACTTCCAACTATGTGGTCAATTTTGGAATAAGTGTGGTGTGGTGCTGAAAAGAATGTATATTCTGTTGATTTGGGGTGGAGAGTTCTGTAAATGTCTATTAGGTCTGCTTGGTGCAGAGCTGAGTTCAATTCCTGGATATCCTCATTAACTTTCTGTCTCACTGATCTGTCTAATGTTGACAGTGGGGTGTTAAAGTCTCCCATTATTATTGTATGGGAGTCTAAGTCTCTTTGTAGGTCTCTAAGGACTTGCTTTATGAATCTGGGTGCTCCTGAATTAGGTGCATATATATTTAGGATAGTTAGCTCTTCTTGTTGAATTGATTCCTTTACCACTATGTAATGGCCTTCTTTGTCTCTTTTGATCTTTGTTGGTTTAAAATCTGTTTTATCAGAGACTAGGATTGCAACTCCTGCCTTTTTTGTTTTCTATTTGCTTGGTAGATCTTCCTCCATTCCTTTATTTTGAGCCTATGTGTGTCTCTGCAGATGAGATGGGTTTCCTGAATACAGCACACTGATGGGTCTTGACTCTATCCAGTTTGCCAGTCTGTGTCTTTTAATTGGAGCATTTAGCCCATTTACATTTAAGGTTAATATTATTATGTGTGAATTTGATCCTGTCATTATGTTAGCTGGTTATTTTGCTCATTAGTTGATGCATTTTCTTCCTAGCCTCGATGATCTTTATAATTTGGCATGATTTTGCAGTGGCTGGTACCGGTTGTTCCTTTCCATGTTTAGTGCTTCCTTCAGGAGCTCTTGTAGGGCAGGCCTGGTGGTGACAAAATCTCTCAGCATATGTTTTTCTGTGAAGGATTTTATTTCTCCTTCACTTATGAAGCTTAGTGTGGCTGGATATGAAATTCTGGGTTGAAAGTTCTTTTCTTTAAGAATGTTGAATATTAGCCGGGCGCGGTGGCTCACGCCTGTAATCCCAGCACTTTGGGAGGCCTTGGGGGGCGGATCACGAGGTCAGGAGATAGAGACCATCCCGGCTAAAACGGTGAAACCCCATCTCTACTAAAAATACAAAAAATTAGCCGGGCGTAGTGGCGGGCGCCTGTAGTCCCAGCTACTTGGGAGGCTGAGGCAGGAGAATGGCGTGAACCCAGGAGGAGGAGCTTGCAGTGAGCCGAGATCCCACCACTGCAGTCCAGCCTGGGTGACAGAGCGAGACTCCGTCTCAAAAAAAAAAAAAAAAATGTTGAATATTGGCCCCCACTCTCTTCTGGCTTGTAGAGTTTCTGCAGAGAGATCAGCTGTTAGTCTGATGGGCTTCCCTTTGTGGATAACCCAACCTTTCTCTCTGGCTGCCCTTAATATTTTTTCCTTCATTTCAACTTTGGTGAATCTGACAATTATGTGTCTTGGAGTTGCTCTTCTCAAGGAGTATCTTTGTGGCGTTCTCTGTATTTCCTGAATCTGAATGTTGGCCTGCCTTGCTAGATTGGGGAAGTTCTCCTGGATAATATCCTGCAGAGTGTTTTCCAACTTGGTTCCATTCTCCCCGTCACTTTCAGGCACACCAATCAGATGTAGATTTGGTCTTTTCACATAGTCCCATATTTCTTGGAGGCTTTGTTCATTTCTTTTTATTCTTTTTTCTCTAAACTTTCTTCTCACTTCATTTCATTCATTTCATCTTCCATCACTGATACCCTTTCTTCCAGTTGATCAAATCGACTACTGAGGCTTGTGCATTTGTCATGTAGTTCTTGTGCCGTGGTTTTCAGCTCCATCAGGTCCTTTAAGGACTTCTGTGCATGGTTATTCTAGTTAGCCATTCGTCTAATATTTTTTCAAGGTGTTTAACTTCTTTGCCATGGGTTCAAACTTCCTCCTTTAGCTCAGAGTAGTTTGATCATCTGAAGCCTTCTTCTCTCAACTCGTCAAAGTCGTTTTCTGTCCAGCTTTGTTGCTGGTGCAGAGCTGCGCCCCTTTGGAGGAGGAGAGGCGCTCTGATTTTTAGAGTTTCCAGTTTTTCTGCTCTGTTTTTTCCCCATCTTTGTGGTTTTATCTACCTTTGGTCTTTGATGATGGTGACGTACAGATGGGGTTTTGGTGTGGATGTCCTTTCTGTTTGTTAGTTTACCTTCTAACAGTCAGGGCCCTCAGCTGCAGGTCTGTTGGAGTTTGCTAGAGGTCTACTCCAGACCCTGTTTGCCTGAGTATCAGCAGCGGAGGCTGCAGAACAGTGGATATTGGTGAACAGCAAATGTTGCTGTCTGATTGTTCCTCTGGAAGTTTTGTCTCAGAGTAGTACCCAGCCGTGTGAGGTGTCAGACTGCCCCTATGGTGGGCTGCCTCCCAGTTAGGCTACTCAGGGGTAAGGGACCCACTTGAGGAGGCAGTCTGTCTGTTCTCAGATCTCAAGCTACATGCTGGGAGAACCACTACTCTCTTCAAAGCTGTCAGACAGGGACATTTAAGTCTGCAGAGGTTTCTGCTGCCTTTTGTTCCGTTATGACCTGCCCCCAGAGGTGGAGACTATAGAGGCAGGCAGGCCTCCTTGAACTGAGGTAGGCTCCACCCAGTTTGAGCTTCCAGGCCAGTTTGTTTACCTACTCAAGCCTTGGCAATGGTGGGCGCCCCTCCCCAAGCCTCGCTGCCGCCTTGCAGTTTGATCTCAGACTGCTGTGCTAGCAATGAGCGAGAGGCTCTGTGGGCGTAGGACCCTCTGAGGCAGGCCCGGGTTATAATCTCCTGGTGTGCTGTTTGCTAAGACTGTTGGAAAAGCACAGTATTAGGGTGGGAGTGACCCGATTTTCCAGGTGCCGTCTGTCACCCCCTTCTTTGACTAGGAAAGGGAATTACCTGACCCCTTGTGCTTCCCAGGTGAGGCAATGCCTCGCCCTGCTTTGGCTCACACTCGGTGTGCTGCACCCACTGTCCTGCACCCAGTATCTGACACTCCCCAGTGAGATGAACCCGGTACCTCAGTTGGAAATGCAGAAATCACCTGTCTTCTGCGTCGCTCACGCTGGGAGCTCTAGACTGGAGTTGTTCCTATTTGGCCATCTTGGCTCCACCCCCCAAAATTTATATTTAATGAGCAGTTACTATCACTTGCTACTTTTCTAAGTGCTTTGTGTGACCTTGTAATTAAATCTTGATATCAACCTATACCATAAGTTCCATAAGTTTACCCATTTCATAGATTAGCATACTCAGACACAGAGAGTTTCGGTAACATGTCCAAAGTCAAGAAGCCAGTACATGAAAATGGTGATAATGAACCCACAAAACCACATCAGAAACCAGAGGTTTTCATGAAAAATAATGTTAGCGTGGGGCTCTAATTCCTTTATTAAATTGAGAATTTTACCCTATTGGTCCCATGTACTTCAGAAGAGAAAATTACAGTTGCAAGTGTGAAAGCTGTGCAACAGCTGCAACCTATTTCACCCTTAGCAGAGTTTCTGAGAAGTGGGGTGATATAAATTATAGCAGAGACTCCTTGGTGGCAGAATATTTGATGGCCATTAGCCCATGGCATACCCCACACTGGGGACACACAAGGTTGTGGTCTGATCTCACCTGGAGACACAGGCTTTCCTAAGATATGACAACACCATAAGTAGAAGAACTGCTCAGTGCCTTTTCTCCAGTGATGTCTGCTCTCAAAATATGACCTAATCATAGACATTCATGAGATCAGGCTGGAGGTGAAGTGAACTAGAAGATTGAGCAGCTATGTGCTGTGACCCACGCACTTTTCTCAATAAATTAGGTCTAAATTTACAAATGGCCATGACCAGCCCCCTCTGTGTACCCTGCCAAACTCAGAAATCTTATATTCTCCAAACCATGCACCAGATAGGGGCCATTCCACATCACAAGTCTATAATAGAATAAACTAACAAGAACTCATATACTGTTTCTGCTTGCATTTTGAAGAGAAATTTCTAGAATCTGCAGAAGATTTGGAAAAGTTAAGAAATGGTAAGATCGGCCAGGTGAAGTGGCTCCTGCCTGTAATCCCAGCACTTTGGGAAGCCAAGGCGGGCTGATCATGAGGTCAGGAGTTCGAGACCAGCCTGACCAATGTGGTGAAAACCCTTCTCTACTAAAAATAAAAAAATTAGCCAGGCATGATGGTGTGTGCCTGTAATCCCAGCTACTCAGTAGGCTGAGGCGGTAGAATCGCTTGAGCCCTAGAGGCGGATGTTGCAGTGAGCCAAGATCGCACCACTGCACTCCAGCCTGGGTGACAGAGCAAGACTCAGTCTCAAAAAAAAAAAAAAAAAAGGTAAGATCAATCTCTAAGTGCCTCTGATGATAGTATCGAGTAGAAGGTACACGGGGAGGTTTGACCAGCCGGCAATGCCTATGTGTGTGGGGCGTGGTATTTGTACATGGTGCAGAGGGAGAAAGTGGTTAAAATGGAAGGGATGTGGCTCCGTGATCAAGTCTGGCAACTCTCTCCAGACTAAAAGGACCAGACCTCTCAGACTATTTGCTAGAGGAATCATCTCCCATGCCCTGAGAAAACCCTTTCTTTGTTTTCATGATTGGGGCTCCGTGAATGAGCTGTGGTCATCAGCTCAGGATCCCACACAGCTCTCCCCATCCAAGGACACGCAAGAACATGCATTAGACTAAAGGAGGAGAAATCGATGTGGCCACAGTCTTGAGTTTTTTCTTTCATGCGGGGGCATGACAAGGTAACACTGCAGCACTGCACAAACATTGTAGGCTTTGAAGAGCAGAGAAAGGGACCCTTACATAAAAACCTCTCAGAAATTGCCTTAAATGTCACAAACACCATGAGACTTACTTTGGGAACTTCCCATTTTAAATGGCATCTTGTTGCCAGTCCTATTGTAACTTGTCCCAACCTCTTCCTAAAATATCCATGAAGATAAATCAACACAAAAATACAAGAGTCCTACTATGTATCTGGAGGGGAAATAAAAACATGAATGAAATAAATCGATAAAAAGTAAAAGGAAGCTTCTTAAGAAAAAGAAGAACTACGGGAAGCTTTTTAAAAATCTTGTTTGGGCCAGGTGCAGTCGCTTACGCCTAATCCCAGCACTTTGGGAGGCTGAGGTGGGTGGATCATTTGAGATCGGGAGTATGAGACCAGTTAGGGCAACATGGTGAGACCCCATCTCTACTAAAAATATAAAAATTAGCCAGGCATGTTGGTGCACACCTGTAATCCCAGCTACTCAGGAGGTTGAGGTACAAGAATTGCTTCAACCCAGGAGGCAGAGGTTACAGTGAGCCGAAATCACGCCACTGAACTCCAGCCTGGGTGACAAAGTGCAACTCTGTCTCAAAAACAAAACAAAACAAAACAAAAAGTTGTTTCAAGTGAAATCTTACCAGGCCATAATTTCTTTTTCATTTCACAAATTTAGTAATTTCCATACCATTTTTTTCATACGGAAAGAGTGGGTTCCATAGACATTTCACTCTCCTTTTTTCCTTCTTTCTAAAGATGGGAGTTTTATGTTCCAACAAGTGCCAATGGTTGAGATTGATGGGATGAAGCTGGTTCAGACCAGAGCCATTCTCAACTACGTTGCCAGCAAATACAATCTCTATCGGAAAGACATAAAGGAGAGAGTCCTGTACAGTATATTTTCTGTTCTTCCATCAACAGATAACACGGAGTGATTTAGGTCCCTCCTTGAGTGGGTGGGACCATGGCAGGAACATCATGACCAGCAGCAGGCTGGGCCTTGGGCATGTACGCTGAGGTCCAGCATTGCAGAATTCCACATAGATGAAGGAATAGTGACCATGGGGAGGGTTCAGGCGAGGGTGATTCTAGAAGACGATGCAGTCCATGGATTCAGCACCCTGACAGAGGTTTCCAAACACTGATGAACCATGAACTCAGGATGATGGCGAATCATGATTCCAGGTGCTAAGGATTTCAGACACTGGATTCCAGCCTATAGCTTAGGACAGGCATAGAATGTTTGAGAGTCTGCAGATGAAGGACTTGGGACGGAAGGTGGCAAAGAAGCTGAATCTCAGGTCCCAGTAATTCCAAGAATGATGACCAGAAACCTAAATTACCAACCAATTATATGGACTGGAACACCTGAGCAGTGCCTGTAGAGGCTGGCACCAAGGATGCTGGGGTTACCTTGACACATGGATACAAGGCTGAAGCAGCCAGATTTATTCAATACCAGCAAAGCCAAGGGGTCTCCTTGCTGTTGTGATGAGACTGCATGATTCCAAATAAATCCTGAATGGAACTGTTGGCAACTCCTCAAAAAGTTTAATATAGTATTACCAATGACCCCACAGTTCCTCTAATAGCTGTATCCCCAAATAATCAAAAATATATCCACACTAAATCTTTTACATAAATGAACCATGCAAATAACAATATTCATAGTATTCAAAAAGTGGAAGCAACCCAAATATCCATCAGTCAATAAATGGAGGAGAAAAATGCACCTTAGCCATGCAATGGAATGATATTTGGTCATGAAAAGGAATGAAGTACTGATGCATGCTACAAGATGGTTAAACCATAAAGACATGTTACATAAAAGAAACAAGACACAGAAAGCCACGTATTATAGGATCCTTTCCATATGAAATGTCCAGAACATGCAAATCTATAGAGGCAGAGAGTAGATTAGAGGTTGCCTGGAGGTAAAGGAGTGGGGCTTGTGGAAAAATGAGGAATACCACTAAAGGTACAGATGTCCTTATCAGAGTGATAAAAAATATTCTGGAATTAGACTGCCATGATTTTTGCAGAAATCTTTGAATGCACTAAAAACCACTCAATAGTATAATTTAACAAGTCACAATTATAGTATGTGACTATATGTCAATAAAGCTGTTGTTTTAAAAAGTATTGTGGGGAGACTTGCAAGATGGCCAAATAGGAACAGCTCCAGTCTGCAGCTCTCAGCGAGGTTGACGCAGAATGTGGGTGATTTCTGCATTTCCAACAGAGGTACCCAGTTCATCTCATTGGGACTGGTTGGACAGTGGGTGCAGCCCTTGGAGGGTGAGCCGAAGCAGGGTGGGGTGTCACCTCACCCGGGAAGCACAGGGGGTCAGGGAATTATCTCCCCTAGCCAAGGGAAGCCATGACAGACTGTATTGGGAGGAACGGTGCACACTGGCCCAGATACTGCACTTTTCCCATGGTCTTCGCAACCGGCAGACCAGGAGATTCCCTCCGGTGCCTACCCCACCAGGGCCCTGTGTTTCAAGCACAAACCTTGGCACCCATTTGGGCAGACACTGAACTAGCTACAGGAGTTTTTTTTTTTTTCATACCCTAGTGGCACCTGGAATGCCAGCGAGACAGAATTGTTCACTCCCCTGGAAAGGGGCCTGAAGCCAGGGAGCCAAGTAGTCTGGCTTGGCAGGTCCCACCCCCATGGAGCCCAGCAAGCTAAGATCCACTGGCTTGAAATTCTTGCTGCCAGCACAGCAGTCTGAGCTCGACCTGGGATGCTTGGGTTTGGTGGGGGGAGGGGCATCTGCCATTGCTGAGGCTTGAGTAGGCGGTTTTCCCCTCACAGTGTAAACAAAGCCACCAGGAAGTTCGAACTGGGCAGAGCCCACTGCAGCTCAGCAAGGCCTCTGTGGCCAGACTGCCTTTCTAGACTCCTCCTCTCTGGGCAGGGCATCTCTGAAAAAAAAGGCAGCAGCCTCAGCCAGGGACTTATAGATAAAACCCCCATCTTCCTGAGACAGAGCACCTGGGGGAAGGAGTGGCTATGGGCACAGCTTCAGCAGACTTAAATGTCCCAGCCTGACAGCTCTGAAGAGAGCAGTGGTTCTCCCAGCACAGCGTTCAAGCTCTGATAAGGGACAGACTGCCTCCTCAAGTGGGTCCATGATCCCCATGTATCCTGACTGGGAGACACCTCCCAGTAGGGGCCGACAGACACCTTATACAGGAGAGCTCTGGCTGGCATCCATTGGGGGTCCCTCTGGGATGAAGCTTCCAGAGGAAGGAACAGGCAGCAATCTTTGCTGTTCTGCAGCCTCCACTGGTGATACCCAGGCAAAGAGGTTCTGGAGTGGACCTCCAGCAAACTCCAGCAGACCTGCAGCAGAGGGGCCTGATTGATAGAAGGAAAACTAACAAACAGAAAGGAGTAGTATCAGCATCAACGAAAAGGATGTCCACTCAGAGACCCTATCAGAAGGTCACCAACATCAAAGACGAAAGATAGATAAATCCACGAAGATGGAAAGAACACAGTGAAAAAGGCTGAAAATTCCAAAAACCAGAGCACCTCCTCTCCTCCAAAGGATCACAACTCCTCACCAGCAAGCAAACAAAACCGGACAGAGAATGAGTTTGACAAATTGACAGAAGTAGGGTTCAGAAGGTGGGTAATAACAAACTCCTCTGAGCTAAAGGAGCATGTTCTAACCCAATGCAAGGAAGCTAAGAACCTTGAAAAAAGGTTAGACGAATTGTTAACTAGAATAACCAGTTTAAAGAAGAACATAAATGACCTGATGGAGCTGAAAAACAGAATGAGAACTTCATGAAGCATATACAATTAACAATAGCCGAATCAATCAAGCAGATTAAAGGACATCAGAGATTGAAGATCAACTCAATGAAATAAAGTGAGAAGACAAGATTAGGGAAATAAGAGTGAAAAGAAATGAACAAAGCCTCCAAGACATATGGGACTATGTGAAAAGACCAAATCTGCATTTGATTGGTGTATTTGAAAGTGACTGGTACCAGCCACTGCAAAAACATACCAAATTGCAAAGACCATCGATGCTATGAAGAAACTGCCTCAACTAATGGGCAAAATAACCAGCTAGCATCATAATGACAGGATCAAATTCACACATAACAATATTAACCTTAAATGTAAATGGGCTAAATGCCCCAATTAAAAGACACAGACTGGCAAATTGGATAAAGAGTCAAGACCCATTGCTGTGCTGTATTCAGAAGTCCCATCTCACATGCAAAGACACACATAGGCTCAAAATAAAGGCATGGAGGAATATTTACCAAGCAAAATGGAAAGCAAAAAAAAGCAGGGGTTGCAATCCCAGTTTCTGATAAAACAGACTTTAAACCAACAAAGATCAAAAGAGACAAAGAAGGCCATTACATAATGGTAAAGGGATCAATGCAATAAGACCTAACTATCCTAAATATATATGCACCCAACACAGGAGCACCCAGATTCATAAAGCAAGTTCTTAGAGACCTACAAAGAGACTTAGACTCCCATACAATAATAGTGGGAGACTTTAAAACCCCATTGTCAATATTAGACAGATCAACAAGACAGAAAATTAACAAGGATATCCAGGACTTGAACTCAGCTCTGTACCAAGTGGACCTAATAGACATTTACAGAACTCTCCACCCCAAATCAACAGAATATACATTCTTCTCAGCACCACATCACACTTATTCTAAAATTGACCACATAATTGGAAGTAAAACACTCCTCAGCAAATGCAAAAGAACAGAAATCATAAGAAACAGTCTGTTAGACCACAGTGCAATCAAATTAGAACTCAGAATTAAGAAACTCACGCAAAAACTGCACAACTACATGGAAACTGGACAACCTGCTCCTGAATGACAACTGGGTAAGTAATGAAATGAAGGCAGAAATAAAGATGCTCTTTGAAACCAATAAGAACAAAGACACAATGTACCAGAATCTCTACAACACATTTAAAGCAGTGTGTAGAGGGAAATTTATAGCACTAAATGCCCACAAGAGAAAGCAGGAAAGATCTAAAATCGACACCTTGATATCACAATTCAAAGAACTAGAGAAGCAAGAGGAAACAAACTCAAAAGCGAGCTGAAGACAAGAAATAACTAAGATCAGAGCAGATCTGAAGGAGATAGAGACACGAAAAACCCTTCAAAAAATCAATGAATCCAGGAGCTGGTTTTTTTGGGAAAGATCAACAAAATGGATAGACCACTAGCCAGACGAATAAAGAAGAAAAGAGAGAAGAATAAAAAAGATGCAATAAAATATGATAAAGGGGATATCACTACCAATCCCACAGAAATACCATCTACCATCAGAGAATACTATAAACATCTCTACACAAATAAACTAGAAAATCTGGAAGAAATGGATAAATTCCTGGACACATACACCCTTCCAAAACCAAAACAGGAAAAAGTCGAATCCCCAAATAGACTAAGAACAAGTTCTGAAATTGAGGCAATAATTAATAGCCTACCAACCAAAAAAAGTCCAGGACCAGATGGATTCACAGCCAAATTCTACCAGAGGTACAAAGAGGAGCCGGTACCATTCCTTCTGAAACTATTCCAATCAATAGAAAAAGAGGGAATACTCCCTAACTCATTTTATGAGGCCAATATCATCCTGATACTAAAGTCTGGCAGAGACACAACAAAAAAAGAAAATTTCAAACCAATAGCCCTGATGAACATCAATGCAAAAATACTCAATAAAATACTAGTAAACCGAATCCAGCAGCACATCAAAAAGCTTATCCACCACAATCAAGTGGCTTTCATCCCTGGGATGCAAGGCTGGTTCAACCCATGCAAATCAATAAATGTAATCCATCACATAAACAGAACCAATGAAAAAACCACGTGATTATCTCAATAGATGCAGAAAAGGCCTTTGACTAAATTCAACACCCCTTCGTGATAAAAACTCTTAATTAAATAAACTAGGTATTGATGAGACCTATCTCAAAATAATAAGCAATTTATGGCATACTCATAGCCAATATCATACTGAATGGGCAAAACTGGAAGCATTCCCTTGGAAAATCAGCACAAGACATGGATGCCCTTGCTCACCACTCCCATAGTATTGGGGGTTCTGGCCAGGGCAATAAGGCAAGAGAAAGAAATAAAGAATGTTCAATTAGGAAAAGAGGAAGTCAAATTGTCTGTTTGCAGATGACATGGTTGTATATTTAGAAAACCCCATCGTTTCAGCCCCAAATCTCCTTAAGCTGATAAGCAGCTTCAGCAGCCTCAGGATACAAAACTGATGTGCAGAAATCACAAGCATTCCTATATACCAGTAACAGACAAACAGAGAGCCAAATCATGAGTGAGCTACCATTCACAATTGCTACAAAGAGCATAAAATAAATAGGAATACAACTTACAAGGGATGTGAAAGACCTCTTCAAGGAGAACTACAAACCACTGCTTAAGGAAATAAGAGAGGACACAAACAAATGGAAAAACATTCCACGCTCATGGATAGGAAGAATCAATATCATAAAAATGGCCATACTGCCCAAAGTAATTTATAGATTCAATGCTATCCCCATCAAGCTACCACTGACTTTCTTCACAGAATTGGAGAAAACTACTTTACATTTTATATGGAACCAATAAAGAGCCTGCATAGCCAAGACAATCCTAAGCAAAAAGAACAAAACTGGAGGCATCACGCTACCTGACTTCAAAATATACTACAAGTCTACAGTAACCAAAACAGCATGTTACTGGTACCAAAACAGATATAAAGACCAATGGAACAGAACAGAGGCCTCAGAAATAACACCACACATCTACACCATCTGATCTTTGGTAAACCCAACAAAAACAAGCAATGGGGAAACGATTCCCTATTTAATAAATGGTGTTGGGAAAACTGGCTAGCCATATGCAGAAAGCTGAAACTGGATCCCTTCCTTACACTTTCTACAAAAATTAACTCAAGATGGATTAAAGACTTAAATGTAAGACCTAAAACCGTAAAAACCCTAGAAGGAAACCTTGGCAATACCATTCAGGACATAGGTATGGACAAAGACTTCATGACTAAAACACCAAAAGCAATGGCAACAGAAGTTAAAATTGACAAATGGGATCTAATTAAAATAAAGAGCTTCTGCACAGCAGAAGAAACTGTCATCAGAGTGAACAGGCAACCTACAGAATGGGAGAAAATTTTTGCAATCTATCCAGCTGACAAAGGGCTAATATCCAGAATCTACAAAGAACTTAAACAAATTTACAAGAAAAAAAAACCCATCAAAAAGTGAGTGAAGGATATGAACAGACACTTCTCAAAAGAAGACATTTATACAGCCAAAAAACATATGAAAAAAACCTTATCATCACTGGCCATTAGAGAAATGCAAATCAAAACCACATTGAGATACCATCTCAAGCCAGTTAGAATGGTGATCATTAAAAAGTCAGGAAACAATAGATGCTGGAGAGGATGTGGAGAAATAGGAATGCTTATACACTGTTGGTGGGAGTGTAAATTAGTTCAACCATTGTGGAAGACAGTGTGGTGATTCCTCAAGGATCTAGAACTAGAAATATCATTTGACCCGGCAATCCCATTACTGGGTATATACCCAAAGGATTATAAATTATTCTACTATGAAGACTCATGCACACGTATGTTTATTGTGGCACTGTTCACAATAGCAAAGACTTGGAACCAACCCAAATGTCCAACAATGATAGACTGGATAAAGAAAATGTGGCACATATACACCATGGAATACTATGCAGCCATAAAATATGAGTTCATGTCCTTTGCAGGGACATGGATGAAGCCGGAAACCATCATTCTCAGCAAACTAATGCAAGAACAGAAAACCAAACACCACATGTTCTCATTCATAACTGGGAGCTGAACAAGGAGAACACATGGACACAGGGAGGGGAACATCGCACACCAGGGCCTGTCAGGGGGTGGGGGGCTAGGGGAGGGATAGCATTAGGAGAAATACCTAATGTAGATGACAGGTTGATGGGTGCAGCAAACCACCATGGCACGTGTATACCTATGTAACAAAACTGCACTTTCTGCACATGTACCCTAGGACTTAAAGTACAATAAAAAGTAAAGGATTGTGAAACCCCAGTTTGACACAAAAGAGGAAAAGTTTGCGTTGGTTGTAACTATGTAGAGAATTTCACCAAGGAAGACAATCTTTTAGGTGGGGTCTCAAGAAAGTCACACATGGCTAGAGTTGGGTAACAGCACATGGAGAGGGCTGTGGAAACGTGTTTCATGGATGTAATTGGAGGAACTGCTAATATGAGGCATAGAAGCAGCCCTGGGAGCTTTAAAATGATGAGAGAGGATGAGGAACATGGCTGAGATGGCTATAGCAGCGACTCTTTTAAAATTGTAGGAGGTAGGTCTTTGGCCATTTGACTCACACTAAGTTCATGCACAGAGCAAACCACAATAGAGATGATCAGTCCTGGCACAGCACCATTGGGTACTGGCAGTGATTCCACCAATTTCTCTCATGACTGTGACCACCGATGCTCTTGGTACCTGTATTGGTCATGTGTGTAACAAAATTTAGAGATCTATCTACCTTGATAGGTTGTTTTAAGAAATAAATGTTAATATACCTGTAAAAATCAGAGCATAATGACTAGAATATAAAAGGCACCCACTGGAGGTGAATTACTTTGCCACCACCTGACACTCTATTCTCTTAGGTTTTTATAAACCTATAAAATCTAAGGCAAAAGACATTTGACGGTTTGGTTGTTTTTGTCTTTCAGGATTGATATGTACACAGAAGGTATAGCAGATTTGGGTGAAATGATCCTTCCTCTGCCCATATGACAACCTGAGGATAAAGACACCAAGCTTGCCTTGAACCAACAGAGAACAAAAAATCGCTATTTCCCTGCCTTTGAAAAATAAGTGAAGCTGTTCAGCGTTTTGCATCACTCAGTTTAGAGACCAGTAGAAAAACAGTGGCTGGGCATTCCTGGGGCACTGACCTTCACTTTCAGTGAGACTTCATGAACACCAAGGCAGCACTCTGACTCTCAAGGCATTTTATGCAAATAGACTTGGAGGAACAATTGTAACACTTATACACAAGTTATAATTTTCCAATAAAATTTTAACTTACTAGACCCCAACATTAAATTCTCTGTTGAACAAAATTTCATGTTCATAAGTAGAACGTGGGCTGTGGAAGGCTCTGGACCACACTAGAGGTTGCTGTTGAGTCTACGGAACCCCATGGACTTTTATTGAAGATGAACATGATGAAAGTGACCCATCAGAAAATATTCTGGCACCCTGTGTAGGAAGACACAAGACCAATTGCCCAACCAGAGAATATTGTAGTGTTTCAGGGATGGGTATTTATTAAAAGGAGAGTGACTGTGGGATGCAGAGGAAGATTTTGTATTTTATAATAAGTTGCAGACATCAGTGCAGTTCACCCTTAAACGCTTCAGCTTGCAAATTATAACATAGTGCTGGTTAGGAGTCAGAGTCAATGTTGTAAGAAAGATGATGAATTCAGGTTCACCCAGGTTTACTTCAGATCCGAGGGAGATAGAGCAGGGAATGAGGAGAGCAGAGAAGGAGAAATGAGGACTCTGAAATAGTCTCCTCCTGGGGGAAGAGTGTTGTCATGAAGGTGGAGTCGCTGCCCAAGGGAGATTGGAGACGGAGAGAGAAGAATGTAGAGCCACGTCCTAAATGTGAAGGCTCCATGCTGTAGGGCCTGGGGCAGACAGAACATGTGGCAGCAGGTGCTAAGCCCCTGGCCCATGTGGAAGAAGCAAGCTGGGCGGGTGGTGTAGATGCCACAGTGATGTGGATGAGAAGAGAAAATGAGAGCTTGAGCTCCAACCAAGGAGTGAGCAGGGCTACACTTCTTACTCCCTCAGTGAAACAGGGAATGTGGAGAAAGGTCTGGATCTCTGCACCTATGCAGTGAGGCAGCAGAAATGGGAGAGTCAGACTGGAGAGACTCAGGGAGAAGCAGGGGTCCCAGCCTTACTGCACATGTGATGGAGAACCAGGGGTCCCAGCCTTACTGCCCATGTGATCCTGATTTGATTCCTCCAATTCTCGACGTCTTAAAGAGCAATGGACAAGACTACCTTGTTGGCAACAAGCTGAGCTGGGCTGACATTCACTTGGTGGAACTTCTCTACTACATGGAAGAGCTTGACTCTAGCCTTATCTTCAGCTTCCCTCTGCTGAAGGTGACCCATTTCACAGTTCTCAGAGAGGCAGACCCATATCTCCCATCTTGGGATCTTGTATCTGGGACCTGGGACTGAGTATGTTTTGACCCCAATGTTCACCAGGCCTTCAGTGCCCCAAAGTCTCCAAAATGAGCTTCCAGGCTCCAATTTTGAGGAATGAAAACACTTTTGTTATGGAAAGGAAATTTGTGGTGCATGCTACCCCATGAAGAGTATTTTGCCTTTTATCATGGAAAGGACCCAGGGCCCAGCATGTCTCCCCATCACTCTATTTCAATGTGGTTTCTGTTCCTGAGTTCTCTGGGATGTCCTTTATCCCATATGTGCCCTTGTCTTCCCGCATTGAGTCAGTCTGAGCAGAGCCCTCTCCATCTGGTTTCCTCCCTAGGCTCTGACTCCTGCTGTCTGACACTGTGTTCCTCTCTGCACAGCTCTCCAGCACACTGGCCCCCTACACTGTATCTCTCACTGACAAAAGTGGTCCCATTATTTGTGTTTAATATTTTCTATAACATTTTCCTTTCCAACTCATTTCCCCATATTTTCACTTCTGCTTAGAGACTGATCTGTGTTGAAATCTCACGGCACATTGTTTTTTCTTGTCTTATACAAGAGTCACTAATCTACAGGATTAATATGTAAGAAGAAAGGGATGGCTGAACTGATTAAAATCTGAAAGACATCTTTGGGGAAAATATAAGTGAGCTACATGTTATTCCTCTCATCTTCATTTCTCGCTCAGTGTCTGTTTCTGCCTCCATGCTGGTGCTGATGGCACAGACTTGCTTGGTCTTTGTGTAGAAGGGTCTCAGATTTTCTGGGTGGTATAAACGGTGGTGGCAGGCCTTGGCTTCACTCTGAGGCTGTGCATTGTGAATTACAGGCCCTGAAAACCAGAATCAGCAACCTGCCCATGGTGAAGAAATTTCTACAGCCTGGCAGCCCAAGGAAGTCTCTCATGGATGAGAAATCTTTAGAAGAAGCAAGGAAGATTTTCAGATTTTAATAAAGCAGCCATGGAGGCCAAGAACATGCAAGACCAATATTCTAAAGTTTTGCAACAATAAAGTACTTTACCTAAGTGTTGATTGTGCCTGTTGTGAAGCTAATGAACTCTTTCCAATTACATACTAATTAAATAATAAATCTCCTATTTGTCGACTTGGTTAAAATTAATTTCTTTTCCTTAGGATCTGATATGAATTCAGATTTCCAATCTCCTCCTAACCTACCACTTTCTTGGAATTAAAAGCTTAGTAAAAAAATAATGTAGATTATGTGGTTTGTTTGACTTTTCCAAGAATTGCCCTGCAACATTCAATTTGTCATACAATCTATTAAAATGTCAGTGTAGAAATATACTTCTGACATTTTCAGGTATGCACAGGAGAAGAGTTACCATTCTGGGTAATGACATAAAGACATTTTCTTCTTTTCTTGGACCATCATTTTATTTCTGATAAAAGCATTCTTCCTTATCCATTTACAAGACAACCATTCTTTCTGCTGTGGATTCCTCAGTTTTCTAGGAGGTGAGGAAATATTGAAGAGCAAACAGACCCATCCTCTGCTCTCAGGCCACCCTGTTTTCCCTTACAGTGTGTGTGCTCCTGGCTCATCCTCACTCTGCCTCCTTAAGGCTCTGTGAGGCCCCAGGCATGAGCCTTCCCTCAGTTCCTTCAGTGCCACTCAGGCCTGGGCTGCCAAGATACAAATGGTATATGCGAATTACATATAAGTAAGTATATGCAAAATTATTTTTCCCTGGTGTGTCATTGTGCCATTGTGCTTGGATTAGGAGTGATTTCCAGGAATCCTTCCCTGCATCTTCTAGCTTCTGGGGGCTCTTGGCCTTTCTGGACTTTCATGGATCGTGACCACACCACTCTAATTTCTGCCTCTGTCTTCCTGCACCTCACCCTCTGTGTGTTGTGACTTCTCTTCTCTCTGCAGTGAGGACAATTGTCATTGGATTCAGGGCCTTTCCAGATATACCAAGATGATCTCATCTCAAATTCTTTTACTTCATTACATCTGCAAAGAGCCTTTTTCCAAATAAGATCACGTTCACAGGATCTAGGGATTTCTATATGGACCTGTCTTTCTAGGGGGCCAACATAACCCCCTATATGGTATAGATGAAGAAAGATTATTTGCAATTGATGAATCCAGGTGATGGATGCTTTCAGATTTGTTATATTATGGGCAATTTGAGTGACGCAAAGAGGAAAGCATATGCAGATAGGGTTCCCGGATTTGTCAGATAAAATACAGGACACCCACCTAAATGTGAATTTCAGATAAACAGTAAATAATATTTCAGTATAATCTGGTTTCATACCGTGTTTGGAACATAGGTATAACTAAAAAATTATTGATTGTTTGCCTGAAATTCACATTTACATGGATGTCTTATATTTTATTTGGCAACCCAGTAAGAAAAGGGTGCCATCAACTTGCCCTTCACAGACATCCCTTCCCAGCTATGCTCACAATAGAGATTTTTCAGTTGCCCTAGTCCTTGCATCCAACTCACAAAAAAAAGCATCTTTAAAAAGCCAGTTTCTGCTGACTTGAAAAGAGAGCAAAATCTAGGTGAAATGTATTGTTTAAACTAATTGCCAACCTTGAAAAGGAACATATTAACCAGTGTCTTCTGATAAGCAGATCACTTGCCTCATGTCTTAGAATCCAGTAGGTGGCCCCTTGGCCATGAAATGTGTGGGAGTGGGTTTTCCCTAACTTGACCTTTCTCCTTTCAGTGGGAGGGAACTATTGAAAGGAACAAAGAGCTTATAAATACATTAAGACCTGGAATTCAGTTGCCCAGCCACGACAGTGACAGAGTTTAACAAACTAAGTACTGATCTTATAAATCCCTCTACATTGCCTCACATGCTCCTCTCTAGCCTCCCAGAAAAATATGCTAATATGTGTCCTTAGCACAAGGAAAAGTCTGTTTTTACTCATATCGTGCCATCTTGGTGTGTTTGGGTGACAGTTCAAGAATTGTTTATTTCTTTTCTGTTGGATACATCTTTACAGAAATGTAAAAATGAAGAATTTAGAAAACCAGGGCCTCAGCATTTAATGGTATGGGAAACAATGACATGAGGAGAAAAAAGAAATGGTAGCATTTTAAACAATCTGAGAATAATCAGTGCTGGAAGAAGTGGCAATGTATGCAAAAATTTCTTTCTCTATATAAGTAGTCAAAACATAATTGTTGTAAGTTGTGATCCTGTAATACTATATTGGCTGTGAAAATTCAAAACTAAGGTTTATTATAATTAGAATAAATTAGTTTGAATGTCAGGAGGACTAGATTCTAGTTGAGCCTCTGCCACTAATTAGCTTGACGACAAGTCATATTCTGTCTCTGGAGTACTACCAACTCACGGCCAATCTACAGGATAGCTAAGAAAGAGGCTCTGACTGTTGATGCCCTTTGAACTGTGTAATTCTTTGAATGGAGATCTGTCCGGCCCACTCTAGGAGGTTTCTAAGCGTCCCTGCCCTTTACCTATCTGATTTGTAGCGCCCTCTCCCTCCCCGCAGATGTGACAACCCAAAATGTCTCTAGACCTTGCTCAATGTCCTCTGGAGCAGAGGAGCAAAATCTCCCCAGTTGAGAACCATGGGACTACATGAATTCATGGGGCTAAGCAAGGCTATGTTACCAATGTGCCCCACTGCTTGGACATTCACTGGAAACTTCCTGTTAATCCAGGTGGACTGATTAGTGAATATCATTAACCTCTGTACAGAAGCTAAAAAGGAAAGAGAGAGAGAAACAGAGAGCCACCATATGACAGATTTGATATGTCTGGATTCATATAAAAATTTATTCCTACTAGAGTTCCATGGACAAAATATAGAGATCTAGAGATATGGATAGATAGATAATAGATGATGAAGAGACAGACAGATTACAGACAAATGCATAGAACGATTGATAGATAAAATAATACATACTTGGATGGGTAGACAGATAAGGATTATAAATAGATACATATACATAGATTGTTGGTAGGTAAAATAATTAATGGATAGATAGATCAAAGAAAGAAGATCCATGGGCTACTCAATGTGTCCAGAGACTCACCCATCTTCCAAGCACTGGGACAAGAGCAAACACCCATTGCTGAGTTCCTACTATGAATTTTTTGTACGTTATCTCATTTAACTTTCTCAACAACCCTCAAAAGTAGAAATAACTACCTCTACTCTAAGAAGAGAAAATTGAGGCTCAGAGACTAAACAACCTACAGCTTTTATGAACCTTGTAATGGGAGGAGTCATGGTTTATCTCATTCTCCCTTCTCTCCGATAAGAAACAGTGTCATTGGGACCACCTCAGAGATGTAATTCTTTTAATTTACTCCTGGAATTACCATAGCTTATATTCCTTTCAAATTAAGCCCATTTTTAATTGATGTAAATACAGTTATACTAGTCTTCAACTCACTCTGGATTTTAGGTTGTCAAAGTAGAGAAAGACACACTTTCATTACTTTTTCCTTCCAAGCAAGCCCCTGAAAAGTTGCTAAGAGTAAGAACTCATGAATTAGATGTTCCCCTCTCACCCTCTCCTTCCAACATTTAGTTGGCTAATATACTATGAATAGAAAAATATAAAACAACATAATCAGACAGGAGCAGAGAGCCAGATTATGAGGTGGAGTGGAAAAGCTCTGGTCCTGCAATCAGAAGGAGTTCAGGCTGACCCAACACTCACCAAGTGTGCAGCATGAGATAGGTGCTTTAGCTTTCTGAAACTCAATGTACCCATTGAATGGCTATTAGGAGCCATTTCCCAGGGTTGTTGCAGAAGGTAGACACACTCCCTAGATATTGACCATGAATGAGGAGCATGTGTGTGTGACCCATGGCAAATCCTTGAGCTCTCAGGTTCTCATTTTGTGTTGACTGAACAAAGCTCAACGGTAACCTCTGCCCCAGTCTTAGCCTGACCCTTGGAAACCTCATATTGAGAGGCGATATGTTAGTTATCAGCAGGAGTGTTGTGATAAAATATTATATAAGATAAAAATTCATTTCCTTTTGAAACATGATTCTCAATCAATGGCTAAGGGAGCTTAGTGTGGGGATTGGAATCATGACACTGTGAACTCTAGTCCATAACAATTAAACAACCGCGCCCCACACTTTTGTGTGAACTTCACTCTCCCTTTCTTTCTGCTGAATAATGCTATTTGCATTTCCCAAGTTAGGAAAGTACAACATCAAAATATCTAATCACAGAACAGGTAAGTTGATTCAGTATGATTTCAAAGAATTCTTTACTTTCCAAAGGCTAAACTATTGACTCCCACATTTTAAAATGTAGACATTTAAAAGATTTTGATGTCTATTTATGCAGCCAACAAACATATAAAAAAAGCTCATCATCACTGGTCATTAGAGAAATGCAAATCAAAATCACAATGAGATACCATCTCATGCCAGTTAGAATGGCGATCATTAAAAAGTCAGAAACAACAGATGCTGGAGAGGATGTGGAGAAATAGCAACACTTTTACACTGTTGGTGGGAGTGTAAATTAGTTCAACCATTGTGGAAGACAGTATGGCAATTCCTCAAGGATCTAGAACTAGAAATACTATTTGACCCAGCAATCCCATTACTGGGTATATACCCAAAGGATTATAAATCATTCTACCACAAAGACACATGCACATGTATGTTTACTGCGGCCCTGTTCACAATAGCAAAGACTTGGAACCAACCCAAATGCCCATCAATGATAGACTGGATAAAGAAAATGTGCCACATATACACCATGGAATACTATGCTGCCATAAAAAAGGATGAGTTCATGTCCTTTGCAGGGACATGGATGATGCTGGAAACCATCATTCTCAGTAAGCTATCACAAGAACAGAAAACAAAACACCACATGTTCTCACTCATAAGTGGGAGTTGACCAAGGAGAACACATGGTCACAGGGAGGGTAACATCACACACCGGGACCTATAGTGGGGTGGGGGCCTAGGGAAGGGATAGCATTAGGAGAAATACCTAATATAGATGACGGGTTGAAAGGTGCAGCAAACCAGCATGGCATGTGCATACCTATGTAACAAACCTGCATGTTTTGCACATGTACCCCAGAATTTAAAGTATAAAAAAAAGATTTTGATGTCTAAATTTAAGTCATACATACTTTTGTAGAAGTACATTAGTTGACGGCGGGTGCAGTGGCTCACGCCTGTAATTCCAGCACTTTGGAAGGCTGAGGCAAGTGGATCTCCTGAGGTCAGGTGTTTGAGACCAGCCTGGCCAACATGCTGAAGCCCTGTCTCTACAAAAAATACAAAATTAGCCAGGTGTGGTGGCATGTGCTGGTAATCCAAGCTACTTGGGAGGCTGAGGCAGGAGAATCACTTGAAACTGGGAGGCTAAAGTTGCATGAGCTGAGATTGCACCATAGCACTCTAGCCTGGGAAAAAAACAGTAAAACTCCATCTCAAAAAAAAAAAAAAAAGAAATACATTAGTTGTTAAAGGCAAGTATATTTTTCTTCTAAACTCAACAACCACAAAACTTTGCAAGAAGAATCTTAATGTTTAATCACAGAGCTGGGGGTTTGGAGAGAATATGCAACTGTTCCTAAGTCCTGGCACTGGAACTCCTGCTTTCAATGAGTCCTGTGTCCTTCCATTCACATTCATGATACAATTAGTTGCATCTGTCCTTGCAGCCATTGGTTTTCATTCTCTGATACTCTGCTATGTTCCACCTCCCAAACAGCCTGGGATAGAGCAAGGGCTATCAAACTTCACTGATGAGCCCAGTCAATTTCTCTCTAACCATTTACAACAAGCAGGTGAGCGTGCACACATGCAAACATCCATACACACAATATACAAATAACTGAAACTAACAACTCATGAAACATTACTTACCCTTCAACATGTCATGCTCACTGATATTTTTATTCTTTTCTATTTTATTTTAAAAAGTACTGGGGTTTCACAATCTACTGAAAGATTACCATGCATATTTGAGAAACATTAACATAGAAAATAAGACTCAGTCTTTAGTTTTTAATAGCAGTGAGTCTGCATCCCAGATCCACCACTTAATCTGGGTAAGTTACTTTAAAAACCTCAGTATCCTCAACTGTAAAATGAGAATAGCAACAGCCTTTCACCTTAGGTGATTTTTGTAGGACAAAATGAGAGAAGTTTAGAAGAATGGCCAGTGTATGACTGACGTTGAACAAATGCTAGCTCCTTCCATATCCTGCAAAGTTAATGCAGCAACATCTCTTTTGCCAGGTTATAAAACAAAATGCCCCCCACAGAGTTAAAATATAGAACACCAAAAGAAGCAAGGTATTAGCATTCTCTGTTGAAAGACTTTGGATCTTCTAGCTACAGTAAAACAAGTCTGAAGCCTAATTTCTGGTTTTGATCAAATGCAGTCTCACAGCCAGAGAGCTGAAGAGTGACTTAGCTCCCTGCCGGTCCTCCCTGTCAGTGACATCCTCTGGTTTCACAACCAGTTCATGGGTTCCCAGGGCCTTCACCCAGATGTCTTCCAGGCGTGACTTCATTTTAGTCCTTGGTGTAGATATTCATGTCCATCACCAACCAGAGTGTGACTGTGAACATTGTATTTCTCTGATGTTCGATTTCATTAACTAAAAATTGGAGAAAACAACCATTTAATGAGACTATAAGGAGGGTTAAAGATATAAAATATTGAAAGGGACTAGCATTGAGGAAGGATCATGAGGAAGTTTTCAATAAATATTAGTTCTTGAATTCTTCCCCTTCCATTAACTCCTGTACATGTATTATTACCACATACTCTCACCTCTTAGGCTGCCAAGAAAAGTCACAGGTAAACAATGAAGACTTGAGACTGGTTTGAGGGTGGCCACTGCTGGGTAACAATTTGAGCCAAGAAAACATTCCAGGAACTCCTTCAACCCAGTCATGAAGAAGGCAGGTTCTTCTTCAGCATTGTTTGTGGTTTTCAACCACACATCCTAAAGTACATTTTTGATTCTATCGTTTCAATTATTCATTCATTCATTCAGGCTTAGAGAAACCTCCAGGAGACTGCTATCATGGCAGAGAAGCCCAAGCTCCACTACTCCAATGCACGGGGCAGTATGGAGTCCATTCGGTGGCTCCTGGCTGCAGCTGGAGTAGAGGTAGGTTCTGAGTAAGGTCATCTTAAGTTGGATTTAAAATTGCGTTATCACATACTTTTCCCACAGAAACTATGCAATGATTACTTACTGAAGCATTGTGCCTTAAATAAAAATGGACTGTAATTAAGAAAAAGATGAATAGATTTGACCTAAAAATTGTTAAAATTTCTTCTTATCTAAGAGCATACATATTAAAATACAATTAAGAAACTAATCAAAAAGTGTAGAACTTAAGTGGATTAGAATTTAAACAAACTGTAAAAAATAATTTATGGCATTAGAAACTTGGATATTGACTGAATATTTGATGACATGAAATAATTATTGTTAATATTTCATGTGTGATAATGTACTATGGTTATCTTTAGAACAGTTTATGTGTTTTAGGAAAACACATTGAAGTATTTAAGGATTAATCATATGGATCTGGGATTTCTTTGGAATTATTACAAAAGGAGAAGTAGGTGGGCATAAATATAACTTCACATTGGTTTTGGTTGATAATTATTGATTCTAGGTGAGAAATATAAGGAGAATTTTTATGCTTTTCTGTTTATTTTTATTCATGTTCATAATTTCCACAACAAAAAAATGAAAATACGTAATATTTAAAAATGGCTGTAGTTAGAGGTAAAATGCAAACTATAAATGAGAGGTGTAAGGGAGTGGATTGTAACAAACTACCTATTAAAGATTGACTACATTCACAGCAATTATTTGTTGAGCACTTATTAATTCCAGGTTCTGTACTAGGTCATGGAGATAGACAGTGAACAAGACAGACACAGTCCCTGCCCTGGGGCGGCCTACATGTCTATGAGGATGCAGACAAGTAAACACGTGGTTAAAATGAGGCGTGGAGGCTTCTAGAACACCCAAGCATTCCCCAGTGTTACCAGGTCATCCTCCCAGTGTTTGAGTAGGAAATGCCTGGAGGTGTCTGTGGGACTCCGCTGAGTGCTGCCCTCTAGAGGTGTCACTGAGAAAAACACTTCCCAGTCCAGACCAGAGTCCTTCAGCGACTGCCTGAGGGTTTTCCTGGGAAGTGAGTCATGGACAAACTCAGGAGATCTTGTCCCTCGGGTGGCAGCAGAAAAGGGGGGTTTCAGGTGAGGTGGCGTCCTGTGAAGGGAACTTCTAGCGCGCCCCTTCAGCCTCACAGCGCCGTGTGGACCTGAGCCTCGGAACGGTACTTTGTGCGTTGCTTCACGAAGGCTTGGGACTTTAGCCTCACCCTTTCTCAGTTCTATGAAGAAATAAGCACATAAGAAATCCAAACACTATCATTCTAGGTTGTTTCCTTTGTACAAATGAATACCCTGTTTCACTGTCACGCAGACATCAGCTCTGCAGCTCAGGGATGTGTTCAGAGCCCGGGTAGGAAGAGTTCAGCAGGAGGGAGGGAGGGGCAAGGCTGGGAGGAACCCAGGTTCCCAGGTCTCCATCCAGCCTGACTGAAGGCGGGGGCAGGGCTGACTGCAGACCTTGCTCAGGCTTCTGGGGTCTCAGCGCCCTAAGGCTGATGATCACAACCCAGTCCTCACATCCCACTTGCCAACCCCACCCCACCTTGTCTACCCTCCTTCCTGGACCACCCACCGTTCCTTAGGTTTGTCCTGAACTGGATGCCTTATTAATTGCTGGCACACACCCCCATGACCTCTAGATCCTGGTCCTGTGTGATCATAGATCCACAACAAATTCTGTTCCATGGAGCAAGCCAGAAACCCCCAAATTCCTGATCTTTCACCATAAAGAACTCCATTAAAGTATAATTAGCCACTGGAAACACCGCTACTATTTATTACTTGATGTATGTGGGTCAGGCCCTGTATCATGCATTTTGAAACATTACAAAATTCCATTTAAGAAAATATTATATTCCCATTTTGCAGATTAAGAATCTAAGGCTTGAAGATTTTAAGCAATAATTCCTAGATCACACAGCTATTTTGAGGCAGAGTCAAGATTGGAACCAGATCATAACAACATTGAAATCCAGAAAACCTTGATAACTTTTGCTTAGACTTTTGGTTTGATAGATTCTGCCTATTTAAGTCAACTGCATCATTATGTAATAACTGAATTTCATATCTGTATTAAATACCTGCAACCACTCATAGCTTCTGGTCAGATTGAGACAGCCTTGTTGCTGGCTGCTATTTCCACCAAAGTGACTTGTCTCAGGATGAGGTGGAATTTACTCCAATGTTTAAGTTACTGGATGTAGATCAAGAACTAAGTATAGTTTCAAAATTCTAAACATAACTTATATTTAACGAGCAGTTACTATACACCTGCTACTTTTCTAAGTGCTTTGCATGACCTTGTAATTTAATCTTGATATCAGCCTATACCATAGGTGCCGTAAGTATACCCATTTCATAGATTAGCATACTCAGACACAGAGAGTTTCGGTAACATGTCCAAAGTCAAGAAGACAGTACATGAAAATGGTGATATTGAACCCACAAAACCACATCAGAAACCAGAGGTTTTCATGAAAAATAATGTTAGTGTGGGACTCTAATTCCTTTATTAAATTGAGAATTTTACCCTATTGGGTCCCATGTACTTCAGAAGAGAAAATTATAGTTGCAAGTGTGAAAGCTGTGCAACAGCTGCAACTTATTTCACCCTTAGCAGGGTTCCTGAAAAGTGGGGTGATATAAATTATAGCAGAGGCTCCTTGGTGGCAGAATATTTGATGGCCATTAGCCCATGGCATACCCCACACTGGGGACACACAAGGTTGTGGTCTGATCTCTCCTGGAGACACGGGCTTTACTAAGATATGACAACACCATAACTAGGAGAACTGCTCAGTGCCTTCTTTCCAGTGATGTCCCCTCTCAAAATATGACCTAATCATAGACATTCATCAGAACAGGGTGGCAGTGAACTAAAAGATTGAGCAGCTATGTGCTGTGACCCATGCACTTTTCTCAATGAATTAGGTCTAAACTTCCAAATGGCCATTACCAGCCCCCTCTGTATATCCTGCGAAACTCAGAAATCTTATATTCTCCAAATCATGCACCAGATAGGGGCCATTCAACATCACAAGTCTATAATAGAATTAACTAAGAAGAACCCATTTACTGTTTCTGCTTCCAGTTGGAAGAGAAATTTCTAGAATCTGCAGAAGATTTGGACAAGTTAAGAAATGGTAAGATCAATCTCTAAGTAACTCTGATGAGAGTTTCTAGTAGAAGGTACAGAGGAACGTTGAGCAGCCAGGAATACCTATGTGTGTGGGGGGTGATATTTAGTCACGGTGGAGAGGGAGAAAGTGGTTAAAATGGAAGGGATGTGGCTCCTTGATCAGGTCTGGCAACTCTCTCCAAGCTAAAAGGACCAGACCTCTCAGAGTATTTGTTAGAGGAATGATATCCCGCCCCCGGGGAAAGCCCTTTTTCTGTTTTCATGCTTGGGGGACCGTCAGTGAGCTGTGGTTATCAGCACAGGATCCCATAGAGCCCTCCCCATCCAAGCACACGCAAGAACATGCGCTAGATGAAAGGAGGAAAAATCGACGTGGCCATTGCCTTGAGGTTTTTCTTTCATGGGGGGGCGTGACAAAGTAACACTGTGGCACTATTGCAGGCTTTGAAGAGCAGAAAAGGGGACCCTTATATTAAAAACCTCTCAGAACCTGCCTTAGATGTCGCAAACACCATGAGACTTACCCTGAGAACTTCCCATTTTAAATGGCACCTGTTGCCAGTCCTATTGTAACTTGTCCCAACCTCTTCCTAAAACATCCATGAAGATAAATCAACACAAAAAATACAAGAGTCCTGCTATGTATCTGGAGGGGAAATAAAAACAAAAATGAAGTAACAGGATAAAAAGTAGAAGGAAGCTGCTTAAGAAAAAGAAGAACTACAGGAAACTTTTAAAAAATGTTGTTTGGGCCGGGTATGGTGGCTCACACCTGTAATCCCAGCTCTTCGAGAGGCTGAGGCGGGTGGATCATTTGAGGTCAGGAGTTCGAGACCAGTTTGGCCAACATGATGAGATCACGTCTCTACTAAAAATACAAAAATTAGCTGGGTATGTTGGCACATGCCTGTAATCCCAGCTACTCAGGAGGCTGAGGTAGGAGAATTGCTTGAACCCAGGAGGCAGAGGTTACAGTGAGCTGAGATCGTCCCACTGCACTCCAGCCTGGGTGACAGAGTGAGACTCTGTCTCAAAAAACAAAACAAGGAAAAAAGTTGTTTCAAGTGAAAACTTAACAGGCAATAATTTCTTTTTCATTTCACAAATTTAGTCATTTCCATAACCATTTTTTTCATCCCAAAAGGGTGGGTTTCATAGACACTTCATACTCCTTTTTTTTTCTTCTTTCTAAGATGGGAGTTTGCTGTTCCAGCAAGTACCAATGGTTGAGATTGACGGGATGAAGCTGGTGCAGACCAGAGCCATTCTTAACTACATTGCCAGCAAATACAACCTTTATGGGAAAGACATGAAGGAGAGAGCCCTGTATGGTATATTTTCTGTTCTTCCATCCACAGAGAACACAGAGTGATTTAAGTCCTTCTTTGAGTGGGTGGGACCATGGCAGGGCATCATGACCAGCAGCAGGCTGGGTCTTGAGGATGCACGCTGAGGTCCAGTATTGCAGAGTCCCATGGAGATGAGGGAACAGTGAACATGGGGAGGGTTCAGGCAAGGGTGATTCTAAAAGAGGATGCAGTCCATGGATCCTGCAACCTGACTGAGGTTTCCAGACACTCATAAACCCTATGAACTGAGGAGGATGGGGAATCATGATTCAGGTACTCAGAACTTCAGAGGCTAGACTCCAGCCAACAGCGTAGGGCAAGGCATAGAATGTCTGAGAGTCTGTAGATGAAGGCCTGGGGAGGGAAGGCTGTAAACAAGCTGAATCTCAGGTCCCAGTAATTCCAAGAATCATGACCAGGAACCTAAATTACCAACCAATTATATGGGCCAGAACACTTGAGCAGGGCTAGTAGAGGCTGGTGCCCAGGATGCTGGGGTTACCTTGACACATGGATAGAAGGCTGAAACAGCCAGATTGATTCAATACCAACAAAGCCAAGGGGTCTCCTCTCTGTTGTGATGAGACTGCATAATTACAAATAAATCCTGAATGGAACTGTTGGCAGCTCCACAAAAACTTTAACATAGTATTACCAATGACCCAGCAGTTGCTCTAGTAGGCATATCCCCAAACAATCAAAAATACATCCACACTAAATTTTTTACAGAAATGAACAATGCAAATAACAATATTCATAGTATTCAAAAAGTGGAAACAACCCAAATATCCATCAATCAATAAATGGAGGAGAAAAAATGCCTTAGCCATGCAATGGAAAGATATTTGGTCATGAAAAGGAATGAAGTACCAATGCATGCTACAAGATGGTTAAACAATAAAGACATGTTACATAAAATACACAAGACACAGAAGGCCAAGTATTATAGGATTCTTTTTGTATGAAATGTCCAGATATTCAAATCCATAGAGGTAGCAAGTAGATTAGTGGTTGCCTGGAGGTAAAGGAGTGGGGCTTGGAGATAAATGAAGAATACCGCTAATGGTACAGATGTCCTTATCAGGGTGATAAGAATAATTCTGGAATTAGACTGTGATGATTTTTACAGAATTCTGTGAATCCACCAAAAACCACTCAATAGTGTAATTTAACAGGTTGCAATTACAGTACGTGAACATACGTCAATAAAGGTCTTGTTTTAAAAAGTATTGTGAAACTCTAGTTTGACACAAAAGAAGAAAAGTTTGCACTGGTTGTAATTGTATAGAGAATTTCACCGGGGAAGGGGATTCTTAGGTGGGGTCTCAGGAAAGGCACACATGGCTAGAGTTAGGCAACAGCACATGGAGAGGGCTGTGGAAATGTGTTTCATGGGTGTAATTGGAAGAACTGCTAATATGGGGCACAGGAGCCCTGGGAGCTGTAAAATGATGAGAGAGGACAAGAAATATGGCTGAGATGGCTGTGCCAGGGATTCTTTTAGGATTACTTAGAGGGCAGCTCTTTGGCCATTTGACTCACACTAAGTTCATGCACAGAACAAGCCACAATTGAGATGATAAATCCTGGCACAGCATCAGTGGGTATTGGCAGTGATTCCACCAATTTCTCTCATGACTGTGACCACCGATGCTCTTTTTCCTGTATTAGGTCATGTGTGTAACAAAATTTTGAGATCTATCTACCTTGATAGGTTGTTTTAGGAAATAAATGTTAATATACCTGTAAAAATCAGAACATAATGACTATATACCTGTAAAACTCAGAGCATAATGACTAGCGTATAAAAGGCACTAACTGGAGGTGAATTACTTTGCCACCATCTGACCCTCTATTTTCTTAGGTTTTTATAAACCTATAAAATCTAAGGCAAAAGGCATTTGATGGTTTGGTTGTTTTTGTCTTTCAGGATTGATATGTACACAGAAGGTATAGTAGATTTGACTGAAATGATCCTTCTTCTGCTCATATGTCAACCAGAGGAAAGAGATGCCAAGACTGCCTTGGTCAAAGAGAAAATAAAAAATCGCTACTTCCCTGCCTTTGAAAAAGTAAGTGAAGCTGTTCAATGTTTAGGGGAACTGAGTTTAGACACCAGTAGAAAAATAGTGGCTGGGCATTCCTGGGGCCACTGACCTTCACTTTCAGTGAGACTTCATGAACACCAAGGCAGCACTCTGACTCTCAAGGCCTCTTATGCAAATAGACTTGGAGGAACAATTGTACCACTTATACCCAAGCTATGATTTTCCAGTAAAATTTTAATTTACAGACCCCAACATTAAATTCTCTGTTCAACAAAATTTCATATTCATAAGTAGAACGTGGGCTGTGGAGGGCTCTGGATCACACTGGAGGTTGCTGTTGAGTCTATGGAACCCCATGGACTTTGATGGAAGAAGAACATGATGAAAGTGATCCATCAGAAAATATTCTGGCATCCTGTGTAGGAAGACAGGAAACCAATTGCCCAACCAGAGAATATTGCAGTGTTTCAGGGATCAGTATTTTTTAAAAGGAGAGTGACTGTGGGATGCAGAGGAAGATTCTTTAAAATGCATTTTATAGTAAGTTGCAGACATCAGTGCAGTCCACCCCTAAACACTTCAGCTTGCAAATTATAACAGAGTGCCGGTTAGGAACCAGAGTCGATGCTGTAAGAAACATGATGAATTCAGGTTCACCCAGGTTTACTTCAGAACCCAGGGAGATAGAGCAGGGAATGAGGAGGGCAGACAAGGACAAATGAGGACTCTGAAATAGTCTCCTTCTAGGGGAAAAGTGTTGTCATGAAGGTGGAGTCACTGCCCAAGGGAGATTGGAGAGGGAGGGAGCAGAATGTAGAGCCACATCCTGAATGTGAGGGCTCCACGCTGTAGGGCCTGGGGCAGACAGAACACATGGAGGCAGGTGCTAAGTCCTTGGCGCATGTGGAAGAAGCAAGCTGGGTGGGTTGTGTAGACACCACAGTGATGTGGATGAGAAGAGAAAATGGTAGCCTGGCCTCCAACCAAGCAGTGAGCAGAGTTATAGTTCTTACTCTCTCATTCATTCAGATAATGTGGAGAAAGCTTGGGATTTCTGCACCCATGCAATAAGGCAACAGAGGTGGGAAAAGTCAGGGTGGAGAGGCTCTGAAAGAAGCAGGGGTCCCAGCCTGGGTGTGCATGTGTTCCTGATCTGATTCCTCCAATTCTCCAGGTCTTAAAGAGCCACAGACAAGACTACCTTGTTGGCAACAAGCTGAGCTGGGCTGACATTCACCTGGTGGAACTTTTCTACTACGTGGAAGAGCTTGACTCGAGTCTTATCTCCAGCTTCCCTCTGCTGAAGGTGACCCATTTCACAGCCCAGAGAGACAGCCCCACATCTCTTATATTGGGATCTCATATCTGGGCCCCGGGACTGACCATGTTTTGACCCCACCCTTCTCCAGCCCTTCAGTGCCCCCAAGGTCTCCAAAATGAGCTTCCAGGCTCCAATTTTGAAGAATGAAAACACTTTTGTTCTGGAAAGGAAATTTGTGGTGCATGCTAACCCATGAAGAGTATTTTGCCTTTTATCATGGAAAGGACCCAGTGCCCAGCAGCTCTTCCCATCCCTCTATTTCAATGTGGTTTCTGTTCCTGAGTTCTCTGTGATGTCCTTTATCCCACATGTGCCCTTGTCTTCCCGCATTGAATTGGTCTGAGCAGAGCCCTTTCCATCTGGTTTCCTCCCTGGGCTCTGGCTCCTTTTGTCAGACATTGTGGTCCTCTCTGCACAGCTCTCCCAGCACTCTGCCCCTGACACTGTATCTGTCACTGAGAAAAGGTGGTCCCATGGTTTGTGTTTAATGTTTTCTATAACATTTTCCTTTCCAACTCATTTCCCCATAGTTTTACTTCTGCTTAGAGACTGATCTGTGTTGATATCTCACAGGCATATTGATTTTTCTTGTCTTATACAAGAGCCACAAATCTACAGGATTAATATGTAAGGAGAAAGATAGGGATGACTGAACTGATTAAAACTTCAAGACATCTTTGGGGAAAATAAAGTGAGCTACATGTTATTCCTCTTATCTTCATTTCTCACTGGGTGTCTGTTTCTGCCTCCATGCTGGTACTCATGGAGGGGACTCGCTTGGTCTTTGGCATGAGGGGCTCACATTCCCTGGGTCATCTTAATGATGGTGGCCGGCCTTGGCTTCACTCTGAGGCTGTGCTTTGTGGATTACAGGCCCTGAAAACCAGAATCAGCAACCTGCCCACGGTGAAGAAGTTTCTGCAGCCTGGCAGCCAGAGAAAGCCTCCCATGGATGAGAAATCTTTAGAAGAAGCAAGGAAGATTTTCAGGTTTTAATAAAGCAGCTATGGAGGCCAAGAACATGCCAGACCAATATTCTACAGTTTGCAACAATGAAGTGCTTTACCTAAGTGTGGATTGTGCCTCTTGTAAAGCTAATAAACTCTTTCCAATTACATGCTAATTAAATAATAAATAACTCTTATCTGTCAACTTAGCTAAAATTGATTTGTTTTCATTAGTATCTGATATGAATTCAGATTTCTAATCTCCTCCTAACCTACCACTTTCTTGGAATTAAAAATTTGGTAAAAAAGAAGAAACTATAGATTATGTGGTTTGTTTGACTTTTCCAAGAATTGTCCTGTAACATTTGTCATACAATCTATTAAAATGTCAATGTAGAAATGCACTCTGACATTCTCAGGTATGCACAGGAGAAGAGTTACCATCCTGGGTAATGGCATAAAGACATTTTCTTCTTTTCCTGGACAGTCATTTTATTTCTGATAAAAGCGTTCTTCCTTATCCATTTACAAAACAACGATTCTGTGTGCTGTGGATTCCTCAGTTTTCTAGGAGGTGAGGAAATATTGAAGAGCAAACAGACCCACCCTCTGCTCTCAGGCCACCCTGTTGTCCCTTACAGTGCGTGTGCTCCTGGCTCATCCTCACTCTGCTCCTTAAGGCTCTGTGGGGGCCACCGTCATGAACATTCCCTCAGTTCCCTCAGTGCCACTCAGGCCTGGGCTGCCAAGATACAGATGGTATATGTGAATTACGTATAAATAACTACTATATGCAAAATCATTTTTCCGTGGTGTGTCATTGTGCCAGAGTGCTTAGATGAGGAGTGCTTTCTAGCTCCACCCACATACTGGGCCTATAATGTTAATCTCCCCTAGGACACCTGGGCTTCTGCAATTTCAGCTCTCCTGTTAGAATGAGCTTCCCCACAACTGGCAGAGGTGGTTGAGGGAGCAGACAGACACAGGCTTCCTACCTGCAGCTTCACTTTGCTCTAGTCTCTTCTCCACTTACACCCAGCGTAGCTTTTCTAAAATACAAATTGGAAAAAAAAATCACAGAATTCTGCAGTGAGTCCTGACTGCATATATAAGGTATCCTCACACCCGTCCTCACTCCTTGATCTCCAGCCCAATCCACCCTCTGAGCATGGTGGGGCCTCTTGCCTTCCTGCCTAGATGCATTTGCTAGCCCTGCCTGGCAAGCTCCTTCCCCGTGGACACACTTAACACTACCTCATTGCTTCCCAGGAACGCCGGGCTGTCCTCTGCCCTCCACCGGGCCCCAGTGAGCCTCTAATAACACCTGAGGGCCACTGTGTCTGCTCCCCTGTACTGTGAGCTGGTGGTGTGGGGCTTGGCCTGCTGGGTCCCCAGTGCTTCATCACCAATGGACAATGACATCTGCACAGACCCATACACAGCTCTATGCACCTCCAGAACCTGGGTATATGAGACTGGGCTTTGAGAACTCACAAACCTCCACACACTCTACCTGACTGTCTCTATTCTTTCATTAATTTCTAAAAAACTGGACTCATATCCCTCAAATGCTTTGTAAGGACCTTGCTTGGATGCTGACCAAAATAAACAAAGTGCTAAGAAATTTTTATGGGACACATGAACTAGAATGCTGAAACTTTGATGAAATTAAGAAATTATAGAATTTTAATTTGATAAAAGATTATCATAATAAACATAATCATAGTGCGCTTGTGTTTAGAAAGGAAATTCTTCCTTGCTAGAGAAGAATACTAGTATTTACAGATGAAATGATATGCTATCTGGGATTTGCTTGAAAAGAATCCCCTGGTAGTGGAGGGAGTACATGGGAGTTTGCATCATTTTCTTGTGGCTCTTCTCGCAGATTCCTACAAGCTACAAACTGGGTGGCTTGAAACAACAGAAATGCATTTTCTTACAATTCTGAAGTCCAGAAGTCTGAAGTCAGGGTGAGAGTAGGGCCGCATTGCCTTGAAAGTTCTAGGGAACAATCCTTCCCTGCCTCCTATAACTTCCGGGGGCTCTTGGCATTTCTGGACTTTCATGGATCGTGGCCACATCACTCTACTTTCTGCCTAGGGCTTCCAGCACCTCACCCTCTGCGTGTCTGTGTCTTCTGTTCTCTATGTTGCAGGTGAGAGGTGACAACGTGCTAGCAGCCCTCGCTTGCTCTCAGTGCCTCTTCGGCCTCGGCGTCCACTCTGGCCACCCTTGAGGAGCTCTTCAGCCTACCGCTGTACTGTAGGAGCCCCTCCCTGGGCTGGCCAAGGCCGGAGCCGGCTCCCTCTGCTTGAGGGGAGGTGTGGAGGGGGAGGCGCAGGTGGAAACCAGGGCTGCACATAACGCTCACAGGCCAACCCGAGTTCTGGGTGGGGGCAGGCTCGGCAGGCCCCACACTCAGAGTGGGCCGCCTGGCCCTGGGCAGTGAGGGGCACAGCACCTTGGCCAGCAGCTGCAGAGGGTGCGCCAGGTCCCCCAACAGTGCCGGCCCGCCCGTGCCGCGCTCGATTTCTGGCCGGGCCTCAGCCACCTCCCTGCAGGGCAGGGCTCGGGACGTGCAGCCCGCCATTTCTGAACCCCCCTCCCCCGGCCCCCTGCCCCCACGGGCTCCCACCCACCGGAGCCTCCCTGATGGGCACCGCCCCCTGCTCCGTGGCTCCCAGTCACATCGACTGCCCAAGGGCTGAGGAGTGCGGGCATGGGGCGCGGGACTGGCGGGCAGCTCTGCCCATGGCCCCAGCGCAGGATTCACTAGGGGAAGCCAGCTGGGCTCCTGAGTCGTGTGGGGACTTGGAGAACTTTTATGTCTAGCTAGGGGACTTGGAGAACTTCTATGTCTAGCTGGAGGATTGTATATGCACCAATCAGCACTGTCTAGCTCAAGGTTTGTGGATGCACCCATCAGCACTCTGTATTTAGCTAATCTGGTGGGGACTTGGAGAAGTTTTATGTCTAGCTAAAGGATTGTAAATGCACCAATCAGCATTCTGTCTCTAGCTCAAGGTTTGTAAACGCACCAATCAGCACTCTGTCAAAACGGACCAATCAGCTCTCTGTAAAATGGACCAATCAGCAGGATGTGGGTGGGGTCAGAGAAGGGAATAAAAGCAGGCTGCCCAGCCGGGAACTGCAAGCCAGCTGGGGTTTCTTTCCATGGTTTGAAAGCTTCGTTTTTTTAGCTGCTTGCAGTAAATGTTGCTGATTATTCTTTGGGTCTGCACTGCCTTCATGAGCTGTAACACTCACTATGAAGATCTGCAGCTTCATTCCTGAAGCTAGTGAGACCTTGAACCCACCGAGAGGAACAAACAACTCCAGACATGCTGTCTTGTGACACTCAACGAGGAGGTATGCAGCTTCACTCCTGAAGCCAGTGAGACCACGAACCCACCAGAAGGAAGAAACTCTGGACACATCTGAACATCTGAAGGAGTAAATCCCAGACACACCATCTTTAAGAGCTGTAACACTCTCCCACGATGGTCTGCGGCTTCATTATTGAAGTCAGCGACACCATGAACCCACCAATTCCGGACACACAGGGATACTTGTCATTGGACGTAGGGCATATCTGGATATATTGGGATTATCTCATCTCAAGTTCCTTAACTTCATCTGCAAAGAACCTTTTTCCAAATAAGGTCGCATTTAAAGGACTCAAGGATTTGGACATGAACATACCTTGCTTGGGAGCCAACATAACTTAATCCACTACCTTGTATAGATGAAGAAATATTGCTGGCAATTGATGAATCCAGGTCATGGGTACCTTCAGGCTTGTTATATTACTTTCTCTACTTTAGTATTTGCTAGAATTTTTCCATGTAAATTTTAAAACTATCTTATTCTAGGAGTTCTTACAATGTCCAGGTTTTGTCCCAGACAATAAGGACTGGACTCAAATAAGAAGGCGGCTCTGCTCTCAGGAGCTCAAGGTCTAGGGAGAAATGTGATATAGAATACTTCATGTCAAATTAACGTAGGGAAAGACGCAATAGAGAAAATACAGTAGGAGCTGAAAGTAGAATATTCCAGTCAGGACAAATACCATGTGCAAAGGCCCAGAGGCCAGGAAGGGTGATTTGAGCAATGCAGAGAGGAAACACTATAAAAACAGGGTGGCCAGATTTGGTGGATAAGATACAGGACACCCAAATAAATGTAAATTTTTAGATAGGTAATCAATACTGTATTAGTATAAACATGTTTCCTACAGTGTTTGGGACATACTTACACTAACAAATGACTGATCCTTTGCCTGGAATTCATATTTACCTTGGTGCCCTGTATTTTGTGTGGCAACCCAGTAAGAGAAGACTTCCAGAGTGCCATCAGCCTGCCCTTCACAGACATCCCCTGCCAGCTATGCTCCCAGCAGAGATTTCTCATCTGCCTTAGTCCTTACATCCAAGTCATTAAAAATGAGCGTCTTCAAAAAGCCAGTTTCTACTGACTTGCTGTAAAGAGAGCAAAATCTGTTGAAATTTTTGGTTAGACTTTTATTGCCAACCTTGAAAAGGAACATATTAACCAGTTACCTTGTGATAAGATGATGACTTGCCATTTTTCTTAGGATCTAGTAGGCAGTCCTGTGGCCCTGAAACATGTGGGAGTGGCTGTTTTTAACTTGACTCTATTCCTTTCAATGGGAGGGAGTTATTGAAATGAACATGTAGTTTATAAACCACATTAGGACCTTAAGTTGTTGAGCCCCAAGGGTGACAGCCTTTAACAAAGTAAATACCAATGTTAGAAATCTCCCTGTATTACCTCATGACCTCCCATCTAGGTCACTAGAAAAATACTTTAAAATATGTCCTTGGCACAAGAAAAATCTGTTTTATACTCATATTAATGCCTTCTCTGTGTGCTTGGATGACAGTTTAAAAGTTCTGCATTCACCTGCTTTTGGATACATTGTTTCAACTTAAATAATAAACAGAGACCCTTTCAAATAAAAGATATTTATTTGAGAATTAAGTGTTGTAATGGGTATATGTTTGTCATAGTAAATTATGTATGTATTCAGGGAAGTTAAGGAAGACAAAGGTTTTTATAGGAAAAAATAAGGATTAAATAAACGTTTTGAAATACTTATCTTTCACTACAAATATTAATAACAAGGGTAATGCCAGGCCAAGTTTAAACAGGCAGTTGATGGGCAAATGCCCTAACAGAAGTATTCTAAGATTGCAATGGCCTTTGTTCAAGGTTGCAGACAGTTCCATGTCTGCAGTTGCTTCTCCAAACCTCCATCTCCTGCTGAGCAAAGAGATACCAACACCTGCCAAACACAATTCTGATTTACAACTTGATGGTAGATATCACACATTAATGCTTCCTTCAGGAAGTGCTTTCTGATTTGTTGTCAAGTGTTGATGCCATTGGCTTTTCAATATTTCTTTAAGGTTGTTATGCTCCAAAGCTAGGCAGAATGTTTTGAGAGCAATTTCCTAGAACTTACAGGTGAATCTAAGTCTTTAGAACTTTTAGTTCTTTTTTTTTTTTTTTTTTTTTTTAGTATTTATTGACCATTCTTGGGTGTTTCTCGGAGAGGGGGATGTGACAGGGTCATAGGATAATAGTGGAGAGAAGGTCAGCAGATAAACAGGAGAACAAAGGTCTCTGGTTTTCCTAGGCAGAGGTCCCTGTGGCCTTCCGCAGTGTTTGTGTCCCTGGGTACTTGAGATTAGGGAGTGGTGATGACTCTTAATGAGCATGCTGCCTTCAAGCATCTGTTTAACAAAGCACATCTTGCACCGCCCTTAATCCATTTAACCCTGAGTTGACACAGAACATGTTTCAGAGAGCACGGGGTTGGGGGTAAGGTTATAGATTAACAGCATCCCAAGGCAGAAGAATTTTTCTTAGTACAGAACAAAATGGAGTCTCCTATGTCTACTTCTTTCTACACAGACACAGTAACAATCTGATCTCTCTTTCTTTTCCCCACATTTCCCCCTTTTCTTTTTGACAAAACCACCATCGTCATCATGGCCTGTTCTCGATGGTCTCTGTCTCTTTGGAGATGTTGGGTACACCTCCCAGACGAGGCAGCTGGGCAAAGGCACTCCTCACATCCCAGACGATGGGCGGCCGGGCAGAGGCGCTCCTCACCTCCCAGATGGGGTGGCCGGGCAGAGGCACTCCTCACTTCCCAGATGGGGCAACCGGGCAGAGGAGCTCCCCACTTCCCAGACGGGATGGCCGGGCAGAGGTGCTCCCCACTTCCCAGATGGGGCGGCTGGGCAGAGATGCTCGTCACTTCCCAGATGGGGCAGCTGCCAGGCAGAGGCACTTCTCACTTCTCAGATGGGGCAGCCGGGCAGAGGCGCTCCTCAGTTCCCAGACGGGGTGGCTGGGCAGAGGTGCTCCTCACATCCCAGATGGGGCAGCTTGGCAGAGGCGCTCCCCACTTCCCAGATGGGGTGGCGGCCGGGCAGAGGCACTCCTCACTTCCCAGATGGGACGGCCAGGTAGAGGCACTCCTCACTTCCCAGACAGGGCAGCCGGGCAGAGGCACTCCTCACTTCCCAGACGATGGGCGGCCGGGCAGAGGCGCTCCTCACTTCCCAGATGATGGGCGGCCGGGCAGAGGCGCTCCTCATCTCCCAGACGGGGTGGCAGCCGGGCAGAGGCACTCCTCACTTCTTCCCAGACGGGGTGGCCAGGCATAGGCGCTCCTCACATCCCAGACGATGAGTGGCCAGGCAGAGACACTCCTCACTTCCTGGACGAGGTGGCAGCCAGGCAGAGGCTGTAATCTTAGCACTTTTGGAGGCCAAGGCAGGCAGCTGGGAGGTGGAGGTTGTAGCGAGCCGAGATCACGCCACTGCACTCCAGCCTGGGCAACATTGAGCATTGAGTGAGCGAGACTCTGTCTGCAATCCCAGCACCTTGGGAGGCCGAGGTGGGCAGATCACTCAAGGTCAAGAGCTGGAGACCAGCCCAGTCAACACGGAAAAACCCCGTCTCCACCAAAAATACAAAAACCAGTCAGGCGTGGCGGTGCGCGCCTGCAATCCCAGGCACTCGGCAGACCAAGGCAGGAGAATCACAGGACCCCAAGGCAGGGAGGTTGCAGCAAGCTGAGATCACGGCAGTATTGGCAACAGAGGGAGACCAAAGAGAGGGAGAGGGAGAGGGAGAGGAACTATTAGTTCTACAAAGCAAGATGACCTAGATTAGTGACTAACAAAATCAAAAACAATAATGGCCCTTATTGTGAATTTTCAGTTTCCTGATTCAACAAATATCTGTTAATCCTTGTCCTTTGCCCAGTTGAACACTTGCCTGATAACCTTGCTTTTTCCAAATTCCTCCTTCCTTAGTCCTTCTGGGTCTACTCAGTGAGCCACACCCATATCTTTATTTATTCTGTGAAATTGTAGAAAATTGAGTCTGATAATCAGGATTGGCTGATCCATTATCTTGAATCTATTATTTAATTTTTGTATTTAATTTTTTCTATATCATTTGATTTTCTCAAGTAAGTTCAAAAGATGAAATTATAGAAATCTCTGTGACTGCTAAAATGTCTAGCATTGCTGTGTGATCTATCCAAGTATCAGTGATATTGTAATACTACCATGTGCAATACACTGTGTTAAACATACTGTGAGACCTCTCTGCTCTTTCGGAACCTCACAATTTAGTAGGGACACAATGTGTATATAAGTAACTGTAATACTTTATAGCTGTGAAAATTCAAAATTAAGGTTGATTTATAATAGGAATAAATTAGTTTCTGAATGTCAGGAAAACTAGACTCTGATTCATTCTTTCCCACTAATTAGCTAGATGACAAGTCACATTCTCTAGGGTTCAACCAACTCACAGCAAACCTTGAAAATGGCTAAGGAAAAGTCTCTCATCTTACCCTTGGCACTCCTTGGGATGGGTAATTCTTTGGGTGCAGGGGCTGTCCTGTTCATGATAGGATGTTCCAAGGCATCACCGGCCTCCACCTACCTATGTTGAAGCACTACCCACCACCTTCTGCCTTGATGTGACAACCAAGAATGACTCCAGATATTCTGAATGTCCTCTGGGTTATGGGAGCAAAATATTTTGTGGTTTGGAATCTGCAGACTACATGACTTCTCAAGTATTAAAATTCAGAAGCTGATAGAATAACTAAATAATTACTGCAGCATATAACTAGCTTTGTTTTGCTTTGATTTAGAGACAGGGTCTTTCTCCATGGCCCAGGCTGGAGGGCAGTGGCACAATCATGGCTCACTGCAATCACCACCTCCTGGGCTCAATCAATCCTCCCAGCTCAGTCTACTGAGTAGCTGGGACCACAGGTGCACGCTATTGCACCTGATGTAATTTGTTTTTTTTTTGTAGAGACATGGTCTGCTATGTTGCTCATGCTGCACTTAAGCTCCTGGCTCAAGTAGTCCTCCCACCGCTGTCTCCCAAAGTGCTGGGATTACAGGTGTGAGTGACCATACCCAGCCCTTATAACCAGTTTTTAAAATGCACCTAAAGGAACCCAGTTAATATATATGGTGCCATTAGAATATAAGTCAACAATGTCCTGGAATAAATGTTTAATAGTGGGGAAAAATGTAAAGGAAAGATTAGGAGCTTCAGTGATGTCCTCCTTTTGGATCCAGATGTAAGACCTGTCCAGGCTATAAAATAATTCACAGGAAAAAAATATGACACCTGATATAGTTTGGCTCTGTGTCCCCACCCAAATCTCATGCTGAATTGTCATCCCCAGTGTTGGAGGTGGGGCCTGGTGGGAGGTGATTGGACCATGGGGTGTTTTCTAATGGTTTCTCATCATCACCCTAGTGCTGTCTTCTCATAGAGTTTTCATGAGATATAGTTGTTTGAGAGTGTGTAGCACCTTCCTGTTCACTCTCTTTCTCCCCTGCCAGCCATGTAAATACGTGCTTGCTTCCCCTTCGCCTTCCACCATAAATATAAGTTTCCTAAGGCCTCCACAGAAGCAGACGCCTGTACAGCCTGCAGAACTGTGAGCTGATTAAACCTCTTTTCTTTATCAATTACCCAGTTTCAGGTATGTCTTTATAGCAGTGTGAAAATGGACTACTACAAGAAACTGGTACCAGAAAAGTGGGACATTCCTATGAAGATACCTGAAAATGTGGAAGCAGCTTTAAAATTGGGTAAGGAGCAGAGGCTGGAACAGTTTGGAGGGCTCAGAAGAAGGCAGGAAAATGAGGGTAAGTTTGGAACTTCCTAGAAACTAGTTGAATGGTTGTTATCAAAATGCTGATAGTGATTTGGACAGTGAAGTCCAGCGGAGGTCTCAGATGGAGATGAGAAACTTTTTGGGAATGGGAGTGAAAGTCACTCTTGCTATGCCTTAGCAAAGAGACTGGTGGCATTGTGCCTCTGTTCTAGAGATCTGTGAGACTTTTAACTTGAGAAATGATTTAGAGTATCTGGTAGAAGAAATTTCTAAGCTGCAAAGCATTCAAGATTTAGCCTGGCTGTTTCTAACAACACATGTTCATATGTGTTCACAAAGACATGATCTGAAATCTGTCATTGAATCTGAATGAATCAATCTGCAATTGAAACTTATATTTAAAAGGGAAGCAGAGCATAAAAGTTTGGAAAATTTGCAGTCTCATCATGTGATAGAAAAGAAAATCCCACTTTCAGGGGATGAAATCAAGCCAGTGGCAGAAATTTGCAAAAGTCTTAGTTATTAACATACTGTTCCTTTTGCAAAAGTTTGGAAATTTGCAAAAGTAGCTAAATGTTAACAGCAAAGACAATGGGGAAAATGTCTCCAGGGCATGTCCAGGGCTTTGTGACAGCCCCTCCCATCACAGGCCTAGAGGCCTAGGAGAGAAAACTGGTTTTGTGAGCCAAACCCAGGGCCCTGCTGCTCTGTGCAGCCTCGAGACATGGCATCCTGTGTCCCAGCTGCTTCACCTCCAACCATGGCTATAAAGGGCCCCAGATACATCTGAGGCCACTGGTCCAGAAGGTGCAAGCTGTAAGAAGCCTTGGCAGCTTCCATGTGTGTTAACCCTGCATGTGCACAGAGAGCAGGAGTTGAGGCTTGGGAGCCTTTGCCTAGATTTCATAAGATTTAATGAAACACCTGGATGGCCAGGCAGATGCCTGCTGCAGGAGTGGAGCCCTCATGTAGAACTTCTACTAGGGCAGTGGGGAAGGGAAAAGTTGGAGCCCCCACACAGAGTCTCCACTGGGGCACTGCCTAGTGGAGCTATGAGAAGAGGGCCATTGTACCCCAGACCCCCGAATGATACATCCACCAACAGCTCGCAAAATGCATCTGGAAAAGCTGCAGGTGCTCAACACCAGCCAGTCAAAGCAGCCTAAGGAATGTACTGTCTAGAGCCACAGGTGCAGAGCTGCCCAAGACCTTGGGAGCCCACCCTTGCATCAGTATGGCCTGGATGTGAGACAAAGAGTCAAAGAAGTCAAAGAAGACTATTGTGAAGCTTTAAGAGGTAATGACTTCCCTGCTGGGTTTTGGACTTGCATGAGGCCGGCAGCTCTTTTGTTTTGACTGACTTCTCCCTTTTGAAATGAGACCATTTACCCAATGCCTGTACTCCTATTATATCTTGGAAGTAACTAACTTGTTCTTGATTTTACAGGCTTGTAGGCAGAAGGGACTTGCCTAGTCTCAGAAGACACTCTGGACTTGGGCTTTTGAGTTAATACTGGAATGAGTTAAGTCTTTGGAGGACTATTGGGAAGGCATGATTGTGTTTTGAAATGTTAGGGGCCAGGGGGTGGAATGATATTGTGTAACTCTATGTCCCTACCCAAATCTCATGTTGAATTATGATCACCAGTGTTGGAGGTGGGGCCTGGTGGGAGGTGATTGTATCATGAGGGTGGTTTTCAGTGTTTTAGCACCATTCTCCTACTGCTGTCCTGTGATAGCATTCTCATGAGATCTGGTTGTTTGAAAGCATGTAGCACCCACCCCCTCATTCTCTCTCTCCTGCCAGCCATGTGAAGATGTGCTTTTTTCCCCTTCACCTTCCGCCATGATTGTCATTTTCCTGAAGCCTCCCCAGAAGCAGAAGCCTGTACAGCCTGCAGAACTATGAGTGGACTAAACCTCTTTTCTTTATCAATTACGAGTCTCAGGTAGGTCCCTATAGCAGTGTGAAAATGGACTAATACAACACCCATGTGAGAAGATACTGAAATGACAAGAAATGCATGTTGCAAGGCAATGTTTGCACAAGAATGAGGATTGATACTAATTTGAAGGGTAGGAAGGCAGACATTTGGGAGGTACAAAATCTACTGAACCTGCAGATTGAGATGCTACCCTGGAAAGAAGGAGCCCACCTGGGCAGAAGGGCAAGAGTCCTCAGTTTTCTCAGCCTGGCAGCCTTCTCCCCTTTCTCTGATTTCCTTGGTTAACAGAATCATGATTCCCGGGTTGAAATTTCTAGGAATCCTTTAAAGTGAAATCACTGCTGAGCACATTCTGTTCTGTCAGTTGGCCAGAAGCCTGTTATTCTGACTAGATCTAAACCACTTTAGGGCAGAGACCAAATCCAACCAAATATTTTTCTGCTACAAGCCATCACTATTGCTTGAGACACCGAAACAGCTCAATCAATGTTAGTCAGTTTGAATGAAACTTTTTAAAAGAAGGAAATATGCTGAAAACAAGAAATAGAAGAAAGGTTAGCAAAATGTCTGCATTTTCAGGTAAGGAACAGGATGCTGTAGAGGAGCAACCATTTTCATCAAGTATTGAGAGTGAGACCCTGCCCAAGAGCTATGAATAGCTGGAGAGAGAAGCAGTGAGGCTCACTCTCACTCCACTGGAGTTTATGCAAAGAGGGCCTGGGAACAGGACAGGTTCACAGTGCTCAGAGCAGGGAGTGGGTGGTAGCTAGGCCTGGCCTGAGGAGAGAGGCCCACCAGGTGCAGGGTATGGGAGCCTTTTTCCAGATTATAAAACGTCTGTTTTTCCAGGTTATAAAACAACCTGGGAACCAGGTCTGCTGCAGTCTAGGAGTTAAGTAAGTCTGTGTTAACGATGGGTCAGGCCTCCCTGAAACTTCACTGAAAACTTTGTTAACCCAGGTTGACTGTATCAGTGACTATCATTAATCTCTGTATAGGAGCTTTAAAAAAAGAGACTCATTATATGACTTATTCGAAAAGAAATCTAGATATATATAAAATCTTATTTTTACCAGAGCTTGATGGGTTAAGAGAGAAAGAGAGAGGAGACTCATGTGCTACCCAGTGTGTTCCGAGAGACTCATCCACATCCCAAGAAGTGGGGGCAGGAGGTCACTCTCATTATTCAGTTCCTATTATAAATTTTATATACAATATTTCATTGAACTTTCTCAACAGCCCTCAAAGATAGATATAACTATCCCTATTTTGAAAGGAGAAACTTGAGCTCAGAATTTGAAGAGCCTACTGAGTTTATGAACCTCATAATGGAAGGAGTTGTGATTTATCTCAGTCTCCCTTCTCTCTGATATGAAGCAATAATTAGGACCACCCAGGGACCAAGAGTAAATTAACTCTAATTTACTACTGGAATTTCACCACTTATATTCCTTTCAAAACAAGCCCATTTTCTAGTTGAGGAAAATACAGTTATACTAGTTCTCAACTCATTTAAGTTTTTAGGGTTGCCAAAGTAGAGAAAGAAACATTTTTATTATTATTATTTTCTCCAATCAAGCTCCTGAAAAGTTGCTAACAGAAAGGAACTCGAGATTCAGGTGTCCCCCTCTCGCCCTTCCCTTCCAATCTTTAGTTGGTTAATGGAGTCTGTATGGGAAAATATGAAACAATTTCTCAGATAGAAGCAGAGCCAGCTTACAGGGTGGAGTAGAAAAGCTATGGACCTGCAATCAGAAGGAGTTCAAGCTGACCCAACACTCACCAAGTGTGCAGCGTGGGCCAGTCGCTTTAGCTCTCTGAACCTCAGTGTGCCCATCTTTAATTAGGATATTAGGAGCCGTTTCCCAGGGTTGTTGCAGAAGGTAGACACACTCCCTAGATATTGACCATGAATGAGGAGAATGTGTGTGTGACCCATGGCAAATCTTCGAGCCTCTCTGGTTCTCATTTTCTGTTGACCCAACAAAGCTCAGTGGTAACCTTTGCCTCAGTGTTGGCCTGGCCTTTGGAAACCTCATATAGTGAAGGTGATATGTTACATGTAAGCGAGAGCATTATTATAAAATGTTATGTGAGATAATAATAATTCATTTCCCTTTGAAACATGATCCTCAGTAATGGCTAAGGGTGCCAGTGTGCGATTTGAATCACTCTGTGCACTCTAGCCCATAACAATTAAAGAAGCACACCCCACTCTCTGTGAGGTTCACTCTCCCTTTCCTTCTGCTGAATCATGCTATTTCCATTTCCAATGAGAGGAAAGTGCAATGTGTAAAGTCTCTAATTACAAGACAGATGAGTTGATTAAGTATGTTTCAAATAATTATTTACTTTCTAAAAGTTAGACTGTTGAGTTCCACATTTTAAAATGTAGACATTTAAAAGATTTTAATGTCTAAATTCAAGTCATACGTACTTTTTTAGAAATACATCTGTTGGTAAAGACAAGTATATTTTTGTACAAATGTATCAACCTCGATGACCACAAAACTTTGCAAGAAGAATCTTAATATGTTATAACAGAGTTGGGGGTTTGGAGAGAAAATGCCACTGTTCCTAAGTCTTGGAACTCATGCTTTCAATGAGTCCTGTGTGTTTCCACTCACATTCATGATCCAATTATTTATGGCCTGTCCCTGTACACTTGGTTTTCATTTGCTGGTTCTCTGCTATGCTCCACCTCCCAAGCAGGCTGGGATAGAGCAAGGGCCAACAAACTTCCTTGATGATCCCTAGTGAATTTATCTCTAACCATTTGCAATGGCCAAATGAACGTGCACACATGCAAATATCCATACACATAACATACATGTAACTGAAACTAAAAACTCATGAAACATTACTTACTCTCCAGCATGTCATGCTCTCTGGTATTTTTTTATTCTTTCCTATTTTCTTTAAAAAATATGTAGCTTTCACAATTTTCTGGAAAATTAGCATACATATTTGAGAAACACTAACAGAAAATAAGGCTCAGTCATTGGTTTTGAATAGCAATGGGTTTGAATCCCAGATTCACCACTTACTCTGGACGAGTTGCTTTAAAAATCTCAGTATCACCAGTTGTAAAATGAGAATAATAATAACATTCAACTTAGGTGATTTTTGTAAGATAAAATGAAGATAAATTTGGAGGAATGGCCAGTGTGTGACTGATGCTGAATAGATACTATCTCCTATTCAAGCCTGCAAAGTTGATGAGGCAACATGTTTTTCCAGGTTATAAAACAAAATGCACCCCAAAGAGGTGGAATACAGAAAACCAAAAGAAGCAAGAAATTAGGGTCCTCTGTCTGTTGAAAGAATTTGGTTCTTCGAGCTACAGTTAAGCAAGCCTGAGGCCTAATTTCTGCTTTTCATCAAATTCAGCCTAACAGCCAAAGAGGTGGTCCTCCTTGTCAGTGACATCCTCTGGTTTCACAGCCACTTCATGGGTTCTCAGGGCCTTCACCTGGGTGGGTTCTAGGCCTACCTTCATTTTCGTCCTGGGTGTGGATTTTCAAGTTCATCACCACGTGGAGTGTGATAGCGGACATTGCATTTAACTTTTCTGATGTTCCATTTCACTAACTAAGGAATGGAGATAATAACAAGCATTTCATGGGACTATAAGGAGGAGTCAAGATATAACATATTGAAAGAGACTAGCATTGGGGAAGGAAGGATCAGTCGAAAGTTTTCAATAAATATTAGTTCTTGAATTCTTCCTCTTCCCACTAACTTCCCTACATTCATTATTACCACATACTCGCACCTCTTAGCATGGCGAGAATGGTCACATTTAACCAATGGGCACATGAGACTGGTTTGCTGGAATCTGAGACTGGTTTGCTGGAATCATAGTTTTTATGTTTTAGGGAAACACTTTGAAGTATCTAAGGATGGAATATACGGTATTTGGGATTTCCTTACATTATTACAAGATGGGGGAAGTGGGTGGGCATGTATATGAAAACACATTGGCTTTAGTTGGTGTAAACCAAATATAAAATTCTAAGCTCCCTCCCTCACTCTGACCATCTGAATGGATCTCTCTTTTCAGCAAGGCCATTCCAAAGCTAACCTGAAAAATGAATTTAGGCCATGATGGGAAGTGGAGGGGGTTGGACAAGCCTCATTATACCTCATCTCTTTTGGAATTACTAACAGAACAAACTTTTTTAGTCTGATAAGAAACAAGTACAATCATTTTCTCTGAAACTTGCTACCAGGTGGCTTCATCTGCAGGGTAAAACTTTGTTCTCTACAACCCCTTATTATCCTAAACTAGACATTCCTTTCTATTGATTCCAGGTGGTTAGATAGTAACTTAACCCTTTCAACCAACTGCCAATCAGACAAATTTTAAATCTACACACAACCTGGAAACCCACACTTCCAGTATCCCTCCTTTCCATACCAAACCAATGTACATCTATATATATTTGATTGATGTCTCATGTCTCCTGAAAATGTGTAAAATTAAGCTGTACCCTCACCACCTCGACCACACGGTCTCTGAATCTCCTGAGGGCTGTATCTCAGGCACTAGATACTCATATTTGGCTCAGAATAAATCTCCAAATATTTTACAGAGTTTGACTCTTTTCAATAACATTGGTAGTTACTGATTCTATGAGAGGAATACAAGGAAGGTCGTGATACTTTTGTGTTATTTTTATACATGTTAGAAATTTATGTAATAAGGGGATAAAATGTATATCAGGAAGTGAATGTAAAGTTAAAATGCATACCACACATGAGAGGTGGAAGGCAGTGGATTATAACAAATAACCTGTTAAAGACTGAGTATATTAATTCGATGATTATTTTGTTGTGCACCTACTAAGTGCCAGGTGCTGTGTGAGGTTCTGATGATAGACAGTGAACGAGACAGACTCAGTTCCTGCTCTCGAGTAGCCTACATACCTATAAGAATGGAGACAAGTAAACAGGTGATTAAAATCAGGAGCTTCCAGGAGAACACCCAAGCAGTCCCCAGCGTTACCAGGTCATCCTTCCAGTGTTTGAGCAGGAAATGCTGGGAGGTGTCTGTGGGACTCCGTTGAGTGCTGCCCTCTAGAGGTGTCACTGAGAAAAACACTTCCAAGTCCAGAACAGAGTCCCTCAGGGGCTGCCTGAGGGTTTTCCTCGGGGTAACTCATGGACAGACTCAGGAGATCTTGTCCCTCGGGTGGCAGCCGAAAAGGAGGGTTTCAGGTGAGGTGGCATCCTGTGAAAGGAAGTTCTAGCGCGCCCCTTCAGCCTCACAGCGCCGTGTGGGCCTGAACCTTGGGAAGGCACTTTCTTCATTGCTTCACGAGGGCCTGGGACTTTAGCCTCACCCTTTCTCAATCCTATGAAGAAATAAGCACACAAGAAATCCAAACACTGCCATTCCAGGTTGTTTTCTTTGTATGAATGAATACCCTGTCACCCAGACATCAGCTCTACAGCTCAGGGATGTGTTCAGAGCCCGGGTAGGAAGAGTTCAGCAGGAGGGAGGGAGGGGCAAGGCTGGGAGGAACCCAGACTCCCTGGCCTCCAACCAGCTTGACTGAAGGCGGGGGCAGGGCTGACTGCAGACCTTGCTCAGGCTTCTGGGGTCTCAGTGCCCTAAGGCTGATGATCACAACCCAGTCCTCAGCCTCACAAGCACATCCCACTTGCCAATCCCACCCCACCTCGGTCACCCTCCTGCCAGGACCACCCACCGTTCCTTAGGTTTGTCCTGAATTGGACGCTTTATTAATTGCTGGCACACACCCCCCATGATCTCCACATCCTGGTCCTGTGCGATCATAGATCCACAACAAACTGTTCCATGGAGCAAGCTAGAAACCCCCAAATTCCTGAACTTTCACCGTAAAGAACTCCATTAAACTATAAGTAACCACTGCAAACACAACTACCATTTATTACTTGATGTTGATGCACGCGGGTCAGGCCCTGTATCATGCATTTTGAAAACATTACAATATTCTGTTTAAGAAAATATTCTATCCCCATTTTGCAGATGAGGAAACTAAGGCTTGAAGATGTTAAGTGATGATTCCCAGATCACACAGCTATTTTGAGGCAGAGTCAAGATTGGTACCAGATCATATCAACAGTGAAATACAGGAAATCTTGGTAAGTGTCTACTTTGACTTTTATTTTTATAGATTCTGCCTATTAAGTCAACTGCATTGTTATGCAATAACTGGTTTTCATAGTTGTATTAAATACCTGCATCCACTCAGAGCTTCTGATCAGATTGAGACAGCCTTATTGCTGGCTGCCATTCCAACCAAAGTGACTACACTCAGGACAAGGTGTGATTTATTTCAAAGTTTAAATCACTGATATAGATCAGCAATAGAGTATATTTTCATCAATATTAGATTGATTTAATTTTTTTAAGGATGATATGAAATAGCAGCCATACTTCAGAATCCTAATAGTGTATGTTTAATGAGCACTTACACACTTGCTACTTTTCTGAGTGCTTTGCATGACTTTGAAATTTAATCTTCATACCAACCTATAACATAGGTACCATAAGTATTCCCATTTCATAGATTAGGATACTGAGACACAGAGAGATTTAACAATGTGTCCAAAGTCAAGAAGCCAGGACATGACAACAGTGATATTAAACCCACACAGCCATGTCACAAGCCAGAGATTTTCATTAAAAATAATGTTACTGTGGGGACTTTAATTCCTTCCTGAAATTGAGAATTCTATTCTATTGTGTCCCATATTCTCCAGGAGGGAAAATTATAATTGCAAGAGTTATAACTGTGCAACAGCTATGACCTATTTCAACTTTAGCAGGGCTCCTACAAACTAAGCTGATGTAAATTATAGCAGAGGGCCCTTGGTGGCAGAATCTTTGGTGGCCACTGGCCTATGGCATACCCATGCTGGGGTCACAAAGGTTGTGGTCTGATCTCACTCAGAGACATATGCTTTCCTAAGATATGACAACATCATAATTAGAAGAACTGCATGATCCTTTAACTGCAGTGACATCCCCTCTCAAATCATGACCTAATCATGGACATGGGAGCGATCAAGGTGGAAGTAAAGTGAACTAGAAGATTGAGCGACTATGTGCTGTGATCCATGCCCTTTTCTCGATGATCTAGTGTAAATTTCAAAATGGCCACCACCAGCCTCCTCTGTGTGCTCTGCCAAGCTCAGAAATCTTATATTTTCCAAATTATGTACCAGCCAGAAGCCATTCAAGGTTAAAGGTCTACAGTGCTATGGAATGAATTAATAAGAGCCCATTTACTGTTTCTGCTTCCAGTTTGAAGAGAAATTTCTGGAATCTGCAAAAGATTTGGAAAAGTTAAGAAATAGTAAGATCAAGTCTCTAAGTGCCTCTGAGGAGGGTATCTAGTAGAAGGTACACAGGGAGGTTTGAACAGCCAGCAATGCTTACATGTGTGTAGGGTTGTAGTTGGTGATGGTGGAGAGGGAGAAAATCATAAAATGGAAAGGATGGGCTCCTAGAGCAGGTCTGGCAACTCTTTCCAGGCTAAAAAGGGCCAGACTTCTCTTTGTATTTGCTGGAGAACCATCTCCAGCACTCTGAGGATCCCTTTTCTTGCTTTCCTGCTTTTGGCACCATGAGTGAGCTGTGGTCATCAACTCAGGATCTCATATAGCCCACCCCATCCAAAGACACGCAAGGACATGTTTTAGACAAAAGGAGTTGAAATAGGTCCATTTTGAATTGTTTCTATTATAAGTTTGACAAGGTGATATCTTTGCAATATTGTCTGCTTAGATAATGAGACAGTGTTGACTTGGTTGGAAGTCCAGGTCACAGGGTGAGGAGGGACATGAGCCAGGGTAGAAGCCATGGGGTAAGAAACACAGAGCCTGCCCTGCACACACTGTCTAATGGGGGTATTGAAGGGCACACAAAGAGCCTACATAGAAGCTTCTCTCAGAACTGTGTTTAATGTCTTCAACAGCATGAGACTTACTTTGAGAAATTCCCATGTTAAATGGCATCTGGCTGGTGACCTGTTGCAGTCTCTCCCAACTTCTTCCTAAGATATCATGAAAATAAATCAACACAGACAATACAAGCGACCTATTCTGTAGCTGGATGGGAAATAAAAACATAAATGAAGTAACAGTATAAAAAGTAAAAGAACGCTTGATAAGAAAAAGCACTTCCAGAAGCTAAAAATAAGTTCCTATTTCATTTGAACAGTTGCCAGGCAATTTTTTTTTCATTTTATACATTTAGTCATTTCCACAACCACTTTTTCATCCTGAAAGGGTGGGATTCATAGAAATTTCACTCTGCCTTTTTTTTTTTTTCTATTTTCTAAAGATGGGAGTTTGTTCTTCCAGCAAGTGCCAATGGTTGAGATTGACGGGATGAAGCTGATGCAGACCAGAGCCATTCTCAACTACATTGCCAGCAAATACAACCTGTGTGGGAAAGACATAAAGGAGAGAGCCCCATATAGTATATTTTTTGTTCTTCCATCAACAGAGAACACAGAGTGATTTCGGTCCTTCTGTGAGTGGGCAGGACCGTGGAAGGAGCATCACGACTAGCAGCAGGCTGGGCCTTGGGCATATACGCTGGTGTCCAGTATTGCAGAGTCCCATGGAGATGAGAAAAGAGTGAATATGGGGAGGGTTCAGGCAAGTGTGATTCTAGAAGACAATGCAGCCTATGGATCCAGCACCCTGACAAAGGTTTCCAAACGCTGATGAACCATGAACTCAGGAGGATGGGGAATCATGATTCCAGGTGCTCGGGACTTCAGAGGCTGGACTCCAGCCAACAGCTTAGGACAAGGCATAGAATGTTTGAGAGTCGGTAGATGAAGGCCTGGGGAGAGAATGCTGCAAAGGAGCTGAATCTCAGGTTCCAGTAATTCCAAGAATGGTGACCAGGAACCTAAGTTTCCAGCCAGTTGTATGAACTGGTCCACTTGACTAAGGTTTGAGAGGCTGGTGCCCAAGATACCAGGATTACCTAAAGTGCAGCATTTGATACAGACCTAAGCAGCCAGACTGATTTTGCATCAGCAAAGCTGGGAGGAGGGGTCTCCTCCTTTGCTGGCAGTTCCTTGAGAAGTCCAATATAGAGTTACCAATGACCTAGCAATTCCACTACCAGGTCTACATCCAGGAGAAAGGAAAACACATCCTCACTAATCCATGCACAGAAATGTTCATAGGAGAATTATTCATGCTATGCAAAAGGTGGAAACAACCCAAATGTCCACCCATGGATGAATGGAGGAACAAGTTGTGCTGTAGCAGACAATGGAATATTCTTGGGCTATGAAAAGGGATGAAGTACTGATGCATGCTACAACATGGGTGAGCCTTGAAAACATGTTCCATAAAAGAAACCAGACACCAAAGGCCACATGTAACATGAATTCTTTTGTATGAACCATCCAGACCATTTGAGTCCAGAAAGGAAATCAGTTGTTGACAGGGGCTGGAGAAAGGGGACAATGGGGAATGGCTGCCAAAGCATGTGCTACTGCTTTCCCAGGTGATAAAAATGTTCTGGAATTAGACAGTGACAGTATTTGCAGAATTCTGTAAATGTACTAAAAATTACTGAATAATATTCTGTTAAGGGGTGGCAATTATAGTATGTGAATACATGTCAATAAAGCTGTTATTTAAAAGTATTCGCCAGGTATGGTGGCTCACGCCTGTAATCCCAGCACTTTGGGAGGCCGAGGCAGGCAGATCACCTGAGGTCGGGAGTTCAAGATCAGCCTGGCCAACATGGCAAAACCCCATCTCTACTCAAAATACAAAAATCAGCCAGGCGTAGTGGCAGGTGTCTGTAATCCCAGTTACTCGGGAGGCTGAGGCAGGAGAATCGTTTGAATACAGGAGGCGGAGGTTGCAGTGAGCCAGGATTGTACCACTGCACTGCAGCCTGGGTGACAGAGCAAGACTCTGTCTCAAAGAAAAATAAAATACAGGGCCAGGCACAGTGGCTCATGCCTGTAATCCCAGCACTTTGGGAGGCTGAGGTGGGTGGATCACGAGTTCAAGAGATCAAGACCCTCCTGGCCATCATGGTGAAACCCAGTCCCTACTAAAAGTACAAAAATTAGCCGGGGGTGGTGGCGTGCACCTAAGGTCCCAGCTACTCAGGAGGCTGAGGCAGGAGAATCACCTGAACCCAGGAAGCAGAGGTTGCAGTGAGCTGAGATTGCCCCCACTGCACTCCAGCCTGGTGACAGAGCGAGGCTCTGTCTCAAAAAAAACAAACAAACAAATAAACAAAATAAATAAATAAATAAAAGTTTTGTAGGAAACACAGTTTGAAATGAGAAGAAAGAAGATGTCCTATGCTATGCACTGGTTTTAACTATATGAATAATTTTACCATGTTTACCAATTTTACTATGTAAACAATTTTCCCACATTACCATGGGAATATTAGGTGAGGTCTTGAAACACAATCATGACTAGAATTGGACAACATCATATGGAAAAGGTAATGGAACAATGTTTTATGGAAAATAATTGAGAGAGCTTCTTTTTTTTTTGTTTTTTGAAAATTAGTAGCTTGCTTGAAAAAATATATTTTTTAGGGGTATCTTTTAAAGACATACCTTATTTCCTAGTTTTTCCTTTATTAATTTTATTTTTTTCTTTTTTAAGAACTTCTAATATTGGGCATAAAAGTGAGCCTGGGATTTGTAGTATGATGAGAGAGGAAAACAGACACGTTCGAGATCACTGTGCTGGGGAGGCTGTCTTGGGATTATGTAAATGGCAGGGCTTATGTGTAAAACAAACCACAGCAGAGTGAGCAAACCCTATTTGTAGCATCAGTGGTTACTTGCAGTGATTCCACTAATTTCTCTCATGACTGTGACGCTGGACAGGTCACCGATGTTTCTTGTACCTGTATTTGGTCATGTGTATAACAAACATTTTAGATATAAATCTATCACAGTAGAGTGTTCTGAGAAATAAATGTAAATATATTTATAAAAATCATAGCCTAATGACTAGCATATAAAAGGCACGCAGTGGAGCTGAATTACTTTCCTGTCACCTAATGCTTCACGGTCTCAAGTGTTTAAACATAAAATCTAAGGCAGAAGGCACTCAGCAGTTTGGTTATTTTTGTCTTACGGGGTCGAAATGTATACAGAAGGTAGGGCAGGTTTGAGTGAAAAGCTTCTTCATTGCTCATTGCATCCACCTGAGGAAAAAGATGCAAAGCTTGCCCTGATCAGAGGGAACAACAAGCCATTATTTTCCTGTCTTTGAAACTGTACCTGGGAGCTTCTGGATAGCTGAACACGTGGAGCTTCTTGGAGGGTGGCCTGTCCAGGGAAGGCATGGAAGGTCCATGCCCCTTCCCCAGATCTCGCCCTAGGCATTTCTTCAGCTTTTTAGTGGCTACATGATTTAAGCCTCAAAACTACAATAGAGAATTATTCAGTCAGATATATGGATTACCACCTAACAAGGATAAAGTAAATCTAAAGTCACAGTCAATACTCTGCCTCAAGTGGAAACTGTGATGTTTCTGTCTGGCACTGCCAAGTTTGCAGAACAACAAGAACCAAAAATCAAGAGAGAAGAACTTCATTCGGTTTTAGGGGTGACCCACAGCAAAGTGTGACAAATGGAAAGAGGTCCAGTGAGAACCTCAAACTTAATGTACTGTGAGGCTATCTTGAAAAACAGGCTCCTGGGCCTCTGCTCTTATGCTGCTTCTTTTATGACAAATAACACCTTTAGATCGCACGACAAAAAAAAGTAACACGAAAGACTACAAAAGAAATGAAAAGAAAGTCCTGATTCTACAAAGGATGCTAAGCAGATGAGAACCAATACCAAAACCAAGGACCAACCTGAGAATAAAAAGTGAAAGAGTTCAATGCAAAGAGAAAAGAGTTCAGCCCAGGTGCTGACTTGCCACAAGGCACAAGGAGCCTTTGTGGATACAGCACCTGGTTGACGGATGGGGTCCATGGCAACGGGCAACATAGACCATGTCTTGTTGCAACTTCCAGAAAAACTGTGGAAGTGAAGACAGTCCAAATGAGAATAAGCAAAAGGTGTTTATACAGAGCTTGCTATAGAAAGGAAGTCAGCCGCCATCTTTTGCATTTATCAGAGATTCAGAGGTAGGCAGGAAAGTCTGAGAGATTCATGGTAGAAAAAGTTATGTCCTGATTGCTGGCCTAGGGATGCTGTAAGCTGGCTAACTAGAAGTGTGGATTTCTATGGGATTAGTCAGAGATCCATATTTTGCTTTCTGTGGTTGGTCATAAATTGAAAATAGAGGCAAAAATTAGGGAAGCTGGCAGTTATTGGCCAATGCTGGTGTATTTGACTGTTGTAAGGGTCATGATAGAAGCTGTTTAGTCTATAAGGGCACTAAGAGTTTAGAGGGTTTCTTAGCAGTTTGGCTGCAATAACAAAATACCATAGACTGGGTAGCTTAAAGAACAGATGTTTCTATCTCACAGCTCTGCAGGCTGGGAAGTACAAGATCAATGTGCCAGCAGATTTCACATCTAGGGAGCACCTGTTCCTTGGATCATAGACAGCCAATCTCTGGCTATGTCCTCACATGGCAAACATGCCAAGGGAGTTCTCTGAGAACCCTTTTATAAGGGGACTAATGTCATTCATGAAAGCTCCACCCCCATGACTTGATCATCTCCTGAAACCCCCACCTACTAATGGCTTGAAAGAATATATTTTTTAGGGATCTCTTCTAAAGATTTGGGGGTCAGGATCTCAACATATGAATTTTTGGGAAACATAAACATTCAGTCCATAACACAAGGCAACAGAAAAATAAAATAGTACCTGTGTATTTTTGGGGCATTGACCTTCACTTCCAAGAAGCTTTCCTTGATGTTAATGGAGCACCTGACTCCCAAGGCATGGTATAAAAATAGACTGTGAATAAGAATTCTACGAGTTCTACCAAATAGCCTGTGATATGTGCATTTGAACAATGTATATTACAATATAGCATTGAAGTTGTTTTGTTTGTGTACCAAGTCATTATCCATACGTTTGTATGTATACATAGTCTGAAAATGTATTGTCAAACTATTATCTTAAATCAGTGTTGCCATATGTTTTCTCTTTTTATTATTTATGATGTCAATGTGCTGAGATATTTTAATAAATATCATATATCACTCAAAAACTTTATTATTAAAAATGTATAGATCTGGTGTAGTCCAAAGAAATGTTTTATGAACATATATACACCAAGGATCTAAAGAGCAAAGTTAACCTTTTATCTTTGATTTATCACGTGTCAGTCACTCCACCCCTGTTTGCCTCACTCAAACACATTATTATTATTATTATTATTATTATTATTATTATTATTATTGTGCATTTCAAAGTAAGTTGCAGACATCTTTGCAGTTCACCCTGGGACACAGTGGCATGCAGATTATAACATAGTCAAAGCAGTAAGAACCACCATTGCAAGAAAGAGGATGAATTAAAGTTCACCCAGGCTTATTTCAGATCCCAGAGCAGGAAATGAGGAGGGCAGATGAGGAGAAATGAGGATTCTGAAATAGTCTACTCGTGGGAGAAGAGTGCTGTCATGAAGGTGGAGTCGCTGCCCAAGAGAGACTGGAGAGAGAGTGTGTAGAGCCACTGAACATCAGGGCTGCACACTGTAGGGCCTGGGGCAGACAGGACATGCTGCAGCAGGGGAAAAGCCCCTGGCCCATGTGGAAGATGCAAGCTGGGTGGGTGCTGTGGATGCCATAGTGATGTGGAATGAGAGGAGAAAATGGGAGCCTGGGCTCCAAACAAGGAGTAAGCAGAGCCACACTTCTTACTCTCTCACTGAATCAGGTAACATGGAGAAAGATCTGGATCTTTGCACCTGCCCAGTAAGGAAGCAGAGGTGGGAGAGGGAGAGTCAGCCTGGACAAACTCAGGGAGAAGCAGAGGCCCCAGCCTCACTGCACATGTGTTCCTGATCTGTTTCCTCTGATTCTCCAGGTGTTGAAGAGCCATGGACAAGACTACCTCGTTGGCCACAAGCTGAGCCGGGCTGACATTCACCTGGTCAAACTTCTCTACCACGTGGAAGAGCTTGACACCAGCCTCATCTCCAACTTCCCTCTGCTGAAGGTGACCCATTTCCCAGTCCTCAAGAGGCAGCTCCTCATCTCCCATCTTGGGATCTAGTATCTGGGTCCTTGAACTGGCCACATTCTGACCTCAGCCTTCTCCAGGTCTTCAGGGCCCCCCAGGTCTCCAAAATGAGCTTCCAGGTCCTGATTCTGAGGCATGGAAATGCCTTCTTGTTATGCCAAGGAAATTACATGTGCATGCTACCCCAAGAATATTTCGCTTTTTATAATGCCAAGGACCCAGGACTCAGCATCTCTCCTCATCCCTTTATTTCACTGTGGTTTCTGTTCCTGAGTTCTCTGTGATGCCCTTTATCCCAATATGCCCTTATCTTCCCACACCAAGTGTGTCTGAGCAGGGCCCTTTCCATCTGGTTCCTTCCTTATGCTCTGGCTCTTGCTGTCAGATAACTGAGTTCCTTGTGCACAGCTCTCCCAACACGCTGCCCCTGAAAGCTATATCTCTCTATGGGAAAAAGTGGTCCCATGGTTTGACTTTAACATTTTCTATTTTCATTTCTAGCTCAATTTTCCCATATCTTCACTTCTTCTGCTTAGAGACTGATCTGTGCTATCTCACAGGCACATTGTTCTTTCTCATCTTCTACAAGAGCCATGAATCTACAAGATTCATGTGTAAGGAAGAGGGTAGGAAGACTGAACTGAATAAAGTCTTAAAGACATTTTTTGGGAAAATGCTAGTGAGCTGCATGTTCTTCCTCTTATCTTCATTTCTCACGTAGTGTCTCTTTCTGCCTCCCTACTGGTGCTGATAGAGGGAACTTAGTTGGTCTTTGTGTAGGAGGGGCGCAGATTCCCTGGGTTGTGTTAATGGTGGTGTTAGCCCTTGGCTTCACTCTGAGGCTGTGCTTTGTGCATTGCGGGCCCTGAAAATCAGAATCAGCAAACTCCCCACAGTGAAGAAGTTTTTGCAGCCTGGCAGCCTGAGGGAGCTTCCCATAAATGCGAAAGGTTTAGAAGAAGCAACAAAGATTTTCAAGGTTTGATAAAACAGGCATGGATGCCAAGAACATGCAATACCAATATTCTAAAGTTTTGCAACAATAAATTGCTTTATCTAAATGTTGGTTGTGGCTATTGTGAAGTTAATAAACTTTTTAAAAATTATGTGCTAATTACATAGTAAAATGCCTATGACCAGATTTAGTTAAAATTGATTTCTTTTCATTAGTATCTGATATGAAATCAGATTTCCAAACTCCCCATAAATTTTCTTGGAATTAAAAATTTAGTAAAAAAGTAAAATGTAGACTATGTGGTTTGTTTGACTTTTTCAAGAATTGTCCTGCAACATTTGTCAAATGGCCTATCAGAAAGTCATGTATAGAAATTTACTTCTGACATTCTGCACAAGAAAACAGTTATCATTCTGGGGAATGGCAAAATGAAATTTTCTTTTTTCCTTGACATCCATTTTATTTCTCATGAAAACACTTTTTCTTATGCATTTTCAAACAACCTTTCTGTCTGCTATGGATCCCTCAGTTTTGTAAGGGGTGAGGAAATATTGAAGAGCAAACAGACCCACCCTCTGCTCTCAGGCCAACTTGTCATCCCTTACAGTGCATGTGCTCCTGGCTCATCCTCACTCTCCTCAAGGCTCTGTGGGGACCCGGGCATAAGCCTTCCCTCAGTTCCTTCAGTGCCACTCAGGCCTGGCTGCGAAGATACAGATGGTATATGCGAATTACATATAAGTAACTATATGCAAAATTATTTTTCCCTGGTGTGTCATTGTGCCAGCGTGTTTGGATTAGAAGTGATTTCCAGGAATCCTTCCCTGCGTCTTCTAGCTTCTGGGGGCTCTTGGCCTTTCTGGACTTTCATGGATCATGACCACATCACTCTAATTTCTGCCTCTGTGTTCCAGCACCTCACCCCCTGTGTGTTGTGTCTTCTCTTCTCTCTGCTGTGAGGACAATTGTCATTGGATTTGGGGCCTATCCAGATATACCAAGATGATCTCATCTCAAATTCTTTTACTTCATTACATCTGCAAAGAGCCTTTTTCCAAATAAGATCAAGTTCACAGGATCTAGGGATTTCTATATGGACCTATCTTTCTTGGGGGCCAACATAACCCCCTACATGGTATAGGTGAAATAAGATTATTTGCAATTGATGAATCCAGGTGATGAATACTTTCAGATTTGTTATATTATGGGCAATTTGAGTGACGCAAAGAGGATAGCATATGCAAATAGGGTCTCTGGATTTGTCAGATAAAATACAGGATACCCACCTAAATGTGAATTTCAGATAAACAATAAATAATATTTCAGTATAATCTGGTTTCATACCGTGTTTGGAACATAGCTATAACTAAAAAATTGTTGATTGTTTGCCTGAAATTCACATTTACATGGATGTCCTATATTTTATTTGGCAACCCAGTAAGAAAACGGTGGCATCAGCTTGCCCTTCACAGACATCCTCTCCCAGCTATGCTCACAATAGAGATTTTTCAGTTGCCCTAGTCTTTGCACCCAACTCATGAAAAAAAGCATCTTTAAAAAGCCAGTTTCTGCTGACTTGCAAAAAGAGCAAAATCTCGGTGAAATGTATTGTGTAAACTTTGATTGCCAACCTTGAAAAGGAACACATTAACCAGTGTCTTCTGATAAGCAGATCACTTGCCTCATGTCTTAGAATCCAGTAGGTGGCCCCTTGGCCATGAAATGTGTGGGAGTGGCTTTTCCCTAACTTGACTCTTCTTTCAGTGGGAGAGAACTATTGAGAGGAACAAAGAGCTTATAAATACATTAGGACCTGGAATTCAGTTGTCGAGCCAGGACGGTGACAGCGTTTAACAAAGTAAGTACTGATCTTATAAATTTCTCTACATTGCCTCACACCCTCCTCTCTAGCCTCCTAGAAAAATATGCTAATATGTGTCCTTAGCACAAGGAAAAGTCTGTTTTTACTCATATTGTGCCGTCTTGGTGTGCTTGGGTGACAGTTCAAGAATTGTTTATTTCTTTTCTGTTGGATACATCTTTACAGAATTGTAAAAATGAAGAATTTAGAAAACCAGGGCTTCAGCATTTAATGGTATGGGAAACAATGACATGAAGAGAAAAAAGAAATGGTAGCATTTTAAACAATCTGAGAATAATCAGTGCTGGAAGAAGTGGCAATGTATGCAAAAATTTATTTCTCTGTGTAAGTAGTCAACACACAATTGTAAATTGTGACACTGTAATTCTATATTGGCTGTGAAAATACAAAACTCAGGTTTAGTATAATTAGAATAAATTAGTTTGAATGTCAGGAGAACTAGATTCTAGTTGAGCCTTTGCCACTAATTAGCTCAAAGACAAGTCATATTCTGTCTCTGGAGTTCTACCAACTCATGGCCAATATAGAGGATAGCTAAGAAAGAGGCTCCGACTGTTGCTGCCCTTTAAACTGTGTAATTCTTTGAATGGAGATCTGTCCTGCTCACTCTAGGATGTTTCTAGGCATCCCTGGCCTCTACCTATCTGATTTGTAACCCCCTTTCCCTCCCCGCAGATATGACAACCCAAAATGTCTCTAGACCTTGCTCAATGTCCTCTGGAGCAGAGGAGCAAAATCCCCCTGGTTGAGAACCATGGGACTACATGACCTCATGGGGCTAAGCAAGGCTGTGTTACTGATGTGCCCCACTGCTTGGACATTCACTGAAAATTTCCTGTTAATCCAGGTGGACTGATTAGTGAATATCAATATCTTCTGTACAGGAGCTAAAAAGGAAAGAGAGAGAGAAACAGAGAGCCATCATATGACAGATTTGATATAAGTCTGGATTCATATAAAATCTTATTCCTACTCGAGTTCTATGAACAAAATATAGAGAACCAGAGAAATGGATACAAGACAGATAATAGATGATGAAGAGACAGATTACAAAGAGATAGATACATAGAACGATTGATAGATAAAATAATACATACATGGATGGGTAGACAGAGATTATAAATAGATACATATACATAGATTGTTGGTCAGTAAAATAATTGATGGATAGATAGATCAAAGAAAGAGGATCCATGGGCTACTCAATATGTCCAGAGACTCACCCATCTTCCAAGCACTGGGACAAGAGCAAACACCCATTGCTGTGTTCCTACTATGAATTTTTTGTACATTATCTCATTTAACTTTCTCAACAACCCTCAAAAGTAGAAATAACTATCTCTATTCTAAGAAGAGAAAATTGAGGCTCAGAGATTAAACAACCTACTGCATTTATGAATCTCATAATGGAAGGAGTCATAGTTTATCTCATTCTCCCTTCTCTCTGATAAGAAACAGTGTCATTGGGACCACCTCAGAGATGTAAATGTAACTCCTTTAATTTACTCCTGGAATTATGAGAGCTTATATTCCTTTCAAAACAAGCCCATTTTTTAATTGATGTAAGTTAATTATTGATGTAAAGTAATTATACTAGTCCTCAACTCACTCTGATTTTTAGGTTGTCAAATCAGAGAAAGTCACAGTTTTATCAATTTTTTCTTCCAAGCAAGCCCCTGAAAAGTTGCTAACAGGAGGAACTCAGGAATTAGATGTTCCCCTCTCGTCCTCTCCTTCCAACATTTATTTGGCTAATATATATTTAATAGGAAAATACAAAACAACTTCTCAGACAGGAGCTGAGAGCCAGGTTATGAGGTGGAGTGGAAAAGCTCTGGACCTGCAATCAGAAGTTAAGGCTGACCCAACACTCACCAAGTGTGCAGCATGAGACAGGTGCTTTAGCTCTCTGAAACTCAGTGTGCCCATCTTTAATTTGGATAATAGGAGCCATTTCCCAGGGTTGTTGCGGAAGGTAAACACACTCCCTAGATATTGACTATGAATGAGGAGCATGTGTGTGTGACCCATGGCAAATCCTTGAGCTCTCTGGTTCTCATTTTCTGTTGACCCAACAAAGCTCAATGGTAACCTATGTCTCAGTCTTAGCCTGACCCTTGGAAACCTCACATTGAGAAAGTGATATGCTAGTTATCAGCAGGAGTGTTGTGATAAAATATTATGTAAGATAAAATTTCACTTCCTTTTGAAACATGATCCTCAATCAATGGCTAAGAGAGTTTAGTTTGGGGATTGGAATTACAACACTGTGAACTCTAGTCGATAACAATTAAACAAGCATACCCCATGCTTTCATCTGAACTTCACTCTCCCTTTCACTCTGTCAAATTATGCTATTTCCATTTCCCAAGTTACTTTAAATTGCTCCTGGAGTTATCATAGAAAGTACAATGTCAAAATATCTCATGACAAAACAGGTGAGTTGATTCAGTATGATTTCAAAGAATTCTTTACTTTCCAAAGGTTAATTATTGACTCCCATATTTTAAAATGAGACATTTAAAAGATTTTGATGCCTAATTTTAGTCATACATACCTTTTTAGAAATACATTAGTTGAGGCCGGGTGCAGTGGCTCACTCCTGTAATCCCAGCACTTCGGGAGGCTGAGGCGAGTGGATCACCTGAGGTCAGGCGTTCCAGACCAGACTGTCCAACATGCTGAAACCCTGTCTCCACTAAAAATACAAAATTATCCGGGTGTGGTGGCACATGCCTGTAATCCCAGCTACTCAGGAGGCTGAGGGAGGAGAATCACTAGAACCTGGGAAGCTGAGTTTGCAGTGAGCCAAGATCACGCCATTGCTCTCCAGCCTGGGCAAAAACAGTGAAACTCCATCTCAAAATTAATAATAAATAAATAAATACATTAGTTGTTAAAGGCAAGTATATTTTTGTTCCACACTCAACAACCACAAAACTTTGCAAGAAGAATCTTAATGTTAAATATCAGAGCTGGGGGTTTGGAGAGAAAACGCAACTGTTCCTAAGTCTTGGCACTGGAACTCCTGCTTTCAATGAGTCCTGTGCCCTTCCATTCACATTCATGATACAATTAGTTGCATCTGTCCCTGCAGCCACTGGTTTTCATTCTCTGATACTCTGCTATGTTCCACCTCCCAAACAGCCTGGGATAGAGCAAGGGCTATCAAACTTCACTGATGAGCCCAGTCAATTTCTCTCTAACCATTTACAATGAGCAAGTGAGCATGCACACGTGCAAACATCCGTACACACAATATACAAATAACTGAAACTAACAACTCATCAAACATTACTTACCTTTCAACATGTCATGCTCACTGACATTTTCTATTCTTTTCTATTTTATTTTTAAAAGTAATGGGCTTTCACAATCTACTGAAAGATTACCATGCATATTTCAGAAACACTAACATAGAAAATAAGACTCAGTCCTTGGTTTTTAACAGCAGTGAGTCTGCATCCCGATCCATCATTTACTCTGAGAAAGTTACTTTAAAAACCTCAGTATCCTCAAATGTAAAATGAGAATAACAACTGCATTCATCTTAGGTGATTTTTGTAGGATAAAACGAAGAGAAGTTTAGAAGAATGACCAGTGTGTAACTGATGTTGAACAAATGCTAGCTCCTTCCATATTGCAAAATTAATGCAGCAACATCTCTTCTTCCAGCTTATAAAACAAAATGCACCCCATAGAGTTAGAATACAGAATTACAAAAGCTGCAGGGATTAACAATCTCTGTCTGTTGATAGATTTTGGATCTTCTAGCTACAGTTAAACAAGTCTGAGGCCTAATTTCTGGTTTTGATCAAATGTAGTCTCACAGTCAAAGAGGTGAAGAGTGACTTAGCTCCCTGCCGGTCCTCCCTGTCAGTGACATCCTCTGGTTTCATGGCCAGTTCATGGGTTCCCAGGGCCTTCACCCAGCTGGCTTCCAGGAGTGACTTCATTTTAGTCCTTGGTGTAGATATTCATGTCCATCACCAACCGGAGTGTGACTGTGAACATTGTATTTCTCTGATGTTCCATTTCATTAACTAAAAAATTGAGATAACAATCATTTCACGGGACTATAAGGAGGGTTAAAGATATAAAATATTGAAAGGGACTAGCATTGAGGAAGGATCACTAGGAAGTTTTCAATAAATATTAGTTCTTGAATTCTTCCTCTTCCAATAACTCCTATACATGTATTTTTACCACATACTCTCACCTCTTATGCTGCCAAGAAAAGTCACAGTTAGCCAATGAAGACTTGAGACTGGTTTGCTGGAATCTGAGGGTGGCCACTGCTGGGTAACAATTTGAGCCAAGAAAACATTCCAGGAACTCCTCCAACACAGTCATGAAGAAGGAAGGTTCTTCTTCAGTATTGTTGGTGGTTTTCAACTACATATCCTAAAGTACATTTTTGATTCTATCGTTTCAATTATTCATTCATTCATTCATTCATTCAGGCTTAGAGAAACCTCCAGGAGACTGCTATCATGGCAGAGAAGCCCAAGCTCCACTACTTCAATGCACGGGGCAGAATGGAGTCCACCCGGTGGCTCCTGGCTGCAGCTGGAGTAGAGGTAGGTTCTGAGTTAGGTCATCTTAAGTTGGATTTAAAATTGTGTTATCACATACTTTTCCCACAGAAACTATGAGATGTTGCTTACTGAAGCATTGTGCCTTAAATAAAAATGGACTGTAATTAAGAAAAAGATGAACAGATTTGACCTATTAATTCTTAAAATTTCTTCTCATCTAAAAGCAAACATATTAAAATACAATTAAGACACTAATCACAAAGTGCAGAACTTAAGTGGATTAGAATTTAAACAAACTGTAAAGAATAATTTATAGCATTTATACAATTAGAAACATGAATATCGATTGAATATATGAAGACATGAAATAATTATTGTTAATATTTCATGTGTGATAATGTACTATGGCTGTCTTTAGAATAGTTAATGTGTTTTAGGAAAACACATTGAAGTATTTAAGGATTAATCATATGGATCTGGGATTTCCTTGGAATTATTACAAGAGGAGAAGTAGGTGGGCATATAGATGAAACCATATTGGTTTTGATTGATAATTATTGATTCTAGGTGAGAAGTATAAGGAGAATCATTATGCTTTTCTGTTTATATTTATTCATGTTCATAATTTCCACAATAAAAAAATAAAAATGCATAATATTAAAAAATGATTGTAATTAGAGGTAAAATGCAAACTACAAATGAGAGATGGAAGGGAGTGGATTGTAACAAACTACCTATTAAAGATTGACTACATTCACAGCAATTATTTACTTGAGCACTTATTAATTCCAGGTTCTGTACTCGGTCATGGAGATAGTGAACAAGACAGACACAGTCCCTGCCCTGGGGCAGCCTACGTGTCTATGAGGATGCAGAGAAATAAACACGTGGTTAAAATGAGGGGAGGAGGCTTCTAGAACACACAAGCATTCCCCAATGCCACAAAACCACATCAGAAACCAGAGGTTTTCCTTAAAAATAATGCTAGTGTGGGACCCTAATTCCTTTATTAAATTGAGAATTTTACCCTATTGTGCCTCGTACTTCAGAAGAGAAAATTACAGTTGCAAGTGTGAAAGCTGTGCAACAGTGGCGACCTATTTCACACTTAGCAGGGTTCCTGAGAAGTGGGGCGATACAAATTACAGCAGAGGCTCCTTGGTGGCAAAATGTTTGATAGCCATTAGCCCATGGCATGCCTCATGCTGGGGACACACAAGGTTGTGGTCTGATCTCACTTGGAGACACAGGCTTTCCTAAGATATGACAACACCATAACTAGAAGAACTGCTCAGTGCCTTTTCTCCAGTGATGTCCCCCTCAAAATATGACCTAATCATAGACATTCATATCAGGGTGGAGTTGAAGTGAACTAAAAGATTTAGCAGCTATGTGCTGTGACCCATGCACTTTTCTCAATGAATTAGGTCTAAATTTCCAAATGGCCATGACCAGCCCCCTCTGTGTACCCTGCCAAACTCAGAAATCTTGTATTCTCCAAATGATGCACCAGATGGGGCCATTCAAGGCCACAGTCTATAATAGAATGAACTAACAAGAACGTATTTACTGTTTCTGCTTCCAGTTTGAAGAGAAATTTATAAAATCTGCAGAAGATTTGGACAAGTTAAGAAATGGTAAGATCAATCTCTAAGTTCCTCTGATGAGGGTATCTAGTAGAAGGTACACGGGGAGGTTTGCGCAGCCGGCAATGTCTATGGGTGTGGGGCATGGTATTTGTACATGGTGCAGAGGGAGAAAGTGGTTAAAATGGAAGGGATGTGGCTCCTTGAGCAAGTCTGGCAACTCTCTCCAGGTTAAAAGGACCAGACCTCTCAGAGTATTTGCTAGAGGAACAATCTCCCACCGCTGAGAAAGCCCTTTCTTTGTTTTCATGCTTGGGGCACCATGAATGAGTGGTGGTCATCAGCACAGGATCCCATACAGCCCTCCCCATCCAAGCACATGCAAGAACATGCATTAGACAAAAGGAGGAGGAATAGATGTGGCCACTGTCTTGAGTTTTTTCTTTCATGGGGGGAGTGGGACTGGGTAACACTGTAGCAATATCGCAGACTTTGAAGAGCACAGAAAGGGACCCTTACATAAAAACCTCTCAGAACCTGCCTTAAATGTCACAACACCATGAGACTTACTCTGGGAACTTCCTGTTTTAAATGGCATCTTGTTGCCAGTCCTATTGTAACTTGTCCCAACCTCTTCCTAAAATATCCATGAAGATAAATCAACACAAAAAATACAAGAGTCCCACTATGTATCTGGAGGGGCAATAAAAACATATATGAAATAAATGGATAAAAAGTAAAAGGAAACTTCTTAAGAAAAAGAAGAACTACAGGAAGCTTTTTAAAAATGTTGTTTGGACTGGGTGCAGTGGCTCATGCCTGTAATCCCAGTTTGGGAGGCTGAGGTGGGTAGATCATTTCAGTTCAGGAATTTGAGACCAGTTTGGCCAACATGGTGAGACCCTATTGCTTGTAAAAATACAAAAATTAGCCATGTGCACTGGTGCATGGCTGTAATCCCAGCTATTGGGAGGCTGAGGTAGGAGAGTCACTTGAACCTGGGAGGCAGAAGTTACAGTGAGCCAAGATCATGCCACTCCACTCCAGCCTGGGTGACAGAATGATACTCTGCCAAAAAAAAAAAAAAAAAAAATATATATATATATACACACACACACACACACACACACACACACACACACACACATATATATATATATATATATATATATATATATATAGTTTTTGTTTCAAGTGAAATCTTACCAGGCAGTAATTTCTTTGCCATTTTACAAATTTAGTCATTTCCACAACCATTTGTTCATCCCAAAAGGGTGGGTTTCATAGACACTTCACTCTCCTTTTTTTTCTTCCTTCTAAAGATGGATATTTGATGTTCCAGCAAGTGCCAATGGTTGAGATTGATGGGATGAAGCTGGTGCAGACCAGAGCCATTCTCAACTACATTGCCAGCAAATACAACCTCTATGGGAAAGACATAAAGGAGAGAGCCCTGTACGGTATATTTTCTGTTCTTCCATCCACAGAGAACACAGAGTGATTTAGGTCCTTCCTTGAGTGGGTGGGACGATGGCAGGGCATCATGACCAGCAGCAGGCTGGGCCTTGGGCATGTACGCTGAGGTCCAGTATTGCAGAGTCCCATGGAGATGAGGGAACAGTGAACATGGGGAGGGTTCAGGCAAGGGTGATTCTAGAAGAGGATGCAGTCCATGGATCCAGCACCTCACGGTAATTTCCAAACACGGATGAACCATGAACTGAGGAGGATGGGGAATCATGATTCCAGGTGCTCAGGACTTCAGAGGCTCGACTCTGGCCAACAGTTTAGGACAGGCATAGAATATGTGAGAGTCTGTAGATGAAGGACTGGGGAGGGAAAGTTGCAAAGACGCCAAAGCTAAGGTCCCAGTAATTCCAAGAATGATGACCGGGAACCTAAATTACCAACCAAGTATATCAACTGGAATACTTGAGCAGGGCTAGTAGAGGCTGGCACCAAGGATGCTGGGGTTACCTTGACACATGGATAGAAGCACAAAACAGCCAGATTGATTCAATACCAGCAAAACCAAGGGGTCTCCTTGCTGTTGTGATGAGACTGCATGATTCCAAATAAATCCTGAATGAAACTGCTGGCAGCTCCTCAAAAACTTTAATATAGTATTACCAATGACCCAGCAGTTCCTCTAACAGGTATATCCCCAAATAATCGAAAATACATCCACACTATATATTTTACATAAATAAATAATGCGAATAACAATATTCATAGAATTCAAAAAGTGGAAACAACTCAAATATCCATCAATCAATAAATGAAGGAGAAAAATGTGCCTTAGCCATGCAATGGAAAGATATTTGGTCATGAAAAGGAATGAAGTACTAATGCATGCTATAAGACAGTTAAGCCATAAGACATGTTACATAAAAGAAACAAGACACAGAAGGCCACATATTATAGGATTCTTTTTGTATGAAATGTCCAGATAGTCAAATCCATAGAGGTAGAAAGTAGATTAGTGCTTGCCTGGAGCTAAAGGAGTGGGGCTTGGAGAAAAAAGAATACTGCTAATGGTACAGGTGTCCTTATCAGGGCGACAAAAATAATTCTGCAATTAGACTGTGGTTATTTTTACAGATTTCTGTGAGTGCACTAAAAACCACTCAATAGTATAATATACCTGGTGGCAATTATAGTATGTGAATATGCATCAATAAAGTTCTTGTTTTAAAAAGTATTGTGAAACTCCAGTTTGACACAAAAGAAGAAAAGTTTGCACTGGTTGTAACTGTATAGAGAATTTCACCAGGGAAGGGGATTCTTAGGTGGGGTCTCAGGAAAGGCACACATGGCTAGAGTTGCGCAACAGCACATGGAAAGGGCTGTGGAAATGTGTTTCATGGGTGTAATTGAAAGAACTGCAAATATGGGGCATAGAAGCAGCCCTGGGAGCTGTAAAATGATGAGAGAGGACAAGGAATATGGCTGACATGGCTGTGCCAGGGACTCTCTTAGGATTACTTAGGAAGCAGGTCTTTGGCCATTTGACTCACACTAAGTTCATGCACAGAACAAACCACAATGGAGATGATAAATCTTGGCACAGCATCAGTGGGTACTGGCAGTGATTCTGCCAATTTCTCTCATGACTGTGACCACCGACGTTCTTTTTACCTGTATTAGGTCATGTGTGTAACAAAATTTAGAGATCTATCTACCTTGATAGGTTAAGAGATAAATGTTAATATACCTGTAAAACTCAGAGCATAATGACTAGACTATAAAAGGCACCCACTGGAGGTGAATTATTTTGCCATCACCTGATACTCTACTCCCTTAGGTTTTTATAAACCTATAAAATCTAAGGCAAAAGGTATTTGACCATTTGGTTGTTTCTGTCTTTCAGGATTGATATGTATATAGAAGGTATAGCAGATTTGGGTGAAATGATCCTCCTTCTGCCCGTATGTCCACCTGAGGAAAAAGATGCCAAGCTTGCCTTGATCAAAGAGAAAATAAAAAATCGCTACTTCCCTGCCTTTGAAAAAGTAAGTGAAGCAGTTCAGTGTTTTGGGGAACTGAGTTTAGAGGCCAATAGAAAAATAGTGGCTGGGCATTCCTGGGTCACTGATCTTCACTTTCAGTGAGACTTCCTGAACACCAATGCAGCACTCTGACTCTCAAGGCATTTTATGAAAATAGACTTGGAGAAACAATTGTATCATTTATACCCAAGCTATACTTTTCCAGTAAAATTTTAATTTACTGGACCCCAACATGGAATTACCTGTTCAACAAGATTTCATGTTCATAAGTAGAATGTGGGCTCTGGACCACACTAGAGGTTGCTGTTGAGTCTATGGAACCCCATGGACTTTGACTGAACAGGGGCATGATGAAAGCGATCCATCAGAAAATATTCTGGCACCATATGCAGGAAGATAGGAGACCAATTGCCCAACCAGAGAATACTGTAGCGTTTCAGGGATGGGTATTTTTTAAAAGGAGAGTGATTGTGGGATGCAGAGGAAGATTTTTTAAAATGGATTTTAGAGTAAGTTGCAGACATCAGTGCAGTTCACCCGTAAACGCTTCAGCTTGCAGATTATAACATAGTGCCAGTTGGGAGTGAGAGTCAATGCTGTAAGAAAGATGAATTCAGGTTCACCCAGGTTTCCTACAGATCCCAGGGAGATAGAGCAGGGAATGAGGAGAGCAGACAAAGAGAAATGAGGACTCTGAAATAGTCTCCTCCTGGGGAAGAGTGTTGTCATGAAGGTGGAGTCACTGCCCAAGGGAGATTGGAGAGGGAGAGAGCAGAATGTAGAGCCACATCCTGAATGTGAGGGCTCCACGCTGTAGGGCCTGGGGCAGACAGAACACATGGAGGCAGGTGCTAAGCCCCTGGCCCATGTGGAAGAAGCAAGCTGCGTGGGTGGTGTAGATGCCACAGTGATGTAGAATGAGAAGAGAAAATGGGAGCCTGAGCTACAACTGAGGAGTGAGTAGAGTTACAGTTCTTACTCTCTCATTCATTCAGATAATGTGGAGAAAGCTCTGGATTTCTGCACCCATGCAGTAAGGCAACAGAGGTGGGGAAAGTCAGGGTGGAGAGGCTCCGAAAGAAGCAGGGGTCCTAGCCTGGGTGTGCATGTGTTCCTGATCTGATTCCTCCCATTCTCCAGGTCTTAAAGAGCCATGGACAAGACTACCTTGTTGGCAACAAGCTGAGCCGGGCTGACATTCATCTGGTGGAACTTCTCTACTACGTCGAGGAGCTTGACTCCAGTCTTATCTCCAGCTTCCCTCTGCTGAAGGTGACCCATTTCACAGCCCAGAGAGGCAGCCCCACATCTCCCATCTTGGGATCTTGTATCTGGGCCCTGCGACTGACCAAGTTTTGCCCCAGTCTTCTCCAGGCCTTCAGTGCCCCAAGGTCTCCAAAATGAGCTTCCAGGCTCCAATTTTGAGGAATGAAAACACTTTTGTTATGGAAAGGAAATCTGTGCTGCATGCTACCCCACAAAGAGTATTTTGCCCTTTATTATGGAAAGAACCCAGGGCCCAGCATCTCTCCCCATCCCTCTATTTCAATGTGGTTTCTGTTCCTGAGTTCTCTGTGATGTCCTTTATCCCATATGTGCCCACAATGAGCCGGTCTGAGCAGAGCCCTTTCCATCTGGTTTCCTCCCTGGGCTCCGGCTCCTGCTGTCTGACATTGTGTTCCTCTCTGCACAGCTCTCCAGAACACTGGCCCCCCACACTGTATCTCTCACTGAGAAAAGGTGGTCCCATGGTTTGTCTTTAATATTTTCTATAACTATTCCCTTCCCAAATAATTTCCCCATGTTTTCACTTCTGCTTAGAGACTCATCTGTGTTGATATCTCACAGGCACATTATTTTTTCTTGTCTTATACAAGAGTCACTAATCTATAGGATTAGTGTGTAAGGAGAAAGATAGAGATGACTGAACTGATTAAAACTTCAAGACATCTTTGGGGAAAATAAAGTGAGCTACATGTCCTTCCCCTTATCTTCATTTCTCACTGGGTGTCTGTTTCTGCCTCCATGCTTGTGCTGATGGAGCAGACTCACTTGGTCTTTGCAGGAGGGGCTCAGATTCCCTGGGTCATGTTAATGGTGGTGTCAGCCCTTGGCTTCACTCTGAGGCTGTGCTTTATGAATTACAGGCCCTGAAAACCAGAATCAGCAACCTGCCCACAGTGAAGAAGTTTCTACAGCCTGGCAGCCCAAGGAAGCCTCCCATGGATGAGAAATCTTTAGAAGAAGCAAGGAAGATTTTCAGGTTTTAATAACGCAGTCATGGAGGCCAAGAACTTGCAATACCAATGTTCTAAAGTTTTGCAACAATAAAGTACTTTACCTAAGTGTTGATTGTGCCTGTTGTGAAGCTAATGAACTCTTTCAAATTATATGCTAATTAAATAATACAACTCCTATTCGCTGACTTAGTTAAAATTGATTTGTTTTCATTAGGATCTGATGTGAATTCAGATTTCCAATCTTCTCCTAGCCAACCATTTTCCTGGAATTAAAAATTCAGTAAAAAAGGAAACTATAGATTATGTGGTTTGTTTGACTTTTCCAAGAATTGTCCCGTAACATACAATTTGTCATACAATCTATTAAAATGTCAATGTAGAAATGCACTTCTGACATTTTCAGGTATGCACAGGAGAAGAGTTACCATCCTGGATAATGGCATAAAGACATTTTCTTCTTTTCCTGGACAGTCATTTTATTTCTGATAAAAGCGTTCTTTCTTATGCATTTGCAAAACAATGATTCTGTCTGCTGTGGATTCCTCAGTTTTCTAGGAGGTGAGGAAATACTGAAGAGCAAACAGACCCACCCTCTGCTCTCAGGCCACCCTATTGTCCCTTACAGTGTGTGTGCTCCTGGCTCATCCTCACTCTGCTCCTTAAGGCTCTGTGGGGTCCCAGGCATAAGCCTTCTCTCAGTTCCTTCAGTGCCACTCAGGCCTGGCTGCCACGATACAGATGGTATATGTGAAATACAAATAACTATATGCAAAATCATTTTTCCCTGGTGTGTCACTGTGCCAGAATGCTTAGATTAGGAGTGCTTTCTAGCTCCACCCCCATACTGGTCCCATAGTGCTAATCTCTCCCAGGACACCTGGGCTTCTGCAATTTGCACTCTCCTCCTCTTAGAGGGAGCTTCCCCACAGTTGGCAGAGGTGGTTGAGGGAGCAGACAAACACACAGGCTTCCTACCTGCAGCTTCACTTTGCTCTAGTCTCTTCTCCACTTACAACCAGAGTAGTTTTTCCAAAATACAAATTGGAAAAATACTCACAGAATTCTTCAGTGAGTCCTGACTGCATATACAATGCATCCTCACACCTGTCTTCACTCCGTGATCTTCAGCCCAGTCAACTCTCCGAGCATGGTGGGGCCTCTTGCCTTCCTGCCTGGGTGCGTTTGCTAGCCCTGCCTGGCAAGCTCCTTCCCAGTGGACACACTTAACACTACCTCATTGCTTCCCAGGAGCACTGGGCTGTCCTCTGCCCTCCACAGAGTCCCAGTGAGCCTCTAATAACACCTGAGGGCCACTGTGTCTGCTCCCCTGTACTGTGAGCCTGTGGTGTGAGGCTTGGCCTGCTGGGTCCCCAGTGCTTCATCACTAATGGACAATGACATCTGCACAGACCCATGCACAGCTCTATGCAACTCCAGAACCTGGGTATATGAGATTGGGCTTTGAGAACTCACAAACCCCCACACTCTCTACCTGTCTCTATTCATTCATTAATTTCTAAAAAAAAAAAAAAAAAATTGACTCATATCCCTCAAATGCTTTGTAAGGACCTTGCTTGCATGCTGACCAAAATAAACAAACTGCTAAGAAATTTTTATGGGACACTTACATGAACTAGAACGCTGGAGCTTTGATGAAATTAAAGAATTATAGAATTTTAATATGATAAGAGATTATCATATTAAACACAATCATAGTGTGATTATGTTTAGAAAAGAAGTTCTTCCTTTCTAGAGATGAATACTAGTATTTACAGATGAAATGATATGCTGTCTGGGATTTGCTTGAAAAGAATCCCCTGGTAGTGGTGGGAGTATGTGGGAGTTTGTATCATTTTCTTGTGGCTCCTGTCACAGATTCCTACAAACTGGGTGGCTTGAAACATCAGAAAGGCATTTGCTTACAATTCTGAAGGCCAGAAGCCTGAAGTCAGGATGTGAGTAGGGCCACATTCCCCTGGAAGTACTAGAGAACAATCCTTCCCTGCCTCCTACAGCTTCTGGGGGCTCTTGGCATTTCTGGACTTTCATGGATCATGGCCACATCACTCTACTTTCTGCCTGGGGCTTCCAGCACCTCACCCTCTGTGTGTCTGTGTCTTCTATTCGCTACATTGCAGGGACATTTGTCATTGGATGTAGGGCCTATCTGGATATACCAGGATGATCTCATCTCAAGTTCCTTAACCTCATCTGCAAAGAGCCTTTTTCCAAATAAGGTCACATTTACAGGACTCAAGGATTTGGACATGGACCTGTCTTTCTTGGGAGCCAACATAACTTAATCCACTGCCAGGTATAGATGAAGAAATGTTGCTGGCAATTGATGAATGCAGGTCATGGGTACCTTCAAGCTTGTTATATTATTCCCTCTACTTTTGTATTTGCCAGAATTTTTCCATGTAAATTTTAAAACTATCTTATTTTAGGAGCTCCTACAATGTCCAGGTTTTGTCCCAGACAATAAGGACTGGACTGACATAAGAAGGCTCTGTTCTCAGGAGCTCAAGGTCTAGGGAGAAATCAGATATTGAATACATCATGTAAATTAATGTAGGGAAAGACACAATAGAGAAAATACAGTAGGAGGTGAAAGTGGAGTATTCCAGTCAGGACAAATGCCATGTGCAAAGGCCCAGAGGCCAGGAAGGGTGATTTGTGCAATGCAGAGAGGTAACACTGTAAAAATAGGGTGGCCAGATTTGGCGGATAAGATACAGGACACCCAAATAAATGTGAATTTTTAGACAAACAAGCAATACTTTTTTAGTATAAACATGTTTCCTACAGTGTTTGGGACATACTTATACTAACAAATGACTGATCCTTTGCCTGGAATTCATATTTACCTGGGTGCCCTGTATTTTGTGTGGCAACCCAGTAAGAGAAGACTTCCAGAGTGCCATCAGCCTGCCCTTCACAGACATCCCCTGCCAGCTATGCTCCCAGCAGAGATTTCTCATCTGCCTTAGTCCTTACATCCAAGTCATTAAAAATGAGCGTCTTCAAAAAGCCAGTTTCTACTGACTTACTGTAAAGAGAGCAAAATCTGCTGAAATTTTTGGTTAGACTTTTATTGCCAACCTTGAAAAGGAACATATTAACTAGTTACCTTGTGATAAGAGGATGACTTGCGATTTTTCTTAGAATCTGGTAGGCAGTTCTGCAGCCCTGAAATGTGTGGGAGTGGCTGTTTTTAACTTGACTCTATTCCTTTCAGTGGGAGGGAGCTATTGAAGCGAACATGTAGTTTATACACCACATTAGGACCTCAAATTAAGTTGTTGAGCCACAAGGGTGACAGCCTTTAACAAAGTAAATACTGATCTTAGAAGTCTCCCTACATTACCTCATGACCTCCCATCTAGGTCACTAGAAAAATACTTTAAAATGTGTCCTTGGCACAAGAAAAATCTGTTTTATACTTATATTAGTGCCTTTTCTGTGTGCTTGGATGACAGTTTAAAAGTTCTGCATTCACCTGCTTTTGGATACATTGTTTCAACTTAAATAATAAAGAGACCCTTTCAAATAAAAGATATTTATTTGAGAATTAAGTGTTGTAATGGGTATATGTTTATCACAGTAAACTATGTATGTATTCAGGGAAGTTAAGGAAGACAAAGATTTTTATAGGAATAAAATGAGGATTAAATAAACGTTTTGAAATACTTATCAGTCACTACAAATGTCAATAACAAGGGTAATGCCAGGCCAAGTTTCAACAGGCAGTTGCTGAGCAAGTGTCCTAACAGATTCTTTTATTAAGATTGCGATGGCCTTTGTTCAAGGTTGTGTTTTTCCTAGTTTGTTTTGTTATCAGATAAACAGTAAGAACATTCTCTTTATGGCCTTTTTCAGCTCTGTTGTCAGAGTTTTCCTAACATTGTGACTCCTTTTGACTCTGACAACTCTCACAATCATTAAAGAAACGCAAAAATGAAGAATTTAGAAAACTAGACTATGAGAATTTAATTATAGTAGAAAAATTAATACCATGAGGGGAAAAAATAGTCACGATGTTTTGTCCGGAATTGGTGGGTTCTTGGTCTCACTGACTTCAAGAATGAAGCCGCAGACCCTTGCGGTGTCACAGTTCTTAAAGGCGGCGTGTCCAGAGTTTGTTCCTTCTGATGTTCAGATGTGTTCAGAGTTTCTTCCTTCTGGTGGGTTCGTGGTCTCACTGGCTCAGGAGTGAAGCTGCAGACTTTCGCGTGAGTGTTACAGCTCTTAATGTGGCACCTCTGGAGTTGTTAGTTCCTCCCAGTGGGTTCGTGGTCTCTCAGGCTTCAGGAGTGAAGCTGCAGACCTTTGCAGTGCGTGTTACAGCTCATAAAAGCAGTGTGGACCCAAACGGTGAGCAGCAGCAAGATTTATTGCAAAGAGTGAAAGAACAAAGCTTCCACAGTGTCGAAGGGAACTGAGCTGGTTGCCACTGCTGGCTGGGGCAGCCTGCTTTTATTCTCTTATCTGGCCCCACCCACATCCTGCTGATTGGTCCATTTTACAGAGAGCCAATTGGTCTGTTTTACAGAGAGCTGATTGGTGCATTTACAATCCCTGAGCTAGACACAAAAGTTCTCCAGGTCCCCACTAGATTAGCTAGATACAGAGTGTTGATTGGTGTATTTACAAACCCTGAGCTAGACACAGGGTGCTGATTGGTGTGTTTACAAACCTTGAGCTAGATAGAGAGTGCTGATTGGTGTATTTACGATCCCTTAGCTAGACATAAAGGTTCTCCACCTCCCCACCAGAGTAACCAGATACAGAGTGCCCATTTGTGCATTTACAAACCCTGAGCTAGACACAGGGTGCTGATTGGTGCATTTACAAACCTTGAGCTGGATACAGAGTGCTGATTTGTGTATTTACGATCCCTTAGCTAGACATAAAGATCTCCAAGTCCCCACCAGACTCAGGAGCCCAGCTGGCTTCACCCAGTGGATCCCACACCGGGGCTGCAGGTGGAGCTGCCTGCTAGTCCCGTGCCATGTGCCCACATTCCTCAGTCCTTGGGCCGCTGATAGGACTGGGCACCCTGGAGCAGGGGGCAGCGCTCGTTGGGGAGGCTCAGGCCATGCAAAAGCCCACAGTCAGGGGGCGGGGTAGGGGGAGAGGCTCAGGCATGGCGGGCTGCAGGTCCTGAGCCCTGCCTGGCGGGGAGGCAGCTAAGGCCCAGCGAGAAGTTGAGCACAGCAGCTGTTGGACCAGATGCTAAGCCCCTCACTGCCTGGGGCCGGCGGGGCCGGCCAGCCACTCTGAGTGTGGGGCCTGGCGAGTCCACACCCACCTGGAACTCGCACTGGCCTGCAAGTGCCTGGCGTAGCCCAGGTTCTCACCCATGCCTCTCCCTCCACACCTCCCCACAATCTAAGGGAGCTGGTTCCAGCCTTGGCCAGCCCAGAAAGGGACTCCCACAGTGCAGCGGCGGGCTGAAGGGGCTCCTGAAGCGTGGCCAGAGTGGGCGCCAAGGCTGAGGAGGCGCCGAGAGCGAGCGAGGGCTGCGAGGGCTGCCAGCACACTGTCACCTGTCAATGTCATTTTAGGTCATCTGAGAATATGATCATTGCCAGAGCAAAAGTAGGTGTTTATGCTAAAGTTACATTTTCTAGACAAGTAATCAACACACAATTATTGTGAACTTACATTTGGCAAGATCACAGACTTGGGAATTCCCAATGACTGGTAAAAGGGACATACAACTAGACAGTTCCATGTCTGCAGTTGCTTCTCCAAACCTCCATCTCCTGCTGAGAAAAGAGCCACCAACACCTGCCAAGCACAAGTCTAATTTGCAACTTGATGGTAGATATCACACATTAATGCTTCTTTCAGGAAGTGCTTTGTGATTTGTTGTCAAGTGTTGATGCCATTGGCTTTTCAATATTTCTTTAAGATTGTAATGCTCCAAAGGGAGGCAGAATGTTTTGAGAGCAGTTTTCTAGAACTTACAGGTGAATTTAAGTCTTTAGAACTTTTAGTTCTATAAAGCAAGATGACCTAGATTAATGATTAACAAAATTAAAAACAATAATGCCCTTCTTGTGAATTTTCAGATTCCTGATTCAACAAATATCTGTTAATCCTTGTCCTTTGCCCAATTAAACACTTGCCTGATAACCTTGCTCTTTCCAAATTCCTCTTTTCTTAGTCCTTCTGGGTCTACTCAGTGAGCCACACCCATATCTTTATTTATTCTGTGAAATTGTAGAAAATTGAGTCTGATAATCAGGATTGGTTGATCCATTATCTGGAATCTATTATTTAATTTTTCTATTTAATTTTTTCTATATCATTTGATTTTCTCATCAAGGAAGTTCAAAAGATGAAATTATAGAACTCTCTGTGACTGCTAAAATGTCTAGCATTGCTGTGTGATCTATCCAAGTATCAGTGATATTGTAATACTACCATGTGCAATACACTGTGTTAAACATACTGTGAGACCTCTCTGCTCTTTCGGAACCTCACAATTTAGTAGGGACACAATGTGTATATAAGTAACTGTAATACTTTATAGCTGTGAAAATTCAAAATTAAGGTTGATTTATAATAGGAATAAATTAGTTTCTGAATGTCAGGAAAACTAGAATCTGATTCAGTCTTTCCCACTAATTAGCTAGATGACAAGTTACATTCTCTATCTAGGGTTCAACCAACTCACAGCAAACCTTGAAAATGGCTAAGGAAAAGTCTCTCATCTTACCCTTGGCACCCCTTGGGATGGGTAATTCTTTGGGTTCAGGGGCTGTCCTGTTCATGATAGGATGTTCCAAGGCATCACCGGCCTCCACCTACCTATGTTGAAGCACTACCCACCACCTTCTGCCTTGATGTGACAACCAAGAATGTCTCCAGATACTCTGAATGTCCTCTGGGGTATGGGAGCAAAATATTTTGTGGTTTGGAATCTGCAGACTACATGACTTCTCAAGTATTAAAATTCAGAAGCTGATAGAATAACTAAATAATTACTGCAGCATATAACTGGCTTTGTTTTGCTTTGTTTCAGAGACAGGGTCTTTCTCCATGGCCCAGGCTGGAGAGCAGTGGCACAATCATGGCTCACTGCAATCACCACCTCCTGGGCTCAATCAATCCTCCCAGCTCAGTCTACTGAGTAGCTGGGACCACAGGTGCACGCTATTGCACCTGATGTAATTTGTTTATTTTTGTAGAGACATGGTCTGCTATGTTGCTCATGCTGCACTCAAGCTCCTGGCTCAAGTGATCCTCCCGCTGCTGTCTCCCAAAGTGCTGGGTTTACAGGTGTGAGTGACCATACCCAGCCTTATAGCTAGTTTTTAAAATGCACCTAAAGGAACCCAGCTAATATGTATGGTGCCATTAGAATATAAGTCAACAATGTCCTGGAATAAATGTTTAATAGTGGGGAAAAATATAAAGGAAAGATTAGGAGCTTCAGTGATGTCCTCCTTTTGGATCCAGATGTGAGACCTGTCCAGGCTATAAAATAATTCACAGGAAAAAAATATGACACCTGATATAGTTTGGCTCTGTGTCCCCACCCAAATCTCATGTTGTATTGTCATCCCCAGTGTTGGAGGTGGGGCTTGGTGGGAGGTGATTGGACGATGTGGTGTTTTCTAATGGTTTCACATCATCCCCAGTGTTGGAGGTGGGGCCTGGTGGGAGGTGATTGGACCATGGGGTGTTTTCGAATGGTTTCACATCATCCCCCTAGTGCTTTCTTCTTATAGAGTTCTCATGAGATCTGGTTGTTTGAAAGTGTGTAGCACCTTCCCATTCATTCTCTCTCTCCTGACAGCCATGTGAATATGTGCTTGCTTCCCCTTCACTTTCCACCATGATTGTAAGTTTCCTTAGGCCTCCACAGAAGCAGACGCCTGTACAGCCTGCAGAACTGTGAGCTGATTAAACCTCTTTTCTTTATCAATTACCCAGTTTCAGATACGTCTTTATAGAAGTGTGAGAATGGACTAATACAAGAAATTGGTACCAGAAAAGTGGGACATTCCTATGAAGATACCTGAAAATGTGGAAGCTGCTTTAAAATTGGGTAAGGAGCAGAGGCTGGAACAGTTTGGAGGGCTCAGAAGAAGGCAGAAAAATGAGGGTAAGTTTGGAACTTCCTGGAAACTAGTTGAATGGTTCTGTCCAAAATGTTGACAGTGATATGGACCATGAAGTCCAGGCTGAGGTCTCAGATGGAGATGAGAAACCTTTTGGGAATGGGAGTGAAAGTCACTCTTGCTATGCCTTAGCGAAGAGACTCGTGGCATTGTGCCTCTGCTCTAGAGATCTGTGAGACTTTTAACTTGAGAGATGATTTAGGGTATGTGGTAGAAGAAGTTTCTAAGCTGCAAAGCATTCAAGATTTAGCCTGGCTCTTTCTAACAGCATATGTTCATATGTGTTCCCAAAGACATGATCTGAAATCTGTCATTGAATCTGAATGAATCAATCTGCAATTGAAACTTATATTTAAAAGGGAAGCAGAGCATAAAAGTTTGGAAAAATTGCAGCCTGATCATATGGTAGAAAAGAAAACCCCACTTTCAGGGGATGAAATCAAGCCAGTGGCAGAAATTTGCAAAAGTCTCAGTTATGAACATACTGCTCCTTTTGCAAAAGTTTGGAAATTTGCAAAAGTAGCCAAATGTTAACAGCAAAGACAATGGGGAAAATGTCTCCAGGGCATGCCCAGGGCTTTGTTACCGCCCCTCCCATCACAGGCCTAGAGGCCTAGAGAGAAAAATGGTTTTGTGGGCCAAACCCTTTAGCCTCACCCTTTCTCAATCCTATGAGGAAGTAAGCACACAAGAAATCCAAACACTGCCATTCCAGGTTGTTTTCTTTGTACAAATGAATACCCTGTTTCACTGTCACCCAGACATCAGCTCTGCAGCTCAGGGATGTGTTCAGAGCCCGGGTAGGAAGAGTTCAGCAGGAGGGAGGGAGGGGCAAGGCTGGGAGGAACCCAGGTTCCCTGGCATCCATCCAGCTTGACTGAAGGCAGTGGAAGGGCTGACTGCAGACCTTACTCAGGCTTCTGGGGTCTCAGTGCCCTAAGGCTGATGATCACAACCCAGTCCTCAGCCTCACAAGCACATCCCACTTGCCAATCCCACCCCACCTCGGTCACCCTCCTGCCAGGACCACCCACCATTCCTTAGGTTTGTCCTGAATTGGACGCTTTATTAATTGCTGGCACACACCCCCCATGATCTCCAGATCCTGCTACTGTGCAATCATAGATCCACAACAAACTCTTTTCCATGGAGCAAGCTAGAAACCCCCAAATTCCTGAACTTTCACCATAAAGATCTCCATTAAACTATAAGTAACCACTGCAAACACAACTACCATTTATTCCTTGATGTATGTGGGTCAGGCCCTGTATCATGCATTTTGAAAACATTACAATATTCTGTTTAAGAAAATGTTCTATCCCCATTTTGCAGATGAGGAAACTAAGGCTTGAAGATGTTAAGTGATGATTCCCAGATCACACAGCTATTTTGAGGCAGAGTCAAGATTGGTACCAGATCATATCAACAGTGAAATACAGAAAATCTTGATAAGTGTCTACTTTGATTTTTATTTTTATAGATTCTGCCTATTAAGTCAACTGTATTTTTATGCAATAACTGGTTTTCATATTTGTATTAAATACTTGCATCCACTCAGAGCTTCTGATCAGATTGAGACAGCCTTATTGCTGGCTGCCATTCCAACCAAAGTGACTACACTCAGGACAAGGTGTGATTTATTTCAAAGTTTAAATCACTGGATATAGATCAGCAATATAGTATATTATCATCAATATTAGATTGATTTAATTTTTTAATGATGATATGAAACAGCAGCCATCTCTCAGAATCCTAATAGTGTCTATTTAATGAGCACTTATTATACACTTGCTACTTTTCTGAGTGCTTTGCATGACTTTGTAATTTAATCTTCATACCAACCTATAACATAGGTACCATAAGTATACCCACTTCATAGGTTAGGATACTAAGACACAGAGGGAGTCTACAATGTGTCCGAAGTCAAGAAGCCAGGACATGACAGGATATTAAACCCACACAGCCATGTCACAAGCCAGAGATTTTCATTAAAAATAATGTTACAGTGGGGACTTTAATTCCTTCCTAAAATTGAGAATTCTATCCTATTGTGTCCCATATACTCCAGGAGGGGAAATTATAATTGCCAGAGTTATAACTATGCAACAGCTATGACCTATTTCACCCTTAGCAGGGCTCCTACAAACTGAGCTGATGTAAATTACAGCAGAGGGCCCTTGGTGGCAGAATCTTTGGTGGTCACTGGCCCATGGCATACCCATGCTGGGGACACAAAGGCTGTGGTCTGATCTCACTCAGAGACATATGCTTTCCTAAGATATGACAACTCCATAATTAGAAGAACTGCCTGATCCCTTAACTCCAGTGACATCCCCTGTCAAATGATGCCCTAATCAGGGACATGGGAGTGATCAAGGTGGAAGTAAAGTGAACTAGAAGATTGAGCGACTATGTGCTGTGATCCATGCCCTTTTCTTGATGATCTAGTGTAAATTTCAAAATGGCCACCACCAGCCTCCTCTGCATGCTCTGCCAAGATCAGAAGTCTTATATTTTCCAAATTATGTACCAGACAGAAGCCATTCAAGGTTAAAGGTCTGCAATGCTATGGAATGAATTAACAAGAGCCCATTTACTGTTTCTGCTTCCAGTCTGAAAGGAAATTTCTGGAATCTGCAAAAGATTTGGAAAAGTTAAGAAATGGTAAGATCAAGCCTCTAAGTGCCTCTGAGGAGGGTATCTAGTAGAAGATACACAGGGAGGTTTGAACAGCCAAGCAATGCTTTGTGTATGTAAGGTTGTAGTTGTTGATGGTGGAGAAGGAGAAAATCGATAAAATGGAAAGGGTGGGCTCTTAGAGCCGGTCTGGCAACTCTTTCCAGGCTAAAAAGGGCCAGACTTCTCTTTGTATTTGCTGGAGAACCATATGCAGCGCCCTGCAGATGCCCTTTTCTTACTTTCCTGCTTTTGGCACCATGAGTGAGCTGTGGTCATCAGCTCAGGATGCCATATAGCCCACCCCATTCAAGGACAGATTTTAGACAAAAGGAGTTGAAATAGGTCCATTTTGAATTTGTTTCTCTTATAAGTTTGACAAGGTGATATTTTTTCAATGATGTAGACTTAGATAATGAGACAGTGTTGAATTGGTTGGATGTGCAGGTCAGAGGGTGAGGAGGGACATGAGTCAGGGTAGCAGCTATGGGGTAAGAAACACAGAGCCTGCCCTGCACACACTGTCTAATGGGGGTATTGAAGAGCACACAAAGAGCCTACATAGAAACTTCTCTCAGAACTGTATTTAATGTCTTCAACAGCATGAGACTTACTTTGAGAAATTCCCATGTTAAATGGCATCTGGCTGGTGGCCTGTTGCAGTCTCTCCCAACTTCTTTCTAAGATATCATGAAGATAAATCAACACAGACAATACAAGGGACCTATTTTGTAGCTGGATGGGGGATAAAAACATAAATGAAATAACAGGATCAATGTGTACCCAAATACTTGTATTTATGCTTTTGATAAAATGTATTTTCAGCATATTACACATCCAATTATGCCTTGTTTATATATGAAGAATAAAGCTACCATGTTATACTGTTATGTCCTAAAATTCAAATCACTATTTGAGAAACCCTCTAATTGGTGCTTTCATTATATAATGATACATTTAGACAAAACCCCAAACTAAGCCATTTGAAACAAGATTCGCTCCATTGCAATTTGCAGCAATGGTATTTCTGTGTGTGTCATGAGAAGGCTAAATATCAGTGTTAATTTCGTGTTTGAATCCATGAAATCATGCCTGTAAAGCCCAAAGGTTTGTAACAAACTCCCTAAAAAATTTAGAGAAAGTCACTCTGTTACCATTTTATTTATTTTCATTTTATTTGAGGAATTAAGACCAGAAGTTTTGCTCATGTCTTTTTCACTTGGAAATCTGACTTAGTACCTAGTTAATTTGTCTCTCCCCCATTATTTTAAGGTGTTCTCTTCTGTTAATCACAGATGATCCGTCCTTGTGTTGTGCTGCTTGACTAAAAGCACTGTTTTTTTTTTTTTTTAATGATAGGATACAGGGTGGCTTTTCAGTCTAGTAAACAGGAGGAGGGGAGAGATTGTGGGTGGGCGTGGGTGTGTCTGCATGTCCCAAATATAGCACATGCCCATTTTTTTATGGTACGAGGTTAGGGCTTAATAAATGTATACTAGAGCTTTAAGTATAAGTCTATGTCTGAACATTTTAAACAAGTTGGACTTTGTGGCTTTTTCAAGTTCCATCAAGTAGATACTAGCCTTAGGCTGGTAGGTGATTAACAACATTATTTGAAGTACAGTGTTTGTACCACTAGCACTCTTATGTCTGTACTTGAATGTATAGTTAGCATTTAAGTTATGTTCACTCTTGCAGCATTCAGGTCTAAATACCTGGTTTCAAATGCAAGAGCTTATATGGATCATTGTTTTGAAAGCATGAATGATATGGCAATATTTTATGTCTTGATGAGGAGAGTTTTGTGACCTATACAAATCTGCTGTTGATGAAAGTTTACAGATGGATCAGAGTATGCTGGAACTCACTATGCATAAATGTTTCAGTCGGTGAATATCACTGAAAGTCATGTACAACTTACTTGGTATGTGACTTTGGCTTGTTTTATAATATTTGGTTTGTTTATAATATTTCTTGCCATAGTAAGTGATACATTTGTACTTAATCATGCCTATTTGATGGTACTAGGAAAGAAAGGGGTAGAGATTAATTCTTGCAAAGTATATGCAACAGCGCAACAAACTATGGCATTTACCTTTTACCTCTTACTTGAAGGCAGAATCGCAAAACATTTGAAATGGCTTTTCTATACTACTCTGGTGAGAGCACATTTACCACAAGAAGCCTTATAGAAAAGTATATTTTGTAATAATCCCATAGATACTGTACTTAACAAAACATGATTTGTATTAGCTCTATAAAATACTTGTGGTTTAGGGTTTTTTTTTTACATATATCTTTTTATAACTTTCCAGGAACTAAGCACATTATCTGATAATTGTAAATTTTTTTGTCAGTGCTTTAGTTCAGGATGGACAACAAATTTTTTCTAAAGGAGGTCTAAAAGTGGAGAGAATGGTTTGATTTTATAAAATGAATTGCTAGTTCATTACAGCTTTTTACTTTTGTACATATTTTGCAAAACACTTGCCTCTTGCTATAAATATTTGCTTTGTAAAAATTACTGACATTTAATAAACATTTATAAATGAAAAAAAGCACTTCCAGAAGCTAAAAACAAATTCCTATTTCATTTGAACAGTTGCCAGGCAATTTTTTTTTCATTTTATACATTTAGTCATTTCCACAACCACTTTTTCATCCTGAAAGGGTGGGATTCATAGAAATTTCACTCTGCCTTTTTTTTTTCTATTTTCTAAAGATGAGAGTTTCATGTTCCAACAAGTGCCAATGGTTGAGATTGACGGGATGAAGCTGGTGCAGACCAGAGCCATTCTCAACTACATTGCCAGCAAATACAACCTGTGTGGGAAAGACATAAAGGAGAGAGCCCCATATAGTATATTTTCTGTTCTTCAATCAACAGAGAACACAGAGTGATTTAGGTCCTTCTGTGAGTGGGCAGGACTGTTGAAGGAGCATCATAACTAGCAGCAGGCTGGGCCTTGGGCATATATGCTTGTGTCCAGTATTGCAGAGTCCCATGGAGATGAGAAAAGAGTGAATATGGGGAGGGTTCAGGCGAGTGTGATTCTAGAAGACAATGCAGCCTATGGATCCAGCACCCTGACAGAGGTTTCCAAACGCTGATGAACCATGAACTCAGGAGGATGGGGAATCATGATTCCAGGTGCTCAGGACTTCAGAGGCTGGACTCCAGCCAACAGCTTAGGACAAGGCATAGAATGTTTGAGAGTCGGTAGATGAAGGCCTGGGGAGAGAATGCTGCAAAGGAGCTGAATCTCAGGTTCCAGTAATTCCAAGAATGGTGACCAGGAACCTAAGTTTCCAGCCAGTTGTATTAACTGGTCAACTTGACTAAGGTTTGAGAGGCTGGTGCCCAAGATACTAGGCTTACCTAAGTGCAGCATTTGATACAGACCTAAGCAGCCAGACTGATTTTGCATCAGCAAAGCTGGGAGGAGGGGTCTCCTCCCTTGATGGCCATTCCTTGAAAAGTCCAATATAGAGTTACCAATGACCTAGCAATTCCACTACCAGGTCTACATCCAGGAGAAAGGAAAACACATCCTTACTAATCCATGCACAGAAGTGTTCATAGGAGAATTATTCATGATATGCAAAAGGTGGAAACAACCCAAATGTCCACCCATGGATGAATGGAGGAACAAGATGTGCTGTAGGAGACAATGGAATATTCTTGGGGTATGAAAAGGGATGAAGGGGTGGAGCCAAGATGGCTGAATAGGAACAGCTCCAGTCTACAGCTCCCAGAGTCAGTGGCACAGAAGACAGGTGATTTCTGCATTTCCAACTGAGGTACCGGGTTCATCTCACTAGGGAGTGTGGGACAGTGGGTGCAGGACAGTGGGTGCAGTGCACCGTGCATGAGCTGAAGCAGGGCGAGGCATTGCCTCACCTAGGAAGTGCAAGGGGTCAGGGAATTCCCTTTCCTAGTCAAAGAAAGGGGTGACAAATGGCACCTGGAAAATCGGGTCACTCCCACCTTAATACTGTGCTTTTCCAACAGGCTTAACAAATGGCACACTAGGAGATTATATCCCACACCTGGCTCAGATGGTCCTACACCCATGGAACCTCACTCATTGCTAGCACAGCAGTCTGAGATCAAACTGCAAGGTGGCAGCGAGGCTGGGGGAGGGGCGCCCGCCATTGCCCAGGATTGAGTAGGTAAACAAAGCGGCCCAGAAGCTCAAACAGGGTGGAACCCACCGCAGCTCAAGGAGGCCTGCCTGCCTCTATAGACTCCACCTCTGGGGGCAGGGCACAGACAAACAAAAGGCAGCAGTAACCTCTGCAGACTTAAATGTCCCTGTCTGACAGCTTTAAAGAGAGTAGTGGTTCTCCCAGCATGCAGCTTGAGATCTGAGAACAGGCAGACTGCCTCCTCAAGTGGGTCCCTGACCCCCGAGGAGCCTAACTGGGAGGCACCCCCTAGTAGGGGCGGTCTGACACCTCACACAGCCGGGTACTCCTCTGAGACAAAACTTCCAGAGGAACAATCAGGCAGCAGAATTTGCAGTTCACCAACATCCACTGTTCTGCAGCCACCGCTGCTGATACCCAGGCAAACAGGGTCTGGAGTGGACCTCCAGCAAACTCCAACAGCCCGCAGCTGAGGGTCCTGACTGTTAGAAGGAAAACTAACAAACAGGACATCCACACCAAAAACCCATCTGTATGTCACCATCATCAAAGACCAAAGGTAGATAAAACCACAAAGATGGGGAATAAACAGTGCCGAAAAACCAGAAACTCTAAAAATCAGAGTGCCTCTACTCCTCCAAAGGAATGCACCTCCTCACCCGCAACAGAACAAAGCTGGATGGAGAATGACTTTGATGAGTTGAGAGAAGAAGGCTTCAGAAGATCAAACTACTCCGAGCTAAAGGAGGAAATTTGAACCAATGGCAAAGAAGTTAAAAACCTTGAAAAAAATTAGACGAATGGCTAACTAGAATAACCAATGCAGAGAAGTCCTTAAAAGACCTGATGGAGCTGAAAACTGTGGCACGAGAAATACATGACGAATGCACAAGCCTCAGTAGCCAATGTAATCAACTGGAAGCAAGGGTATCAGCGATGGAAGATGAAATGAATGAAATGAAGTGAGAAGAGAAGTTTAGAGAAAAAGGAATAAAAAGTAATGAACAAAGCTTTCCAGAAATATGGGACTATGTGAAAAGACCAAATCTACATCTGATTGGTGTACCTGAAAGTGACGGAGAGAATGGAACCAAGTTGGAAAACACTCTGCAGGATATTATCCAGGAGAACTTCCCCAATCTAGCAAGGCAGGCCAACATTCAAATTCAGGAAATACAGAGAATGCCACAAAGATACTCCTCGAGAAGAGCAACTCCAAGACGCATAATTGTCAGATTCACCAAAGTTGAAACAAAGGAAAAAATGTTAAGGGCAGCCAGAGAGAAAGGTCGGGTTACCCACAAAGGGAAGCCCATCAGACTAACTGCTGATGCCTTGGCAGAAACTCTACAAGCCAGAAAAGAGTGGGGGCCAATATTCAACATTCTTAAGGAAAAGAATTTTCAACCCAGAATTTCATATCCAGCCAAACTAAGCTTCATAAGTGAAGGAGAAATAAAATCCTTCACAGACAAGGAAGTGCTGAGAGATTTTGTCACCACCAGGCCTGCCATACAAGAGCTCCTGAAGGAAGCACTAAATGTGGAAAGGAACAACCAGTACCAGCCACTGCAAAAACATGCCAAATCGTGAAGACCATCAAGGCCAGGAATAAACTGCACCAACTAACGAGCAAAATAACCAGCTAACATCATAATGACAGGATCAAATCCACACATAAAAATATTAACCTTAAATGTAAATGGGCTAAATGCTCCAGTTAAAAGACACAGACTGGCAAATTGGATAAAGACTGAAGACCCATCAGTGTGCTGTATTCAGGAAACCCATCTCATGTGCAGAGACACACATAAGCTCAAAATAAAGGGATGGAGGAAGATCTACCAAGCAAATGAGAAACAAAAAAAGGCAGGGGTTGCAATCCTAGTCTCTGATAAAACAGACTTTAAACCAAAAAAGATCAAAAGAGACAAAGAAGGCCATTACATAATGGTAAAGGGATCAATTCAACAAGAAGAACTAACTATCCTAAATATATATGCACCCAATACAGGCGCACCCAGATTCATAAAGCAAGTCCTTAGTGACCTACAAAGAGACTTAGACTCCCATACAATAATAATAGGAGACTTTAACACCCCACTGTCAACATTAGACAGATCAATGAGACAGAAAGTTAACAAGGATATCCAGGAATTGAACTCAGCTCTGCACCAAGCGGACCTAATAGACATCTACAGAACTCTCCACCCCAAATCAACAGAATATAAATTCTTTTCAGCACCACACTACACCTATTCCAAAATTGACCACATAGTTGGAAGTAAAGCTCTCCTCAGCAAATGTAAAAGAATAAAAATTATAACAAACTGTCTCTCAGACGACAGTGCAATCAAACTAGAACTCAGGATTAAGAAACTCACTCAAAACCACTCAACTACATGGAAACTGAACAACCTGCTCCTGAGTGACTACTGGGTACATAACAAAAAGAAGGCAGAAATAAAGATGTTCTTTGAAACCAACGAGAACAAAGACACAACATACCAGAATCTCTGGGACACATTCAAAGCAGTGTGCAGAGGGAAATTTATAGCACTAAATGCCCACAAGAGAAAGCAGGAATGATCTAAAATTGACACCCTAACATCACAATTAAAAGAACTAGAGAAGCAAGAGCAAACACATTCAAAAGCTAGCAGAAGGCAAGAAATAACTAAGATCAGAGCAGAACTGAAGGAAATAGAGACACAAAAATCCCTTCAAAAAATCAGTGAATCCAGGAGCTGGTTTTTTGAAAAGATCAACAAAATTGATAGACTGCTAGCAAGACTAATAAAGAAGAAAAGAGAGAAGAATCAAAAAGATGCAATAAAAAATGATAAAGGGGATATCACCACCAATCCCACAGAAATACAACCTACCATCAAAGAATACTATAAACACCTCTACACAAATAAACTGGAAAATCTAGAAGAAATGGATAAATTCCTTGGCACATACACCCTCCCAAGACTAAACCAGGAAGAAGTTGAATCTCTGAATAGACCAATAACAGGCTCTGAAATTGAGGCAATAATTAATAGCTTACCAACCAAAAAAAGTCCAGCACCAGATGGATTCACAGCCGAATTCTACCAGAGGTACAAGGAGGAGCTGGTACCAATCCTTCTGAAACTATTCCAATCAACAGAAAAAGAGGGAATCCTCCCTAACTCATTTTATGAGGCCAGCATCATCCTGATACCAAAGCCTGGCAGAGACACAACAAAAAAAGAGAATTTTAGACTAATATCCTTGATGAATATTGATGCAAAAATCCTCAATAAAATACTGGCAAACCAAATCCAGCAGCACATCAAAAAGCTTATCCACCATGAACAAGTGGGCTTCATCCCTGGGATGCAAGGCTGGTTCAACATACACAAATCAATAAACATAATCCAGCATATAAACAGAACCAAAGACAAAAACCACATGATTATCTCAATAGATGCAGAAAAGGCCTTTGACAAAATTCAACAATGCTTCATGCTAAAAACTCTCAATAAATTAGGTATTGATGGGCATATCTCAAAATAATAAGAGCTATCTATGACAAAACCCACAGCCAATATCATACTGAATGGACAAAAACTGGAAGCATTCCCTTTGAAAACTGGCACAAGACAGGGATGCCCTCTCTTACCACTACTATTCAACATAGTGTTGGAAGTTCTGGCCAGGGCAATCAGGCAGGAGAAAGAAATAAAGGGCATTCAATTAGGAAAAGAGGAAGTCAAATTGTCCCTGTTTGCAGATGACATGATTGTATACCTAGAAAACCCCGTCGTCTCAGCCCAAAATCTCCTTAAGCTGATAAGCAACTTCAGCAGTCTCAGGATACAAAATCAATGTGCAAAAATCACAAGCATTCTTATAAATCAATAACAGACAAACAGAGAGCCAAATCATGAGTGAACTCCCATTCACAATTACTTCAAAGAGAATAAAATACCTAGGAATCCAACTTACAAGGGATGTGAAGGACCTCTTCAAGGAGAACTACAAACCACCGCTCAAGGAAATAAAAGAGGATACAAGCAAATGGAAGAACATTCCGTGCTCATGGGCAGGAAGAATCAATATTGTGAAAATGGCCATACTGCCCAACGTAATTTATAGATTCAATGCCATCCCCATCAAGCTACCAATGCCTTTCTTCACAGAATTGGAAAAAACTACTTTAAAGTTCCTATGGCACCAAAAAAGAGCCCACATTGCCAAGTCAAATCTAAACCAAAAGAACAAAACTGAAGGCATCACGCTACCTGACTTCAAAGTATACTACAAGGCTGCAGTAACCAAAACAGCATGGTACTGGTACCAAAACAGAGATATAGACCAATGGAATAGAACAGAGCCGTCAGAAATAATGCTGCATATCTACAACTATCTGATCTTTGACAAACCTGACAAAAACAAGAAATGGGGAAAGGATTCCCTATTTAATAAATGGTGCTGGGAAAACTGACTAGCCATATGTAGAAAGCTGAAACTGGATCCCTTCCTTACACCTTATACAAAAATTAATTCAAGATGGATTAAAGACTTACATGTTAGACCTAAAACCACAAAAACCCTAGAAGAAAACCTAGGCAATACCATTCAGGACATAGGCATGGGCAAGGACTTCATGTCTAAAACACCAAAAGCAATGGCAACAAAAGCCAAAATTGACAAATGGGATCTAATTAAACTAAAGAGCTTCTGCACAGCAAAAGAAACTGCCATCAGAGTGAACAAGCAACCTACAGAATGGGAGAAAATTTTTGCAACCTACTCATCTGACAAAGGGCTAATATCCAGAATCTACAATGAACTCAAACAAATTTACAAGAAAAAAACAAACAATTGCATCAAAAAGTGGGTGAAGGATATGAACAGACACTTCTCAAAAGAAGACATTTATGCAGCCAAAAAACACATGAAAAAATGCTCATCATCACTGGCCATCAGAGAAATGCAAATCAAAACCACAATGACATACCATTTCACACCAGTTAGAATGGCAATCATTAAAAAGTCAGGAAACAACAGGTGCTGGAGGGGATGTGGAGAAATAGGAACACTTTTACACTGTTGGTGGGACTGTAAACTAGTTCAACCGTTGTGGAATTCAGTGTGGAGATTCCTCAGGGATCTAGACCTAGAAATACCATTTGACCCAGCCATCCCATTACTGGGTATATACCCAAAGGACTATAAATCATGCTGCTATAAAGACACATGCACACGTATGTTTATTGCGGCATTATTCACAATAGCAAAGACTTGGAACCAACCCAAATGTCCAACAATGATAGACTGGATTAAGAAAATGTGGCACATATACACCATGGAATACTATGCAGCCATAAAAAATGATGAATTCATGTCCTTTGTAGGGACATGGATGAAATTGGAAATCATCATTTTCAGTAAACTATCACAAGAACAAAAAACCAAACACCGCATATTCTCACTCATAGGTGGGAATTGAACAATGAGATCACATGGACACAGGAAGGGGAATATCACACTCTGGGGACTGTGGTGGGGTGGGGGGAGGGGGAAGGGATAGCATTGGGAGATATACCTAATGCTAGATGACGAGTTAGTGGGTGCAGTGCACCAGCATGGCACATGTATACATATGTAACTAACCTGCACAATGTGCACATGTACCCTAAAACTTAAAGTATAATTAAAAAAAAGAAAAAAAAGTTCATAAATAAAATATTTCTTGAAGTAAAAAAAAAGGAAAAAAAAAAAGAAAATGTGGCACATATACACCATGGAATACTATGCAGCCATAAAAAATGATGAGTTCATTTCCTTTCTAGGAACATGGATGAAGCTGGAAACCATCATTCTCAGCAAACTATCGCAAGGACAAAAAACCAAACACTGCATGTTCTCACTCATAGGTGGGAATTGAACAATGAGAACGCATGGACACAGGAAGGGGAACATCACACACCGGGGCCTGTTGTGGGGTGGGGGGAGGGGGGAGGGATAGCATTAGGAGATATACCTAATGCTAAATGACGAGGTTGTGGGTGCAGCACATCAACATGGCACATGTATACATATGTAACAAACCTGCACATTGTGCACATGTACCCTAAATCTCAAAGTATAATAATAATAAAATTTAAAAAAAAGGGATGAAGTACTGATGCATGCTCCAACATTGGTGAGCCTTGAAAACATGTGCTGTAAAAGAAACCAGACACCAAAGGCCACATGTGACATGAATTCTTTTGTATGAACCATCCAGACCATTTGAGTCCAGAAAGCAAATCAGTTGTTGACAGGGGATGGAGAAAGGGGGCAATGGGAAATGGCTGTCAAAGCACGTGCTACTGCTTTCCCAGATGATAAAAATGTTCTGGAATTAGACGGAGATAGTATTTGCAGAATTCTGTAAATGTACTACAAATTACTGAATAATATTCTATAAAGGGGTGGCAATTATGGTATGTGAATACTTGTCAATACAGCTGTTATTTTAAAAGTATTCGCCAGGTACGGTGGCTCACGCCTGTAAACCCAGCACATTGGGAGGCCAAAGTAGACAGATCACCTGAGGTTGGGAGTTCAAGACCAGCCTGGCCAACATGGCGAAACCCCATCTCTACTCAAAATACAAAAATTAGCCGGGCGTAGTGGCAGGTGTCTGTAATCCCAGCTACTCGGGAGGCTGAGGCAGGAGAATCGCTTGAATCTGGGAGGCGGAGGTTGCAGTGAGACGAGATCACACCACTGCACTCTGGCCTGATGACAGAAAGAGACTGTCTCAAAACAAACAAACAAACAAAAGTTTTGTAGGAAACACAGTTTGAAATGAGAAGAAAGAAGATGTCCTATGCTATGCACTGGCTTTAACTATATGAATAATTTTACCATGTTTACCAATTTTCCCATGTAAACAATTTTCCCATGTTACTATGGGAATATTAGGTGAGGTCTTGAAACACAATCATGACTAGAATTGGCCAATATCATGTGGAGAAGGTAATGGAACAATGTTTTGTGGAAAACAATTGAGAGAACTCCTTTTTTTTTTTGAAAATTAGTAGCTTGCTTGAAAAAATATATTTTTAGGGATATCTTTTAAAAACATACCTTATTTCCTAGTTTTTCCTTTATTTATTTTAATTTTTTCTTTTTTAAGAACTTCTAATATTGGGCATAAAAGTGAGCCTGGGATTTGTAGTATGATGAGAGAGGAAAACAGACACGTTCGAGATCACTGTGCTGGGGAGGCTGTCTTGGGATTATGTAAATGGCAGGGCTTTAGCCATATGAATCACGCTAAGCTTATGTGTAAAACAAACCACAGCAGAGTGAGCAAACCCTATTTGTAGCATCAGTGGTTACTTGCAGTGATTCCACTAATTTCTCTCATGACTGTGACACTGGACAGGTCACCGATGTTTCTTGTACCTGTATTTGGTCATGTGTAAAACAAACATTTTAGATATAAATCTATCACAGTAGAGTGTTCTGAGAAATAAATGTAAATATATTTATAAAAATCATAGCCTAATGACTAGCATATAAAAGGCACGCAGTGGAGCTGAATTAATTTCCTGTCACCTAAAGCTTCACGGTCTCAAGTGTTTAAACATAAAATCTAAGGCAGAAGGCACTCAGCAGTTTGGTTATTTTTGTCTTACAGGGTCGATATGTATATAGAAGGTAGGGCAGGTTTGAGTGAAAAGCTTCTTCATTGCTCATTGCATCCACCTGAGGAAAAAGATGCAAAGCTTGCCCTGATCAAAGAGGGAACAACAAGCCATTATTTCCCTGTCTTTGAAACCGTACCTGGGAGCTTCTGGATAACTAAACACATGGAGCTTCTTGGAGGGTGGCCTGTCCAGGCCTTCCCCAGATCTCGCCCTAGGCATTTCTTCAGCTTCTTAGTGGCTACGTGATTTGAGCTTCAAAACTACAATAGAGAATTATTCAGTCTGATATATGGATTACCACTTAACAAGGATAAAGTAAATCTAAAGTCACAGTCAATACTCTGCCTCAAGTGGAAACTGTGATGTTTCTGTCTGGATCACTGCCAAGTTTGCAGAACAAGAACCAAAAATCAAGAGAGAAGAACTTCATTTGGTTTTAAGGATGACCCACAGCAAAGTTTGTACAAATGGAAAGGGGTCCAATGAGAACCTCGAACTTAATGTACTGTGAGGCTATCTTGAAAAACAGGCTCCTGGGCCTCTGCTCTTATGCTGCTTCTTTTATGACAAACAACACCTTTAGATCACATGACAAAAAACAGTAACACAAAAGACTACAAAAGAAATGAAAAGAAAATCCTGATTCTACAAAGGATGCTAAGCAGATGAGAACCAATACCAAAACCAAGGACCAACCTGAGAATAAAGTCAAAGAGCTCAGTGCAAAGAGAAAAGAGTTCAGCCCAGGTGTGGGCTTACCACAAGGGATAAGGAGCATTTGTGAATACTGAACCTGGTTGACGGCTGGGGTCCATGGCAATGGGCAACATAGACCATGTCTTGTTGAAACCTCCAGAAAAACTGTGGAAGTGAAGACAATCCAAATGAGAATAAGCAAAAGGTGTTTATACAGAGCTTGCTATAGAAAGGAAGTCAGCCACCATCACTTGCATTTGTCAGAGATTCAGAGGTAGGCAGGAAAGTCTGAGAGATTCATGGTAGAAAAAGTTATGTCCTGATTGCAGGTTGCTGGCCTAGGGATGCTGTAAGCTGGCTAACTAGAAGTGTGGATTTCTATGGGATTAGTCAGAGATCCATATTTTGCTTTCTGTGGTTGGTCATAAATTGAAAATAGAGGCAAAAATTAGGGAAGCTGGCAGTTATTGACCAATGCTGGTGTATTTGACTGTTGTAAGGGTCATGATAGAAGCTGTTTAGTCTATAAGGGCACTAAGAGGTTAGAGGATTTCTTAGCAGTTTGGCTGCAATAACAAAATACCATAGACTGGGTAGCTTAAAGAACAGATGTTTCTATCTCACAGCTCTGTAGGCTGGGAAGTACAAGATCAATGTGCCAGCAGATTTTACATCTGGGGAGCACCTGTTCCTTGGTTCATAGACAGCCAATCTCTGGCTATGTCCTCACATGGCAAACATGCCAAGGGAGTTCTCTAAGATCCCTTTTATAAGGGAACTAATGTCATTCATAAGAGCTCCACCCCCATGACTTGATCATCTCCTGAAACCCCCACCTACTAATGGCTTGAAAGAATATATTTTTTAGGGATCTTTTCTAAAGATTTGGGGGTCAGGATCTCAACATATGAATTTTTGGGAAACATAAACATTCAGTCCATAACACAAGGCAACAGAAAAATAAAATAGTACCTGTGTATTTTTGGGGCATTGACCTTCACTTCCAAAAAGCTTTCCTTGATGTTAATGGAGCACCTGACTCTCAAGGCATGGTATAAAAATAGACTGTGAATAAGAATACTACGAGTTCTACCAAATAGCCTGTGATATGTGCATTTGAACAATGTATATTACAATATAGCATTGAAGTTGTTTTGTTTGTGTACCAAGTCATTATCTATACGTTTGTATGTATACATAGTGTGAAAATGTATTTGCCAAAATATTATCTTAAATCAATGTTGCCATGTTTTCTCTTTTTATTATTTATGATGTCAATGTGCTGAGATATTTTAATAAATATCATATATCAGTCAAAAATTGTATTATTAAAAATGAATACACCTAGTGTAGTCCAAAGAAATGTTTTATGAACATATATACACCAAGGATCTAAAGAGCAAAGTTAACCTTTTATCTTTGATTTATCACGTGTCAGTCACTCCACCCCTGTTTGCCTCACTCAAACACATTATTATTATTATTATTATTATTATTATTATTATTATTGTGCATTTCAAAGTAAGTTGCAGACATCTTTGCAGTTCACCCTGGGACACAGTGGCATGCAGATTATAACATAGTCAAAGCAGTAAGAACCACCATTGCAAGAAAGAGGATGAATTAAAGTTCACCCAGGCTTATTTCAGATCCCAGAGCAGGAAATGAGGAGGGCAGATGAGGAGAAATGAGGATTCTGAAATAGTCTACTCGTGGGAGAAGAGTGCTGTCATGAAGGTGGAGTCGCTGCCCAAGAGAGACTGGAGAGAGAGTGTGTAGAGCCATTGAACATCAGGGATGCACACTGTAGGGCCTGGGGCAGACAGAACAGGCTGCAGCAGGGGATAAGCCCCTGGCCCATGTGGAAGTTGCAAGCTGGGTGGGTGCTGTGGATGCCATAGTGATGTGGAATGAGAAGAGAAAATGGGAGCCTGGGCTCCAAACAAGGAGTGAGCAGAGCCACACTTCTTACTCTCTCACTGAATCAGGTAACATGGAGAAAGGTCTGGATCTCTGCACCTGCCCAGTAAGGAAGCAGAGGTGGGAGAGGGAGAGTCAGCCTGGACAAACTCAGGGAGAAGCAGAGGCCCCAGCCTCATTGCACATGTGTTCCTGATCTGATTCCTCTGATTCTCCAGGTGTTGAAGAGCCATGAACAAGACTACTTCATTGGCAACAAGCTGAGCCAGGCTGACATTCACCTGGTCAAACTTCTCTACCACGTGGAAGAGCCTGACTCCAGCCTCATCTCCAACTTCCCTGTGCTAAAGGTGACCCATTTCCCAGTCCTCAAGAGGCAGCTCCTCATCTCCCATCTTGGGATCTAGTATCTGGGCCCTTGGACTGGCCACATTCTGACCTCAGCCTTCTCCAGGTCTTCAGGGCCCCCCAGGTCTCCAAAATGAGCTTCCAAGTCCTGATTCTGAGGCATGGAAATGCCTTCTTGTTATGCCAAGGAAATCTGATGTGCATGCTACCCCAAGAATATTTCGCTTTTTATAATGCCAAGGACCCAGGGCCCAGCATCTCTCCTCATCCCTTTATTTCACTGTGGTTTCTGTTCCTGAGTTCTCTGTGATGCCCTTTATCCCAATATGCCCTTATCTTCCCACACCAAGTGTGTCTGAGCAGGGCCCTTTCCATCTGGTTCCTTCCTTATGCTCTGGCTCCTGCTGTCAGATAACTGAGTTCCTTGTGCACAGCTCTCCCAACACGCTGTCCCCGAAAGCTATATCTCTCTATGGGAAAAAGTGGCCCCATGGTTTGACTTTAACATTTTCTATTTTCATTTCTAACTCAATTTTCCCATATCTTCACTTCTTCTGCTTAGAGACTGATCTGTGCTGATATCTCACAGGCACATTGTTCTTTCTCATCTTCTACAAGAGCCATGAATCTACAAGATTCATGTGTAAGGAAGAGGGTAGGAAGACTGAACTGAATAAAGTCTTAAAGACATTTTTTGGGAAAATGCTAGTGAGCTGCATGTTCTTCCTCTTATCTTCATTTCTCACGTAGTGTCTCTTTCTGCCTCCCTACTGGTGCTGATAGAGGGAACTTAGTTGGTCTTTGTGTAGGAGGGGCGCAGATTCCCTGGGTTGTGTTAATGGTGGTGTCAGTCCTTGGCTTCACTCTGAGGCTGTGCTTTGTGCATTGCGGGCCCTGAAAATCAGAATCAGCAAACTCCCCACAGTGAAGAAGTTTTTGCAGCCTGGCAGCCTGAGGAAGCTTCCCATAGATGCAAAAGGTTTACAAGAAGCAACAAAGATTTTCAAGGTTTGATAAAGCAGGCATGGATGCCAAGAACATGCAATACCAATATTCTAAAGTTTTGCAACAATAAATTGCTTTATCTAAATGTTGGTTGTGGCTATTGTGAAGTTAATAAACTTTTTAAAAATTGTATGCTAATTACATAGTAAAATGCCTATGACCAGATTTAGTTAAAATTGATTTCTTTTCATTAGTATCTGATATGAAATCAGATTTCCGAACTGCCCATAAATTTTCTTGGAATTAAAAATTTAGTAAAAAGTACAATGTAGACTATGTGGTTTGTTTGACTTTTTCAAGAATTGTCCTGCAACATTTGTGAAATTGCCTATCAAAAACTCATGTATAGAAATTTACTTCTGACATTCTGCACAAGAAAACAGTTATCATTCTGGGGAATGGCAAAATGAAATTTTCTTTTTTCCTTGACATCCATTTTATTTCTCATGAAAACACTTTTTCTTATGCATTTTCAAACAACCTTTCTGTCTGCTATGGATCCCTCAGTTTTCTAGGAGGTGAGGAAATATTGAAGAGCAAACAGACCCACCCTCTGCTCTCAGGCCAACTTGTCATCCCTTACAGTGCATGTGCTCCTGGCTCATCCTCACTCTCCTCCTTAAGGCTCTGTGGGGACCCGGGCATAAGCCTTCCCTCAGTTCGTTCAGTGCCACTCAGGCCTGGCTGCGAAGATACAGATGGTATATGTGAATTACGTATAAGTAACTATATTTAAAATTATTTTTCCCTGGTGTGTCATTGTGCCAGCGTGTTTGGATTAGAAGTGATTTCCAGGAATCCTTCCCTGCGTCTTCTAGTTTCGGGGGGCTCTTGGCCTTTCTGGACTTTCATGGATCATGACCACATCACTCTAATTTCTGCCTCTGTCTTCCTGCACCTCACCCCCTGTGTGTTGTGTCTTCTCTTCTCTCTGCTGTGAGGACAATTGTCATTGGATTTGGGGCCTATCCAGATATACCAAGATGATCTCATCTCAAATTCTTTTACTTCATTACATCTGCAAAGAGCCTTTTTCCAAATAAGATCAAGTTCACAGGATCTAGGGATTTATATATGGACCTGTCTTTCTTGGGGTCCAACATAACCCCCTACATGGTGTAGATGAAGAAAGAATATTTGCAATTGATGAATCCAGGTGATGGATACTTTCATATTTGTTATATTATGGGCAATTTGAGTGACGCAAAGAGGATAGCATATGCAAATAGGGTTCCCGGATTTGTCAGATAAAATGCAGGATACCCACCTAAATGTGAATTTCAGGTAAACGATAAATAATATTTCAGTATAATCTGGTTTCATACCGTGTTTGGAACATAGCTATAACTAAAAAATTGTTGATTGTTTGCCTGAAATTCACATTTACATGGATGTCCTATATTTTATTTGGCAACCCAGTAAGAAAACGGTGGCATCAGCTTGCCCTTCACAGACATCCTCTCCCAGCTATGCTCACAATAGGGTTTTTTCAGTTGCCCTAGTCTTTGCATCCAACTCATGAAAAAAAGTATCTTTAAAAAGCCAGTTTCTGCTGACTTGCAAAAAGAGCAAAATCTAGGTGAAATGTATTGTTTAAACTTTGATTACCAACCTTGAAAAGGAACATATTAACCAGTGTCTTCTGATAAGCAGATCACTTGCCTCATGTCTTAGAATCCAGTAGGTGGCCCCTTGGCCATGAAATGTGTGGGAGTGGCTTTTCCCTAACTTGACCCTTCTTTCAGTGGGAGGGAACTATTGAGAGGAACAAAGAGCTTATAAATACATTAGGACCTGGAATTCGGTTGTCCAGCCACAAAGGTGACAGCATTTAACAAAGTAAGTACTGATCTTATAAATCTCTCTACATTGCCTCACACCCTCCTCTCTAGCCTCCTAGAAAAATACACTAATATGTGTCCTTAGCACAAGAAAAAGTTTGTTTTTACTCATATCATGCCATCTTGGTGTGTTTGGGTGACAGTTCAAGAACTGTTTATTTCTTTTCTGTTGGATACATCTTTACAGAAATGTAAAAATGAAGAGTTTAGAAAACCAGGGCCTCAGCATTTAAAGGTATGGGAAACAATGACATGAGGAGAAAAAAGAAATGGTAGCATTTTAAACAATCTGAGAATAATCAGTGCTGGAAGAAGTGGCAATGTATGCAAAAATTTCTTTATATATATAGTCAACACACAATTGTAAATTGTGACACTGTAATTCTATATTGGCTGTGAAAATTCAAAACTAAGGTTTATTATAATTAGAAAAAATTAGTTTGAATGTTAGGAGGACTAGATTCTAGTTGAGCCTCTGCCACTAATTAGCTCGACGACAAGTCATATTCTGTCTCTGGAGTACTACCAACTCATGGCCAATATAGAGAATAGCTAAGAAAGAGGCTCTGACTGTTGCTGCGAACTGTGTAATTCTTTGAACGGAGATCTGTCCTGCCCACTCTAGGATATTTCTAAGCATCCCTGAAGGGGTGGCCTGCCCCTCCACACCTGTGGGTGTTTCTTGTTGGGTGGGATGAGAGACTGAGAAAAGAAAGAGACACAGAGACAAAGTATAGAGAAAGAAAAGTGGGTCCAGGGGACCGGGGCTCAGCATATGGAGGACCTGCGCTGGCGCCAGTCTCTGAGTTCCCTCAGTATTTATTGATCATTATCTCTACCATCTCAGAGAGGGGGATGTGGCAGGACAATAGGATAATAGTGGGGAGAGGGTCAGCAGGAAAACGTGAACAAACTCACGTCTCTGTGTCATAAACAAGGTTAGAAAATGTGCTGTGTTTTGATGTGCACATACATAAACATATCTGGTGCATTAAAGAGCAGTATTGCCGCCAGCATGTCTCACCTCCAGCCTTAAGGCAGTTTTCTCCTATGTCAGTAGATGGAACATACAATTGGGTTTTACACCAAGACATTCCATTGCCCAGGGATAAGCGGGAGACAGATGCCTTCCTCTTATCTCAACTGCAAAGAGGCCTTCCTCTTTTACTAATCCTCCTCAGCACAGACCGTTTATGGGTGTCGGGCTGGGGGACTATCAGGTCTTTCCCTTCCCACGAGGCCATATTTCAGACTATCACATGGGGAGAAACCTTGGACAATACCTGGCTTTCCTAGGCAGAGGTCCCTGCGGCCTTCCGCAGTGTTTTGTGTCCCTGGGTACTTGACATTACTGAATAGTGATGACTTTTAACAAGCATACTGCCTTCAGGCATTTGTTTACAAAGCACATCCTCCATAGCCCTAAATCCATTAAACCTTGAGTCCACACAGTACATGTTTCTGTGAGCACAGGGCTGGGGGTAGGGTTACAGATTAACAGCATCTCAAGGCAGAAGAATTTCTCTTAGTACAGAACAAAATGGAGTCTCTTATGTCTACTTCTTTCTACATAGACATAGTAACAGTCTGATCTCTCTTTCTTTTCCCCACACATCCCTGCCCTCTACCTATCTGATTTGTAGCCCCCCTCCCTCTCTGCAGATATAGCAACCCAAAATGTCTCTAGACCTTGCTCAATGTCCTCTGGAGCAGAGGAACAAAATCCCCCTGGTTGAGAACCATGGGACTACATGACCTCATGGGGCTAAGCAAGGCTGTGTTACCGATGTGCCCCACTGCTTGGACATTCACTGAAAACTTCCTGTTAATCCAGGTGGGCTGATTAGTGAATATCATTGACCTCTGTACAGGAGCTAAAAAGCAAAGAGAGAGAGAAACAGAGAGCCATCATATGACAGATTTGATATAAGTCTGGATTCATATAAAATCTTATTCCTACTAGAGTTCTACGGACAAAATATAGAGAACCAGAGAAATGGATACAAGATAGATAATAGATGATGAAGAGACAGATTACAGAGAGATAGATACATAGAACGATTGATAGATAAAATAATACATACATGGATGGGTAGACAGAGATTATAAACAGATACATGTACATAGATTGTTGGTTGGTAAAATAATTGGTGGATAGATAGATCAAAGAAAGAAGATCCATGGGCTACTCAATGTGTCCAGAGCCTCACCCATCTTCCAAGCACTGGGACAAGAGCAAACACCCTGTGTTCCTACTATGATTTTTTTCTACATTATCTCATTTAACTTTCTCAACAACCCTCAAAAGTAGAAATAACTATCTCTAATCTAAGAAGAGAAAATTGAGGCTCAGAGATTAAACAACCTACTGCATTTATGAATCTCATAATGGAAGGAGTCATGGTTTATCTCATTCTCCCTTCTCTCTGATAAGAAACAGTGTCACTGGGACAACCTCAGAGACGTAACTCCTTTAATTTACTCCTGGAAATATGAGACCTTATAGTCCTTTCAAAACAAGCCCATTTTTTAATTGATGTAAATTAATTATTGATGTAAAGTAATTACACTAGTCCTCAACTCACTCTGGTTTTTAGGTTGTCAAAGTAGAGAAAGGCACACTTTTATTAGTTTTTTCTTCCAAGCAAGCCCCTGAAAAGTTGCTAACAGGAGGAACTCAGGAATTAGATGTTCCCCTCTCGCCCTCTCCTTCCAACATTTATTTGGCTAATATACATTGAATAGGAAAATACAAAACAACTTCTCAGACAGGAGCTGAGAGCCAGGTTATGAGGTGGAGTGGAAAAGCTCCGGACCTGCAATCAGAAGTTCAGGCTGACCCAACACTCACCACGTGTGCAGCATGAGACAGGTGCTTTAGCTCTCTGAAATTCAGTGTACCCATCTTTAATTAGGATAATAGGAGCCATTTCCCAGGGTTGTTGCAGAAGGTAAACACACTCCCTAGATATTGACTATGAATGAGGAGCATGTGTGTATGACCCATGGCAAATCCTTGAGCTCTCTGGTTCTCATTTTCTGTTGACCCAACAAAGCTCAATGGTAACTTATGTCTCAGTCTTAGCCTGACCCTTGGAAACCTCACATTGAGGAAGTGATATGTTAATTATCAGCTGGAGTGTTGTGATAAAATATTATGTAAGATAAAATTTCACTTCCTTTTGAAACATGATCCTCGATCAATGGCTAAGAGAGTTTATTTTGGGGATTGGAATTATGACACTGTGAACTCTAGTACATAACAATTAAACAAGCACACCCTACGCTTTCATGTGAACTTCACTCTCCCTTTCATTCTGTCGAATTATGCTATTTCCATTTCCCAAGTTACTTTAATTTACTCCTGGAGTTATCATAGAAAGTACAATGTCAAAATATCTAATTACAAAACAGGTGAGTTGATTCAGTATGATTTCAAAGAATTCTTTACTTTCCAAAGGTTAAACTATTGACTCCCATATTTTAAAATGTAGACATTTAAAAGATTTTGATGCCTAATTTTAATCATGCATACTTTTTTAGAAATACATTAGTTGAGGTTGGGTGCAGTGGCTCATGCCTGTAATCCCAGCACTTTGGGAGGCTGAAGTGAGTGGATCACCTGGGGTCAGACTTTCGAGACCAGACTGTCCAACATGCTGAAACCCTGTCTTCACTAAAAATGCAAAATTATCCAGGTGTGCTGGCATGTGCCTGTAATCCCAGCTACTCAGGATGCTGAGGCAGGAGAATCACTTGAACCTGGGAAGCTGAGGTTGTAGTGAGCCAAGATCGCGCCATTGCACTGCAGCCTGGGCAAAAACAGCAAAACTCTGTCTCAAAAAAAAAAAAAAAAAAAAAAAAAAAAAAAAAAAAAACAAATAAATACATTAGTTGTTAAAGGCAAGTATATTTTTGTTCCACACTCAACAACCACAAAACTTTGCAAGAAGAATCTTAATGTTTAATAACAGAGCTGGGGGTTTGGTGATAAAACGCAACTATTCCTAAGTCCTGGCACTGGAACTCCTTCTTTCAATGAGTCCTGTGTCTTTCCATTCACATTCATGATACAATTAGTTGCATCTGTCTCTGCAGCCACTGGTTTTCATTCTCTGATACTCTGCTACATTCCACCACCCAAACAGCCTGGCATAGAGCAAGGGCTATCAAATTTCACTGATAAGCCCAGTCTCTAACCATTTACAATGACCAAGTGAGCATGCACACATGCAAAGATCCATACACACAGTATACAAATAACTGAAACTAACAACTCATGAAACATTACTTACCTTTCAACATGTCATGCTCACTGATATTTTCTATTCTTTTCTTTTCTATTTATTTTTTAAAGTAATGGGATTTCACAATCTGCTGAGAGATTACCATGCATATTTGAGAAACACTAACATAGAAAATAAGACTCAGTATTTGGTTTTTAATAGCAGTGACCCTGGATCCCAGATCTATCATTTACTCTGAGCAAGTTACTTTAAAAACCTCAGTATCCTCAAATGTAAAATGAGAATAACAACCACATTAACCTTAGGTAATTTTTGTAGGATAAAACAAAGAGAAGTTTAGAAGAATGATCAGTGTGTGACTGATGTTGAACAAATGCTAGCTCCTTCCATATTGCAAAATTAATGCAGCAACATCTCTTCTTCCAGCTTATAAAACAAAATGCACCCCATAGAGTTAGAATACAGAATTCCAAAAGAAGCAAGGGATAAACAATCTCTGTCTCTTGAAAGAATTTGGATCTTCTAGCTACAGTTAAACAAGTCTGAGGCCTAATTTCTGGTTTTGATCAAATGCAGTCTCACAGCCAAAGAGCTGAAGAGTGATTTAGCTCCCAGCCGGTCCTCCCTGTCAGTGACATCCTCTGGTTTCATGGCCAGTTCATGGGTTCCCAGGGCCTTCACCCAGCTGGCTTCCAGGCATGATTTCATTTTAGTCCTTGGTGTAGATATTCATGTCCATCACCAACCGGAGTGTGACTGTGAACATTGTATTTCTCTGATGTTCCATTTCATTAACGAAAAAATGGAGATAATCATTTCATGGGACTATAAGGAGGGTTAAAGATATAAAATATTGAAAGGGACTAGCATTGAGGAAGGATCACTAGGAAGTTTTCAGTAAATATTAGTTCTTGAATTCTTCCTCTTCCCATTAACTCCTATACATGTATTATTACCACATACTCTCACCTCTTAGGCTGCCAAGAAAATTCAGAGTTAAACAGTGAAAACTTGAGACTGGTTTGCTGGAATCTGAGGGTGGCCACTGCTGGGTAATAATTTGAGCCAAGAAAACATTCCGGGAACTCCTCCAACACCGTCATGAAGAAGGCAGGTTCTTCTTCAGCATTGTTTGTGGTTTTCAACCATACATCCTAAAGTACATTTTTGATTCTATCGTTTCAATTATTCATTCATTCATTCATTCATTCACTCAGGCTTAGAGAAACCTCCAGGAGACTGCTACCATGGCAGAGAAGCCCAAGCTCCACTACTCCAATATACGGGGCAGAATGGAGTCCATCCGGTGGCTCCTGGCTGCAGCTGGAGTAGAGGTAGGTTCTGAGTTAGGTCATCTTAAGTCAGATTTACGATTGCGTTATCACATACTTTTCCCACAGAAACTATGAGATGATTACTAACTGAAGCATTGTGCCTTAAATAAAAAGGGACTGTAATTAAGAAAAAGATGAACAGATTTGACCTATTAATTCTTAAAATTTCTTCTCCTCTAAAAGCATACATATTAAAATACATTTAAGACACTAATCACAAAGTGCAGAACTTAAGTGGATTAGAATTTAAACAAACTGTAAAAAATAATTTATGGCATTTATACAACAATTAGAAACACAAATATCGATTGAATATTTGAGGACATGAAATAATTATTGTTAATATTTCATGTGTGATAATGTACTATGGCTGTCTTTAGAATAGTTAATGTGTTTTAGGAAAACACATTGAAGTATTTAAGGATTAATCATATGGATCTGGGATTTCCTTGGAATTATTACAAGAGGAGAAGTAGGTGGGCATATAGATGAAACCATATTGGTTTTGATTGATAATTATTGATTCTAGGTGAGAAGTATAAGGAGAATCATTATGCTTTTCTGTTTATATTTATTCATGTTCATAATTTCCACAATAAAAAAATAAAAATGCATAATATTAAAAAATGATTGTAATTAGAGGTAAAATGCAAACTACAAATGAGAGATGGAAGGGAGTGGATTGTAACAAACTACCTATTAAAGATTGACTACATTCACAGCAATTATTTACTTGAGCACTTATTAATTCCAGGTTCTGTACTCGGTCATGGAGATAGTGAACAAGACAGACACAGTCCCTGCCCTGGGGCAGCCTACGTGTCTATGAGGATGCAGAGAAATAAACACGTGGTTAAAATGAGGGGAGGAGGCTTCTAGAACACACAAGCATTCCCCAATGCCACAAAACCACATCAGAAACCAGAGGTTTTCCTTAAAAATAATGCTAGTGTGGGACCCTAATTCCTTTATTAAATTGAGAATTTTACCCTATTGTGTCTCACGTACTTCAGAAGAGAAAATTACAGTTGCAAGTGTGAAAGCTGTGCAACAGTGGCGACCTATGTCACCCTTAGCAGGGTTCCTGAGAAGTGGGGCGATACAAATTACAGCAGAGGCTCCTTGGTGGCAGAATATTTGATGGCCATTAGCCCATGTCATGCCTCATGCTGGGGACACACAAGGTTGTGGTCTGATCTCACTTGGAGACACAGGCTTTCCTAAGATATGACAACACCATAACTAGAAGAACTGCTCAGTGCCTTTTCTCCAGTGATGTCCCTCTCAAAACATGACCTAATCATAGACATTCATATCAAGGTGGAGGTGAAGTGAACTAGAAGATTGAGCAGCTATGTGCTGTGACCCATGCACTTTTCTCAATGAATTAGGTCTAAATTTCCAAATGGCCATGACTAGCCCCCTCTGTGTACCCTGCCAAACTCAGAAATCTTATATTCTCCAAATGATGCACCAGATAGAGGCCATTCAATTTCACAGGTCTATAATAGAATGAACTAACAAGAACATATTTACTGTTTCTGCTTCCAGTTTGAAGAGAAATTTATAAAATCTGCAGAAGATTTGGACAAGTTAAGAAATGGTAAGATCAACCTCTAAGTTTCTCTAATGAGGGTATCTAGTAGAAGGTACACGGGGAGGTTTGCGCAGCCGGCAATGTCTATGGGTGTGGGGCATGGTATTTGTACATGGTGCAGAGGGAGAAAGTGGTTAAAATGGAAGGGATGTGGCTCCTTGAGCAAGTCTGGCAACTCTCTCCAGGCTTAAAGGACCAGACCTCTCAGAGTATTTGCTAGAGGAACAATCTCCCACCCCTGAGAAAGCCCTTTCTTTGTTTTCATGCTTGGGGTACTGTGAGTGAGCAGTGGTCATCAGCACAGGATCCCATACAGCCCTCTCCATCCAAGCACATGCAAGAACATGCATTAGACAAAAGGAGGAGGAATAGATGTGGCCACTGTCTTGAGTTTTTTCTTTCATGGGGGGAGTGGGACTGGGTAACACTGTAGCAATATCGCAGACTTTGAAGAGCACAGAAAGGGACCCTTATATAAAAACCTCTCAGAACCTGCCTTAAATATCATAAACACCATGAGACTTACTCTGGGAACATCCTGTTTTAAATGACATCTTGTTGCCAGTACTATTGTAACTTGTCCCAACCTCTTCCTAAAATATCCATGAAGATAAATCAACACAAAAAATTCAAGAGTCCCACTATGTATCTGGAGGGGCAACAAAAACATATATGAAATAAATGGATAAAAACTAAAAGGAAACTTCTTAAGAAAAAGAAGAACTACAGGAAGCTTTATAAACATATTGTTTGGACTGGGTGCAGTGGCTTACACCTGTAATCCCAATTTGGGAGGCTGAGGCAGGTGGATGACTTCAGTTCAGGAATTTGAGACCAGTTTGGCCAACATGGTGAGACACCATCTCTTCTAAAAATACAAAAATTAGCCATGTGCAGTGGTGCATGCCTGTAATCTCAGCTATAGAGAGGCTGAGATAGTAGAATCGCTTGAACCTGGGAGGCAGAGGTTACAGTGAGCCAAGATCACACCACTCCACTCCAGCCTGGACAACAGAATGATACTCTGCCTCAAAAAAAAAAAAAAAAAGTTGTTTCAAGTGAACTCTTACCAGGCAGTAATTTCTTTTTCGTTTTACAAATTTAGTCATTTCAACAACCATTTTTTTTCATCCTGAAATGGTGGGTTTCATAGACACTTCACTCTCCTTTTTTTTCTTCCTCTTAAAGATGGATATTTGATGTTCCAGCAAGTGCCAATGGTTGAGATTGATGGGATGAAGCTGGTGCAGACCAGAGCCATTCTCAACTACATTGCCAGCAAATACAACCTCTATGGGAAAGACATAAAGGAGAAAGCCCTGTACGGTATATTTTCTGTTCTTCCATCCACAGAGAACATAGAGTGATTTAGGTCCTTCCTTGAGTGGGTGGGACCATGGCAGGGTATCAAGACCAGCAGCAGGCTGGGCCTTGGGCATGCACGCTGAGGTCCAGTATTGCAGAGTCCCATGGAGATGAGGGAACAGTGAACATGGGGAGGGTTCAGGCGAGGGTGATTCTAGAAGAGGATGCAGTCCATGGACACAGCACCCTGACAAAGGTTTCCAAACTCTCATAAACCCAATGAACTGAGGAGGATGGGGAATCATGTTTCCAGGTGCTCAGGACTTCAGAGGCTGGACCCCGGCCAATGGCTTAGGACAGGCATAGAATATGTGAGAGTCTGTAGATGAAGGACTGGGGAGGGAAAGCTGCAAAGAAACCAAGTCTAAGGTCCCAGTAATTCCAAGTATGATGAACAGGAACCTAAATTACCAACCAATTATATCAACTGGAATACTTGAGCAGGGCTAGTAGAGGCTGGCACCAAGGATACTGGAGTTACCTTGACACATGGATAGAAGGCCGAAACAGCCAGATTGATTCAATACCAGCAAAGCCAAGGGGTCTCCTTGTTGTTGTGATGAGACTGCATGATTCCAAATAAATCCTGAATGAAACTGCTGGCAGCTCCTCAAAAACTTTAATATGGTATTACCGATGACCCAGCAGTTCCTCTAACAAGTATATCCCCAAACAATCGAAAATACATCCACACTATATATTTTACATAAGTGAATAATGCAAATAACAATATTCATAGAATTCAAAAAGTGGAAACAACCCAAATATCCATCAATCAATAAATGGAGGAGAAAAATGCGCCTTAGCCATGCAATGGAAAGATATTTGGTCATGAAAAGGAATGAAGTACGAATGCATGCTACAAGATGGTTAAACCATAAAGACATGTTACATAAAATACACGAGACACAGAAGGCCACATATTATAGGATTATTTTAATATGAAATGTCCAGATATTCAAATCCATAGAGGTAGAAAGTAGATTAGTGATTGCCTGGGGCTAAAGGAGTGGGGCTTGGAGAAAAATGAAGAATACCGCTAATGGTACAGATGTCCTTATCAAGGTGACAAAAATAATTCTGCAATTAGACTGTGATTATTTTTACAGAATTCTGTGAATGCACTGAAAACCACTCAATAGTATAACATAAGAGGTGGCAATTATAGTATGTGAATATGCATCAGTAAAGCTCTTGTTTTAAAAAGTATTGTGAAACTCCAGTTTGACACAAAAGAAGAAAAGTTTGCACGGTTGTAACTGTACAGAGAATTTCACCAGGGAAGGGGTTGGCTCTTAAGAAAGGCACACATGGCTAGAGTTGGGCAACAGCACATGGAGAGGGCTGTGGAAACGTTTTTCATGGGTGTAATTGGAAGAACTGCAAATATGGGGCATAGAAGCAGCCCTGGGAGCTGTAAAATGATGAGAGAGGACAAGGAATATGGCTGAGATGGCTGTGCCAGGGACTCTCTTAGGATTACTTAGGAAGCAGGTCTTTGGCCATTTGACTCACACTAAGTTCATGCACAGAACAAACCACAATGGAGATGATAAATCCTGGCACAGCATCAGTGGGTACTGGCAGTGATTCCACCAATTTCTCTCATGACTGTGACCACCGATGATCTTCTTCCTGTATTAGGTCATGCGTGTAACAAAATTTAGAGAGCTATCTACCTTGATAGGCTGTTTTAAGAAATAAATGTTAATATACCTGTAAAACTCAGAGCATAATGACTATATACCTGTAAAACTCAGAGCATAATGACTAGACTATAAAAGGCACTCATTGGAGGTGAATTATTTTGCCATCACCTGATACTCTACTCTCTTAGGTTTTTATAAACCTATAAAATCTAAGGCAAAAGATATTTGACCATTTGGTTGTTTTTGTCTTTCAGGATTGATATGTATATAGAAGGTATAGCAGATTTGGGTGAAATGATCCTTCTTCTGCCCTTTAGTCAACCTGAGGAACAAGATGCCAAGCTTGCCTTGATCCAAGAGAAAACAAAAAATCGCTACTTCCCTGCCTTTGAAAAAGTAAGTGAAGCTGTTCAGTGTTTTGGGGAACTGAGTTTAGAAGCCAGTAGAAAAATAGTGGCTGGGCATTCCTGGGGCACTGATCTTCACTTTCAGTGATACTTCCTGGACACCAATGCAGCACTCTGACTCTCAAGGCATTTTATGAAAATAGACTTGGAGAAACAATTGTATCACTTATACCCAAGCTATAATCTTCCAGTAAAATTTTAATTTACTGAACCCCAATATGGAATTATCTGTTCAACAGAATTTTGTGTTCATAAGTAGAATGTGGGCTGTGGAAGGCTCTGGACCACACTAGAGTTGCTGTTCAGTCTATGGAACCCCATGGACTTTGAACAGGGGCATGATGAAAGTGATCCATCAGAAAACATTCTGGCACCATATGCAGGAAGACAGGAGACCAATTGCCCAACCAGAGAATATTGCAGTGTTTCAGGGATCAGTATTTTTTAAAAGGAGAGTGACTGTGGGATGCAGAGGAAGATTCTGTAAAATGCATTTTATAGTAAGTTGCAGACATCAGAGCAGTTCACTCCTAAACGCTTCAGCTTGCAGATTATAACATAGTGCCATTTAGGAACCAGAGTCGATGCTGTAAAAAAGATGATGAATTCAGGTTCACCCAGGTTTCCTACAGATCTCAGGGAGATAGAGCAGGGAATGAGGAGAACAGACAAGGAGAAATGAGGACTCTGAAATAGTCTCCTTCTGGGGGAAGAGTGTTGTCACGATGGTGGAGTCACTGCCCAAGGGAGATTGGAGCGGGAGACAGCAGAATGTAGAGCCACATCCTGAATGTGAGGGCTCCACACTGCAGGGCCTGGGGCAGACAGAACATGCGGCGGCAGGTGCTAAGCCCTTGGCCCATGTGGAAGAAGCAAGCTGGGTGGGTAGTGTAGACGCCACAGTGATGTGGATGAGAAGAGAAAATGGGAGGCTGAGCTCCAACTGAGGAGTGAGTACAGTTACACTTCTTACTATCTCATTCATTCAGATAATGTGGAGAAAGCTCGGGATTTCTGCATCCATGCAGTAAGGCAACAGAGGTGGGGAAAGTCAGGGTGGAGAGGCTCTGAAAGAAGCAGGGGTCCCAGCCTGGGTGGGCATGTGTTCCTGATCTGATTCCTCCCATTCTCCAGGTCTTAAAGAGCCACGGACAAGACTACCTTGTTGGCAACAAGCTGAGCCGGGCTGACATTCACCTGGTGGAACTTCTCTACTACGTGGAAGAGCTTGACTCTAGCCTTATTTCCAGCTTCCCTCTGCTGAAGGTGACCCATTTCACAGTCTTCAGAGAGGCAGACCCACATCTCCCATCTTGGGATCTTGTATCTGGGCCCTGGGACTGAGCATGTTTTGACCCCAGCCTTCTCCAGGCCTTTGGTGCCCCAAGGTCTCCAAAATGAGCTTCCAGGCTCCAATTTTGAGGAATGAAAACACTTTTGTTATGGAAAGGAAATTTGTAGTGCATGCTACCCCGCAAAGAGTATTTTGCCTTTTATTATGGAAAGGACCCAGGGCCCAGCATGTCTCCCCATCCCTCTATTTCAGTGTGGTTTCTGTTCCTGAGTTCTCTGTGATGTCCTTTATCCCATATGTGCCCACATTGAGTCAGTCTGAGCAGAGCCCTTTCCATCTGGTTTCCTCCCTGGGCTCCGGCTCCTGCTGTCAGACATTTTGTTCCTCTCTGCCCAGCTCTCCAGCACTCTGCCCCCGACAATGTATCTCTCACTGAGAAAAGGTGGTCCCATGGTTTGTCTTTACTATTTTCTATAACATTTTCCTTTCCAACTCATTTTCCCATATTTTCACTTCTGCTTAGAGACTGATCTGTGCTGATATCAAACAAGCACATTAGTTTTTCTTGTCTTATACAAGAGTCACTAATCTATAGGATTAATATGTAAGAAGAAAGATAGGGATGACTGAACTGATTAAAATTTCAAGACATCTTTGGGGAAAATAAAGTGAGCTACATGTTCTTCCTCTTATCTTCCTTTCTCACTGGGTGTCTGTTTCTGCCTTCACCCAAGTGGAAGCGACTCACTTGGTCTTTGGCAGGAGGGACTCAGATTCCCTGGGTCATGTTAATGGGGGTGTCAGCCCTTGACTTGTTGTTTTAGTGAGGCTGTGCTTTGTGGATTACAGGCCCTGAAAACCAGAATCAGTAACCTGCCCACAGTGAAGAAGTTTCTACAGCCTGGCAGCCCAAGGAAGCCTCCCATGGATGAGAAATCTTTAGAAGAATCAAGGAAGATTTTCAGGTTTTAATAAACCAGCCATAGAGGTCAAGAACATGCAAGACCAGTATTCTAAAGTTTTGCAACAATTAAGTGCTTTACCTAAGTGTTGATTGTGCCTGTTGTGAAGCTAATGAACTCTTTCAAATTATATGCTAATTAAATAATACAACTCCTATTCACCCACTTAGTTAAAATTGATTTCTTCTCATTAGGATCTGATGTGAATTCAGTTTTCCAATCTCCTCCTAGCCAACAATTTTCTTGGAATTACAAATTCAGTAAAAATGGAAACTATAAATTATGTGGTTTGTTTGACTTTTCCAAGAATTGCCCTGTAACATACAATTTGTCATACAATCTATTAAAATGCCAATGTAAAAATGCACCTCTGACATTTTCAGGTATGCACAGGAGAAGAGTTACCATCCTGGATAATGGCATAAAGACATTTTCTTCTTTTCCTGAACAGTCATTTTATTTCTGATAAAAGCATTCTTTCTAATGCATTTGCAAAACAACGATTCTGTCTGCTGTGGATTCCTCCGTTTTCTAGGAGGTGAGGAAATATTGAAGAGCAAACAGACCCACCCTCTGCTCTCAGGCCACCTTGTTGTCTCTTACAGTGCATGTGGTCCTGGCTTATCCTCACTCTGCTCCTTAAGCCTCCATGGGGTCCCAGGCATAAGCCTTCTCTCAGTTCCCTCAGTGCCACTCAGACCTGGGCTGCCAAGATACAGATGGTATATGTGAATTACATACAAATAACTATATGCAAAATCATTTTTCCCTGGTGTGTCACTGTGCCAGAGTGCTTAGATTAGGAGTGCTTTCTAGCTCCACCCCCATACTGGTCCTGTAATGCTAATCTCTCCCAGGACACCTGGGCTTCTGCAATTTGAGCTCTCCTCCTCTTAGAGGGAGCTTCCCCAAGTTGGCAGAGGTGGTTGAGGGAGCAGACAGACACACAGGCTTCCTACCTGCAGCTTCACTTTGCTCTAGTCTCTTCTCCACTTACAACCAGAGTAGTTTTTCTAAAATGCAAATTGGAAAAAAAAAATCACAGAATTCTTCAGGGAATCCTGACTGCATATAAAATCCATCCTCACACCTGTCCTCACTCCTTGATCTTCAGCCCAGTCAACTCTCTGAACATGGTGAGGCCTCTTGCCTTCCTGCCTGGGTGCATTTGCTACCCCTACCTGGCAAGCTCCTTCCCAGTGGACACACTTAACACTACCTCATTGCTTCCCAGGAGCACTGGGCTGTCCTCTGCCCTCCACAGAGCCCCAGTGAGCCTCTTGTAGGGAAAAGAAAGAGAGATCAGACTGTTACTGTGTCTATGTAGAAAGGGAAGACATAAGAGACTCCATTTTGAAAAAGACCTGTACTTTAAACAATTGCTTTGCTGTGATGTTGTTAATTTGTAGCTTTGCCCCAGCCACTTTGACCCAGCCACTTTGACCCAACCTGGGGCTCACAAAAACATGTGTTGTATGAAAACAAGGTTTAAGGGATCAAGGGCTGTGCAGGACGTGCCTTGTTAACAAAATGTTTACAAGCAGTATACTTGGTAAAAGTCGTTGCCATTCTCTAGTCTCAATAAACCAGGGGCTCAATGCACTGTGGAAAGCCACAGGGACCTCTGCCCTTGAAAGCGGGGTATTGTCTAAGGTTTCTCCCCATGTGATAGTCTGAAATATGGCCTCATGGGATGAAAAAGACCTGACTATCCGCCAGCCCAACACCCGTAAAGGGTCTGTGCTGAGGTGGATTAGTAGAAGAGGAAAGCCTCTTGCAGTTGAGATAGAGGAAGGCCACTGTCTCCTGCCTGCCCCGGGAACTGAATGTCTCGGTACAAAACCCTATTGTACATTTGTTCAATTCTGAGATAGGAGAAAAACCGCCCTATGGTGGGAGGCAAGACATGTTTGCAGTAATGCTGCTTTGTTATTCTTTACTCCACTGAGATGTTTGGGTGGAGAGAAACATAAATCTGGCTTACGTGCACGTCCAGTCATAGTACCTTCCCTTGAACCTAATTATGACACAGATTCTTTTGCTCACGTTTTTTGCTGACCTTCTCCTTATTATCACCCTGCTCTCCTACTACATTCCTTTTTGCTGAAGTAATGAAAATAATAATCAATAAAAACTGAGGGAACTCAGAGGCCGGTGCTGGTGCAGGTCCTTGGTATCCTGAGTGCTGGTCCCCTGGGCCCACTATCGTTTCTCTATACTTTGTCTCTGTGTCTTATATCTTTTCTCAGTCTCTCATCCCACCTGACTAGAAATACCCACAGCTGTGGAGGGGCAGGCCACCCCTTCACCTCTAATAACACCTGAGGGCCACTGTGTTTGCTCCCCTGTACTGTGAGCTCGTGGTGTGGGGCTTGGCCTGCTGGATCCCCAGTGCTTCATCACCAATGGACAATGACATCTGCACAGACCCATGCACAGCTCTATGCAACTCCAGAACCTGGGTATATGAGATTGGGCTTTGAGAACTCACAAACCCCCACACACTCTGCCTGTCTCTATTCATTCATTAATTTCTAAAAAAAATGGACTCATATCCCTCAAATGCTTTGTAAGGACTTTGCTTGCATGCTGACCAAAATAAACAAACTGCTAAGAAATTTTTATGGGACACTTACATGAACTAGAATGCTGAAGCTTTGATGAAATTAGGGAATTATAGAATTTTAATATGATAAGAGATTATCATATTAAACACAATCATAGTGTGATTATGTTTAGAAAAGAAGTTCTTCCTTCCTAGAGATGAATACTAGTATTTACAGACGAAATGATATGCTGTCTGGGATTTGCTTGAAAAGAATCCCCTGGTAGTGGAGGGAGTATGTGGGAGTTTGTATCATTTTCTTGTGGCTCCTGTCACAGATTCCTACAAACTGGGTGGCTTGAAACATCAGAAAGGCATTTTCTTACAATTCTGAAGGCGAGAAGTCTGAAGTCAGGGTGTGAGTAGGGCCACATTCCCCTGGAAGTACTAGAGAACAATCCTTCCCTGCCTCTTACAGCTTCTGGCGGCTCTTGGCATTTCTGGACTTTCATGGATCATGGCCACATCACTCTACTTTCTGCCTGGGGCTTCCAGCACCTCACCCTCTGTGTGTCTGTGTCTTCTATTCTCTACGTTGCAGGGACATTTGTCATTGGATGTAGGGCCTATCTGGATATACCAGGATGATCTCATCTCAAATTCCTTAACCTCATCTGCAAAGAGCCTTTTTCCAAATAAGGTCACATTTACAGGACTCAAGGATTTGGACATGGACCTCTCTTTCTTGGAAGCCAACATAACTTAATCCACTGCCAGGCATAGATAAAAAAATGTTGCTGGCAATTGATGAATGCAGGTCATGGGTACCTTCAAGCTTGTTATATTATTCCCTCTACTTTTGTATTTGCTAGAATTTTTCCATGTAAATTTTTAAACTATCTTATTTTAGGAGCTCCTATGATGTCCATGTTTTGTCCCAGACAATAAGGACTGGACTCAAACAAGAAGGCTCCGCTCTCAAGAACTCAAGGTCTAAGGGGAAATCTGATATTGAATACATCATGTCAAATTAATGCAGGGAAAGACACAATAGAGAAAATACAGCAGGAAGTGAAAGTAGAGTATTCCAGTCAGGACAAATGCCATGTGCAAAGGCCCAGAGGCCAGGAAGGGTGATTTGAGCAATGCAGAGAGGAAAGAACATAAAAATAGGGTGGCCAGATTTGGCAGATAAGATACAAAACAGCAAAATAAATGAGAATTTTAGATAAACAAGCAATACTTTTTTAGTATAAACATGTTTCCTACAGTGTTTGGGACATACTTATACTAAAAAGTGACTGATCCTTTGCCTGGAATTCACATTTACCTGGGTGCCCTGTATTTTATGTGGCAACCCAGTGTCTTCCAGAGTGCCATCAGCCTGCCCTTCACAGACATGCCCTCCCAGCTATGCCCCCAGCAGAGATTTCTCATCTGCCTTAGTCCTTACATCCAAGTCACGAAAAGTGAGTTTCTTCAAAAAGCCAGTTTCTACTGACTTATAAAGAGAGCAAAATCTGCTGAAATTTTTGGTTAAACTTTTATTGCCAACCTTGAAAAGGAACATATTAACCAGTTACCTTGTGATAAGAGGATGACTTGCCATTTTTCTTAGAATCTAGTAGGCAGTCCTGTGGCCCTGAAACATGTGGGAGTGGCTGTTTTTAACTTGAATCTATTCCTTTCAATGGGAGGGAGCTACTGAAATGAACGTGTAGGTTATCAACCACATTAGGACCTCAAATTAAGTTGTTGAGCCACGAGGGCGATAACCTTTAACAAAGTAAGTACTGATCTTATAAATCTTTCTACACTGCCTCACACCATCTCATCTAGGTCACCAGAAAAATATTTTTAAATGTGTCCTTAGTACAATAAAAAAAAACTGCTTAATACTCACATCAATGCCTTCTTTGTGTGCTTGGATGACAGTTTGAGTTGTGCATTCAGCTGCTTTTGGATATATTGTGTCAACTTAATAAACAGAAAGAGACTCTTTATATGGGAACAAAGTTTTGTAATGGGTACGTGTGTACCATAGTAAACCATGTATGTCCTTAGGGAGATAAAGGAAGAAAAAGATTTTTAAAGCAAAAGAATAAGAAGGATTAAGTAAATGTTTTGAAATACTTATCATTCACTGCAAACATCAATAACAAGGGTGACACCAGGCCAAGTTTGAACAGGGAGTTGCTGGACAGATGCCTTTTCAGGAGTATTTTTTGTAAAAGGTTTTGATGACCTTTGTGAAAAGTTGTGTCACAACTGATTTTCCTATTTATATTAAATACCTGCATCCACTCTGAGCTTCTGATCAAATTGAGACAGCCTTGTTGCTGGCTGCCATTCCAACCAATGTCTCTTGTCTCAGGACAAGGTGTAATTTACTCCAAGGTTTAAGTTACTGGATGTAGATCAATAACAAAGAATAGTTTCATCAATATTAGATTGATTTAGATTTTTTTAAAGGATGACATGCTGAAATAGCAGCTATCTCTCAAACTTCTAATAATTAGTTATATTTAATGAGCACTTACTAGAGACCTGCTACTTTTCTAAGTGCTTTGTATGACTTTGCAATTTAGTCTTCATACCAACCTACCAATCTGTACCATAGGTACCACAAGTATATCCATTTCATAGATTAGAATACTCAGACACAGAGAGATTCAGTAATGTGTCCAAAGTCAAGAAGCCAATATATGAAAATGGTGATATTGAACCCACAAAACCGGTTCAGAAACCAGAGATTTTGGTTAAAAATAATGTTAGTGTGGGGACTCTAATTCCTTTCTTAAATTGAGATTCTACCCTATGGTGTCTCATTTACTCCAGAAAAAGGAAATTATAGTTGCAAGAGTTAAAGCTTTGCAATAGCTATGACCTATTTCACACTTAGCAAGATTCCTAAAAAGTGGGGTGAGGTAAATTACAGAAGAGGCCTCTTGGTGGCAGAATCTTTGATGGCCATTAGCCCATGGCATACCCCATGCTAGGGACACACAAGGTTGTGGTCTGATCTCACTTGGAGACACAGGCTTTCCTAAGATATGACAACACCATAAGTAGAAGAACTGCTCAGTGCCATCTCTCCATTGACATCCCCTCTCAAAACATGACTTAATCATAGATAGTCATGAGATCGGGGTGGAGATGCAGTGAACTGGAAGACGGAGAAGCTATGTGCTGTGACCCATGCCATTCCCCCAATGAATCTAGTCTAAATTTACAAATGGCCACAACCAGCCCCTCTGTGTGCACTGCCAAACTCAGAAATCTTATATTCTCCAAATGATGCACCAGATAGGGGCTATTCAAAGTCAGAAGTTTATAATGCTATGGAATGAACTAACGAAAACTCATTTACTGTTTCTGTCTCCAGTTTGACCAGAAATTTCTAGAATCTGCAGAAGAATTGGACAAGTTAAGAAATGGTAAGATGAAGTCTCTAAGTACCTCTGATGTGGGTATCTAATAGAAGGCACACAAGGAATTTTGAACAGCAGGCAATGCCCATGTGTGTGTGGGGTGGTATTTGGGCAAGGTGGAGAGGGAGAAAGTGGTTAAAATGGAAGGGATGTGGCTCCTTGATCAGGTCTGGCAACTCTCTCCAGGCTAAAAGAACTAGACTTCTCAGAGTATTTGCTAGAGGAACCATCCCCAGCGCCCTGAGAATGCCCTATCCTTATTTTCATGCTTTGGGCACCATGAATGAGCTGTGTTGATCAGCTCAGGATCCCATACAGGCCTCCCCATCCAAGGATACTCAAGGACATAGATTAGATGAAAGGAGGAGAAATAGATGTGACCATTGTCTTGAGTCTTTGTTCTTTCATGGGGGGTGTGAAAAGGTAATATTGTAGCAGTATTGCAGGCTTTGAAGAGCACAGAAAGGGACCCTTACATAAAAACCTCTCAGAACCTGCCTTAAATGTCACAAATATGAGGCTTATTCTGGGAACTTCTCATTCTAAATGGCATTGTGTTGGCAGTCCTGTTGTAACCTATCCCAACATCTTCCTGAAGTATCCATGAACATAAATGAACACAAAAAAAGACAAGAGTTCTACTATGTATCTGGAGGAGAAATAAATAACAAAAATGAAACAACATGATAAAAAGTAAAAGGAAGCTGATTAACAAAAAGAAGGACTACAGGAAGCTTTTTAAAAACGCACTTTCAGGTGAAATCTTACCAGGCAATAATTTCTTTTTCATGTACAAATTTAGTCATTTTCACAACCATTTTTTTCATCCTGAAAGAGTGGGATTCATAGTCATTTCACTCTCCTTTTTTTTCCTTCTTTGTAAAGATGGGAGTTTGATGTTCCAGCTAGTGTCAATGGTTGAGATTGACAGGATGAAGCTGTGCAGACCAGAGCCATTCTCAACTACATTGCCAGCAAATACAACCTTTATGGGAAAGACACAAAGGAGAGAGCCCTGTATGGTATAGTTTCTATTCTTCCATCAACAGATTTAACACAGGAGTGATTTAGGTCCTTCCTTGAGTGGGTGGGACATGGTAGGGGCCTTCAGCATGTACGCTAGGGTCTAGCATTGCAGAGACTCATGGAGATGAGGGAACAGTGAACATGGGGTGGGCTCAGGCGAGGGGGAGTCTAGAAGAGGATCCAGTCCATGGATCCAGCACCCTGACAGAGGTTTCCAAACACGGATGAACCATGAACTCAGGAGGATGGGGAATCATGATTCCAGGTGCTCAGGCCTTCAGAGGCTGGACTGGAGCCAACAGCTTAGGACAAGGCATAGAACGTTTGAGAGTCTGTAGGTGAAGGCCTGGGGAGAAAAGGTTACAAAGGAGCTGAATCTCAGGTTCCAGTAAATCCAAGAATGATGACCAGGGACCTAAGTTACCAGCCAATTATATGGACTGCAACACCTGAGCAGGGCTAGCAGAGGCTGGCACCAAGGATGCTGGGGTTATCTTGACACATGGTTACAAGGCTGAAACAGCCAGATTGATTCAATACCAGCAAAGCCAAAGGGTTTCCTCACTATTGTGATAAAACTACATGATTCCAAATAAATCCTGAATGGAACTTTTGGCAGCCCCTCCAAAATTTTCCTGCAGTATTACCAATGACCAAGCAATTCCTCAACTAGATATATTCCCAAAAGAATAAAAAATACAACCACACTAAATATTGAAGATAAATGTACAATGCAAATAACAATATTCATAGTATTCAAAAAGTGGAAACAAGGCAAATATCCATCAATCAATAAATGGAGGGGCAAAATGTGCTTTAGCCATGTGATGGAACGATATTGTCATGAAACAGAATGAAGTACTGATGCATGCTACAAGATGGTTAAACCATAAAGACATGTTACATAAAAGAAACAAGACACAGAAAGCCACATATTATAGGATTCTTTTTGTATGAAACGTCCAGAATATGCAAATCCATAGAGGCAGAAAGTAGATTAGTGTTGCCTGGGGCTAAAGGAGTGGGGCTTGGAGTAAAATGAAGAATACTGCTGATGGTACAGATGTCCTTATCGGGGTCATAAAAAATATTCTGGAATTAGAATGTGATGATTTTTGCAGAGTTCTGTGAATGTGCTAAAAAGCACTGAATGTGGCTGTATGTCAATAAGCTGTTGTTTTAAAAAGTATTGTGAAACCTGAGTTTGACACAAAAGAAAAAGTTTGCACTGGTTGTAACTGTATAAATAATTTCACCAAGGAAGGGGATCTTTTAGGTGGAGTCTCAGGTAAGGCACACGTGGCTAGAGTCGGACAACAGCACATGGAGAGGGCTGTAGAATTATGTTTCATGGGAGTAACTGGAAAAACTGCTAATATTGGGCATAGAAGTGGGCCTGGGAGATGTAAAATGATGAGACAGAACAAGGAACATGACTGAGATGGCTGTGCCAGGGACTCTCTTGGGATTACTTAGGAGGCAGGACTTTGGCAATTTGACTCACACTAAGTTCACACACAGAACAAACCACAATAGAGATGGTCAGTCCTGGCACAGCACCAGTGGGTACTGGCAGTGATTCCACAAGTTTCTGTCATGACTGTGACCACCGATGCTCTTTTTACCTGTATTAGGTCATGTGTGTAACAAAATTTAGAGATCTATCTACCTCAATAGGTTGTTTTAAAAAAATAAATGTTAATATACCTGTAAAAATCAGAGCATAATGACTAGACTATGAAAGGCAATCATTGGAGGTAAATTGCTTTGCCACCACCTGATGCTCTATCCTCTTAGATTTTTAAACTATAAAATCTAAGGCAAAAGGCATTAGAAAGTTTGGTTGTTTTTGTCTTTCAGGATTGATATGTATATAGAAGGTATGGCAGATTTGAATGAAATGATCCTTCTTCTGCCCATATGTCAACCTGAGGAAAAAGATGTCAAACTTGCCTTGATCGAAGAGAGAATGAAAAATTGCTATTTCCCTACCTTTGAGAAAGTAAGTGAAGTCATTCAGCGTTTTGGAACACTGCATTTTGAGGACAATAGAAAAACAGTGGCTTGGCATTCCTGGGGCACTGACAAACAATTGTACCGCTTACACTCAAGCTATAATTTTCCAGCAAAGTTTTGTTTTATTTTTCTTTATTTTTTAGGAGATGATATCTTCTTCTGTCTCCCAGGCTTCAGTGCAGTGGATCACTGCAGCCTGGACCTCCTGGGCTTATGTGATCCTCCCACCTTAGCCACCTTCTGAGTAGCTAAGATTACAGGCATGACCCACTGTGCCTGTTTAATTTTTAGAATTTTTTAAGAGATGAGGTCTCTCAATGTTGTCCAGGCTGTTATCACAAAATTACAATTCACTAGACTCCAATATAAATTATTTATTTAACAAAATTTCATGTTCATAATTAGAACATGGGCTGTGAGAGGCTCTGAGCCACAGTAGAATTTGGTCTACAGTCTTTAGAACAACACTGGATTTGATTTAAAAGGAACATGATGAATGGAATACATCAGAAAATATTCTGGCACCATGCGTAGGAAGACATGAGACCAACTGCCCATTGTTTTGTTATTGTGGGGTGTTTGTTACTGTGGGGCGTTTCAGGGGTAAATATCCAAAAACGGAGGGTGGCAGTGGGATGGGGAGGAAGATACTTTTATGCATTTCAAAGTTGCAGACATCAGTGCAGTCCACCCCTAGACACTTCAACTTGCAGATTATAACTGTAGGTTAGGAGTCAGAGCCGACGATGCAAGAAAGATGATGAATTCAAGTTCACCCAGGTTCACTTCAGATCTCAGAGAGAGCAGGAAATGAGGAGAGCAGACAAGAAGAAATGACTCTGAAATAGTCTACTCCTGGGGGAGGAGTGCTGTCATGAAGGTGGAGTCACTGCCCAAGAGAGATTGGAGAGGGACAGTGCAGAGCGTAGAGCCACGTCCTGAACGTCAGGGCTGCATGCTGTTGAGCCTGGGGCAAACCGAACATGCAGCAGCAGGTGCCGGACCCCTGGCCCTTGTGGAAAATGTAAGCTGGGTGGGTGGTGTGGATGCCACAGTGATGTGAAATAAGAAGAGAAAATGGGAGCCTGGGGTCCAAGTAAGGAATGAGCAGAGCCCTCGTTCTCACTCTGTCATTGAATCAGGGACCATAAACAAAGTTCAGGATCTCTGCTACCTCAGGAAGAGCATTTTGCCTTTTATCATGGAAAGGACCCAGGGCCCAGCATCTCTCCCCATCCCTCTATTCCCCTGTGGTTTCTGTTCCTGAGTTCTCTGTGATGCCCTTTATCCCAGATGTGCCCTTGTCTTCCCACACCAAGTATGTCTGAGCAGGGCTCTTTCCATCTGGTTTTCTCCCTGGGCTCCAGCTCCTGCTGTCAGACATTGCGTTTCTCCCTGCACAGCTCTCACAACACACAGCCCCCAACCTTGTATCCCTCAGTGGGAAAAAGTAGCCCCATAATTTGCCTTTAACATTTCCTATCTTCATTTCTGACTCAATTTTCCTGTAGTTTCACTTCTGCCTAGAGACTGATCTGTGCTCATATCTCACAGGCACATTCTTTTTTCTTGTCTTATACAAAAGCCATGAATTTACAGGATTAATGTGTAAGGAAGTGTGTAGGGAGACTGAATTGAATAGTCTTAAAGACATCTTTGGGGAAAATGCTAGCGAGCTACATGTTCTTCCTCTTATCTTTGCTTCCGGCTGGGTGTCTGTTTCCCTGCCTCTACACTGGTGTTGATGGAGGGGACTCAGCTGGTCTTTGTGTAGGAGGGACTCAGATTTCCTGGGTTGTGTTTATGATGGTGTCTGCCCTTGGCTTCACTCTGAGGCTACATTATCATGCATTGCAGGCCCTGAAAACCAGAATCAGCAACCTCCCCACAGTGAAGAAGTTTCTGCAGCCTGGCAGCCAGAGGAGGCCTCCCGTAGATGTGAAAGCTTTAGAAGAAGCAAGGAAGACTTTCAAGGTTTGAAAAAGAAGCCATCGAGGCCAAGCACATGCAAGACCAATTTTCTAAAGTTCTGCAACAATGAAGTGATTTACCTAAGTGTTGATTCTGATTGTTGTGAGACCAATAAAGTTTTCCAAAGTATATGCTAATTTAGTTAAAGCTCAACTATGCAGATGTGGTTGCAATGCAGTCTTACTTGGCATTGACCAAATGTAAAATCATGCCTAGAATGTCACTTTGGATTTAAATAACAGGTGAGAAAGTTACTTGGACTCTGACCTGTTAAAAAAAAAAGAGTCATCATACAACAACTGTTACATAGCTTGTCAAAGAATTATGTAGAAATTTTCATACGACTATTTGGGTTATACAAAAATAGGCTTTTCCTTTTGTGTTTTGAAAAGCTTTTTTTTAAGAACCATTTTCCTTCGGGCACCCAATATTTTTCCTGTTTAATTAAGGAAACAATATCTATTTTTATCTAATATAAAATACTCACTGTTCCAGGAGCTGGATAAATAATGATTAACAAGCCATAATGGGGTTACTTTAGTGAGAGAGACACAAAAATAGGTAACTCCAATAAAAAATCATGTATACCATAAGTATCCCATTCCTAGGACTGCTACAAAAAATTACCGCAAACTTAGTGACTTAAAACAATAGAAATTTATTCTTTCACAGTTCTGGAGGCTATGAATCCAAAATTGAGATGTGAGCAGGGCGGTGTTCTCTCTGAAGGCCTTAGGGAATTCTCCTTTGTTTTTCTTGCCTCTGATGGTTCTTGGCCATCGTTGCCATTCTTTGGTTTGCTTCATGCATCACTCTAATCTCTGCCTCCATCATCACAGGCCATTCTCCCTGTGTGTGTCTCCATCCAAATTTTCCTCTAAGGACACTAGTAATAGGATTATAAATAATAACAGCATTTTGTCCTCCAGTTTTCCTGTTTTCTTTCTGGGTCCTGACTGAAAATCATAGTGTCTTGACCACTCTGAAACAGCCAAGCTTTAGGTTTTTCCCAGCAGGCTTGAACCCAAACGGAGGCCTTGAACATTTCCAGGCACTGATAAAGGTGTCTTGGTTGTTGCCCAAAACATTGAAAGAAACTGGCCCTGGCCATGAGCCAGACTCCTTAAACCCTCATGTTGAACCTCATATCCTGAGCTCCTTGCTGCACACATACCTAGGTAGAATAGCCCTTTTCTCTCACTGTCTGTCGTGAGCATTACTGCAGCCCACTGTATGTTTCCCTCATAAATGCTTTGGACTGATCACTCTGGTGTTTAGTGCTGGTTCTTTAGAATCCCAACCAGTGCCATCTTGAGAAGATTTGGGGCACTCCCTTGTGGGAATTTCCAAGCCAAGCGTTCATTGGAATGAAAAAATTGGCATCGTCAGGAGGATTCAAAAGAAATGGGCTGAGGAAGACGAACTGACTAGGGAAATCCCAGGATGGCCACAGAGCTCTATGTGGAGCTTTGTGGTCCGCTTGCTAAATGCTTACCCCACACCTCCTAGGCTGATGGAAGGTTTAAAATTGCAAATATGGGGTAAAGAAGTCCGGTGATAGGCTGGGCCTGGTGGCTCACACCTGTAATTCCAGCACTTTGGGAGGCTGAAGCAGGCAGATCACTTGAGGTCAGGAGTTCGAGATCAGCCTGGCCAACATGGTAAAACCTCGTCCCTAGCAAAAATACAAACATTAGCACCAAAAATACAAACATTACCCAGGCGTGATGGTGAATGCCTGTGATCCCAGCTGCTCAGGAGCCTGAGGCAGGGGAATCGCTTAAACCTGGGAGGTAGAGGTTGCCATGAGCCGAGATTGTGCCACTGCACTCTGGCCTGGGTGAAAAAGCGAGACTCCGTCTCCAAAAAAAAAAAAAAAAAAAAAAAAATCCAGGCATAGTGGTGGGGATAGGGCAGTCTGGCTGGCAACAGAGGCTCAGCTGGCAGCCAAGCAAGGAGCCCAAGGTAGAGGAGGAATTACAGCTGGAAAGAGGCATGCACAGCACCACCACTCTGTTAGTTACATACACACCCAATGGGAAAAAATGGAGAAAGGGCACTCTGCAGAGAGGTGCCTGAGGAGTCCGCAGTCTCAATTTTGCTACCACGGGAGCTTTGGGTGTGGTGGCAGCTCTGAGTCCCACCTGCAGGTGGTGGAGAGTCAGAGAAGAAAATAAAAGAAAAAATGGGAAAAGAGGAGGCACCAGAAGACCCACTCACTAGTGGCCAGGGGTGGATAGTGGCTACAGTAGTGGCCTGGTGTATTAGAGTTCTCCAGAGGGAAGGAACTAATAGGATAGATGTACACATGAAAGGGAATTTATTAAAGAGAACGGACTCACATGATCATAAGGTGAAGTCCCACTATAGGCTGTCTGCAAGCTGAAGAGCTAGGAAGCCAGTAGTTGCTCAGTCCGAGTCCCAAAACCTCAAAAGTAGGGAAGCAGACAGTGCAGCCTTCAGTGGTTTGCCAGCGACCACTGATATAAGTCCAAGAGTCCTACTCTTCAAGGACTGGAGAGAATGGGGATTGTGCATTCTACACAGAGCTCATACAACAGCCCTGTATGGTGGGCAGGAAAGCCTGATGGGACCTGGAGGATGATGGCTGATTGCTGGGAACTAAATAAGCTGACTTTGGCCAGACATGACACTGTTCCAAATGTGGCTCAAATACTGGAAAGGCTGGCTACTTGTTTAGGTATACGGCATACTGTCTCGGATTTAGCAAAAGCTTTCTTTAGCACCCTTATACCCAAAGTCCCAGAACATGATTTTCTTCACCGGGGAGGACCTTTCAGGTGCTCCCCCAGGGGTACTTGTATAGTCCCACTATCTGCCATGGCTTGGTACCCAGAGACCTGGCCATTTTGAGTGGTATGTCTGGCAGTCTCTGAAATCATTATGTGGAGATATTTTGCTAACTTCTACAGATTTGAGTCCTTTGCAGAAGGTACCCAAAAGACTCTAGAGTACCTGCAATCAAGAGGATGGACTAGCAACCCAAAGAAAGTCCAGGGGCCAGGGGGCACTGTAAAATTCCTGGATGTGATCTGGTCAGGTAAGACCAACAGCCGTGATTGACAAGATACAGGTATACCCATGGCCTCACACCATTATGGAATTACAGCCCTTTGAAGGCCTGTTGGAATATTGGCAGACCTGTGTTCCCCACTTGGCCCAATGTCTCAGACCATTATAGCTCCTGATAAAGAAGGGAGCCCATGGGGTCTGGGGCACTAAAGAAGCCTCATTTACTCAGACAAAGGCCTTAGTGATGCAAGCACAAACCCTGTAAATGGTCATCCCTGAGAGACCATTTGAATTCAATGTTTCTGTGACTGAGGAAAACAATGGGTTGGACCCTCTGGCAGAGAGAGGGTAACCAACAAATGCCCATTGGCTTTTGGTCAGGATTGTTCAGAGGAGCCCAGCAATACTATACCCTGTTGGAAAAAATGAAAACTCCTTGCAGTTTACCAAGTCCTCTTGCAAACAGAGCCGCTACCTGGAGATATGCCAGTGGAAGTAAAAACAGACTATCCTATTAGGGGTTGGATTGATGGCCTATTTGCCAGACCTACATCAGCCATAGAAAAACAGGATTCTGTTTAGATGGTATGCATATCTCGAGCAGAGAAGACACCTTCCCTCCAGCCCTCTGTCTATAGAACTACAGGCCCTGCTGGGACCTGCACAACATACTGATAGATTTAAAATCAATCCCAACACTGCCCCCAGAGAAACCCCATCAAATAAAGGACAGAGATAGGAAAGCACCCAAGGATGCTAGGTACAGAGATGGCTCCAGTGTGGGTCAGCCACCCAGGTGGACCACAGTGGCAATTCAACTAGCCACTGATACGATGCGGGTGGAACCTGGAATTGGGTGGGCAGAGTTACAAGATACCCGGTTAGTGGTTATGGAAAAGCCTGATATAGTTTGGATATTTGTCCCTGCCCAAACTCATGTTGAACTGTCATCCCCAATGTTGGAAGTAGAGCCTGGTGGGAGGTATCTGGATCTTGCGGGCAGATCCCTCATGAATGGTGTATTAGTTGGGGTTCACTAGAGGGACAGAACTGGTAAGGTAGAGAGACAGATATATATCTCCTATATATGAGTCTATTAGAGAGAGTTGGCTCACATAATTACAAGGCTAAGTCCCACAATACACCATCTGCAAGCTGGAGAAGAGAGAACCAGTAGTGGCTCAGTCTGAGTCTGAAAGCCTCACACCAGGGAAGCCAACAGTGCAGCCTTCAGTCTGTGGCCAAAAGCCCGAGAGCTCCCAGCAAGCCGCTGGTGCAAGCCCCAGAGTCCAAAGGCCAAAGAACCTGGAGTCTAATGACAAGGGCAAGAGGAGCGGGAGGAAGAATCCAGCACGGGAGAAAGAAGGCAGCCAGAGGACTTAGCAAGCAAGGTTATCCCACTTTCTTCTACGGGCTTCGTTCTAGCCATGCTGGCAGCCAAAGTGATGGTGCCCCCCCAACATTGAAGGTGGGTCTTCCTCTGCCAGTCCTACTGACTCAAATGTGAATCTCCTCTGGCAACACCCTCACAGACACACCCAGAAATAATACTTTCCCAGCTATCCAGGCATCCTTCAATCCAATCAAGTTTGACATAATCACAAATGGCTTGGGCCATCCCCCTGGTGATAAGTGAGCTCTCACTCTGAGTTCACATGAGAACTGGTTGTTTAAAAGTATATAACACCTCCATCCCCTATAACCAAACTCTGCCTCTTGCTCCTACTTTCGCCATGTGACAGGTAAGCTCCCCCTTTACCCTCTGCCATGAGTAAAAGCTTCCTGAGGCCTCCCCAGAAGCAGATGTTGGTGCTACTCCTCCTGTACAGTCTGCAGAAACATGGGCAAATTAAACCTCTTTTCTGTATAAGTTACCCAGTCTCAGGTATTTCTTTATAGCAATGCAAGAATGGCATTGCTATAAAGAAATAGCCATACCCAGTAGCCCTGTATGTTGATTCCCAGGCAGTCACAAAGGGGTTGACACTGTGGATAACCAATGGGAAAAGGATCAATGGTCTATACATGGAAAGCTGTTGTGGGAGGCAGAACTATGGGCAAGCATTTGGGATCAATTATACCAACCAGGGGCTGAAGTCACAGTGTCCCACATAGCATCTCACCAACAATCATCCCCCAGTGGAAATATAGATGCAGATACTCTCGCCCAAGCCAGGTCAGTGGTCACCTCTGAAGATGCAGATGTAGCACATTGGATACATTGGAGGGGAGGTCATAGCAGGCTGCATACTACTTGAAAACTGGCCCAACAAGCTGGTTTGCCAGTGTCCACACAAGAAATAGAAAAGATAAGACAAAATTGCCCTGTCTGTTGCCAAGCCCAACTTTGGCAAGTGCCAGGGGCCACCAGAAACATAACAAGAGGGGAGAAAGCCATGGACACATGGCAAATAGATTATATTGGCTCATTCCCTAAAAGTAAGGGATATCGATATGCACTCACAAGCGTAGACACTGTGAGTGGCCTCTTGCAAGCATTCCCCTGTGGAAAAGTAAATCAGACATGGACTATACAGTGTTTGCAATGCTTGCAAATCATGTATGGTACCCCAAGAACTATCACCAGTGATCAAATAACACACTGCACAGGCTCCCTAATCCAAGATGGAACTGAAAAAGAGGCAATTTCATCTGCCCTACCACCAGCAGGGAGTGGGATTTATAGAGAGAAAAAAATGGCCTCCTAAAGGAAAAATTTTAAGCTCTTGATAGGACTCTCCTCACTGAGAAGCTGGGTTGTAGTTTTCATGGAAGCTGTTCGTGCCTTGAGTGTGGCCCCCATTGTGGGAAAAATGTCTACTTATGAACATCAGGAAGATGTAAAGAACCTGGTGCTAGCCGTGCAGGTATGGAGAAAATCAGACACTGTCTTCAGAACAGAACTCAGTTCCACACAGAATGCCCTGATTTTGTGCTCCTCTTGTCCCATAACACCTGATCAGGGAACTTTGAGATGAGACCTGGGATAGAAAGTGCCATCGCTTCTTGGCCTTTTGGCTAAGATCAAGTGTAGAAAGTGCCACCAGGCTAGACTGGTGTCCTTCTTTCCTTGAGGTAGGGAGCACCCCTTCCCTAAACCTGACCCCCACTTTCCTTTTTGATACAGGCCCTGGTAGATGCACTGGCAGTGGGCAGGCAGTGCCCCATACTGGTGGGCACTAGTCCAGTGGATCTCACCCAGCCCTGTCACTGTGGAGTCAGTAGCTCCTCCCACACTGGGACAGAGGTCTAGTACAGCCTCCAGGAGAGATTCCCACAGCCTCCTGCCCCACCTGTATAACAAAACTAGTACCAGACCTTCCCTCTGCAATAATCTCAGCAGCCTTATCTTTTTGCTGTTAGCTTGAGCAGCCTTCTCCTTTTCTGTTATATCATTCCCACTAGAGCTTGGATATCCTCAGAGGACATTTTCCTGGGCTAGGCCCATCACCCAACCTGTATGCAAGCCCAATCTAACTGCTGGGTATGTGGTCTTATATCCCTAAGCAGCCAAGGAGAAACTCCATGGTGGACTGAACTGCTACTGAGTGAAAACTGGATCTCTGCAAATGTGGATAACTGAACAATGTAGGGAAAGGGGTATCCTAGATACCTCTGACATCACACACTCAAACATGGGATGTGACACTGAGCAATCCTGGACATAATGTAAGGTTTTCTCTAAACGTGTCCTGCAGGGAGGCAAGCACCAAAGTCAGAACTGCCCTGAAAAACACACACTCCAGCAATAGGGATCATGCTGACAAGTGTGGAATGGCTTTGTATGGCTCACCCCTACAACGGGGATGCTCTCCTGGGTGGCAGAGCTCTATTGGGAATAACATAGTTCCTCTAAGAACACACAGGTAAATGACACCAGGTACCTAGTGTTCCTCCCAACTGCTCAATGCCAACAGATCTTCACACTTAGAGACACTGATTGGTCTGTTACAGACTGGTCTTGTAGGCCGGGAATATATTGAATTGCCCCAAATGGCTCCCAGTGGCTCTGTGCTACTCACTTTTGGTCCTGGCTTCCCCCGGGGATGGCTTGGATGGTGTACCCTTGGCTTCCCATAGCTGCACTCCAGATTCACACCATCCCCGTCCCCCTCAGTCAGCCCATCTGGAAGGTTCAATGGAATAGGTCTATTTTTTCTTTATGGTATTACTTATTGACTGTACCTCTTGTGCCTCCAAGAGGCTCTACTGATATCATGCAGAAGATGGAAACCCTTCAAAGATTTGTCTCCATAGCTTTGAATGACACTGAGAGTGGTTAGGAGGCCTTGAACATTGAGACAGCTGCAATGAGGAAAGTGGTCTACAGAGGGGAGTAGCTCTAGACATGTTAACAGCTGTGCAAGGAGGCATCTGTGCCTTTTTTTTTTTTTTTTTTTTTTTTTTTGGTTTTAAGGAGCAGAGAGTTTAACAGGCAAGAAAGAAAAGAGAAGGCAGAAGGAAGAGGCTCCCCTGTACAGAGACAGAGGGAGGCGGTCTCCAAAGCTGAAAGAGGAGGCCCCAAGTGCTATGGATACCAGCCAGTTTTATGAGTAGGCTGGAGGAGGTGGTGTCTGATTTGCACAGGGCTCAGGGGATTGCTTTGACCAGGCATGTCATTCACGTAGCCTGCGGAAAAAGCTGGCCCTCCCACCCTAGCCTTTTCATATGCAAATACAGGGCACCACCACAATGTTCTACACACATGGGGATATGTGGGGGCGACCTTGCTGCTAGGCACATGGCGGGGCAAGGGCAAGAAGAAGGCAGGAATTGCCATGTTTGAGCGGACCTAGTTTCTAATGGCCTGCATTTGCATATCAAAGGTTGCCTGCCTGGCTCTGCCGGGGCTTTACCAGAAACATTTCCAGAGCAGCTTTAAAAATAAACACTTCTCAAGGACCCCTTTTCCTTTCTATCTGCCTAAAATAATTTCTTAATAACTCCTACAACATGCCCCTCTGTGGAGATGTCACACTAACTGCTGTTAGGGGGTTTTGGGCGATGACTCTTTCTGGCTACTTCCTGCTGAAAAGGGGTGTCGAGTAAGGAACAGCAGCTAGGGCTCCTCCTGGGGTCTATCTAAGAGTCCTCAGAAGAATGCCATGTTCATGTGTGGTTCAGTTTGCAGCACCATTTGGAGTTTGATTGCCCCCAGGCAAGAAGAAAAAATTCGAGTTACAGTATTGAGTATACAGGGTCCAAATATCAATACGAGACATATAAGCAAGAGAGGGCTTAATAAAGGGGTTAACCAATTCCGTAAAGAAGACTGGAATTCATTAAAGAGGGATTGTAGCCACCTAGGGCTGAAGCCTGCATTTTCCCTGAGCCTGTCAATGATTTTGATTTGATCTTTAAGTGCCTGTAGATCGTCCTCTACTTTACTAGAGGTGTTAATCCAAGATATAGAATTTCCCTTTGGGGGTCTATGAAGTTCCTTGGTTTTATTTTCCCAAAGAAGCCTCTGGGTTATGGGCACCCTCCTCTTTCATTTCCTGGCAGAATTTGCAGGATAATTGCCCAGAACTAGCATATTAATCCAGATTTTTTACATTACCCATCCCTTTTTCTTTCTTCCAAGCTGCAGGAAATCACCACTTGATTGACAGGAATAAGCAGGGTTAGTCTAAAATGCAGGAAAAAGGCTTAAAAAAATTAATGAGACTAGGATTTAATGACAAATGTATGATAAGCTTTGGAGTACAATTTTTCTCTCCAGTCCTCATTTTTGGTAAAAACAAATTATGATAGGACCGTATGTGTTGTTCGTAGAATAAACTTTTAGTCTCCTACTTGGCATAATGATTTGCATAAAGTGCAGCAAGAATGGTTATTTCTACATAGGCCTTTTGGATTGGCTTTGATGAAATTCTGTTCCACAAGGAATTTCAGATAAGACTTTTTTTTTTTTTTTTTTTTTTTTTTAAGACGGAGTCTTGCTCTGTCACCCAGGCTGGAGTGCAGTGGCACGATCTCCACTCACTGTAACCTCCACCTCCCGGGTTCACGCCATTCTCCTGCCTCAGCCACCCAAGTAGCTGGGACTACAGGTGCCCACCACTAAGCCTGGCTAATTTTTTGTATTTTTAGTAGAGACAGGGTTTCACCGTGTTAGCCAGGATGGTCTCGATCTCCTGACCTCATGATCCGCCCACCTTGGCCTCCCAAGAGATAAGACTTTTAAAGCCGAACCCAGTCATGGGTTTGTGTCCTCAAATACCTGTGAGTTGGGTGATCCTCTCCACTTGAAGTCCCAAGATAAACTCAGAGCTTCCAGACCTGTTAGAACATGACGTTCTTTACTGACCACAGAACCTGTGCCCTTTTAAAAACTGAATGTTGCGTATGCATCCTAAAGAAGCTGAAGTTAATAAATTCCTCTCTCATTTACAAAAGCAATTACAGCTAATTGGCCACAGGGTGGTTGACTCCTAGTGGTCTATATCATGGTCTGGGGGATGCAGTCCTTGGTGGAAAGCTCTCTTAGTAAGGCTTTTGGGAATTGGTGATTTTAGGTCTTGTCATGTGCATCTGTATTTACTGTTGGTGTAGGTTTTGTTGGCAGTGTTTCATAAACTTAGGGGCAAAGGACCTTATAGGAGATCCCACCCTTTTCTGCCTGCTTAGGAAACATCACAAAAAAGGTGGCCCTGTGAAATTGTAAGAGCCAGTCAGAGAGGTAGACTGTAGGGTCCTCCAGTTCCCTTGCTTTCTTTCTGTGTCCTGACTGCAAATCAGAGTGCCTTGGCCACTCCATGACCCAACCAGCTGCAGGTTTTTCCCAGCAGGCTTAAAGCTAAACCAGGGCCTTGAACATTTGCAGACACTGATAAAGATATCTAGGTTGTTGCTCCAAATACAAAAAGAAACTGGTCCTGGTTCTGAGCCAAACTCCTTAAAGTTTCACATGGATTCCATACCCTGACCCCCTCACTGCGGACTTTTCTAGGTAGAACATGCCTTTTCTTTCATCTGTCATGAGGACTGCTGCAGTACTGTAAGTTCCCCTAGTAAATGCAGTGGACTGATCAACTTAGCATTTAGTGCTTCTTTCTTTGGAATCCCAACTGGCCCACCTCAGAATGAAATTGTGGGAATTCACCTCTGCCACTTTTGGGGTAGTCCAGCCTTCAGTTTGGTGGGATGAAAAAATAAGTAGTAATAAGAAATGATCTCCTTATAAGGACATCAGGAATTGGATTGGGAGCCACCCTTATCCAGTGTGACTTCATCTTAACTAGATTACACCTCCAGAGACCTTATTTGTATCTGGGGTTAGGACTTGAACATACTCAACATACTCTTCTTGGGGAACAAAATTTAACTCACAACTCCATGCTAAGGGATGAGATAATGCTGGGGGTGCACCTGGTCAGGCCACCTCAGCTGGACTCCATGGGTCAGAGGTGGATTCTCAGGGAGGGCAGTCATATCTGACTTGAGATTTGCAGGCAAGACGAGTTGCAGTTATGAGGTAGAGCTATAGTTGGGCAGCAGGGGTGGAATCCTGATGGAGGCTCAGCACGGTTAATGGTGTAAAAGAGAGAGACTGAGCAAGGTGTATTCAAAGAAAGAGAAGACAGTCTGAGTGAAGCATTAAAGCACGAGGTAGCAGGAGTGATGATGAGGTAGGATCCGGGAACAAGGCCCGCAGGCCTAAGGACTTTGAAGGCCATGACAAGAAGTTTGAATTTTGTCCTGAGAAAAGAGGGAGCTGTGGAAGTATACAACTTGCTTTGCCAAACTGGCATCAATAAAATAAAATCACAGCTTTTAAATATTCATTTTCAGTCACTTAAGCATCCATCTCAGAATAGCAAGAACATTCTTTCCCTCTGGGAGTCTCTTTCCTATGTTAAAAGATAAACGTAGGCACATTAAAATTTTAAAGAGTTTATTTTGAGCAGACAGACATTCATGAATCGGGCAGTGCCAAACCACAAGCAATTTGGACTTCATGGAGGGGGTGTGAGGGGAGAACTTTGATAACGTGTTTATGGAAGCAAAACAAAGAAAATATTTGCTTGGTTAAGGTGAAAAGTCACTAGTTAGAAGTTAGTTGGCAGTTTCTGATAGGTTAAGTTTAAGTTTCTTGTTTTCCTAGGATATGACCTTCATGCTGAGTTGAGCTTTAGCTTGCTTACATAAGACTCAAGGCACTGGGGACATCTCAGCCTACTGGCCTCCTAATTAATTAATACCCACATTAAATCCAACAACCTAGGGGCTTATTCCATTCAAGGAGTCAAGTAGCCCTGACACCAGTAGAAAATTCTATCAGTCTCTGCTGCTATCTGCCACATGGAGTTCCTGTTGTCCCATAGACTTCATGATCTGAGGCGGTTTGGTTGAAACACTGGCCACAATTTGTCCACATGAGTCCCAGAATCTTCATTCTCTGTCCCTTCACAAGAAGAAAGAGGAAGTCTCCCTCCCTGCTATCCCTCAGGCCTGGGATCTCAAAATGTAGGTGGATATATAGAGTCATTTTTCTCTGGCATGCCACTGTCCAGGAGAGATGAGGATGGAGCAATTTCTAGCTTCAGCCATGTACTAAGCCCATAACTTATGCTTCCCCAGAAAATCTAAGATCTAGGGGGTTAGACCCAGGGCACTGGTCCCGATTGCACATTTTCATAATGTGAGCTTTGCCACAATTAGGTGTGTTAGGACAGACAGAGACATGGGACTCATGGCTCATGTCTTCTACGTCTACTGAGGGTTAGGTCAATTCAGACCAACCAAGATATTCCAAGATATCTTCCTAAGAGTTTCCCAGTTCCCTTTGCACATTTACCTGCTCCCTCTTCAGCAGATAAATATCCCAACGGTAGACTCTTATACTCTCACTCTGCAATAGAGTTTTCAACCTGATCATACCCAGCCTTCCCCAGTTTACAAGAGATATTTTATAATTTATTATTATTATTATCATCCTGAAGTGAACCTTGTAAGATTTACCTCACAATGGTTGCTGCTGGGAATACAAGATGAATAAGGTATAATAATCCTAGCCTTTGAGGGGTGCATAATTAACCCCAAGGAAAAAGATTTGCATATAAAGAATTACGAGTCAATATGTAAATTTGTATTAAAGAAGTTCCTGCAGGTGGCAAAATGACCACTCAAAAAGAGTGGCTGAAGAGGCCAGGTGCAGTCGCTCATGCCTGTAATCCCAGCACTTTGGGAGGCTGAGGCGAGTGAATAAGTTGAGGTTAGGAGTTTGAGATCAGCCTGACCAACGAGGCAAAACCCTGTCTCTACTAAAAATACAAAAATTACCCGGCATGGTGCCGCACACCTCTAGTCTCAGCTATTCTGGAGGCGGAGGCAAGAGAATCGCTTGAGCCAGGAGGTGGAGGTTGCAATGAACCAAGATTGTGCCACTGCACTCCAGCGTGGGTGACAGAGCGAGACTCCATCTCAAAAAAAACCAACCAAACAAACAAAAAGAGTGGCTGAAGAAAGTTTAATGAAATACCTATTGTATTAGTCTGACCTCATGCTGCTACGAAGAAATACCCAAGACTAGGTAATTTATAAAGGAAAGAGGTTTAATTGACTCACAGTTTCACATGGCTGGACAGGCCTCAGGAAACTTACAATCACGGTAGAAGGCACCTCTTTACGGGCAGCAAGGGAGAGAATGAATGCCCAGAGAATGGGGAAGCCCCTTATAAAACCATCAGGTCTTGTGAGAACTAACTCACTATCATAACAGAATGGGGGAAACTGCCCCCATGATCCAATTATCTCCACATGGTCCCTCCCATGACACATGCGGATTATGAGAACTACAAGTCAAGCTGAGAATTCGGTGGGGACACAGCCAAACCATATCACCTATTTACAAACTGGGGAAGGGTTAAACTACTACAACGGATGATGAAGCACTCTGGGGCTCTCCTTTCCCTGGCCTTCATTGAGACAAGAGCAGAAAGCAGTTCAGGGATCTAGGAAAACACTGAGAGTCACAGCTGCAGGAAAAGTCTGCACCAACAGGAGCTGATGGCTTTCATAGAGAGAGATCCACTGTCAACCTAAGTAGCCCTGAAGACACGGTCAGTTTATAAATGACTGGACATTATGACAATAATTTATTACTGATTTGCTATAAAGTGTTATCCATTTTATGCTATATATAGTTTAGCATAGCTAGAAAATAAAGGGAAATTTATTTTTAATTTTGGGTATATATACAGATTTATATATTATATTTACCATACCAGATGTTAAACATTCTGACTATCACTCCTGGGTAGTCTGTGACATAAAAGTATGAAGATTTTTGTTAAGAAGTAATTAACATTTGGTATTTAATACTTACACCATCCGCCATTTTAATAGTGAGTTTATATATATATGTGTGTGTGTGTGTGTATAACTGAAGTGGATATTAATTTCTCTGCACTGGGGGAATTGGGTCAATATTTGAGCCATTAGGTATACTGACTTGCCAGTTTTCTGGGATATTCTTGAAGAACAAATATGTTTTAGCAACATTCTGCCAATTAGAGCTGCTTAGATGAGGCAGCTGTGAGTCAGCACAAATTTAATCTGTGTTGACTTTGCTCTGCCTTGCCTCCTACCTTTCTCCAATCTTTACTCACCTTCCCTCTGCACACAGCAGCTGTTTCAATATATTTGTCCTTTGAAACTTTGAATACAGTTGCAACATTCTAAGTCAACAGGGCAGCTAAGTATACCTAGCAGAAAAATTAGACTTTAACCTCAGAAATTGACAAAATCTTCTCAAGGATTATGGTTCCAATAAATACTGTTTAAAGTATTTTATTCATAGTTCTATTCAATAAAAGTTTATAGAGCACCTACTTTGTTCCCTGAATTGTTTTAGGCACAGAGAATGCCAGGAAAGACTAAGTCCTGAATGACAGGAACCAGAAGATCCAGTGAGCGAGGGTCTTAGTCAGAGGGAACAATGAGACAGGGTGTTGGTCAGGAACAAGTTGGGTGTGTTTTAGGTACACTAGTGTTGTGGGAGCAAGGCGAGGAAGTATTGAAAGATGAGGCCAGCATGGGTGTATTAGTTATCAATTGTTATATACCAACTCACCCCGAAGTTTAGGGACTTAAAGCAATAAATATTTATTATCTCACACAATTTCTGAAGGTCAGGAATCTGGGAGCAGCTTAGCCGGGTGGTTCTGAATCAGCATTTCTCAGGACGCTGCAATCAAGTCACTAACAGGCTGTGTCAGCTGAGGGCTTGACTGGGATCTGTTTCCATGATGGCTCACTCACATGGCTGTTGGCAGAGGCCTCAGTTCCTCTCTGAAAGTTGGCAATACATCTCACTTCTTTGGCATGCCTGCTTCTGTGTAGGACTGCTTGAGTGTCCTCAGGACATGGCAGCTAACTTCCCCTGGAGTATGTAAGCAAGAGGGAAACTACAATGTCTTTTATGACCTAGTATTGGAAGTTACACCTCTGATGATAGAGAAGGGCTGAGGACATCGCCTCGGGGGAGATAGCAGTTGGAGAAGAGAAGGCTGGGTGGAGCCAGCGAAGGCGTCTGAAGAGGAGGGGTCAGTGAAGTAGAAGGAAGTCCAAGAAAGTGTGGCATCATGAGGCCAACAGTCCGGCAAGAGGATGGAAGAGTGGACATTGAATTTGGTACCACGGAGGCTACTGCTGACCCGAGGAGAGAAGATGGGGACACAAGCCTGACTGGAGTGGGTTGAGGAGAAAATGGGACGTGAGGTAGAGGAGACAGCAGCTACCGGCAGCCGTTTTGAGAAATTTTGCTCCGAAAAAGGGCATATGGTTGGGACAGTAGACTTTCTCAGTGATCTAAAAGAGGAAGGGAAGGTTGAGTAGGCTGAGCTCAGTTTCATTTGCAATTGTGGAAAGTCACCTAAGAGTGGCTGAGTCTGTGCACTGAACTCTTTACAGCCACCAGGGAGGTCCCTTGGCTCTGGGCAGTGCGCCATCTGGTGCTCAGTCATGGAGTCAGCGTTAGACTGACACAGTAGGTTGGGCAATCCCTTTGCTGGAACAGAGACTTTTTTTCTCATAAATTTTAAATCCAAGTTGGAGTAAATTGCCAAAAGAACAACTAAAAAATGCTGACTGAAAGGCAGAGGTGCAAAGTTCTCCTCACTTCCTTTTAACCCCTTCCAATTTATTCCATTTTGTCTTTCTTATTCCCTCATCCTCTTCACCTTAATCCATGAGTCTCTCTGTATTTCCTTTTCCACTGTCCATTTCTATGACGCAGAATCTAACGATGCAGCTACAAGCCAAGAAACACCAAAGATTGCTGGCAGCCACCAGAAACCAAGAGAGAGGCTGGGAACAGATTCTCCCTTAGAGCTTCCAGAAAGAACCAGCTTTGCTGACCTCTGGATTCTGGACTTCTAGCCTCTAGACATGTGCAAGAATAATTTCTGCTGTCTAAGCCACCTAGTTTGTGGTAATTTGTTAGAGTGGCCACAGGAAAAGAATTCAACTACTTTGCAATAAAAAAAGGAATGAATACATAAAAAAGCACAGATGAATTTTGAAATAATTGTGCTGTGTGAAAGACACCAAACAAACAAAATACCTGCTGTATGCTTCTAATTATATAAACTTCTAGAAAATGCAAACTAACTCATTGTGACAAAAAGCAGATGAGTGGTATGGGGCCAGGCAGAAGAAAGGGATTTCCAAAGGGCATGAGGATGTGAATAAGTTCAGTATCATGATTATGATGATAGTCTCATAGGTGTATATGTGTGTTAAAACTTATCCAATTGAGGCTGGGTGTGGTGGCTCACTCCTGTAATCCTAGCACTTTGGGAAGCCAAAGCAGACGGATCACTTGAGGCCAGGAGTTCAAGACCAGCCTGGCCAACATGGTAAAACCCCATTTCTACTAAAAATACAAAAATTAGCTGGGTGTGGTGGCACACTCCTGTAGTCCCAGCTACTTGGGAGGCTGAGGCATGAGAATCACTTGGACTCAGGAGGTGGAGGTTGTAGTGAGCTGAGGTCACACCACTGCATTCCAGCCTGGAGGCAACAGAGCGAGTCTCGTCTCAAAAACAAAAACAAAACTGAAAAACTTATCCAGTTGTACACTTAACTCTGTACACTTTGTTTTTTTTTTGAGACAGTGTCTCGCTCTTGTCGCCCAGACTGGAGTGCAGTGGCCTGATCTCAGCTCACTGCAACCTCCTTCTCCCAGGTTCAAGTGATTCTCCTGCCTCAGCCTCCCAAGTAGCTGGGATTACAGGCGCCCACCACCACGCCCAGCTAATTTTTTGTATTTTTAGTAGAGATGGGGTTTTGCCATGTTGGCCAGGCTGGTCTCAATATTTCATATATATATAATATATTGCATATAATACATTATATAAAATACACATATATTTTAAAGTATCAATTATATCCCCTAATACAGTAATAAAACCAATAGATGCAAATAAACAATCACAAATCTATTATGTACATAAGCAAGCTGTACAATCCTTCTGCTCTCCAGCTGGTCTCTTCAGCTGCCTCTGTCCTTTGGAAGGCTTCCTTCTGCTTAGAAACAGGCCCAGGCCTCCACTGTCCTAACCTTCTTAGCCATGCACCCACACTCCTCAGAAGAAACCAAGAAACACTCCACAACAAATTTTTAAAGTTCTTTATCCTTGGCTAGTTTTCCCTTTTGCTATTTCCTTCTTTCTTTTCACGTCCAAAACTTGAGTAGTCTGCATTCTAGCTCTACTTCCTCTCTCAAAGTCTTGAATTTTAAATTCTTTTTTTTTTTTCCTTTGAGATGGAGTCTCGCTCTGTCGCCCAGGCTGGAGTGCAGTGGCACAATCTCGGCTCACTGCAAGCTCCGCCTCCCAGGTTCTCGCCACTCTCCTGCCTCAGCCTCCCGGGTACCTGGGACTACAGGCGCCCGCTACCACGCCCGGCTAATTTTTTGTATTTTTAGTAGAGACGGGGTTTCACCGTGTTAGCCAGGATGGTCTCGATCTCCTGACCTCGTGATCCTCCAGCCTCAGCCTCCCAAAGTACTGGGATTGTAAGCATGAGCCACCACGCCCGGCCAAATTTTAATTTCTTAATCAATGAACTAATCATCTTAGTTCTATGAGTTTCAAGGTCTTTTCTCAGTCTATCTTTAACTTTTATACTGCAAATACCAGGCCAAGCTCCCTTTCCATCAGCAACTTTCTGCCGCAGTCTCCCACCCTTCACCAAGCACTAGTGCTCAGATTTTCCTGTGGCTCATTTTTTCTTAGTTTCATGATTTATATATCTTCTTTGCCAACATGTTGTCACATGGATCCCACCCAGTCCTGCTTCATGTCAAAAGGCCAGGATTTTCTTGAAATAAATAACAAGTTATTAAGGACAGCCCTCCTGCCTCCATAGCACAGTCCTGTGAAGAAAGCTATGAAAAGATTACCGAGGCTGACATTGGGTAGTGAACACAGTATTTAGCAGGGCAACTTGGATGTGCCTCCAGAATGGCATGACCACTATTCCACTCATTGCACTCCACTCCTTATCTTGAAATGTTCTCCCCACTGCTCTCTGCCAGTCTGTATCAACTTCTTCTCCATCATGACACCTTCACAAATACTGGACATTCCAACAAGGGGTCTTTGTAGATCTGTGTTTCTTTCCATGCTGCTCCCACGTCCTCAAGTGATAGTTTTGTCATTCTAATATTGGGGAAGATATGGAAGAGGATGGCAGTAGTGGTGGAGAAGCAGCTCTCACACAGTAGGAAGGTGGCTATTACGTATTGTAGGTGAAAGCCAGGACTCATGCATCTGAGATGAGGATGCACTGAAGCTGGTTAAAATTCTGTTATTATACATCCTCAGCCTATTGTTCTACCTCAAGACCCATGCATGCTTTCTTCTAAGGTTGCCCTCAATACTGGTTGTTCTGGTATTGTAAGGAAACAAAGAAGGAAGAATCAAGCATCAAAACTCAACACCTCTAGTTCTCCCCTTTAGTTTACAGATGAAAGCACTGGGGTTCAGAGAGGTTGAGATTTATCTAAGGACACAAAGCTGATCAATGGTAGAATCAGCCTAGAACCCAGGTCTTCAGAATCACTAGCAAGAGCCTTTTCCATTTATCCATTGATTCAGCAAATAATTTTTTTAGTTCTAATCTATAAAATGTTGCACTAGGACAGAGATACAGTGCTGAACAAGATGGGACAAAGGCCTTTGACCTCAAGGAATTCACATTGTAGTGGGAGGAGACAGACTACAAACAAAAAAGAAAGAGTGATAAATATCTCAATAATTATAGCCTATGATTGGGATGTGAAGAAAATTAAGCAGGGACTATGTATTAGACTGTTCTCAGGCTGCTAATTAAAAGACACACCCAAGCCTGGATAATTTATAGAGGAAAAAGGTTTAATAGACTCACAGTTCCACATGCCTGGGAAGGCCTCACAATCAGGGAGGAAGGCTAAAGGCATGTCTTACGCTGCAGCAGTCAAGAGAGAATGGGAACCAAGTGAAAGGGGTTTCCCTTTATAAAACCATCAGATTTCGTGAGACGTATTCACTACCACGAGAACAGTATGAGAAAAATGCTCCCGTGATTCAGTTATCTCCCAGCGGGTCCTTCCCACAACATGTGGGAATTATGGGAGCTACAATTTAAGATTTGGGTGGGGACAGAGCTAAACCATATCAGACTATAATAGAGAGTAGTTGGGGAGAGCTTTACTTTAGATGGATGGTGAGGGAAACATAAAAATTGAGAGAAAACTAAGTATGCAAAGAGATGGAAGGGAGGTTTTGGGGCAAAGGAACCAGCATTTTCACAGGTTTGAAGAGAGAAAGTACTCAGTGTCTCTGTGTACCCCAAGCCCCTGGAGCTTGGCTGAAGAGTAGAGGGCAGAGGTGTGGCTTGAGGAGGGGGGTGGGAGGTGGTAGATGACTCACTGCTGTAAGTCCCGTCAAGGAGTATGGATTTTATTCTAGGTGAAATGGGAATCCAAAGGCTGGCCCTCTTCCATGCAGATTTTGCCCAGAAGACACAGTATTTTGGGAGGTATGGTTCCACACTACAGCTATTTGAAAGCATAACTGAAACTTATGAGGAAAAATCCATCTGCTTCTGTACCAAAAAAAGAATGAAGATAAAACTGAAAATCAGTCATAGTGTGTGGATTTGCCAAACTAAATTAAATTACTTTTCTGGAGTCTAGTGGATAAGTGTCTTAGTCCATTCAGTGGCTGGAATAAAATGCCGTAAACTGAGGTGTTTATAAACAACAGAAATTAATTTCTCACAGTTCTGGATGCTGAGAAGTCCGAGGTCAAGGCTCAGGCAGGTGTCTGGTGAGGGCCTGTTTCTTCGTAGACGGTGTATTAGTCCGTTCTCACACCACTATAAAAATACTGCCCAAGACTGGGTAATTTATATAGGAAAGAGGTTTAATTGACTCACAGTTTCACAAGGCTGGGGAGGCCTCAGGAAACTTACAATTACAGCAGAAGGCAAAAGGGAAGCAAGGCCCTTCTTCACATGGTGGCAGGAGACAGAAGTGCAAGCGGAGGAAATACCAAACACATAAAACCATCAGATATCGTGAGAACTCACTCACTATCATGAGAATAGCATGGGGGAAACTGTTCCCATGATCAGATCACTTCCCTCCCTTGACACATGGGGATTACAATTCAAGATGAGATTTGGGTGAGGACACAGAGCCAAACCATATCAGACAGTGCCTTCTTACTGAGTCCTCACATGGTAGAAGGGGCCAGCAAACTCCCTTGGGCCTCATTTATAATGGCCCTAAAGGCACTAATTCCATTCATGAGGCTCTGTCCTCATGACCTAGGCACCTCCCAAAGGCCCCACTTCTTAATGGCATCACCTTGGAGATTAGGTTTCAACATATGAATTTTAGGGGGACACAAACATTCAGACCATAGCAATAAGAATGTTGGTAAAATTTCTAAAATAAATGAATTATGCTGACACAAACAGGGCAGCTACTAACTCATAACTATAACTGAGACTGCTATTTGCCAGATACAGCTCACAGAGAAGGTAAATGTCAATCGAAACATTTTAACAGAACAATTTAAATATACTCCAAGAGCATCCCCCTTAAACTCACCAAATCATTTCAAAACTAAAAGCAGACCTGTGAATGTGGTTAATTGCCTCTAATATCATGTTTTATAAGTTAGTATTTTTATGTTAAGTTTTCTTAAAATGAAGCTTCCAGTATAAGGATGCCTGTTTGAACTTAAACATATGGTCCACACACATACACATACATGAAGAAAACGTGTACCAAATGTTTAAGGGCTGAATTGCACTGAATTATGAAGTTCCATGATTTAAGATTCACAATTTTAAAACATTGGATTAATATGTAACATGTCATTGGGACTTCTTACAAAAAGAATTGATTTTGCTTAATTTTTTTTCAATACAGTTTAAATAAACTAACTTGTTTGCTTATCTAGCTATCTCCGATTATTTTACAAAGCTTTATTTTCCACTGTTGGTAACAATTTAGTAACTAGTGCCAAGCAATGTCCTGCAAGGAGAGTGAAGTGCAGACCTTTCTAAGTGAGACCAGTATGTGCCGAGGCACCATCTTCATGGGAGCAAAAAAATCCCACTTTATATCACAAGCAGGATATAAAGATTTTCTATAAACCAGAAAATATGTATTCAATATTCAAGGAACCATGAGCTTGTACTGTGTGCTAGCTTACTGGATTGACTTTTTAATGTAATGGAAAGTCTTTATTCTTCCTCTGAAATTGCCCAAGAATCCTCATTACTAAAAGCCAGTTTGAGTAGAAAGCAGAATGGAGGCATAATGCCAAGATGACTGATGATACATTTCCAGAATCCTAGGCTGAGGATAAACATAATTTTAAAAGGCATGTAATTACTGGTCTATTTAATTCCTTTTATTCTTACACCTGTTAAAGATGGAATTATTGCCTTTGATTTTTTATTTTAGAGGCACACTTGAAAGCTGTGAAATTACCTACTTAGCAGCTTTGCCTGCTTGCTAAAGTTCTTCTGGTTAGAACAAGGTAAATGCAGAGTAATTACTTCTCATCTCTCCTTTTTTGCAAATAGGTAGAGGGAAATGATTGATGTTCATAGTCTATTGAGTCTTTTTTTTAATAATTTCCCTCAAATAAAAGATAGATTTGGAAGTAGTTACAAAAGGAAAGAAAGAGCTAGAGAAAGCTGGTGCAAGATGATATTCTATTAATACCGATTGCTTGGAGCTCTGTTTGATGCCATTTGACTGAGGAAGTCACCACTTTCTCTCAAGCAAAAAGTTCAGTTGTTAAAAATGCAGGAAATATTCTAGAATGTGCTTACTATATGCTTAAAACTTAAGTCACAGATACTGAGAATTATTTTCAATTTATCCTAAGCTTAAAATAAAGCGAGAGCTTACATTAAAGCCAAAATCACAACTAAAATGATTTAAAATGAATTAACCTGATTTATTCAGTTATAGCTAAATACTCTCATTATTCTCTCACCTCAAATCAATAATAGATACTAATTTGAATGAATAGGCTAGAGATTTGCCATTCTATTCTAGATGTATAAATAATTTTTAGAATAATAGACATATGAACACACACTATGAAAAATATATTTCTAAATAAATTAGCAGTCTGTTTCTCATGTTTCAAACTTTCATTTTGAGTTTATTTGAATTTTTTTGGGGGGGAGTGGATAGGGTCTCACTCTGACACTCAGGCTAGAGTACAGTGGTGTGATTATGGCTTACTGCAGCCTCTGCCGTAAGAGATCCTCCTGTGCTCAAGTGATCCACCTCAGCCTCCCTAGTAGCTGGGACTACTGGCACTCACCACCACACCTGGCCAATTTTTGTATTTTTTCTGTAGAGACAGGGTTTCACCATGTTGGCCAGGCTGGTGTCAAAGTCCTGGGCTCAAGTGATCTGCCCGCATTGGTCTCCCAAAGTGCTGGGATTACAGGCCTGAGACGTTGCACTTAGCTTATTTGAATTCTTTGTAGCTCTTTTTTGGTTACATGGTTAATTGAAGTCGTTTCATATAAATTACTTAGTTTTGATTTGTACTTTTATATAATTGTATGTTCTTCAAATTATCAGAATGATAATACATCTTTTTGAAGATGACCCACTCATAACCTAGCTTCATTTTATTTTAGGAGAGAAACACTCAATAAAAGCCCCTAAAAGTCAGGACATTTTGACTTGAAATATTTAATCCAGGCAATAAAGCTAGACACTTGGATTTAGAATTTAAGATTTAGAAAAGCTTCAAACATTGTCAGTCTTGCTTTTTCAGAATAAATCTTATTCAGGCCATCTTTCTGGGATTCTAAAACTCAGATCTCTCAGAGCCTCAGATATCGTTGTGAAGAACAGACTTTTTAATACAAAACAAGATAATATTCCCTCTGCTCCTTGTAATATAAATGCATTTGTTGTGCAGCTTACTTTTTTTTATAATTGATATTGTACAGATTGTTAAAATTGATTATAAGCAATGTCCACTCTGGAAAGGAAACATTGTGTTATAAATGGAAAGAGAGACGAATTGGTTCACAAATTCAAGTGTGCAAGACTGTATATTTCTAAAACTGAGTTTTGTTGTGAAGAACAGACTTTTGAATACAAAACAAGACAATATTCCCTCTGCTCCCTATGATATAAATGCATTTGTTGTGTGGCTTATTTTCTTTTTTTAATTGATATTTTACAGATTATTAAAATTGATTCTAAGCAATGTCCACTCTGAAAGCGAAACATTGTGTTCTATGTGGAGAGAGAGATGAGTCAGTTCACAAATATATTTCTAAAACTGAGTTTAATTTCTATTTTGAGTCCCATTTCATCAGGTAACATAAACCAAATTTAACCCAACTAAATCTGTTGGGTCTCTTCCCCAACACACATGCTCAATTTTTTCTAGGGTTCCATCTAAGTTCCTATCCTGTCCTCAACAGACATCTGTCCACACAGGAGCCTGCCAAGACATTCTCATTCCCATCTAGTCTCTAGGTGATAGTCTTTGCAGATGACTGCAATACCCACTTCATTAACACCACCAGGTCTGTTTCATTTGGAACTGTACATTGCTGGAACAAGGAGAGCTCTGAGGCTGTCTCAAGCCTATCAGCCTAGGCACAGCACCCAGGCATTTCTACTTAATGCTAGTGAGTCATCTGAGTTTTCAAGAAGTAATACAATGTTTCCCATGGTCTCAGATACCCTAAACTGTACTGGGAGCCTGGCATGTCTTATCTGCCTCCTCCAAAATTTGATGAGTCTGATGTGAGAAAAGAGAAGGGTTTCCTATCAACTTGAGTGTCTACAGTCTCTTTCTTCCCCCTGTAACTCTCTTCCTCTACCTCATTTCCAGAGGGTAGCTACACTGTTCACCAATTCTTCTAAATCATTTGTTTTTGGCACTTGCTGATTGGAAATAGCAGTAAATTCTTTGGCCTTTCTCCTAAAGAGAGGTGGGGTATAATTCCCTCCCCTTGGGTCTGGGCTGACCTTGGTGACTTACTTAAAACCAACAGTACCAACAGTATGATGACAATACCACCGTGTGACTTTTGAAGCTAGATCAGAAGAAGTCTTGCAGTTTCTGCTTTGGTCTCTAAACACTCACTCTCCACATGCTTCCTCCAGGACCCAGCCACCATGGCTGTGAGAAGCCCAAGCAATGTCCAGAGGCCACAGATGAGTACTTTAGTCAAGAGCTCCAGCTGAGCTCTTAGCCAAAAGGCAGCATCCATTGCCAGCCTATGAGGAAGCCTCTCAGATGCTCAGCACACACAAGCCTTCGGTTGGTTCCTGTTCCAGTCAACATCTGACTGACACTTCATGAAAGACCTGAGGCAAGAATCACTCAGCCGAGCCCTTCCCAATTCCCAAACCACGAAATTGTGAGCAAATTTAAATGACTGTTTTAAGCTACTGAATTTTGGTGTAATGTTTTATGCAGCAATAGATAATCAGAACATGGAATATATTTTGCACATTTTGAGGCTCAAAATCCAGGCTTTTGCAACTCCAAAGTCTCAGCATTTTCATTTATCTGATACTCGATGAGTTGGGAATTTGCAAACTGATTCATCTCTTTCTCCATATATAACACATTTCCTTTCCAGAGTGGACATTGCTTAGAATCAATTTTAACAATCTGTACAATATCAGTTATTAACTGGGAGAATTAACTTGGAGAGACAATGGGTAGATGGAAATGTGATGAATAGCGTGGGGCTCCAGTGGATGGAATCCTTGGTTGCCTCTAGACATTCTCCCACTGCAAGGGTATGTGTGACATGTTATATGTGAGTGAAGTGTTTTTTGTGTTTCCTACAAAAAGGGATAGGTTTTTATCCTTTAAATAGAAAAAGGCTGGGTGTGGTAGCTCATGCCTGTAATCCCAGCACTTTGGGAGGCCAAGGTGGTCAGATCACTTGAGGTCAGGAGGTCGAGACCAGCTTGGCCAAAATGGCGAAACCCCATCTCTACTAAAAATACAAAAAATTAGCTGGGCGTGGTGGCGCATGCCTGTAATCCCAGCTACTCGGGAGGCTGACGTATGAGAATCGCTTGATCCTAGGAGACTGAGATTGCAGTGAGCCGAAGTCGTACCACTGCATTCCAGCCTGGGTGACAGAGCAAAATTTTGTCTCAAAAAAAAAAAAAAAAAGAAAAGAAAAAAAGGAAAAGAAAAAGATTATTAGAAGGCTGATATGAAAAGCAATATAACTATCATAATTTAGCTATTCTCAGGGTTTGGAGCATGCTGGGACTATAAGAACTCTGCAGTGGCAGGTGGCGGGGAGGGAATCAATTCAGATGGTGTGCACACCCACTTTTGTCAAACACTGTTTAGGGAGTAAGTACTAGGCTTGTAAAGGAACCTTGGAGAAAGTAGCACAGCAATTCAACTGATGAATGAGCAGGTTCTACTCATTTCTCTTTTATAGGTGCTGGCAGATAATGAACAACATGCTTTCCAGATCCAAGGAAGAGTTGATTCATAAGGCTCTTCCCAGTTTAATGCAATGATGCACTGCAATTACATTTCTTGGTGCCCTCTTTCAATCTCCTCACCTCTCCCTGTCCACTAGTTTTGTTTTACTCTGTTTATCAATTGTTCCTCTCTTCATGTGACACAATATGTCTGTCCCACAGTCGCTGAGCTTTTGTGCTTCAGTTCCAGTCACACATGCAGCTGCTCGAAGACTCAGTGCCAACTTCCTAGGATGAAGATGGACTTGGTTTCAATTGGTGACTCAATGGACCTGGAAAGCCCACCTTGGCTGGGGTATGGTTTATATATCACAATTATGACTGGCAGGAGCCCATCACCCCTATGCAGGAGGTGGGACAGGCAGAGCAGTTCTCAGAGAAGGGGCATCATTGTGGACAGGGCGGGGGTTCCAAAGTTGTCTACTTGGTCCAGTGTCTTCTACATAACAAATACTCAGTAAACCATATCTGTTATGAGAAAGACATTAGGTAACATGTACTATGGATCTTAGTAAATTTCCTGAAAAGTCTCCATTTGGCTGGGGGCACCTCAAAGACATTCATGTGGGCAAAAATGTAAGAACTTATTTCCTCAATGCCCAGACTGACTCACTACAGGATCTCTCCAACCCAGGGTCTTTATCAGAACATCATCAAGGTTGACCCACCTTCTAGAATGTTCATAAATGCAATCATCTGGTCCAGCATAATTATCAACCAGGAGAAGTAATCATTTTGGGACGTAAACATCCCTGGAGAGAAGACTTTGTCCTAAATCAGAACAACAGCTGGCAGATATTGGGTGCTTACTCTTTGCCTGTCACTTGATCGGTCCTTTGAGAATATTCTTCCTTTGAATGCTCACATTAATCCCATGGTGGTAAGTATGACCATTTCTATTTCCCAGATGGAGAAAGTGAAGTTCAAAGGTGAAGCAACTTCTTAGCAAATAAAGAGCCAGGTAGGATTCAAACCCAGATCTGTCTGTTGAACTTCTCAACACACTTGCCCGGAAGCACAAGGCCCTGCCTGCCCATGGCCCTCTGGAAGCCTCAGGGCACAGTGCCTCTCAGCCTTTCTTCCCCAGCTGACACAGTGTGCCACTGTAGCCTACCCCACCATGTTTTCTCTCCATCTCTGCAGAGGGTACTTGTTATGTTGTCCAGGATTCCCCTTGTGTCCACACCTCCCTGAAAAAGAAATAACTGGTAACTATGCCTCTTCCCTTGCCATCCTAGGAGTTCTCGCAGGAATTGCAATGTTCCACTACAACACTATTCCTCCCTCTCTTCACAGGCAATGGGTATCTAAGGAGTAGGCTCTAGATCCCAGCTAAGGTGATCAGCTACTTGTCCTGCATTTTTGGAATTGGGGTCAAGAGATGCAACAAGTTCTCTCTCCAATTGCTGTAGCTCTAATATGTAAAACTTAGGAGCTTCCAATGTACACTTGCCACGTACAAGGAAATGAACAGAGAGGAGCAGAGATGAGGAACAGAGATAGGTAGAGTTCTGTGGGGGGCCAGTCCCTGGTCCTGGTTATCATACAATTTTGTGACTGCAGACTGATACACAGTAGGCCACCAGGCTGTCAACTTCATGAGAGCAAGGATCACTCTGGTTTTGATTATTATTGTACCTCTAGTGCCTAGCATTGGTTCCTGGTGGCACACAGCAAATTGTTGTTGAATGAGTGAATGACACATTTTATTAATGTCTCCTATTTTTCTCCCTTCTTTCCTTACATAGGGAGACCCCTGGTCTCAGGAAGTTTGATGAAATCTATTATCCAAACAGTCCTTGTTATTAACAACATTGTTCATTATTCACTCACCCAACTGAAAACACAGCATTCAACCACGGAGAACCTCCAGTGAGCCAGGCATTTCTAGAAACTGAAAAAATCCCAAAGAACATGGTCATTGAGATGCTTCTATTCTAGGCATGGGGGGAGGTGGGAAGGATAGGCCTCTAACATGTAATCAGTATTTTTCAGGCCATTCAGCATGGGCTACAATTGGTTGACAACAACACAAACCCAATACTATTTCTCTGGCTATAGCTTCACCTCACAGAGGTCCCTTGTATTTACCCCTCTTCCTGACAGGCACCCCAAAAGCTCCCATTCTTGTCCTGCTGTAGCTACCTACAGCTCCATGAACTCCTCCCACAGACAGGAAGAGCAGTTCCCAGCTCTGTATGCCATCCAATGGCTCGTATATTAGTCAGAGTTCTCCAGAGAAACAGAACAAACAGGATACATATACACATATAACTGGAGATGTATTACAGGAATTGGCTCACGCAGTTATGGAGGCTGAGAAGTTCCAAGATCCACCATCTGCAGGCTAGAGAACCAGGGAAGCTGGTGGTGTAATTCAGTCCAAGTACTAAGGCCTGAGAATCAGGAGACTAAATGGTGTAAGTACCAAAGCCTGAAAAACAGGAGCATTGATGTCTGAAGTCAGAAGAAGATGGATGTTTCAGCTCAGGCAAAAAGAGCAAATTCATCCTTCCTCTACCCCTCTGTTCTATTTGGGCCCTCAGTTGATTGGATGATGCTGGCCCAAATTGGTGGGGGTAATTTTCCTTACTCAGTCTTCTGATTCAAATGCTAATCTCTTCCAGAGACATCCTCACAGAAACACCCAGAAATATTATCTTACCAGCTATCTGAGCATCTCTTAGCCCAGTTGAGTGGACATGTACAATTAGCCATCATAGTTTGCCGCTCTGCCTAGCCCTATCTGGTTGAGATAGGCCACAATCTCAGATGTCTAGACCTTCTCTGTCAGAGGCATATCTTCCTTGCTGCTCTGAGCCTGGCAGCCTCTCACCTACCTGTTCTTTAGATCTCAGAAGACCTCTGAGAATGCTCACCTCTTTGTTCACCCTATATGGTCTAAAAAGGGGAGACATGAATAATCCACCCCTCGTTTAGCATATCATCAAGAAATAACCATAAAATGGGCAACCAGCAGCCCTCAGGTTGCTCTGTCTATGGAGTAGCCATTCTTTTATTCCTTTACTTTCTTAATAAACTTGCTTTCACTTTACTCTGTGGACTTGCCCTGAATTCTTTCTTGTGCAAGATCCAAGAACCCTCTCTTGGGGTCTGGATCTGAACCCCTTTCCAGTAACATAACCTCATTGTAAGTTGAGGAGCATTTGTCTATATATTTTCATAGTCATCATGTTGGAATCAGAATATAAAAAATGTCTTCATTTTGCATTTGTTTGAAATATGTCTTAAATCTCTTTAATCTACAGCCTCCTCCTCCTTCTTTGTTTTCCGTTCAATTTTTAAAAACTTATTATGTAAATATAAAAGCAGAAAGTCCTTTGAAACGTATTGGTCACTAGGCCCAGAGAACAGCACTTCTCAAAAAAACATGCGTATAAATTCATTAAATATAGACTCAGATTCTGCAGGTCTGGGTGGCAGCTAAGGTGCTGCATTTCAAACAACCTCTCAGGTGATCCTTACCTTGCTTATCTGCAGACCATTGTGAATAGTAAGCCAGCTGAGTTCTACCTACAAATTTTGCTGATTTTACTATGCATCCCTGAAGTGTGTCTTTGTTTTCTGTATTTTCTATAAACCGGTATCTAGAAGTTTGACTGAATTCCAAGTTAACTATGTTGGCAAGAGTTCTTTGCAGGCAATACTGCATACTTTCCATTGTGTCACATCAGAGGGACCCTCATGTCTAGTTATCCCCCTTTTAATGATGCTCAATGTTTAGTGTTGTCAACCTGATCTTTCCACTGTCAAGCTCTCTATTAGTAGTTTTAGCAGCTGTTGTTCATCATTGTCCAGCTCCATGGTTCTCAATCATGGCTGCATGTTAATATCACCTGGGAAGATTTTAGAAGACACTGATATCAGGGTGCTGTTCCAGATCAATTGCTGGAACGTGGAGCCGAGGGGTTAATTTCTGGGGTAGGGCTGAGGTTGTGTGTATGGGAGGCCAAGGTTCTGTGTGTGTGTGTGTGTTTTAAGCCCCTCAGATGATTCTAATAGGCAGCAGATAGGCCTAGGTCAACTTTTTTTCATTCTGTCTTCCAAAATAGTAATATTTTCAGCCTCACTTTTTTTCTTCGTTAATTTTGTGAGCTGTTAATGTGTAGAAGTGCTTGTTTTAAAAATGAGCCAGCTGCTATGCTGCAAAATAAATCAGCTCTCATTCATACCATAAAGACACTCCCTTTTTTTTGAGACAGGATCTCACTCTGTAACCCAGGCTAGAGTGCAGTGGCATTGTTACAGGAAAGGGGTCCCAAGAGGGTATTTGGATCTCACACAAGAAAGAATTCAGGGCGAGTCCATAGAGTAAAGTGAAAGCAAGTTTATTAAGAAAGTAAAGGACTAAAGAATGACTACTCCATAAGCAGAGCACCCTGAGGGCTGCTGGTTGCCCATTTTTATGGTTAGTTTTTGATGATATGCTAAACAAGGGGTGGATTATTCATGCCTCCCCTTTTTAGACCATATAGGGTAACTTCCTGGCATTGCCATGGCATTTACAAACTATCATGGTGCCGGTGGGAGTATAGCAGTGAGGACGACCAGAGGTCACTCTCGTCGCCATTTTGGTTTTGGTGGGTTTTAGCCAGCTTCTTTACTGCAATATGTTTTATCAGCAAGGGCTTTATGACCAGTACTTTGTACCAACCTCCTATCTCTTCCTGTGACTTAGAATGCCTTAACCATCTGGGAATGCAGCCCAGTAGGTCTTAGCCTTATTTTAGCTAGCCTATATTCAAGATGGAGTTGCTCTGGTTCAAATGCCTCTGATCTGTCCCCCCTCCCTTTTATAAGAGAACCCTTAATCATAAGGGTGGCAGAGGGACGAAGATCCATCTTCTGTAACTTCTTCAGGCTGAATAGGGGCAAAGATATTCCTGCCTAATTATCAGGGTCTCTTATATTCAGGCTAGAGAGGAGGTCAGTCAGAAAGCATTGGTATAGTGAGGGTCATTCATGATTCTTGAGTTCTGACAGAAGGTGATACCTGGAAGAATAATAAGTGTTCAATTTAAGAAAACACTCAGTAAGCTTGTCCTGCATTCCCACACAGAGTACAACAACAATATATTTCACAAGAGTAAAGCAAAATAAGTAAAATTACCCCATGTAAACTGAATTAGAAGGCTTTCCATGAACTGGGCAACTGTTGGAACCAAGCTGATATGGGTTCACTAGCTGATTCCAATGTACCCAGATTTAAAATAGTGATCCAGATTTTTACATTGCCCATCGCTTTTGTTTTTTCTGAGCAGCAGTTAGAGATCACTGGTTGGTTCACAGGAATAAGTAGGGATAGCCTAAATTGCAGAAACAAACTTAAAAACAACTGATGAGACTAGAATTTAATAACACATGTACCATAGTTCTTGAAACAATATTTCCCTCTCCAGTTTTCCATTTTTACTGAAGACACACTATAGTAAGACCAATTTGCTTTATTATACTTGGCCTGATTATTCGTATGAAGTGCAGCAAGAATAATTATTTTTCACCTAAGCTCTTTTTAAATTGGCTTTAATGGAACTCTGTTCCATAAAAAAAATCTTAGGCCAGGCGTGGTGGCTCACACCTGTAATCCCAGCACTTTGGGAGACCGAGGCAGGTGGTTCCCTTGAGGTCAGGAGTTCAAGACCAGCCTGGCCAACATGGTGAAACCCCGTCTCTACTAAAAATACAAAAATAGCCAGGTGTGGTGATGGGCACCTGTAATCCCAGCTACTGGGGAGGCTGAGGCAGGAGAATCACTTAAACCCAGAAGGTGGAAGTTGCAGTGAGCTGAGATCATGCCGCTACACTCCAGCCTGGGAGACAGAGCAAGATTCCATCATGAAAAAAAAAAAAATTTTTGGATAAGACTTTTTTTAGAGCTGAGCCCTCCCATGGGTTTGTCCCCTCAAATACCTACGAGTTGAGTAAATTCCTCTAATGTGAGTTTTAGCCAGCTTCTTTACTGCAATATGTTTTATCAGCAAGGGCTTTATGACCAGTAGTACTTTGTACCAACTTCCTATCTCATCCTGTGACTTAGAATGCCTTACAGCCAAAAATGCCAGGAGCCAAAAAAAGGCTCCTGGGCCTGTTACAAAGTGGCATTCTTTACTTACCACAGGTCAGAAACCCTGTGTAGACAAGGTATAAGGCCATTTCTCCCAAGGGACTTTTATTGGCTCCATAAGTCAAGTTTAATTCATTAAAGGAAAACACACCTTTCTAGTTAAAGCCTTGGTAAAATAACTAATATCGCCTGTTGCAAAAGAAAAGAGATTTTTATTGCACTTATGCAAATAACTATATCGCCATAAATTAAGAATACTCACAAATAGCTTCCAAATTCTGGAGAAATTAGGTAGAGACAAATAAAATGCTTCAATTTTTGTTCATAGGCATATACTTTCCTTAATTGCTAAAAGGTATAAATAACTAAAAAGAAAAGTTTCCTTGATTCTGATAAACAAAACAAAAGATTAGCAGCATTTTAAGCAAAAAGTTTAAAAGATTACTTTAGACTTCCATTAGTTTAGTCCATGCAGTTGTCTCTTGCTCTGCTTGATATTAGTGAACATTTCGGCCCTCCATAAGAGTTCTGAAAGTTGCTTCCTCTATTTTAATGTCACAATTTCCAAAGTTATCAGAAACTTGCATTTAAGAACACCTGGTAGAGTTCTATAGTTGATTATAAACCACCTTATAAAGAGGACCAAAACAAGACAATAATTGTTTGTGGATGACAAAACATCTTAGGATAGCCACATTCAGAAACATGATTGACAAAGAAATTTGGTTTTCTCTGTGGCACAAATGATTTTATGTGACAATTACAATTATTAATAAGATACATTAAGTCATATGAGAAGTATAGGAGTTTTCCATAATTTTGGTACATATACCAATAACACATTTATACAAATACAGCCCAAAGAAAACCAAACACCATTTCATATTTGACAATGCTTCCTGTATGACTTTTACACCAAATAAGCCAAATGTCACCGTTGCATTAGTGCATTATTGATGTCAATCTCAATTCTTAATAAAATCTTATAGACAAACGTATTTAATCTCAATCAGTTTGACCATAAGGTAAAATTTTCATAAAGCTTTTATAAGCTTTTACAAATTTTTGTTAAGGAGCAGATCATAAGCAAGTTTTTGCTTTAAGAAAAACCTGTTGTGCTTTTATTCCAAAGTTTAGTTTACAGAAAAACTGAATAATACCCCTTTAACTTTAGCCAATATGTTCATACACAGAATTTCTTTTACGAGATTAATTTTTCACAAACCTTCCACAACCTGCTTAAACCTTCAGCTTTACTCTATCTAACTGAAAACAATCCTTTAAACTTCTAATCTAGGCAAAAAAAATCCACATTCTCATGGCTTGTTATAATTTTTTTTTAACCAAAAACGCATTTCACTATTCTCTATATGCCTTGTGTGTAGAACTGTTTCTTCAGTAGTCTTAATTACAAATTAAATGTAACTTTTAGCAATATTCACTTATGGTGAAAAACCTGGTTAGTAAGCTATTTTAATTATGCACTAGGTGTGGAGCCTAGCCTAGGACACACCAGGCAGAAGTGCAGATAAGGGCTGACTCTTTCCAGCACAGCTAGGGGGCATGGCTTTCCACATGTCCCCAGGCCTTATCTAGAATCTAATGCTCCAAAGTAGGTAAATTGAACAATTTTCAAAAGTCAAAGAAGCAGTTTATGACCTTAAAGCATTTAGCAAACTTAATATCTGACCTGCATAATTTAGACCAAATGTTTATATTTTTGAAGATATTTTTATTTTACCAATAATCTTTAAAACTGCCTTTATTTCCCAAAGATTACTTAAGTTACATGAACTAAATAAAAGTCATTACACTTTTTACTCTTCTGACAAAAATTTGATTTAAAGCACTTATTTTTAAGCCAAATGATTAAAGCTCTTTTATATCACATGTTATATATATATATATAGAGAGAGAGAGAGAGAGAGACAGAGAGACAGAATAAGATAAAGGACTTATTCCCTAAGCTGGGAGTTGAACTCTGAACCCAGGCCACCATTGTGAAAAGAGAAACCATGGCCACATGGTTATAAGGTCAAGCTCCCAAGGACATAACTTGGTCATAAAGACAAGTTTGCTGGGGTGTCTTGAACAGCAGACTCATAGGGATCCTAGGCCCACATTCTATCCTAAAGTACTCCTCTCCATTATAGAATGCAGAAAGACACACAAAGCACACTAGATTTACTGAAGCTTAAGATTAACCTTGCAAATCCTTTTCCCCATTAATCAAAACTTTACAGAGCAGATAAACAGTAATTTTTACTGTTCATTTATCCAGTTGAGAGAGAGAGAGCACTGCCTGAGGTAGGATGGGGAAAGCGAAGAGCGAAGAGCTCAGGGAGGCCAGAGAAAGAGCCACCCATTGCAGCTGACACTGAAAAGTTCAGGCAGCCGCTTGTCAGCTGAAGGGATTTTTTCCAGCAGTTTCATCAGCTCTCAAGTTTCCATTTTTAGGGAAGAAAAAGCTCCCCATGTCCCATGATCCTGTACATGCCTAATCCTGTCACCCATAGCCATCGGCAAAGAATGTAAGACGGACTAATCCAAAGAGAATAGCAGTTAATGTCCCATAGTGCCAAACCCATTCTTAGCCAAAAGGGACTTTACCAAGAGAGGCCTCTAACCCCCTAAATCTTAGAAGGCATTCTAACCCTCCTAAGTTGGACCTCTAACCCAAGGTCGGTCAAGCATCCTTGTCTTTTATTAAGAGGGGCCTCTAACCCACTCTGTCTTAGGAGCAGTTCTAACTCCCCTAAGTTGGGTCTCTAACCCAATCCCATTATTTATCCCACCACTTACCCAAAGTCAGCCAATCAGTGCTACAGTTTATTTCCTTTGGGTCAGAGGTCTCCTCAGTATTGTCCCTTCTGTGGTCCACCGGAAAGATGTTACCAGACCTCACCACTTACCCAAAGTTAGCCTTTGGGTTGGGGTTTCCACACTATAGTCTCATCTGCATTCCAGAAAGATGTTAGAGGAAAGGGGTCCCGATCCAGATCCCAAGAGAGGGTTCTTGTATCTCGTGCAAAAAGAATTCAGGGTGAGTCCATAAAGTGAAAGCAAGTTAATTAAGAAAGTAAAGGAATAAAAGAATGGCTACTACGTAGACAGAGCAGCCCCAAAGGCTGCCCATTTTTATGGTTATTTCTTGGTGATATGCTAAACAAGGGGTGGATTATTCATGCCTTCCCTTTGGAGACCATATAGGGTAACTTCCTGACATTGTCATGGCATTTGTAAACTGTTGTGGTGCTAGTGAGAGTGTAGCAGTAAGGATGACCAGAGGTCACTCCCGCAGCCATTTTGGTTTTGGTGGGTTTTAGCCAGCTTCTTTACTGCAAACTGTTTTATCAGCAAGGTCTTTATGACCTGTATCTTGTGCCAACCTCCTATCTCATCCTGTGACTTAGAATGCCTTAAGTGTCTGGGAATGCAGTGCAATAGGTCTTAGCCTTATTTTAGCTAGCCCCTATTCAAGATGGAGTTGCTCTGGTTCAAACACCTCTGACAGCATGATCTTGGCTCACTGATGCTTCAGCCTCCTGGACTCAAGTGATCCTCCTGCCTCAGCTTCCCAAGTAGCTTGGAACGCAAGCATATATCATCACGCTCAGCTAATGCTTTTTTTATTTTTTCAAATTTTTTGTAGAGATGGTTCACAGTATGTTACCCAGGCTGTTCTCAAATTCCTAGCCCCAAGCCATCCTCCCACTTCAGCCTCCCAAAGTGCTGGGATTACAGGCATGAGCCACCATGCCTGGCCCACTTCTATCTCTAAAGCCACTCTACCCCTTTTCACAGTTCCCTATGCTTCCCGGGACTCCCTCTCCAGGTACCTCAAGCTGCCTTTGAATGTCCAGAGCCTGGCACCCAACCAAGGCTACCCCTAATTCCCCACAAGCCTCATAGACTATTGTGGGGTGGGGATGGGGGGCTTTTAATTTCCATATTTCTGTACTATTTTAACTTCTTCAAAATGACCATGGGTTATGTTTCTAAAAAAAAAAAAATACCTTTTCAAAGAAAAAAAAAGTAGGAAAAGGCACACTTTGCCTAACTCTGTGCTTTCATTTGAAGTCCCAATGACTCCTTGAAAATCCTCTTGAATGCTGATTCTAGGTTTCAGAAGATGCAATAATTCAAATACCAAGATTAATCTGGGAAGTGAAACTTCAGCCTCCCCTAACTCCACCCAGTTTCTCCAGGCTGGGCTTGCCTTGATTGGAAAGGGAGGAAGATGTGTATACAAAAAGAGAGAAAAGATTGGTATGCTAAAACCTTACCCCTTCCTGCAGGAAGAAAAGCTGGTCAGCCTTACTCTTTAATTCCTTCCATCTGTCTGGCTTCCTCACTCTCTTCCTATTTAAAAGTAATATACCAGTTGTTCATTTAGTTTTTTTTTTTTCAAGATATTTAGAACACCAATTTGTGAGGATAAATTCCATTTGTGAGAAAGAACACAGAATGCAAGTAGCCTTCTAGCTGAGAAGCAGCTTTAATTTGGGGCATAAGTTGCAAGTCCACAGCTTTGTGATCAACCTTGTGCTGCTCTGTAAGCTTGTATTTATCCTTCTCTGTGCAGAAGAGTCTCAATCAGTCTCTCTATGTTGATTTTCAAAAATCCTTAAGCATGGAGGGGAAGCCCAAGCTTTACTACTTCAATGGAAGAGGCAGGATGGAATCCATCTGATGGCTCTTGGCTGCAGCTAGAGTAGAGGTAAGATGTGGATTTATTCAGATTATTTTGTCTTGGGGTCACTGAGCATTTACTTAGGGAAAAGTTGTAGAAAACTCTTTACATGATTCCCAGAAGAAAAAGCAATTTTCACCACACGGTCTTTAAACATTGGGCTGTGAATTACATAGTTCTTTCAAATAAATGCCCAAATACTGTGATAACTGTTTGCTGATACTAAGCTCATCCAAGGTGATACAATAAAGTTCTATATGGTTAGCAAAGAAAAGAAGGAAGAATTTGTAAAGGGAGGAGGGAAGGGAGGGAAGGAAGGAGGAAGGAAGGAAGGAAGGAAGCAACTCTGCTTCTTCTCACTTCATTCTTACCATCCAGGTGTTGCATTCATTTAACTACATTTGTCTCAAGAATAATAAGAAACAGATCATTTTCTTTAAAAGTATAGAACAATCTTGTAGGTACTGACACAAGAGCATTATCTTTCACTGCCAAAAATATGTCTCCTATTTTTTAATGGATTTTTAAAAACTCTGTTCTCAACATACTTAAAAGCTAAGCTATTGAAGTTCATAAAGACCTTTCAAAAATAAATCTTTTTCTATATGCATATTAATTGTAAATATAAGGAATCAGCCTCTTCTGTAACCCATTCAAAAAAATTTCTGTAGTCATTCCAAAATGGTCTCTTAGATTCAAAGATGAAGGAGCAGGGAATTTTCTTTAAGCCTGTGTCCAGCTCCACTGTGGTTTAACATGGGGACAGCAAGTAACCCCGGTGACTTGATATTCACTAAAATGTTCTATACACTGTTTTACCCCTGACAGAAGGCACTAAGTTCATTTGTTCTCTAGAAATGGAGATACTTTATATGAATGCAGCCCAGAACATGGTTTATATTTAAATATTTTGTGAAATGTACAATTTTATGTAATCTGATAGTGCTACAATAATGCAAAAAAAATCTTTGTAAAAGGTTCATCACCATTTTTTTTCTAATCTTTTGGTTTGAATTTTTAAGTCTTAAATGAAATTTTTGAAAGTACACAAAGAAAAGTACAAAGAATATTGCAATAAACAAACATGATCTCACTACCTGGTTTGAGTAATTATTAATATTTTGTCATGTTTACCTTCAATATATATTTTTTAAAAACACAGACAGAATTGTGTGTGGTGGTAGGCACCTGTAATCCCAGCACTTTGGGAGGCCAAGGAAGGAGGATTCCTTGAGGCCAAGAGTTGGAGACCAGCATGGGAAACATAGCAAGACCCCGTCTCCACATAAAAATTTTAAAAATTAGCTGGGCATGATGGCACATGCCTGTAGACCTGGCTAATCAGGAGGCTGAGGCAGGTGGATTGCTTGAGCCTAGAAGTTTGAGGTTGCATTGGGGTATGATCGTGCCACTGCACTCGAGCCTGAGCAACAGAGCAAGACTCTGTCTCTAACAAGAAAGAAACTCCACAGTTAATATATTAATATAATCTTGTTTAAAATATAAAATACTAACAAATAAGTCTAAAATTTAATAGAACCATCACCTCCATCTCCACTTAAGCAACTTCTATCCAGTCAGTCCAGTCTTTATATTTTTGCACTTACTATGTGGGCTCACCAACCTCTGACTTGTGGACCTTTGGAAATAATTTACATAAACGGCTCCTTTTGTGTACTATTCTGTATTTTCCTCTTTACAATCAATATTATGTTTTTGCAATTTGTCCTTTTTGAGATGGATAGATGACAGATGGACAAATGATGAGACCGAGGGAGAAAGAGAGGGGGTGGAGGAAGACTCCGGTTCATTCCTTTATAATTGTTTTCAAAATTTCAATGTTTAGGTATTGTTGCATTAGAATTAGATCAGAATAAAATATGATAAAACATGCACAGAAGACAATGTGAATCCAAAGCCTACCTATCAAAAACACTCCAGTATCTTTGGAGGGCATTAAATATTTTTAGTGTAATTTTTTAAAAAGCTGAATTTGTCATTGCTTCTTCTGATGACCTAATTTTTACAAAACAATAAAAGGCCAATTCTCTTTTCTGAGCTATATGAAGCTCTTTATTGGATCTTCTGATTCCTCACCATTTTTTAGACTTAGGGTTGGTATTATTATGGTTTGTCAGAGTTAGATGGAAATTCTAGACAGTCATGCATTACTTAACAATGGGATACATTCTGAGAAATATATAATTAGGTAATTTTGTCATGTGAGCAACATAGAGGTTATTCTCCCAAACCCGGATGTAAAGACTGCTACACACCTGGGCTTTATGGTACAGTCTATTACTATTAGGCTACAAACCTGAACAGCATGTTACTGTAGTGAATACTGTAGGAAACTGTAATGCAATAATAAGTATTTGTGAGGCCGGTTGAGGTGGCTCACACCTGTAATTCCAGGACTTTGGGAGGTTGAGGTGGGTGGATCACCTGAGTTTGGGAGTTTGAGACCAGCCTGACCAACATGGAGAAACCCTGTCTCTACTAAAAATACAAAATTAGCTGGGCATGATGGCGCATTCCTGTAATCTCAGTTACTTGGGAGGCTGAGGCAGGAGAATTGCTTGAACCCGAGAGGCGGAGGTTGCAGTGAGCCAAGATCATGCCATTGCACTCCAGCCTGGGCAACAAGAGTGAAACTGTGTCTCAAAAAAAAAAAAAGTATTTGTGTATCTAAACATAGAAAAGTTACAGTAAAAATATAGTATTATAATCTCATTGTATAAGCAGTCCATGGTTGACTGAAATATTATGTAGCACATGACCGTAGCCAATAGCCACCTCCTGTGCCTGAAATTTCCTTGTGTTATGAGTCAGAGTAAATTTTCAAAAGTTTAATAATTATGCTCTAAGATTTACAATTTTGCTGAAATGGCTGTGCTTTGCTTGTCTTTGGAGCCCCTGCTGTACCTAACACAGCTCCTCACACAATTAGCCTTTAAGCAAAAGATAAAATTGAAGATTTTTAAAAGTTCAGGAGCGAAACCTCTTTGGTGTGATCCGGCGAAACTCAATCAAAACGTAGCAGAAAATTCTTCAGATAGTATCTAGTCTGAGAAATCTGGATGTACCCCATATAGTTTCATGTCCAGACCTAGAACTGTGAATGCCAGCAGGCTGGACTGCCTCCTATTTCCCACAACCCTACCTCTCCCTCCAACCTGCCACCCTCCCGCGGTCTGCCCACCTCCTCTCAGGGCTTACCCTGGTAAAGCCCTTGTTGGAATTGGAGATTGAGCTCTGCCTCTCTGATTCTTGGAGACTCGCCGGATCAGATAGCCTAAGTTACCTCAGAGTTCCTGACATGAAAAATTGTAGGAGAAACTGAAATCACAAATGTATGCATTTTTCATCACACTTCATAAATATTGTAAGTTGTAAGTAAATAGTGCTTAGGAAAAAATAAGTAAAGTAAAGCATGTTTAGGAAAAAAATGCTGCTTTTTGGAAAGCTTTGTTTTATACCTTGGTAATCACTGTCCATATTCTCATATTTGTTAACTTTGGAATATGATGACTTCCTTTTATAATAATTATTTACATAAAATTACACATTTACCAAGATGATAATATTGAAGATGTAGTAGGCTTGGTGAGAGGGCAACCTAGCTCTGGTTCTTCTACCATTTAGCTGAAAGACTTTAGGCAAGTCACTTGACCTCTCTAGGCTTCCTAAGCATCCAAAGGAAGCTTTGGTTAAGAAGAGCTCCAATATTATAATGTCAGCTGCTGCCTTTCCTTTTTTCCTGGTGAAAATATGAGAGAGAGAAAGAGACCCACCAACTCTCTGAAACATGGAAGTGTTTTGGAGCATCGAAGGTAGTGAAGAGAAAACATCTAGTACTGGGGATTGTAAAGCAGACCCAGAGAGAACTTATTTTGCAAAAACAAAGAGCAGAGGGGATAAAGACGAACTCCCTCCCCATATTCACACTCACACTCTACCCTTGCATACAGATTATTTTTAAATTTAGTAAGCATCCAATTTCTACTTCTGAATGCCACATTTCTGTTCATTAAGACATAGTCATAAGGAAAATAATATGTCTACTAAACATCTGCTCATTTTTAGAGAAAGGCCAATATGGGTGGCTGAAAATTTTTATCCGTATTTTCTAATTTTTCTACAATGAGTTTTAGCACTTCTGCAATAATATTGAAAATATTTTTAAATAAATAAGGGGAAGAGAGCTTTACATCCATCTTCTTTGTCTTATAAAAATGGCAGAATTCCCTGAGACTGAAATGTCTCTTACTCTTGTGTTTGAGAGTTGAAGTTAATGCTGGTCTTCAGGTATAGGAATGAGAGTGATAGGACATCAAGGTTTAACACTATTTAACATTAAGTACTTAGGAATTATGACCAGGAAGCTATGTATTAGCATCTTCTCTGAATATTTTTTATTACTCCAAATTGTAAAATTTAACATTTCAAATTATTTTTTATTGTAAAACGGATAGAATACAATCTGGGAAAAATAATATTTTCCAGTTTTTGTTGGGTTTTTACATCTCTATGCTAGAAAATATTAATAATACAGGAAAACTAATTGTATTTCAATTTTATGTTAAAATTATGCTATACAAAATGCACACATTTAATTGGTAAATGTATTTTAAAGCGAAAGTATCCAGAAGTTAATTGGTAACAATCTAACAATAACACTGATTAAAAACTCTTGTGAGTGGTAAGAAAAGATAGCTTGATTTATGTTTCTTTAAATATGCAACAAAGGATCTTTTAAGTTAATTTTGTTTTATTATTAGATTGTTACCAAGTAACTTCTAAGATTAGCTGCAACTTAATTCCTATGTCTAAGCCTCTTTGGCTTAAAGAGAAGGTATGTAATGAGACAATCAAATATTTGCCTGTTCTTTAGCACTAGGAATAAGGGGTAACAAACACCACCCAAGGGAAAGTTATGAGAAAAAAAATAACAAAGGTCAAATACTGAGCCAAGATGGGAGTTAGTCTTTACTATACATCATGTCATTTAACCATCATGACAGCACCACCAGTAGGTATTAGCTTCATTTCACATGTTAGGAAACTGAAATTAGAAGAGAGTAACTTATCTGAGCCAATTAAGGGGAGTAGCCTGCATTCAAATTGCGGCTGAAAAGTTTACCAGGCAAGTTATATCTGCACAATAGTAGACTATAGATATTTCTCAATCAACTGAGTTCAGTAAACCCTTTGCTTTGGTTTTATATAAAAACTTCCTTGCTTTCGTAAGATCCAGAAAACGACAGCATGGGTTCAACAACTTACTTGAAATATTGGTTTATTTGGTGGTTAGGCCTTTTACTTTCTATTCCTTTCTGTGATATCAACAGTAATAACAATAAAAATGTTAATAGCAACATATTCTTATATTCTTTCATTTTTCAATTTGAAGAAAACCTTTTTGAAACAGACGAAGAATTTGAGAAATTAATCCAAGGTGAGATAAACGCCTTGTTATTCGTGATGTTGCATTAGACCAAAGAGATGAGATGGTCTCTCCATTAATATGAAAGGCTCTCTCTCTCTCTCTCTCTCATATTCTAAATAAGAGCAGTGAAAATTATGTAAATAGTATCTATCCATATCCTATCTCCATATAAGGAAGGTAGTGCTTGGATCTTGCAACTAGGAGGAGCCCTGCCTCCAAGCTTCTAAGCTGTCATAATTCCAACCCCCTTCCTTTGTTTTTGTTGCCCTAGGGATAATGTCTGCTTTCACAGTTGCCAACTTCATGATACTGCACTGTTCCTTTGTTGTTTTCAGTTCTCCAAGATATAATTCATTCCTTTATATTTAATGTTCTGTGCTAAAGTACCTGATGTGGTTCTGTCTCCCAGCTAGACCCTGAAACAATGGAAAGGAGAACTGCCTCAACTTCAGGTGTTAAATGGGAAAAGGGCAGAGCCAGCCTTACTGTTGCCATTCTGAGGCAGAGAGAGAGAAAGAGAGAAAGTCCCTCCAGTCTTTTAAATTAAACGGTTGTTCTCTCTAGTTACAGTTGGTTGGCTGGTTGGTTGATTGGTTGGTTGGTTTTAATGCAAATATTCCTTGGGAAGATTGAAAAAGTAAGCCCAAAGCAGAGAGCTGTCAGCCAGAAGGGAGATCACTGGGATTCCAAGAAGGGAGGGGTAGGACATGGAAGGTTGATGTAGGAGAACGGTGGGAAACCATGTGCAGAAGAAGGTGCAGGGAGGCAAATGTCAAGACATGCTTTGAATTCCAGGCAGTTAAAATATGTATGCTTATTTTCCTATAAGAAAATGGGGAATAACAGAAAGGTTTTAGGCAGAGGCTTATGGCTTCAGAAAAACAACCAGGCAGAGCATGTTGGGTAGATAAATGTCGTGGTAGTCCAGAGGTAAAAAGAGGGTGACCATAGGAAAGGAGAGTAAGGAATGAGAAAGGACAATTCTTGGTCAGACAGAAAGCTTTGTGCCTACCAGAGTACTCAACATCATTTTCTTGCACTCTACACATTTTTGTATGAGTGAATGGGTAAATATTTCTCCTTTTACTTGGCCTCTAAAAATATTTGATTACATAGTTCCATTTTGTACCACCTTTAAAGAAAACAGTTATTATTATCACAGACAATAAATAACCCAACTTTCCTTTGTGTATTTTAAGGTGGAACCCTGATGTATGGACAAGTGCCCATGGTCGAAACTCATGGAATGAATTAGGTAGAAACCAGAGCCTTCCTAAGATACATAGCTGCAAAATATGACTTGTATGGAAGGAACATGAAGGAACAAGCCTGGTACAACAATCGCTTCTTTCTTAGAATAAAACTTAAAAAAAAAGTTTTAAGCTTATTAGCAGTCATGTGTAGCATAATTCTTGACAGATTAATACAAAGCTCTTCTCTGGTTAACTTTTTATTGTAGCAAAATCTAACATATCAAAGGAGAGAGACTAGTATAATAAACCCTATGTACAAAATTTACCTTCGACAATGACTAATTCATGGCCAATTAAACAGTTTCTTTAATTTTCTGATTCTATGTTTAGCTCTTTATTAGTTATGTATTATTTATTTACTAAAGCAAAGACGTTAGTAGAGTACATCTACCACTTTCTTGTGAATTTGTGTTTCCCTCCACAAGGTGGAAGTGGCACACAGAGTAAATCACCAGAACACAGACCCAAAATTTTCGGAGGAGGAGCATTCTATCCCCACGCAATTGATTCTAGAAGTGGTTGTTGGAAACTACTTCATTAATCTCTGGTCACACCAATATCTGCCCCCTGGCCTCCCAGACATTAGTTAATTCCCTTGTGCAGACATCAGTCCTTTTACAATAGGCAGACCTATCTACAAACTGACAAAATAGTCTTATCTTACCTGGGGTTTTTAACAGCAACCCTAAATTGTAAATTATTGCACAGAATTAGAAAACCATTAATTGGTAAACAACAAATAATCCATCTTTACTAAATGAGATGTGTTTTAAATAAATTTCTGAAGCCATTGTTTTATTTCAAAAATGCATGTGTTTTCAGAAACTTAGCTTTAAACATTTCAATGTAGTAAACATTTTTAAATTGATCTCGTATTTTGAAATCTCAACAAAAGTTTTCCCTTACTTTCTAGTAGTTTCTCACTGACTTAGAAACCAAATTTCTGCTGAAACCAAATTACATCCCTGCAGTGTAGTTTAACATGTTCCCCTGTCTCTGTATTTTTATAAATTGGTAGCTGGGTTTAGAGGCTTTATCAGATTCAGGTTCTAGTCGGTTTTGCAAGGCTACTTTCAGTGTCGTTGTGTATTCTTTATGATATCAGTAGCCATTGATGTTCAGGGCTAACATTCCTTCTGCATCTATTACCTGAAATGTTCTTTTTTTTTTTTTTTTGAGACGGAGTCTCACTCTGTAGCCCAGGCTGTAGTGCAGTGGAGCGATCTTGGCTCACTGCAACTTCCGCCTCCCGGGTCCCGGTTCAAGCAATTCTCCTGCCTCAGCCTCCCGAGTAGCTGGGATTACAGGCACACACCACCACGTCCAGCTGATTTTTGTATTTTTAGTAGAGACAGGGTTTCACCGTGTTGGCCAGGCTGGTCTTGAACTCCTGACCTCGTGATCCGCCTGCCTCAGCCTCCCAAAGTGCTGGGATTACAGGCATGAGCCACCGTGCTCGGCCTGAAATATTTCTATAAAGAAAACCTTTTGCTAACACAACAAAAGGGCTAACAAGAAAAATAAAAGATCAAAAAAGAAAAACAAGGGTCAGGAATGGTGGTTCATGCCTGTTATCCTAGCACTTTGGGAGGCAGAGGCAGGTGGATCACATGAGACCAGGAGTTTGAGACCAACCTGGCCAATATGGCAAAACCCTGTCTCTACTAAAAATACAAAAATTAGCTGGGCATGGTGGTGCTCACCTGTAATACCAGCTAATCGAGAGGCTGAGTCACTTGAACCCAGGAGGCAGAAGTTGCAGTGAGCTGAGTTTGTGCCACTGCACTCCAGCCTGGTCAACAGAGCGAGACTCTATCGCAAAAAAAAAAAAGGAAAGAAAAAACTTCCTTTCATCTACTATCTGGTTACTTGGACATACAGTTTTCAAGACTGATGCTTGATTCTTTCCCTTTGTTTACCAATTTTCCAAATAATGAGTTGTTTCATTTGCAGTGACCAGTTAATTAGTGTTGTTTTCATATCATTATGAACTCATCAATTTAAAACATCTTTGATGTGTTTCAGTTCACTTCAGGTATCATTCTTATTTATGCTCAAATTGTCCCACCTTTGGCCAATGGGAGCCAATGGGAATTTTTGGTCTGACCTGAGTGATCTCTGATAACTTCCTTATTATCTGGTATAAGATGATAATCCCAATTAATTCTGAACATCTCCTGCTCCAGAACTGGACTCAGTCATTTCTCTAAGAAGCTCTGGTTCCTTTTAATGAAAAACAGTTTTTAAATAGATCTTTCATATAAACTGAAAATGAATTATTTACTATTAGTGCTTTCATTGGTATAGTATTGTGATAAAACCTCATACATGTTAGAAACTTTGTATTTTAAAACTCTTTCAACTGTATAAACCCACAACAATCCTAATGTTCAGAATAGTACTCTTCTGGTTATCTGTTGCTATAGAATATGATCTCTCACGGTGCTGAGTTGACAGGGCTCAGCTGGGTGGTTCTCTCCAAGTCTCTCATGGAGTGCTTTACTCATGTGTCTGGAACTTGTGTTGGGAGGGCTGCTGTCATGCCAGATCCCTATTGACTTCAATAGGGATGGCACCATGTTTGAGAGTCTGAAGAAGAGACCTAGAGCCAGCAAACAAGACTTGGGATTTATTGAGGGGACTTACATACAACACGGTCCAGTGGTGGCAGGCTCGACAGGAGAACCACTACCATTTGTAAAAAGCATGCTGGTTATATAGCATTTTCACTTAGCACCCTCTCCCTTGCAACCTCCACCTGGCAACCTTTATGTAACCCAGAACAAAGGGCCTCAATCCCTTGCATGGCCTGCACACCATGGGATGGGCCAGGGGTTCAGATGCTCCTCATAGATAAGGAATGAATCTAGAGGTTGGCCACTCCTGGATTCCTTAGCTTGGAACTCCAAACACACATTCTTCTTAGACCATAGGACCATTATCAGGGTATTGCTATCAAGTGCATCTGCCATATAGCTGGACCATATGGGCCTAGTGGGGCATCGGTCTCTCTCTACGTGCCTTCTTCACAGGACTAGCTTGGGCTTCCACATGGCATGAGGTTCTCAGTGTAGTTGGACTTTGTACGTAGTAGCTGGTTGGCCTCTGAGCAAATGTTCCAAGAGAACCCCGTGGAAGCTGTGAGGCTTATGTCCTAGATATACAAGTCTAAGGACATTACTTCTCACATTCTATTGGCCAAGCAAGTCTCCAAGGCCCACTCAGATTCAAGGGGAGAATGAAACTTACTCTCAATAGGAGAAGTAGCAAAGAATCTGAGTCCATTTCAAGACATGCACTGCTACTGTAGCTTAAAGTTAAAGGAACTGTGGTTCAAAAAGATTAATAAGAGACTCATCTTGGACCCAGACCAAAGTTTCCCAAGGCCCACACCAGTAGTCTCACTACGTCATGGTGTCTTGTCAAACATAACATCCATGTTTCCATACACTTTGGCACAGAGATGTGGGTGGTGGCAAGTGGGAACTTGTGGAGTAAGTTTTGTCTTCTATGAAATTGCTCTACTATGTTTGAGAACCTTCAATCCAGATGGAGATGTGTTTGGCAGTGCAGAGGCCCTTATTACCTCTTCTTCCACATGCATCACCAGTAGCAGCATGGGTGATCTCACTATTATTACAACAACTAAATAGCCATAAATGATATTTGCCCAATTTGCTGTTTTGGGATTATTTTAATACTTTGTGTATATGTATTTTATTAACACTAGTGTTACATAATTGATAGTCACACACATATAATTGCTCACACACTTTGATCCTACAACTTTTCTATCTCCCAGATGCATCTTCCCTAATATTTCAAAGGAACAGCATGCCTCTGAAAACACCTGGCTTCAGTTCCTGGAACAATGTTCCATGAAAACACCTGATAACTAAGCAGGTAAAACAGAGGCACTACTTAAAATGTTTCTTTGGCCCATTAAATGACAGTTCCCTTTATCTGTAACTCTTTTTTGAATTAACACCCTTTTTCTAGGATTCACATGTATGTAGAAGGCTTGAAGGACCTGAGTGACATGATTATGTTCCAGCCACTCTCTCTGCCTGAAGAGAAGATGAATCTTGCATACATCCTTGAAAGAGCCACTACAAGATTATTCCCTGTCTGTGAGAAGGTAAGCAACAAACTCCTGCCCTGCTTTATGACTTGAATCAAGGGGGAGAAAAACAAATGAAACTAAAAATAGACAAAGAATTTTATCAATAAAGGTTTCCAAACCCTTTGCGAAAGCTCAAAATTCTTCCCCCACTTGCAGTTAGACAACAAATCTGCTCTCCTTCCTCACACCCTGGTCTTCTGGATTTTTTTTTATTTTATGCATAATTTCAGCACTATTTGTGGTTCTGGTGCTGATAGAATTTCAGTTACCTGATTCTAAGGGAGGAAATCCCACACTAATGAAAGAGCTGGGGGAGAGGGGATGGATATTATTTCTAAAATACACTGGACAGTCCTGGGGTTCAGGGCTGTTTGTAAGGTTAGAATTCTAAGCAGTATTCTAAAAGTTAAAAAATTGTTTTAAACATAATACTTGAGCGTTCATGTCTCTGCATTTTTAACAGCTGTAAAATGCTGTCTGAAAGCTTGCACTTGGTCAGGGTTGGATGCCTTCTTTAGTTATTAATGCTCTTCATCTCCAGGTGCAGTCATTATAATATTAGTAAGTCTAGGAAAAGATGATGAAAAATGTTAGGGCTTGGTAAAAACAAAGAAAAAAGAGCCAGTTAAGTTTTTCAAACTCACCTGCCATGCTGTTTTAACCTATCCTTTTTGGGTTGAATAACAATAGTTCTCATTAAATGATTTAATACATGTATTTGAATATATTTATCATGATCAACAGTTTTAGAGCCTAATCATGTAACATAGATTATCTAGTTGATACTTATGTATTTGGCATAGATGACAGATACCCTAACTTCCTCGGTTAGACTTTTCCCTTAATTATACCTGGTGAGTTCCTAGCTCCAACTGGATCAAATTGTGAATATTCTAAACCCCCAGGTTTTCCCCATACTGTTTCCTTCAAAAGTGTTTCAAAGATAATGTATTCCTTTGTAATCAGCATGTAACTTAAGATCTTTTACCATACAAATACTGACAACAGAGTGAATGTTTACCACCACCATGTGGTAAACTAATGCATGAAGTTTTTGTTGTAAGATACTATGAAGTGCAGACTTCTCATAACTAAAAATGTGACTGTAACTGCACTAACAACAGTGCTAATAATAATAATGGCTCACCTTTACTGAGTGCCAAGTGCTGTGCTATATGATTCGCATGCATTAATCCATTTAATCTTTATAATAACTCCACAAGATACTATGTGGTTGCTTCATCTGTAAATAAGGATAAATTATTTCCTCATTTACAGGTGAAGCAACTATATCTTAAAGAAGCAACGTAACCTGCCCAGTGTCATACAACTAATAAAGCTGGAACCTGTACTCAGGTCTCTCTAGGTCCTGATCCTATGCCCAAGTATCAAAACATCATGAAGTCTATGGCCTAGAATGTACCTTAGTGACCACCTCCTCCAAACTTACATTTCATTTTGTATTTGATCAATTTTGACTCAAAGTGACCCATAATTTACAGCCCTATTTGAAGAAAATTCGCTTATAAAAATGAGGGTTGGGTCCCTCTGAGAATGACACTCTCCCTGCAAACACAGTACCTTCCGAAGAGCAGCACACCTCAAGAATCCACCCTGAGATGGTGCAAGTAGAAATACCATCAGCCCAGGAAGAGCCACCAATGGAGGGTCGGTGCTAAAATCACTCTACAGAGGTTCACGGGATAGCTACAGGGAGAGGAGATGAAAAGAAGACAAGCACATGAGATAAAGCTGTTTCCTATGTTCAGAATAAGTCAGGAGGGTTTAAGCTATTCCATTCCTTTCACCTCACGAAGCCCAAGAGAAATGGGGTTTGCGTGAGCTCACACAGCTAGTCAGTGGCAAAGAACAGATTAGAAGCCAGGTCTCTTAACTTCTAGAAGACTTTCTGCCAAATCAAGCTGACTTTAAATTATATGTTAGGTGTGTCCTTCATCTTCTACCTTTTCCTTATTAACCATCATGCAGGCACTGAGAGACCACAGACAAGATTTTCTTGTGGGCAATCGGCTGAGCTGGGCTGATACACAGCAACCTGAAGTCATCTTAATGACTGAAGAGTGCAAACCCAGTGTCCTCTTGGGCTTTCCTCTGCTACAGGTAATGCTATCCAAATAGCTCCCAAGAACTGCAGGGAGAATGAATTTGTATTATCCACTTATTCTTTCATTCAGTCATTCACCATCATTTATGAACCTACTAACTTCTTTATGCCAAGGCCTGTGCTAGAAATACAAAGATGCCCTCAAGGCAGCTATCTCCTGGTGAAACCAAGCATACAGACCGGTAACTTCAATATAATGTGGTAAACTAAAACGTAACATGATAAGAGAAAGCAGATGTCTTGAACTCCTGGGCTCAAATGATCCTCCTGCCTCAGCCTCCCAAAGTGCTGCGATTACAGGCATGAGCCACTGCACCTGACCCATATTACATTATAAACATGTTTTAACATTGTTAGTCTGCCTCATTTCTTTACAATGTAGTCTATTTTTGAAACTTTTCTTGATTATATGTATATTCCATTTATTGTGTTCAGAATAACCTTTTTTAACAAGAAAGAAATATTTTAATTGTTACAAAAACAAAGGAGGCAGATACTAGAAACTCTGCATTTCATAAAACAATGAAACTTTGTTTAAATGTTTTCATGATCATCTTTCCGCAGACACCATTCATTTTAAAAGTCCTAGTCAAGACCATTAAGCAGCTTCATCTTCTATATTAAAAAAAAACCCGAGACTTAAAAAACAACAGTAAAGAATTTCACTATCTTTATATATTACATCTTATAAAGCTATTAAATTTTTCAGTGTCAAGAGTGAAATATTACCCCATACCTCGCTTCATCACTAGAAGGTGGACACCTGATTGAGCAATACTCATTAACTGCTAGGTAGATGAACTGTGTTGACTGTAGTAAAGCCATTTTACAATCAACTTAGGAAGTAATAACACCAGCCAAACACAGAGACACAAACATCAAAAATGATATGTTTAGTATGTACAAATAGCTATACTTGGGGCATGGCTATCAAGTAACAAGACTGATTTAATACTTTACAGTCATAGCACATTAAAAATATATTGCCAGAGGGATAATGGTCCCACACATCAAAAATGTCTATATAGAAAAGGCTGTGATTTATTGCAAAGCATAATATATAGCAAATTCCAAGGAAGGGCAAATAATTTTTAAACAAATCTTTAAATTTAATGGCTTAAGCCAAAGCCTCAGTTACTTTTTGGAGGATTCATAACAAGTAGGGGTTGAAGAATGCTTTTCTTTTTTTCTGTTTCTTTTTTTTTTGAAATGCAAGTCTCGCTCTGTTCCCCAAGCTGGAGTACAGTGGCACGATCTCGGCTCACTGCAACCTCTGCCTCCCGGATTCAAGCGATTCTCCTGCCTCAGCCTCCCGAGTAGCTGTGACTACAGGTGCACACCACCATGCCTGGCTAATTTTTGTATTTTTAGTAGAGACGGGTTTCACTATGTTGGCCAGGCTGGTCTTGAACTCCCGACCTCAGGTGATCGCCTGCCTCTGCCTTCCAAAGTGCTGGGATTACAGGTGTGAGCCACTGCACCTGGCTTCCTTTTTTTGATTTACTTTTTCTTTTTTTTTTTTTCTTTGAGATGGAGTCTTGCTCTATTGCCCAGGCTGGAGTGCAGTGGTGTGGTCTCGGCTCACTGCAACCTCCACCTCCCAGGTTCAAGTGATTCTCCTGCCTCAGCCTCCCAAGTAGCTTGGATTACAGGCACCTGCCACTATGCCCGGCTAGTTTTTTTTTTTTCCTGTATTTTTAATAGAGACAGGGTTTCACTATGTCGGCCAGGCTGGTCTCAAACTCCTGACCTCGTGATCCACCCACCTCAGCCTCCCAAAGTGCTGGAATTACAGGTGTGAGCCACCACACCCAGCTTTTTTTTTCTTTTCTTTGTTCTGATATTTTTGTTTCTTTTGAAATGTCCTTTTCAGTGGAACTGGATGAATAAGACCTTTTCCTTTTTTAAAAAAATTGCTTTTCTCTTTGCTTTTTCTTCTCCTCTTCATTTATTCTTTTTTTCCAGTAATGCTTGCAATTTATTCATTCTTCATTTTATTCATCAATCTTCACTGTTTGCACTGCTGACATCCAAAACTATGTCCCTTTGGGGTCTACTTGGAGAAAGTTGCAGCATTCAAAAGTCAGGTGACCAGGAAGCCATATTTTTTACAGCCTGCTCTGACACTGTCCTTGTTGCAACCTGGGACTGCCATGATGGTGGTAAGAGGGGTCGCTGGAGACTCTGGCTTTCTAGAACACGCTTGCTTCCCATTAGCTGTGAGGACGAGGCACCGCCAAAGTGGCCACTTTCACCCATGCCACAGCCTAACCTGATTTTAAATAGTGAAAATCATAAACAACTTAAATGTCTAATATTAAACTGAGAAACATCTATATAAATGAGGATATGTTCATTGGATAGAATTCTATGCAGCCACTTAAAGTTTTCAAAGATTACATAACATGAAAAATGCTTCTGGTATAAGAAAAATGAGGACTTCTCTTTATTGTATACCAGGATGCTTTAGAATGTTTGTTTTTATAAATAGTGTTGCAACAATATCTTTGTAGGTATAGATTTTTCCACATTTAAGATTACATCATTAGGACACAATTTTTAAAATGGAATCACTTCGTAACAGCCTATGAACGTTTTTGTGGTTCTTGAGAAATATTGCTAACTTGCAAAGTGGCAGTATCACTTTGCAATGTCCACAATGTATGAAAATCCCAATTATCCCCCACCTCCACCAGAATGTGGCTCATTTGCATTTTACTTTGTTTTGTTATATTCTTCTCTCTTGGATAGTATTCTTTTGCATTTTAGAAATTCAAGGCCAGAATCAGCCACATCCCCACAATTAATAAATTTCTCCAACCTGGAAGCCAAAGGAAGCCTCCACTGGATGAAGAATCCATTGAGACTGTGAAGAATATATTTAAATTTGAACATGGCCTGTTTCTTAAAAACATGAGCACTACAGTAGCTGAGTATTAACAAATGAAACAAAGTCTAAGAAACGTAGTAAATATTTCACTATGCATTGGTAGCAGACCCATAAAAATATCATAAAGCCACATTAATGTAATAAAGTAATAAGACATGAGGAAATAAACTGCCTAATACCTGTAAGTTACAGAGCCTCTTCTACTTTTCATAAAACAAGAAAACACCAATTAATCAGAGCCATCCAAATATGAATCCTTCTGGATTCTACGTATTGCAAAAGAGTAAAATCACAAATATGCAAATGGATGCCAAAGATTTCTTTAAAAACAAAACAAAAAAAGCACACACATCACTATCATTCACTTCTATGACCTTTTGGGAAAAGTCCAGGGAACAGCATAGCTTCAAACCAGTTTCTTAAACTTTGAATCACTAGAGTATTCTGCAGACACAGCATGTATTTCTAGGATCAATTTCACAGTTAGTTTCTACTTCAGTATCGTAATCAGTTTTGACTATAAGCTGCTGTCAGTCTGAATCTGAAGGTTCTCCTCAGTCATCTCTGACAGCTAGCAAGTGAGCAGAGCACCTCAATGATGACGGCTTTTTCCAGCCTTGCCTGTGGTAACAACCTCTTTGCCACCATTAGGATTTATGGGATTTTCTTTCTTCTTCTTTAAATTGGGATTTTTTTAAGTACATCAAATAATTTTATCTAGATTTCCTATTCGGTTCAACTGGTACAGCTTTTTTCTTCCCTTAATTGAATTACTTATCACTGAAAGTTTAACAACCTCCTTGAAAGTCAGTTGGGAAAGGTAACCAATCTAACAGAACCATATGAACTCTGCCGTTATCAGTTGAGGACCCTACGCTTTCACTTAAAGAAAGGGTTTGAAGTATGACACCACTGCACATAACCAACAGGATAGGAACTGTAGATTTTTAGAGCTCTAAAGGGTTGATCATTTAGTTCAATTCCTCCTTAAGAATGAGAAACTGAGTCAGAGGAAAAGGAAATGACCTTCCAAAGAGCATCAAGTGGGTGGAAGAATTGGGCTGGGATTCAGGTCTCCCGATGTTCAATTTGGGCCCTAAAAGTGCCTTGGACATTAAAAGTTATAACTATGCCTAAAAATAAAGTGGTAATTTGAAACAAAATCAGTTTGTTTCAGAATCGTTACTCTTTCAGAGAGAAAAAATATCTACGCCTCAGGAAGTAGAATGTTGGCTTAAATAAACCCTCCTTCTCAACCCTTTTCGTTAATAATTGAATATTTAAATGTCAAAGATGATTTGAGTATTCAGAGGAAAAACTGACATGAAAGAAACAGGTTTGAACCAAAATGTCTTTTATTTGAATACTGAATACATTCAGTTAGGACATAACAGTGTGCTAAGAATAAAATTTTTTAAAGAAAAAAATAGCACTGGCAGCAATACAATTAAAATGGAAAAAGCATAATTTCTAATAATTTCAAATATAACACAAATGACAAATAGATACATTATCATTCTGTGAACTCCACTTAAGACTTCCTTTATGTGACAAGTTGTAGTTTAAGCTTACTTGAGACATGAGTATTTGGAATTTTCAAAAAATACCAAATATATAAAAAATAGACACAACAAATGGAAGAGTATATCATGATTCATTAGACACTTTTAATGAAAATAGTGCTTGACAATTAGAAAACAGTTAAAATTTTTGCTTTAGAAAAAAACTACCTCAAACTAATGTTCATATTAGAGGTGACAGTGCTATTTGTGTTTCTAGCATTCCATATTGAAGTTTATCTTTTAAATACAAAAAAAATATGCTCTGCCCATTACAGCAGGATGACATGAACTTAGTTTTCTGTTCCTCCAGATGCTCAGAGCAGCAACAAGACAAGTCTCAGGATCATCATGAGGCTGGATTTAAAATAAAACAAAGACAAAGGGAGAGTCACTTTTATCTGGCATAAGACAGAAAGGGCCATGCACTCGCCTACCCAGTAGTGTTACTAATCCTTGGCTTGGGGGCTCTCCCAGCTCAACCCCTTGGAGGATTAAAACATCCCAGACATAACTGAATTAGCCACTTTAAAATGTTCGCTAAATGAATAAGGAAAAATCAGAACCTGTTGTTCTGAAAACCTTGGATGAGGGTTTATAAGAGAAAGGTTTGGGAAGAAACAAACTTTCAGAAGCTAGTAAAATAAAGCAACTTGAAAAAATAATCGAGGACCAACTTGGGGCAGTTACTAATTCAATCTCAGCTACTTTCTATTAACTGAGGCCTTCTTCCGGATCCATAAACCCTACTTCATTTTTTCTTCCTTTTTTTTTTCTTTTTTCTGATGGAGTCTCACTCTGTCACCCAGGCTGGAGTATAGTGACGCAGTCTCGGCTCACTGCAACCTCCACCTCCTGAGCTCAAGCAATTCTCCTGCCTCAGCCTCCCAAGTAGCTGGGATTACAGGTGCCCGCCACCACACTTGGCTAATTTTTGTAGAGATGGGGTTTTGCCATGTTGGCTAGGCTGGTCTTGAACTCCTGACCTCAAGTGATCCACCCGCCAAAGCCTTCCAAAGTGCTGGGATTACAGGCATGAGCCACCGCACCCAGCCCATAAACCCTACTTCTGATTCTTCCCACCACCAAGTATCACTTTTAGAACAGGGCTATAACTGGAAAGCTGTCTTTTGTAATCACACTCCTCCTCCCCTCCCTGAAACATAATACATAGTCACACTAGAAAATTCTACACAAAAGTAGAAAGAGGAACATTACAATTATTCATCACACTATCACCCACAGAAAAACACTAACAGCTTGAAATATTTCCTTCCTGTTTTTTTATACACAAACTTTTTTTAATCACACTATATGTGGTTGTTTTCATCCTGTTTTTATACCTTATTATGTCACTAAGATTTTCCAATGCCACCAAATCATTTTTGAAAACATAAAAATGTAATGCTCATTCAATATTCCATTAAATGGACAAAACATTTTTTCAAACATCTCCTTACTGGTGAACTGTTAGGTTGTTCCTAATTTTTCAGTCTATTGTGTTTTCACTAGAAATAAAGTTGCAATGAACATCAGTCTTTGTGCATATCTCACTGCTTTGGAATAAATTCCAAAAAGTGAAAATGTCTATCAAAGGAAATAAACATGTTTATGGCTTTCAACATATAAAGCCAGCTTTCTGGAGAAATTTTTAAAATGTTATCTCTAAATTTTTATTTGGTAATATGCTTAATCTCATGGATAGAATTACTGGATCAAATTAAGAGAAACTTGAGGCCCTCTGTTTATCTTTTAAAAAATATTAAAACTTCTCTCTTAAAAACTCTTAAAAATATTAAATTTCTGTCCCTTAAAAACTTGAAATAACTGTATCACACTGTCACTCTGTCAAACTCTCTAAAAGGGACTGAGTATTAGATTTAAATGAACACATTTAGTGTTGCAGATGGGTGAATCTTGAGGAAAAATGAGGCTGAGTTTAGTTAGCTCTTTCTTCTGAAAAAGGCAAGTATGCCTATGTGACCAGATACTACAGCAACACTATGCGTATCCAATAAGAATGTTCATGGGTACATCAATATCAAAGACCCACTGAATCCATGCTATCTTAAGGTTTTTACTGTCATGCTTATTATAACAAAAAGGACTTTGATCTTTCAAATTAAAATTGATGTTTCCCAAAAATTCAGCACTTCAAAACAACAGCAGAGGAAAGTATTGATCAAAATAGTTTTACTTACCTTAAACCTGCAACCAAACCAGCAGGCATTATTTTCTTGGACCTCTTAAATCTCACACCCATTATGGTAGCCAGGAAGAAAGCTGTAACTGAAAACCAAACTAATTCATGAACCAGAGTTTCAAACATGTTATCAATGCTTGTGGGAAAACAGCGGGTACCATTTAAAGCTTTCTAACATTACAACTATTATGGATAGGTACTGAGTTGCCATTGTCTTGAAAAGATAAAGTGCTCTATTAAAACACTTCATGGCCGGGCCAGTGGCTTACGCCTATAATCCCAGCACTTTGGGAGGCAGAGATGGGTGGATCACCTGATGTTGGGAGTTTGAGGCCAGTCTGACCAACATGGAGAAACCTCGTCTCTACTAAAAATACAAAAAAAATTAGCAGGGCATGGTGGCACATGCCTGTAATCCCAGCTACTCGGGAGGCTGAGGCAGGAGAATTGCTTGAACCGGGGAGGCAGAGGTTGTGGTGAACTGAGATCACGCCACTGCACTCCAGACTGAGCAACAAGAGCGAACTCTGTCTCAAAAAAACAACAAAAGAACAAACAAAGAAACACTTCATCATCATCTACCTCGCCGAAAAGGTTTCTGGGTAAACAAACATGTTAAAATCCATTCCTGAAATATCTTCAAAAGAGAAAGACCTTTTCTTTTTCTTTTTTTTTTTTTTGTTGTTGTTGTTGTTGTTGTTGTTGAGACAGAGTCTTGCTCTGTCACCCAGGCTGGAGTACAGTGGCGTGATCTCAGCTCACTGCAACCTCCACCTCCCGGGTTCAAGCAATTCTCCTGCCTCAGCCTCCCGAGTAGCTGAGATTACAGCCATGTACAACCACATCCAGCTAATTTTTGTACTTTTAGTAGAGACAGGGTCTTGCTATGTTGGCCAGGCTGGTCTTGAACTCCTGGCCTCAAGTGATCCACCGGCCTCAGCCTCCAAAAGTGCTGAGATTACAGGCATGAGCCACCATGCCTAGCTAAGAAAGTCTTTTTCTAACCTAAATTTCTATTCAAAGAACACGCCTTGAAGGCTAGCACTGAGCTTTATTCAACTTCCCTCAGAAACACTAAGTAGCACACTTGGACCCACAGGAGACACTCATTAATGTTCAGTTAACTGAATATAAAGAAAATAGTTAATGTATCTTTTACAAGTAAGATCTGATTAATAAAAAAAAAATACTAAAAAGAAGGCTGATTGGTTTTGTTTTGTAGCATCCCATTTTGGAGAATTTGATGCCTGGAGACTAAATAATAGTCTAAGCAATAGTATTTTATTCAGAAGCATCATGTCAGCCTTTTTGGAGCTGTATCTATGAAGGGAGAGGTAGTTTTATGTAAGAGATTAGGACATCAATGCCACAATTTAAAAACAGCTTTCAAAGAAAAACTGTTTATTGATATAAAAAATAAAATGACTGACAATAAATACTTGTGAACTATTTAAATGCATATCAATAAAAATCCTAATATCACTACATCTGGCTGATACATCTAACACAACCTCATTACTAAAAATATCCCTAGCCCCTTATAAAAATAACTAAAAAAAAAAAAAAACCCCAAATCTCTCACTCTCCTTCAAATATAGAACAATTTTGTCTTCATTTATATTTTTTTCCATACACGACCAAGGCACTTTGAATAATAAATCAACTAGAGAAAATGTCCTTGGTATGGTTTTCTAAATCTTCACTGTGTATCTCTTTCAAGTGAGATGAAAGTCAAGTGTCCTGGTGACTTTAAACACACAGGTTTCCATTTTTTCTGTGGATATTCTCCCATTAAACTTAACAAGGGAAGTAGCTAAAAAAGCGTCAGCCTTGCTTTTTTAGGTTAAGTCTTAAGGCAGTGCAGAATCTAAAAGATGTTTGTGAATTAAATGAAATAATGCAAGGCTGTCTCTTTTTTAGTTATTTCCACAGCAATGTAAAAACTATGCTAAATATGCATTTAGGAGAGTTAGCAGAAAATCTGAAAATAATTCCTTGCTTTTCCTAATTCAATTTTTCTAGTAACGAGTTTTTATAGAAATATTCTTCTGAGTTGGAAGGCCTGGTAGCAGTACCATCATTTTTTATCAGGTCTTTCTAGAAAGGAATAAGTGTTGTATTCAGCCTCAACACATGCATATGGCCATTTGCCATTTGACTAAATATGTTCTAGTATATCTAGCATAGGGTATCAAAAAGATCACCTCCAATGTTTGAGTCTCTGTAACCAGGAAAAATGCCTTACTTACACAGTGACACTTTTACATCTCGTTTGTCATTGGAGACACGGTAAGCTCCATAGCCGGCCAAACATCCAACAAAAAGACCAGCAATCAAAGACGGAACACCACCTGGAAGGGGAAAAAAATATGAGATCACAAAGAGAATCCCAAAAGGAAAGGAATTCATTCCATTACTTCTAGTATGATACAGGCACCTTCAAATGTATTCCTACTTGGGCACAGTAACTGGACAAAGCCAAATTAAGAATAGGCCTCTTCATGGATACTTTCTAGGAGATGACTGTTTCCTGCTGAACCCAAATGCAAGGCAGAGGAGCCCTGAGGGCACAGCAGTGCAGTGGGGTTAGATGTCACTTGGGGAAATAAGAAAACCTGCCTTGTTCTGGTGGCTTGGACACTGATTACATGATCTTGGACAATTATTTAACTTCCTTAAGCCCTTCTTTTTTAATTTTTCCTATTCTCTTTGCCTCCTTTTTGCAATGAGGTTGTGATGATAAAAACTAAGATGCAAAGGTAGTTTTAGTTTATAGAGGTAAAGACAGAAGTGCTATACAAACCAAGCAATGGTTCCATCCTGAATAATTAACAAACCTTCATGCCTCAAGATGTCAGGACTCAAGGACTAATAGAGGCCCTACCAAGAAAGACGAAGAATCAGAATACTGACCCCAGCTACCCAGTCCCTATCCCATGCACTCACCCCACCAGTACACTCCCAGCCCCCAACCCACATACCCACCCCAGAGCACTGTGGCAAACACCAAGCACTTTCTGTGCACTGGACAGTGGGTTACATGGCAGTGACACTATGAATAAGACACACACAATCCTTGCTTCATGGAACTCACCCTATTTAGAATCTGTTAGGTTAAAATCCCTGGGGGGTAGGGTCAAAGCATCTCATTTTTAAAATATCCATTGGAAATTCAAATGTGCAGCCAGGGTTAAGAACCACTGCAGCACATGCATGCATACACACACAATACACACACACACACAAACACACAAACACAACACATACAACACACAAACACACACACACAACACACACACACACACCAGAGCAGCATTCTGAATGAGAAGACAAACACGCTAGGTTCTACTCCTAATTCTTTCACTTGCTGGCTAAAGGACTCTGGCTAAGTCACTTAGCCTCTCTAAGTTTTAGCAGTTGTAAAACGGGGTTAATCATCCATGCCATATATATATGTGTATATATATATATACATATATGTATATATATATATACACATATATATACACACACATATATATACACACATATATATATACACATATATATACATATATATATATATATATAAATATATAAATATATAGTGGCTTAGAATGTTACAGTTGGAGATAATGTTAAATTACACATTGTTTCCCCCAAAAGCTATTCTTCAAACACAGTAAGATGATCTTTTAAAAACATACATCTGGACAGGTCACTCTCCTAATTAAAAACCTTAGTGCTTCCCAAAGCTCTTAGGAAAAATAATCCAGTTTGCTATATTGTGGGAACCCTGGCCTTCTTTCAGTTCTCTGAATATACCAAACTCTATTCGTCATGGCTTTCAGACATACTGTTCCTTGTGCAGACTGCTTGTCTCTGCACTGTTCACTTGGCCAAGTGTAGCTCACCTTCGGATGTCTGCTTAAGTGTTGTCTTCTCCAACCCACCATTCTGAACAAGGGCCCCCATCATAGTCTTCCGCTATTCCTGATCATATGTTTATATGCTGTTCATGGATTGAATGTCAGTCTGCCCTTACTCACTTGTGAGCGATTGCTGTTTCCCCAGGGCGAGACACAGGGCCAGGTACATAGGAGCACTTGATAAATACTGATTTAATGCACCCCTATTATGGGTCATGTTCAAGCAGAAGATACCAGATAAGGATATTAAGGAGATTAAAACACTTTCTGAAATGCACAACTAGGTGACCATTAAGGTGTCTTCTCACCTAGAGATTCTATGATGCTCCTTTCTGTATACCCTGAAGGTTTATTTACTGTTAGGATCACCCCACCCCACCCTCCCCACCACCACCAAACACGCACACTTAAGTATGTGGAGAAAGTGGCAGTGTCTACACTTCAGTCTTGATGAGATCAGACAGCAAACAGCAGGGGCAGGCTCACCAGCAGCAAGAACCAGGAAGGTTCTTGAGACATTTCATCTTGCCTGAGGAAGGTGGCAGGACTGTGGGCTGTTTTACAAGAAAACCACGCTGGTGGAAGAAAGCAAAGATCCTGAGAACAAGCTCAGTGACCCATAGTGGGGGCTACAAGAAAAGGAGCTCTAAGCTCTTTTCCTTCCCACTTCCTGGGATGCCTGATCTGGGTGGGGCAGTCTTGGAAGAGGAGTTTTAAAAAGAGTTGAAAGATGCATCTGGGAGCTTCCCTGCAGGTGCTCTTATGGTCGTCCAAATAGCAGCCTGCCCAGCAAGCACACCTGCACCTCTCTGAAGGGATTGCTGTGTCAGTGCCCTTCCCTTCAACTGGAGTAGGAAGGTGTAAGGTCTGGTTCAGCCCTAGTGTGGGACAAGGCAGGGAATGCCATCTGGCCCTCTTTCACTCTGGGCACTCGATGTTACCTGGCCTAGGAAGAGCCTCCATATCATAGCATCTTCTTGGTCATCCACCTCTCTGGAGACCTACCTGGGAGGAGGGGTGAGCCCAGGCAAGCACAGTGCTCAGCATCCTGTGTCCCGCCACTGGCTGCCCTCTCTCCCCACTGTACCCCCATCAAAATAAAAATCTATCAGCTTCTCCGTTTAACCCAACTTGTGTCTCACAGCTGGTCTAGTTTAGGATTTGGATACATCTGTGTCCTCCCACTAAACACCATTTCGACATCACATCTTTCACCGACCCAAGATTATTCTCAATAACTGTCCCGTAGAAGGGTCTCCTGGCCCAGCTACATAGGACTCATACCTAGGGAAGCTCTAAGTCAAAGGAGAGTTAACTCACTTTACACACACATTCTAAGACATTCGAGCCACTGGCAGCTTAGAACATAATACAAAACTAGAGTACAAAACTAGAAAAAGGTATTATGCCTCATGGCTCACAGACCTCCCACTGGCAGGGCAGTAGCAGCAGAAAAAAACAAGAAGATTAAAACTTTATTCTATGCCAGGCACCATGTGAAATGTGTACCATGCATCATCTTATTTAATCCTAACAGATTAATTTACAGGTGAGGAACTGAGGCCCAGATGTTGAAACATCTCACCTGAGTATCAGTGCTGGTAAGTGGCAGCGTCAAGACTGGAATGCAGGAATGCTTGATTCTGTGGCCCATGCTTTTAACCCACATTATACTACAAAGTGAGCTTCCTTGTGAACCCATAATACCCTTGGGGGCTTCCAGGATCACTTAGTAGGGGGCTCTTGCAGGAGGCCAAGAAACCATATTGTGCAGGTGGACAACAAGCCCTTGAAATCAGAGACCTCACAGCTAATGTAATTTCATTTGTTCCCACCAGCTGGTAAACAATGAAGAGATGTGAGTTAGAATAAAATGATTCCTTCCACACACACACACACACACACACACACACACACACACACACAAACACACACATACACACACTCTCTATATCTCTCTCCCCACTTTCTTTCCACCTCTCATAAAGGCAGGCAAAAATGCCCAGATGTTCTTTTCTGTTCTGTAATAGAAGTTATTTAGACATTGTCTTTGACAGTGAAAATTTTTTTTCAAAAACAATCTTAGCATTTTAAACTGAGTTCTTTCTAAAGTAGATTGTGAAACATCAACCTCTGAGTACTTGGTTTACAGGTCTTACTTTGGTGCCATCATCTTTTTTTTTCCTTCAAATACACATCTCTAATACATACATTAAGACAGAAACAACGAACAAAAATCCAAGGTGAATTACAGGCTTTAAGGAATCGTAGATGATGGTCAATTCTACCTGCCAGCCCCCCAGCTACAAGAGCTATACGGTGCTTCTGGTCTTTGACTTCTTAGCAGCCTTTAAGGAAGGAAGCTAACTGGTAACCATGTAGACCTGGCTTTTTCACTCAAATTCAAGTCAACCACTGCCACAAATACAATACCCTTTGAAATAAAAAACTTCATTTAAAAAATGTCATTAAAACGTAAGAGACAGTTTGTCAGAAAGATGACTAAAGGTTGTGTATATATATGAAACATAACTAGGAGACATCATAACTATAAATGATTCTAAAATAAAAGTAAAATAAAAAAATTTGACCTTTCCTTTTTCTCCATGAAAACTCTTTAATTGATTACCTGAGTTTTTTTCCCCCCTCTTTTGGACAAAGGTGAAGAGACAACTTTGGATATGATAACTGAATATTTAACAATGTTTTCATTACAACACACAGGATCAATATAACTCAGTTTTTTGGTACCACGATTATGTAAAGCAAAAAAAAAAAATCCTCATTTAATAATAAGCAGTGGTCCTGAGGGAGATTAAATCAATTAACTATGCAACTGATGATGAAGTGAAGTGAGAGTTTTGTGGTGGAAGAGAGGCCCAGAACCCCCAGGTTGGAACACTCTGTCATGCTCAGCCCCACGGAAGCCTCTTCCTTTCATGAGTCCCTTCCAAGACACGCTGGTCTTCAGCCACCTCTAAGGCATCTTTAGCTTCTCATCCTACTTACAGAGCCTCACATGACCTAGCACAACCTCCAAACCCCCACTAATTCCCTTTCATGAAAATTTGGGTTAGGCTTACCTCTCCGCTTATATCCAAAAATGCTTCCAAATGTCACGAGGGCTGCATAACCAAAACCGATCAGGTCCATTGGCAAGGTTGCAATTCTAAAGCAAGGGGGAAAGGACAAATTATACAAAATAAAAAAGTTTTGGGGAGGGAATGTATCTAAAAATGATACGCTTATATGGTTTGGCTGTGTGTCCCCACCCAAATTTCATGTTGAATTGTGATCCTGAGTGTTGGAGGTGGGGCCTGGTGGGAGGTGACTGGATCACGGGGGTGGCTGCTAATGGTTTAGCAACATCCCCCTAGTGCTGTTCCATGATCTAAAGTTCTCACAAGATCTGGATGTTTGAAAGCGTGTAGCACTTCCCCCTTCACGTGCTCTCCCCCTCCTGTCGCCATGTGAAGACATGCTTGCTTCCCCTTTGCCTTCCACCATGATTATAAGTTTCCTGAGGCTTCTCCAGCCACGCCTCCTGTACAGCCTGCGGAAGTTGAGTTGATTAAACCTCTTTTCTTCATAAATTACCGAGTCTCAGGTAGTTATTTAGAGCAGTGTGAGAATGACTAATACAAAGACATTCCACAGAATTACAGAAATTAATTTCTCTAGTCTACTAAAGAAAGGGAAGTTCGGCCAGGCATGGTGCTCACGCCTGTAATCCTAGTACTTGGGAAGACCAAGGCAGGTAGATGGCTTAAACCCAGGAATTTGAGACCAACCTGATCAACATGGCAAAACCCCATCTCTAGTAAAAATACAAAAAATTAGCTGGGTGTGATGGCATGCACGTGTGATCCCAGCTACTCAGGATGCTGAGTTGGGAGGATTGCTTGAGCCCTGGAGGTTGAGGTTGCAATGAGCCGTGATTGTGCCACTGCACTCCAGCCTGGATGACAGAGTGACACCCTGTCTCAAGGGAAAAAAGAGGTTCAAACTTCACCTCTCCCAACCCTCTACTTTCCCCTTCATCCTCATCACTGTTAAGCACACTCTGGGGGGTACCTCAAGCTGATTCTCCTCTGCCTGTCTTCAAGATCTGCCATACTCTCAGCTGTTCAATTCTTTCCACTTACCCAAATAAAACTTCTGCTCTGGTCAGCCAGGTCTCTTCACTGAACTGTGACACTACAATCTTCACTTTTCACTTCCATGCCTGAAATGTCCTCCCTCCCTGTCCACCTCCAAAAGCCCGACTATCCCCTGTATGCCACCTCCCTTTAAACCTTCTCCCCTGACTTCTACCCTTATTAATTACCTCCTAATTTCCTTGACTCTAGTCTGTACTATCAAAGTGATCTGGAGCAAATGCCTTCTTCCTCCTCTAAATTCCTTAACTTCCACAATTCCATCTTATAATTCTTTCATGTCTGTACAGATATTAGTCCTCTCATTCTTTACAGATGGATGTCTTCTTGGAGATTGACTAATTCAGTTTAAACAATGGCTTTGTCATTAGTTTCCTTGCAAGATAGCTCTTCTGTGGTAGCAGAGACATCCACACTTAATCAATGGCAAATCACTAAAGAATACAATATAGCCCCAGCATGAAGTTAAATGGATGACAATGACATCCTACTGTGCATCATAGCAGCAGCTGAAACATACCCAGTGGTGAGAAGTTCCACTGAAACCCTGCCCACAATTCTCTCAGATGCAGTAGATAGCGTGCCAGCCACAGGCTAGAGATGTGGCCACTGGGCCTCAGACCATGCCCCTCCCTCACCCTCAACTCTCCCTGCAAGTTAGGAGAATAGATGAAAAGAGTTCTGGAGTTCTTTACAGCTTTTTAAGTTCTAAGACCCCTAGTGGTGCCTTTATTTCTGAGCTTTCTCACGTCTATATTTCTTCCACAGGGAAGGTAATTATCTTTGTAAATGTGAGGAATGGTAAGTGAGATTCCTTGCATATTTTTACAATTTTCTCATTGCTTATCATTTAGGTTAATGGGCCTTTTATCTCCCATTATCAATTGGTAATAAATTAATGTAGAACATAAAAAGGGGCCAGGCGAGGTAGCTCACGCCTGTAATCCCAGCACTTTGGAAGGCAGAGGCTGGTGGATCACTTCAGGTCAGGAGTTTGAGACCAGCCCAGTCAACATGGTGAAACCCCTTCTCTACTAAATATACAACAAATTACCCGGACGTGGCATGGTGGTGCATGTCTGTAATCCCAGCTACTCAGGAGGCTGAGACCGGAAAATCCCTTGAACCTGCGAGGCAGAGGTTGCAATCAACTGTGATCGTGCCACTGCACTCCAGCCTGGGCGTCTCAAAAAAAAAAAAAAAAAAAAAGAAGAAGAATTTTGAGCTGATCTCAGAGTCATCCACTAGAACTTACTATGAGGAAGGGTATGGGGGAGGGAAGCTGAGGCACAGGAGATGACAGCACCAAAAAGGAGGCAACACTGAAAAATGCTCATCATCTGCAGGAAGGAGAATTAAAACAGGAGAGCTCATCTGTGGCCGAGAAGTGGTACAGTAGGATGTAGCATGTAGGGAGAACCTGGGTCCAAAAACCATTTGCTGACTGAATGATGGCTAAACAAATAATAATAATAAAGAGGTTATAATGTTTTTGAGCAATTACTATGTGCTAGGTGCCATTCTAAGGCATTCTAGGTGCCTTATGTGTATCAACTCATGTAATCATGACCACACCCTATGGTATGTACTGTCATGATTATCCTCATTTTCCAGATGAGGAAAGTGGCACACAGAGAATGCAAGCAATGCCTGAAGGTTATACAGCAAAACAAAGATCTCTGACTTAGGGAAGTCTCAGTCCTAACCTCTATGCAACATCACCTCTGATAACTGAGTTAGCTGCTGAAAAAAAGCGAACATGTAAACCAAACATGTTCTTCAGAGTTTTCAATTCTGGATCAATCACATGCTCTTCATAGCTTAAAGTTGTGACCACAGGGCACTGTGTTCCATCTGGTAACTTACAATGTTCAGCCCCATGAACTTCTCATGTTTGATCCTACTTATTATCTTTCTAAAGGAGCTAACCATATGCTATAAAGTATGCTTATCTTCAAACCTGATACCACCACTTACTAGCTGTGGAACCTCAATAACTCAGTTTCTCCATCTTTAAAATAGGGATAACAAAAATATCTACCTTATAGGATTGTTCTGAGAATTAAATGATTTAATACTGTAAAGCACTTAGAACAGTGCCTGCACATACTGAGCACTCAACAAATATTAGCTGCTCCAATGATTACTCTTCTCATTCACCCTTACACCTATTTTAAGCTTGACATGTGTAAGGCTATTACTATTTCAGCACACTGAGAAAACTGAGGTAGGGTGAATTTGTAATTTAGTTAATGAATCATACCATAGTATTATAACATATATTTGTAGTCAATTCGACTTAACAGCTATTTATTTAGCATTTTCTTTAGGCAAGGCAGCAGGAAGCAATGGTAAGTGCTAAGACATGGCCTTGGTCCTCCAGGAACTATAGTACAACACAGCTGTAGGAGGCAGATGTGTGAATGAGCCCTAAGAGGAGAGGTGTGGGTACCATAACAAGGAGTGGCACCCAGCAAGGACTGGGAGCCTAAGGATGCCCAGATCAAACAGGGTCCCAGCTGGGACCTTGGAGAGATGTTGTGCCAAACCCCTATTAACCTCAATAAGGAAGGCAACAGGTTCAAGAGGCCAAAAGAGACCCATTAGGGGCTTACAAACAGAGGAGGGAGTCCAGTGGTGGTGAGCTGGGCAGGAAAACAACCGCTTGCAAACATCATGCAATTTATGCAGCATTTTCACTTAACACCCTCCCCTCAATGACCTCTACCTGGCAACTTGATTTAACTCAAAATTCAAGGCCTCAATTCCCCGTATGGCCCCTGTTCTATGGGACAGGTGGGGCAGGGGCTCAGATGTTCTTCATAGACAAGAAATAAATCTCTGGGTTGGGCAGGCCTGGGTTCCCTAGTTCAGAAAACACATTCAGGTTCATCTGCCACACAGGGTCATTCTAAGGGTATGCTTTAATTATTGCTGTCAGGTGCATTTACCCTACAGGGGAGCATGAATAAGTCAAGTGAAGAGGGTGCAGGGAAGGGTGTTCCTGGCAGAAGGGAGCGCATGTGCAAGGCCCTAATGGCACAAGAAAGCATGTTCTCAAAATGAAAAGTGCAAGGGGCTTGTGAAAAGAGAGGGTGCTGGTGAGAAAGACAGGGCTGTACACCCACATAAGCCCCGTAAAGGGAGTCTGGTTCCGTCCTAAGGGCAATGAAGGATCACTGAAGGGAGCCTCACAATCAGATTTAAATTCCAGCAAGCACTTCCCAGTTGCAGTAGTGAAGATGGGTTGTGAAGTGAGGCAGGGAGATAAATCGGGAAGCTGTTGCAGTAAAGTAAGCAAGAGCTTAGTTGATAACGGTAGGCTTATCTAGAGAAATGGCAATGAGAATGGAGAGAAGGTGGACAGATTTCAGAAGTTCAGGAGGTAGAATCAGAATTGAATTTGAGGCGGGAAGGGAAAGTCAGGGGTGAATCAGAGATGACTCACCCCTAGGTATCTGGCTTAGACCATTAGGAGAAGTAGGGAGTCGGGGAGCCTCATGCTATTCCCTGAGACAGAGAACATGGGAACAGCAGCAGGTGTGTGGCGGTGGGAAGAGGGAGGTGGCTAGGAATGATGGGACCTGTTTAGAATGTATTCAGTCTGAGACGCCCAACACACAGTCCGGAAAACACCCTTACATACAGATCTGAAGCTTATGAGAGTTCTTTCATTATCAGGTGTAACTTCTAGACCTAATTTTCTCCTAAAGCTAAGTAGCTGTTGTGAAAGATTAATTCCACTCCATCCTGAGCCCCCCAGCTCTTCCTGCGATCTTCTCTTGAGGACCCATACCCTTTTACTTGGTTGGGATTCTCTCAACTCTCAGCCAGCCAAGCTCCTTGAGGGCAAACCAAGGTTCAGTTTATCTTTGTCCTCCTCACAGCACCAAGAACCCTGCCATGCACAAGGCAGGTACTTAAAATACTTGTTAAATGAATAAATGAGTGAGTGAACCAAAGGAACAGCTTCTGCCTGAAGACATTCTGTAACTGACCTACCCAATACAGCTTTATTGCCAGGAAACAGGTAGCCCCTTAATCTCCTTAGCGAACTGACTGTTGTTCTAAAGAGGCAAAATAAATCTACTCCCAATGCTTGCAAGAAGATTCTGTTCTCACAGAGAATATTCAGACAAAAGAATCACCTATTCCATGACGGAGCCATGTGGCCAGGCCAGAAGCACACATTAAAGCCAGAGGCTGTGTTAACATGGAAGGGATAAGGTGGGAGAGGATGTGCACAGCACATCACACGCTCTCATCACAAATGTGATGCTCAAGCCTTGGAAGGACTAAAACGCATCTTGGATGCAATGCAGCAAAACGATTTACCATACCAGGTACAAAACAAGGTGACAGGGGACAGCCTCGCTGCCCGCCCCAAATCCTCCAAAATTCGGAGAATTAAGAGATTTTCGGTGAACTGTTACATAAAAAGCATTTTCACATGCTAAAGATATAACAATTACCTACCCTTGAGCTCTTGGAGGGCACAAAAGGCACATTTTCGAGTGGGGTCTGGGTGGTGCTGAGAAGGTTAAAATCCTGCCAAGCATTTTGCAATGGTCCATGAGCCCACCCCACCACCCCAGATCCAGGAAGGTAGGAGGCAGGATAGGTGGGATATTTAGGGATACCAGAAGGCAGAAACTCGGGAGGAGGAGAAAAATGATACCGCGGAGGTAAGACCGATGCCCTGCAAAATCCCCTCAAGGTCCTCTGCATCATCGTTTGCTGTACAGGTTTGGCGCGGGGGAGGGGATGCCCGCTAAGCAACGCCCCTTATATTTCTGCAGTTTTGTAAGAAAATTCAGAGCAGGAAGGTCTCCATTGCGGGATGCACAGCTCACCTGCAGCCCCGAGCCTTCACTGCAGCTGAAAAGACAGAAGTCTGGGGCCAGCTGCCGCCAAGCGCGGTACCTGGAGTCCGGAAGCAGTCTCCGCACCAGCGCTGTCCCACTCGGCGCCCAGCCGTCTCGCGCTGAGCAAAGGCCGCTCCCTCCTGGAAACGCCCTCCCTGCCGCGCGCATGCGCTGTGTCCCTTCTCGCCTTGCAGGACTCCACCCGGTCCATGCCCTCCGGCTGAATCCGGGCGGCCTGTAGGCCAGGCAGCCAGGAGGCCCTGTGCTGCAACATCCCGGCGGCAGCCGGACCCGTTGCTCCGTCTATCCTGCCTTCGGCCCTGTCCTGGAGCCAGGGCTGGGGTTTGCTGCCTCCCGCCTGACGGAGCAGGACTGGCAGGAAGCGTGTTTGCAAGAAGCCAAAATTACAGAAGGCGAAGATTTTTAAATTAACTCCATTCATCTTTCAAGGGACATTTCCAGAACCTCCAAAAGGCAACCCGAGGTCTTCTACACACCCTCCAGCAGACTGTCCCCACTGTCAGTGGAGGGAGCTAAGGTTCAGTGAGGTCAAGTGACTTAGTTGTCCCAGGTCAAAATCCAAGTTTGCCTGGTGTCAAAGCCCAAGCACCCTTCATTACACTATGGGATCATCTAGATGTGGTTGGGAGACGAGGATCCTAGTTTTAAACTTCAGGCCCAGGATTTGCTGGGTTTAGATATCTACTGGGAAAGGTATAGAATTCCAGAGTTGGAAAGCACTTAAAACCTTGCCTAATGCAAGGCAATCCGCTCAATCCCAGGAACGAAACTTAAACTGACCTTATTTTTTTTTTAAATACAGGATCTCAGTCGGTCGCCCAGGCTGGAGTGCAGTGGCACCATCCCGTCTCACTGCAACCTCTGCCTCCTGCCTCCTGGGTTCAAGCGATTCTCCAGCCTCAACCTCCCAAGTAGCTGGGATTACAGGTGTGTGCCACCTCACCCGACTATTTTTTTTTTGTAGAGACGGGGTTTCACTGTGTTGCCCAGGATGGTCTTGAATTCCTGAGCTCAAAGCAATCCTCCCGCCTCTGCCTCCCAAAGTGCTGGGATTACAGTTTAAATTGACTTTAAATTATGCCTCCCTGTAGCAACTTATCATCTCAATCTTCTGCCTTCTTGATTGAATACAGAACTCCGACCCTCTTCCTTATGTAACAGCCCTTTGGAGATTTGAAGAAGGTTGTCATAGTGAAGTAGCTCTAGAGGTTCTGTGTCACTGAGAATTACAGCGGAATTCCTCAGAATAAAAAAGGAAACTCAAAAATTAAATCTTGTGAAGTTTGTTTGCTACATCTATTCTTTGTGCATAAAAGTGCTTCAGGGAAGTAATATAACTACATCTAACTTATGAAAGTCTAAGTTGGTCCTGGGGAATTAATAAAATTCCTGAAGATTCACAGAAGAGTTGATGGCAAGGCACTGGAATGTGGCGTGGAGAAAGTGATAGCCTGAAATTTGGTTCTGAGTTCTCTCAGCCCTCCTTTCCATCCCCTTCTATGCCCATCCTTACCCCAGCCTCCTCACCTTCTCTCCTCACACTCTCAGAACACTTACCCTATTTGGAATAAAACTAAAATCCTCTTGGAATACTTCATTATCTTCATCTGATGTGACCTGGGTAAATAACTCCCCTCTGGACCTCAGTGCCTGGATTTAAGATATGGACAAGACTAGATGCTCTGAGATCCCTTACACCCTATCACCAACATACTCGAAGCTGGAAACAGCCTCATGATATTCCTACTCAAGGCGTATCACCTAAAACTAAAGAAAAACTCTTTGAATATTATGGGAATTCCATACCCTTGAATATGTGGGAACAGGATGGTTCTTAGGCAAAGGGACCACTGCCCTCTCAACTCATAGGCACCAGCTGCTGCCTTCTCCAGCTAATGGAAAGGCTGCAGCCCAAGGTAAGGATGCAGGAAAGCCTATTCCCCTCAACTGTTTTGTAAAGCTTTCTATGCATGATCCACAGCAGAGACTCTTAACTTTCAATGTGTCACCAACCTCTTTGGCAGTCTGGAGAAATGCACAAAATAAAATACACAGGATTGCAAAGGAAGCCAATTTTATTGAAATGCAATTTCATTGAAATCAAATTCTTAAACATTTAAATCTGTCACATAATAGATGTGCTTCTTTATTAACATATTAAAGATTACAAGACCTAGGGGGTGGATCTAATTATTACCATAATTTCAGAGTGGTGCTGTACATAAATATTTTAAGATATCTGTAACGTGGATATCTGTGATTCCTAGTGATGACAGAGACACAGGTACTAATACTGCTGTGGTTTGTTGCCTATTTTCCTGATGGAAATAAATAAAAACTTTTTTCCATCGAAGTTTTCAGATTTCCTGATTTCTATCCTCTGGCCCCTTTAGATTCACAGATTCCAATTTAAGAACTCCCAGTCTATAATAATGCAAGTTTTCGTAAGTTGTACATAGATGGAATCAGAGAAATGGAAGTAAGGTGAAGAGCCTCACTGACTGGCTGGCTGCTCAGGCAGGGCCTCACGGGATGGTTACACCCTGTGGATCCTGAGCCTGCTCCTCATTTTCAAATGTTCAGAAACTCAGTTTGTCTCAGTTCTTCTGGGGGCACCCTGGCTTTTGAGAGACAGATTCATAAAAATCAGAGTCACAAGGGACTTACTGATTTTTTTAAGGCCCACTTCAGATTCTTGATTTTTTTCTCCTTTCAGATTTCAAACAATGTCAAAGGACATTATTCTTGTCCTTTGAAAATATGATCTTATGGCAGGCCAACATTTTAGCATCGTTTCTATGGCTCACTTACAATGACAGCCATCTTGCAGGCACACGTCTAAAGAGGTTACCTTCCATTTCTGTGAAGTCAAAAATCTCCATAAGTGCTTTTGCACTTTTTGAGGAAATTGAAAAGTAACCAAAAGCTTTCATTATGAAAGTCTCAATGTCACATTTAAGCAACTCACATCCCTTTTTAGCAGTGTTGTATATAAGATGTACAAGGCATTGAATGGATAAGATCTTTTCATTTTCTTTGGTAAGAAGTTTGTAGACTGAATGCAATTTGCCAAAATTTTACATCTATACTGTCTGACGAATACACAGATAGATGAGCTAAGTCTAGTTTGTATTTAGACAAAATATCAACAATATTTTATGATTTCAGCAGTTTCATTAAAATCCTCACAGAAATGAAGAAGATGATTTGAAACTCCTGTTTTCAAGTCAAAGTACCTAACAGCTAGAGGGAACATATTTTTGCTGCCATGATTTGGCATATTACTTAAAATTGATGTACTGTAGAAACCAGGATTGTTGGTGAGATATGACAGAAATTGGCTTTATACTGTAAGGAGCCAACACATCTGTTATCAAAAAATTTCCCTTCTTCTTTGTCCAGAGGATATTTTAGCTGCAATTCTTGAATCAGGAAATGAAACTTTACTCAGTTTCATAGAGCAATCAAGGGAACGCTATGACAATGCAGGCTTATTTGCCTGGTATGCCCATGCTAATTCAGCAGCTGCTATTTTTGACTGAGCATTGGTGTCTTTTGGGGAAACAAAGGTATTTTTGATTGGTTTAGAAGCATTCACCTGTCCCATCTTACTTGTGAGATTTGCCCTCCATATGTGCTTGCACATCCCCTTCTCCACCATGTCCAATCTCAAATTTTTTTCTGTATATTATGTAGTATGCTCTGTTTTGGTTATTTACCTTCCTAGTTCAGTAGTATGTGTCCTTCCATCCATCATCAAAATTACATAGTCGTTTAGCCTTCTTCTTCAGTGATGGGGTCATGGTTGCATTGGTATTATAACCATTCTCATTATCTGACCTCTTAGAAAACATGGTCACAATATTCACAATGTTAAAAAATTAAACTAGCACTATCTTGTTACAAAGCACACCAATTAATCCACAGGCAAAGTCGAAGATGAACTATTAATAATCATTATATACACTTAAGCCACATCACTTTGAATGATGCAACGATGGATGGATGACCATTCTGAACTACAAATTATGGTTGCCAGTATCAGTGGTCAAATGGGTGACAACAAGTAAAGATGAATAATCTGTGCCGTATCCATTTGATAGACAATGTTGCTTTCAGACCCTCTAAAACTTACGGGTTTTGTGCATTTCCTCCAACCTTCCACACTTTGTTGCTAAAACCAGGATTATTTACATTCCAGGGAAGGGTCTCCCAGGACACAATGCTCTCAATGCTAAAATGGGATGGTTGGTTACCCTATTGGGTTGCCATTAACCAAAGGGCTACCTCTCCAGAGGCAGGAGGGGAGGCACATGGAGGTAGAGACTCCTCACCTTGCTTCCACTGATGGTGTTAAATTTCTCCAGAATATTTCTCACAGGTTCCTCTTCTTTGGGGGGTGACGAAAACAAGACATTGTCTTTTGTTAGACTTTGGATCCACTGAAAGTTCAATGGCCTCCATCTGGAAACACAGGCAAAGCTCAGGGCCAATGCCTTCCCCTGGCTCAGGCCCTAAAGGGAACTCAGAAAAGGCGGCCCTCCAAAGGCAAGAAAGGAGGTGAGAGCAGCTCCACTGACAACTCCACCAGCCAAGGAAAACAGAAAAAAGCATCCACTGGTGGCTGGTGGGGAGCATAAACCATATCCTGGGGAGAAATTCACCTCCCCAAACTCACCAAAGTACTCCCTTACCTTCTCCTCAGTGGCTTTGGGAGTTCAGGTGCCCTGCAAAGATTTTCTTCACAGGATATTTCTTCATGACAGTGGCTTTTTGGGGGTCCATGCTATGGCAGCCCAGCCTGTGCTCCTTCTGCTCTAGGATCTGTTCCAACAGAAGGGTAAGTGGATCAATCATCCAGATTTGCCAAGGACTAAGGGGTTTGGGGACTTTCAGGGCTAAAACCAGAAGTAAGGAGTTTCCTAGGAAGCAGGACTGTCAGTGCTAAAACCACAGCTAAGGGATTTCCCAGGATGAGGGACTTTTAGCATTAAAACTGGGACGGTTCAGTTTCCCAAGATGTAAGACTTTCAGTGCTAAAACCTGGACAATTTCTTCTGAGAAGGGGGTTAAGTAGACTCTGGTTCTAATTCTGTTTGGCATTTCTTAGTAGCATTACCCGAGGCAGGTTCTTTCTTTCTGAGCCACAAGATTCTACCACAGGTGGAATACACAAACTACAGGTGCACAAAATATTTTATCCCCTCCAAACACACCACCCTCTACCTAAGCCTGACTTCCCAATTTTCTCCAAAACAGAAATCCACCTGGTTTACCTCAACACATATAAATCGGTCCTCACTCCCTCTGAACCTTTTGTCCATGCTCTGAGTTTTCTTCCTGGCCTGACAGTCCCAGTCTAAGACTTGCTTCCTCCAGACATAAAGCTGCGCTACAGGGTTGGAATCCTTGCTGTTCCACGCTTTACTCACTATGTGGTCTCTTCTAGTTGCTTAATCCTCTCTGCATCTTAGTTTTTCCTTCTGTAAAATGGCACTGAAATGCTTATCTAAGAATCTTTGGGTGTTTTTCTAATCCTTATATGTGAAGCATTTAGTGCAGGGGCCCAAACAGGTACTAAATGTCCACTCTCCCCTTCCTGGACCACTCCCGCCCATATATTTAATACTTTTCACTTCCCACTTAATCCATACAGGAACAAGTTCCTAAACTCTGCTTCCCCCAGTGCACTTGGCCACATGCAGCTCAGACAAAATGATCATGATCCAGGAATGCCTTCTCTTGGAAATGCAATCCTGCACACACAGACCTTTGATGGAATACACAGCTTACCTTCTCTACGGGGGCTGCAGCTTTCAAGATAGCAAACGTCAACCCTCTTGGTCTTCCAGTGTTGGGATTCATTTTGGGGGATGGTCCACGACCTCTTCAATTGTGGTGAAACAGTCTTTTGGGTCCTTTTTGCTGGTATCCCAGCTCTGGTTCATTGGTGAGACGAACGGTAGGGTGAGACACATGGCCACGAGAAGTCTTACGACAAAGCCATGCGCTTAGAAAGTCTTACAAGAAAGGCAAGAGTTTGGGAGGGCTGGATTTCCCAAAGCTTTCACTGGGAGGATTACAAATAAAGCTACCACCCATGGCAAAGTGTCTACACCCACCCACTCTGGGTCTGCAAAGATTCTACCTCCGACAGCTGTTCACAAATCTACTCTACCTCCTTACTGAGATCCACCTTGGTCCTAACAGAACTTAACATCACCACAAACCCCCAGGGTGGGAGAGGAAAAGGAAAGGCAACCTCTCAGGGCGCAGGCCCCATGCACTCGTCACAGGTGGAAGTTAGTCTAAAAACCCTCTTATCAAAGGGCTGTCGTCTCTTCTATCCCTGTCTTCCCCGGCGCTTAGGTGTCGCTCTCAAGGAACTCGGTCTTCCTGGGCAGAGCCCGCGGTCAGATCCTGACTCCGAGCCCAGGTGGAGGGAAGGAGAGAAGAGGAAGGGAGGGATGGGAAGCCTTGCCCGGGTCGGAGCGCACATCCTCCTCCCGAGTCTCCGCTCTCTCCCCTGGGCGGCTCCTGGACGGCGCAGACGTCGATCCCACAGGTCCAGCCAACTCCCACAGCACCTGCCCCGCGTCCCCCTAGTTCTTGCCGCCGTTCTGGTTGGCCTTGGCGCCGTTCTGGCCCCGCCCCGGCGACCCGCCGTCGGCGGCTGCCTCGTATGGGTTCTCGGTGGCGCCCGTAGTCCCCAAGACCTTCTTCCTCTAACTTGCTTCTAACACACCCGGCAGGGGAGCAACCGCCTCAGCCTGGGACAGCCCGGCTTTGTGGGAGCAGCGGGCGCGCTTTATAAGGTCCGAGTTAGGGGACGGACCCACCTTGCCCAAACTACATGTTTATTGGCTAGTTTTGCCTGACACTCAGCCAGGCACCGCTGTCCCATTGGCCGCGCTCTAAATCCCGCGGATTTGTCCTCTAGCAACGTCTCAGAGCCAGGACCCTGGAGAGGGTCCAAGAGATCCCGCGGAAGGATTGCAGGGGCAGGTCCAGGGCCAAGAGGCTCCCATGCGCCCTCCGCCCGCCGAGCCCGCAGCCTCTCGACCCCGCGCGTCTGTGTCAAGGCATGGCCAAAGTGAGAAAGAGCCAAGACAAAACAAGTTCAAATAGCAATAGCAAAACAACCAAAAGGAAATTCAAGGAAAGCAAATATAAATGAGAAAAATATAATTAAGCAAAAATGAATGTTCGCAAAGGCAAGACAAAAAACCAAGTCAAGGAGTAGGTTCAAAGAAAAGATGAAACGTGAATATAATTTAGGATATTTATACCGATTCCTATTGAAATCTCGACAAGTAAAAATTTTACTGTCAGTGAATCAAACTTTCATCCTTCTTGCCTTTCCTATGAAAGGGCAGCAGGGGGCACTAGATGCTAGGGTTTGATTCGGCTAGGAAAGGCGTTTTAGCACGTTATTTGCAAACACAAAATAGTGTTCTGTTAAAGTTCAGAGATAGTTATAAAAGTTAACAGGAAGTGGGGAAACTAGAGTGATGGTCTACAATCTGGGATGTTAAAGAGACTGAATACAGTCACAGGTTCTTAGTTTCTGTTTCTGGCTGGGCCAGTAAAGCCCCTTCCTCATCCCTCTTTTCAGCTTCATTAGAGACAGAAACTAAAAACCACGGCTTCAGGCTGCTAAAAGCCTAAAACAAAACAAAACAGAACAACAACGACAACAGAATAAGGCGGGTTGGACAAGCTTAGTACATAGAAGAATGTGCGAAAAAGGTATATGATTTCTGTACACCCTGTTGGCTAAGTAGTACAGTGTCCTGAAATACTGGGAGGGTGGCAATTACAAAGAGTAAGGGGCAGTTTTTCAGAGGTGAGCTCTGAAAAAGATGCAGGACAGTGGAGAGTGACCACCAGGGCGCCAGGCTGACTCTCTGTCCTCAGCCTGCCATATGGACCCGTTTTGAACTTTTACCAAGGCCATGGGACTTTCCATGCTAAAACCAGGACCGAGGGTTTCCCAGACAAGGGACTTTCCTATAAGCAATAATGGTTACAATAACAACAACAACAAACAACAAACACTTAATGAGTACCTATTGTGTGCCAGGAACTATTCTAAGCATTTTACAAGTATCAACTCTTAATCTTCACAACAACCCTTGAGGTAGATACTCTATCCTCCCTACCTTACAGAGGTGGAAACTGAGGCAACTCACCAAAGGTCATGCAAACAGCTAAGAAGTGTCAGATCCAGGCTTTTTGCTTGTTTTTTGTTTTTGTTTTTGTTTTGAGAACGGAGTCTCACTCAGTCTCCCAGGTTGAAGTGCAGTGGTGCGATCTCAGCTCACTGCAACCTCTGTCTCCCAGATTCAAGCGATTCTCATGCCTCAGCCTCGCGAGTAGCTGGGATTACAGGCACTCGCCACCACGCCCGGCTAATGTTTGTATTTTTAGTAGAGATGGGGTATCACCATGTTGGCCAGGCTGGTCTCAAACTCCTGACCTCAAGTGATCTGCCCACCTCGGCCTCCCAGAGAGCTGGGATTATAGGTGTGAGCCACCGTGCCCGGCCCAGATCCAGGTTTAAGAAAAGTGTAGGTGTGCAGGCTCTGCTGTCATTCTGTCCGGGTTTAAGTCAAAGCTCCACCACATACATTAATACAGGAAAATACATAACATTATGACTAGCACGTAAGAGATACTCAATAGTATTTGCCATTATTATTAAAAAGAGTTGTCCCTGGTATCCAGAAGCTTAAACTTTAGTGGAAGAGGTTCATAAGAGTCTTAAAGCAGTAGTAGTGCTTATTGGATGGGTGAATGGAATAGATAATAAATGCATATAAGCATCCAGAGGAGGAACAGTTCTGAAATAGAGTGGTCAGGTATTCAATGTGGCACCCATTTAAAATTCTGCCTGAGCATCCTGCATGTCACCATTAGAAGGCAGCTTCTGCTTCTCAACAGCTTGAGCTAATCATTACAGTCTTGGTATTTGATGATCACAGGCATGTGTATGTTTAACTAAAATATACTCTTCTGGGCTTTTTTTAAGAGACAGGATCTCACGCTGTTGCCCAGGCTGGAATGCAGTGGCAAGATTATAATTCACTGTGGCCTCAAATTCCTGGGCTCAAGTGATCCTCTCATCTTAGCCTCCCAAGTAGCTGTAACTGCCACACCCAGCTAAGGCGATCAATTGTTATTTGTCACTACTATTCTGTTAAAAAACGGTGTAATATCTACTTTTTTAACTGGAGAAAGCATTTATTATTATTTTTTGGAGTTAACATTTATTAATTCAACAAGCAACTATGAGATGTCAAGCCCTGGAATAGGACTTAGAAATCAACAGACTGCCATGTCAGAGACTAACTCTGAAGTAAGGAGAGTGGGAAGGGCTGTTATTTTAATTGAAACCTGAAGTCTGAGAGGGAGCCAGCAGGCCAAGAGCCAGGGGAGCCACAATGCGGGCAGCGAGAATGGACCAAGCAAAGGCCCTGGGTGGGGAAAGGGCTCTGTGCCTCATAAGAACCAAATGATGCCGCTTAGGGCTGAAGATTTGTGAATTAGAAGCAGAGTGAATTGGTTCAGCAACAAGCTATGTTCACAAAGAATCTGGGCTGAATATGGTTTCTGCCTCTGAGTCTTCTATTTAAATCAAATGGGCTGTGCAGTCTCCAGATGTTGCTGAATGGAAACTTTGCATGATGGGGTGAGAGGTAATCTTTGTGTGTAGCTTGTTTTTCATTGGTTGCCCTTAACTGAATTTAATGCAACATGTCTCTGTACATTGAAGGCCAGAAGAGCCTCTGTCTTGGATGACATGACTACTGACTCTTCTATTTGGCTTTAACAGTAAAAGAACTGTGTTCTTCTCTATGGTAAATGGATTTACATGCATTCACTGGCATATATGGACAAGACAACTTCATCTTTTCTAAAAGAGATTTTCTTGGAAATAAAAAACAAAAACAAATATTAAAGATAACTCAATCTTTCCTATTCTGTTTGTCCCCATGGAGCTGCTACTGTACTTGTGATTCTTGGAGTGTAAAAATCAAACAGGAAATTGGCTTGGTGAGAAAGAAGACTTGATGTGCAGGGCTAATCTATGTGTCTACAGGTCTCTGTGAGCAAACAACCTAATGCAATGAAAATGGCATCCTTCAGGAAAAACAGATTATCTTATCTGATAAGGTTGCCTCTTCTCATTACATTAATGTTACTCTGATAACACATTTTAAACAATGTTTTTAATTTAAAAGAAAAAGTCCCAAGAGAAGGCTTAGACTGAAAAATAGGGCATGATAATACTTGAAAATATGCAACTCAGGAACCTTCTAAAATCCTCTCAACAATGCAATGGGACACGCTCACTGTTAAGGTCAAATTGGGTACAAGTTTAATGAGAGAAACGGTTCAGTCCCTTTCTCCCTCCTTTCTTTTATAGTTTGTTCTAAGAGGGCTGCTCGTTATAACAAGTTTAAGCGGGATCTCTAAGAAATTTCATAGAAAGGGCTGGGCACAATGGTTCACGCCTGTAATCCCAGAGCTTTGGGAGGCTGAGCCCCCAAAGGGCATATGGCTTGAGCCCAGGAGTTTGAGACCAGCCTGGGCAGCACAGTGAAACCCTATCTCTACAAAAAATACCAAAAACTTGCTGGGTGTGGTGGCATGCCTGTAGTCCCAGGTACTTGGGAGGCTGAGATGGGAGGATCACCTGAGCCCTGGAGGATGAGGCTGCAGTGAGCCAGGATTGTGCCACTGCACTCCAGCCTGGGTGACAGAGTGAGAGACCCTGTGTTAAAAAAAAGAAAAAAAAAATTCTTGGAAATAAGGGGAGTGAATATTAAAGGGATCTGAAATGCCAGCCAGGTGTAGATGAAGTGTTACTTTTGAAACAGAACAACACACCTGTAACACCTTACGCAGACTGTGGAACACCTAGGAGCATTTTTATAGCTCTCCTCTCAGGGTTCATTTCATAAAGATTACAGTAGCCCTCTTATCCATGGAGAGTACATTCCAGGACCCCTGGTGGATGCCTGAAACTGAATAGTACTGAACCGTATTACAGTCTACTATGTTTTTTTGATCTGATAACCAAGAGGGCTACTAAGTGACTAAACAAAAGGTAGCATAGACAGCATGGATATGCTGGACAAAGGGATGATTTTCATCTCAAGTGGGCTGGAGCAGTTGGTGTGAGATTTTATCATGCTACTCAGAATGGTGCACAATTTAAAACTTATTAATTATTTCTGGAATTTTTCCATTTAATATTTTTGGACAACCATTGGCTAAAACCGCAGAAAGTGAAACTATAAATCTACTGTATTGGGATGAAGATGAAGGGGAAGGAATTGCATTATTCATGAAATGGCTTTTTAAGACATTTTTGGGGCCAGGCACGGTGGCTCACGCCTGTAATCCCAGCACTTTGGGAGGCTGAGGCAGGTGGATCATTTGAGGTCAGGAGATTGAGACCAGCATTGAGGCCAACATGGTGAAACCCCATCTCTACTAAAAATTAAAAAAAGAAAAAATTAGCCAGGTGTGGTGGCACGCACCTGTAATCCCAGCTACTGGGGAGGCTGAGGCAGGAGAATTGCTTGAACCTGGGAGGCAGAGCTTGCAGTGAGCAGAGATTGCGCCACTGCACTCCAGCCTGAACGACAGAGTGAGACTCCACCTCGAAAAATAAATAAATAAAACATTTTTGGTAAATTATTCCAGTAGCAAAGTAGTTAGTAATGTTGGCTTTTAGGCTTAAGTTTTCAATTAGTGAAGTCAGATGAATAAGAAATGTCCAAGGCCTCTCCCTCATACTGACTGAGGCTGTGGCCAAAATGTAATAGGATGCGTCTATGTTGTTCCTTTTTACAAAGATATCTCTATAAAGAGAACTTTAGGAAAACTTTTGTTTCCTTCTCTTCTTAAACATCTCAGAGGCTTCTGAGATGCTTAATTCAGTGGTTCCCAAATTTGCTGCCTGTTGGATCACCTGGACATCTTTTAAAAATACTGATGTCTGGCTCCTTCTCCCGACATTGTAATTTAATTGCTATGGGCTGCAACCTAGGTATGAGAAGTGTTTTGTTGTTGTTTTGAGACAATTTTCTCTTATCGCCTAGGCTGGAATGCAATGGCGCAATCTCGGCTCACTGCAACCTCCTTCTCCTGGATTCAAGCGGTTCTCCTGCCTCAGCCTCCCGAGTAGCTGGGATTACGGGTACCTGCCACACATCGGGCTAATTTTTGTATTTTTAGTAGAGACAGGGTTTCACTATGTTGGCCAGGCTAGTCTCAAACTCCTGACGTCAGGTGATCCCCCCTCCCCGCACCGCCTCCGCCTCCCAAAGTGCTGGGATTACAGGCATGAGCCACCATGCCCGGCTGGGGAGTGTTTTTAAAATTAATTTTTTTATATTGAGATAGTTGCAGAATTACATGCAGTTGTAAGAAATAACACAAACAGTTTCCCTCAATGGTGTTTCCCCCAATGTTAATATCTTCCAAAATTCTAATAATACAATATCACAAACAGGACATTGACTTTGATACCGTCAAGATACAGAACATTTTCATCACCACAAATATCCTTTCCTCCCGTGGGTCTTTTATAACCACACCCACTTCCCCACCCACTGCAACTTTCTCTTTATCCTCTGGTAAGCTCTCATCTGTTCTCCATTTCTATAATTTTGTCATTTCAAGAATGTTATATAAATATAATCATACCATGAGCAACCTTTAGGGATTAGCTTTGTTCACTCAGCATAATTTTCTGGAGATTCATCCAGGTCGTTGCACGTATCAGTAGTTCATTCCTTTTTATTGCTAACCAGTATTCCACGGTATGGATATGCCACAGTTTGTTTAACCATCTGAATTGTTTCCAGGTTTGGGCTATTAAGAATAAACCTGCTATAAACATTTGTATACAGATCATTTTTGTGAAGATACATTTTTATTTCCCTGAGATAAATGTCTCTGAGTGGAATTATATAACACGTACATATTTAGTTTTTTAAGACACTGCCAAACTGTTTTCCAGAGTAAGCTGTACCATTTTATATTCCTACTAGCAATGAATGAGTGATCCAGTTTCTCCACATTCTTGCCAGATTTGGTGGTGTCACTATTTTATACGTTAGCCCTTCTGCTAGGTGTGTAGTGATATTGCATCATGGTTTTCTCTTTTGTTGTGTGTGTGTGTGTGTGTGTGTGTGTGTGTTTTCCAATGGAACAGCACATTTAATTGTCCTTAGGGTCCTCCTGGAGAGGGATTGTGGGGCCTTTGGCAAAGCTCTGGCCGATGGAAGCAACAGAGATGCCAGCATTTGGAGCTGTCGCTTAAGACAATTTCTGAGACTAGTGGGTAAGGAATGTTGCCTTTGAATAGAGAAGAGGAGACTACATTTAGAAAGGGGGAGAAGTGGTTTGTGTTGTGGAGAGGGACTCTAAGGTCAAGTTAGGAATGACAGGGAGTTGGTCACAAGGTCTTTCTTGGCCAGGTGAGAGCTGTAAGTAGAGTGTGGTGATGGAGTCCAGCAGGGGAACTGTGGGCCAGCTTGACTCAGGCCGGTTTCAGGAACTCCTGCAGCATGTTTTGTTCCACAGCCTCCATGAAGAGCTCAAAGCCTCCACGGTAGTGGTCCCCATTGACAATCCGGGGTGGGGCAGCCTTGGAGTTGCCCACCAAGACTCGCATCTCATCCCTCAGGGCGTTGTCCTGGGAGATGTCCACTAGTTGGTATTAGATGCGCTTCCTATCCAGGATTCAGGTCACCTCACTCTGCTGGGACTTGATTTTGTGGGAGCCAGTGACCGATGTGCTGTAGAGGTGCAGGCTGCTCATGCTGCAGGTAGATTGACAGGCCGGAGGGCAGAGGGCAGCGGTAATGGCAGCTGCACTATGAGGAGACTTCATCGCGGTTTTAATTTGCATTTCTCTAATGGCTAACGATGAGATTTTCATGGGCTTATTTGCCACTATTAGGTGAAATGTCTCTTTATGTCTGCATTAGGCCGTTCTTGCATTGCTTTAAAGAAATACCTGAGCCTGTAGTCCCAGCTATTCGGGAGGTTGAGGCAGGAGAATCGCTTGAACCGGGGTGGGGCAGAGGTTACAGTGAGCCAAAATCGCGCCACTGCACTCCATCCTGGGCAACAGAGCAAGACTCTGTCTCAGTCTCCCTCTCCCTCTCCCTCTCCCTCTCCCTCTCCCTCTCCCCATGGTCTCCCTCTCCCCACGGTCTCCGTCTCCCTCTCCCCCTCCCCATGGTCTCCCTCTCCCCACGGTCTCCCTCTCCGTCTCTTTCCACGGTCTCCCTCTGATGCCGAGCCGAAGCTGGCCTGTACTGCTGCCATCTCGGCTCACTGCAACCTCCCTGCCTGATTCTCCTGCCTCAGCCTGCCGAGTGCCTGCGATTGCAGGCGCACGCCGCCACGCCTGACTGGTTTTCGTATTTTTTTGGTGGAGACGGGGTTTTGCTGTGTTGGCCGGGCTGGTCTCCAGCTCCTAACCGCGAGTGATCCGCCAGCCTTGGCCTCCGGAGGTGCCGGGATTGCAGATGGTGTCTGGTTCACTCAGTGCTCAATGGTGCCCAGGCTGGAGTGCAGTGGCGTGATCTCGGCTCGCTACAACCTCCACCTCCCAGCCGCCTGCCTTGGCCTCCCAAAGTGCCCAGAGTGCAGCCTCTGCCCGGCCGCCACCCCGTCTAGGAAGTGAGGAGCGTCTCTGCCTGGCCACCCATCGTCTGGGATGTGAGGAGCCCCTCTGCCTGGCTGCCCAGTCTGGAAAGTGAGGAGCGTCTCTGCCCGGCCGCCATCCCATCTAGGAAGTGAGGAGCGCCTCTTCTCGGCCGCCATCCCATCTAGGAAGTGAGGAGCGTCTCTGCCCGGCCGCCCATCCTCTGAGATGTGGGGAGCGCCTTTGCCCCGCCGCCCCGTCTGGGATGTGAGGAGCGCCTCTGCCTGGCCGCGACCCCGTCTGGGAGGTGAGGAGCGTCTCTGCCCAGCCGCCCCATCTGAGAAGGGAGGAGACCCTCCGCCCGGCAACCGCCCTGTCTGAGAAGTGAGGAGCCCCTCTGCCCGGCAGCCACCCCGTCTAGGAAGTGAGGAGCGTCTCCGCCCGGCAGCCGCCCTGTCCGGGAGGGAGGTGGGGGTCAGCCCCCGCCAGGCCAGCTGCCCCGTCCGGGAGGGAGGTGGGGGTCAGCCCCCCGCCAGGCCAGCCGCCCCGTCCGGGAGGTGAGGGGCGCCTCTGCCCGGCCGCCCCTACTGGGAAGTGAGGAGCCCCTCTGCCCGGCCAGCCGCCCCGTCCGGGAGGGAAGTGGGGGGGTCAGCCCCCCGCCCGGCCAGCCGCCTCGTCCGGGAGGTGAGGGGCGCCTCTGCCCGGCCGCCCCTACTGGGAAGTGAGGAGCCCCTCTGCCCGGCCAGCCACCCCGTCCGGGAGGGAGGTGGGGGGGGTCAGCCCCCTGCCCCGCCAGCCGCCCCATCCGGGAGGGAGGTGAGGGGGTCAGCCCCCCCGCCCGGCCAGCCGCCCCGTCCGGGAGGGAGGTGGGGGGGTCAGCCCCCCGCCCGGCCAGCCGCCCCGTCCGGGAGGGAGGTGGGGGGGGTCAGCCCCCTGCCCGGCCAGCCGTCCCGTCCGGGATGTGAGGGGCGCCTCTGCCCGGCCGCCCCTACTGGGAAGTGAGGAGCGCCTCTGCCCGGCCACCACCCCGTCTGGGAGGTGTACCCAACAGCTCATTGAGAACGGGCCATGATGACAATGGCGGTTTTGTGGAATAGAAAGGGCGGAAAGGTGGGGAAAAGATTGAGAAATCGGATGGTTGCGGTGTCTGTGTGGAAAGAAGTAGACATGGGAGACTTTTCACTTTGTTCTGTACTAAGAAAAATTCTTATCCTGTTGATCTGTGACCTTACCCCCCAACCCTGTGCTCTCTGAAACATGTGCTGTGTCCACTCAGGGTTAAATGGATTAAGGGCGGTGCAAGATGTGCTTTGTTAAACAGATGCTTGAAGGCAGCATGCTCGTTAAGAGTCATCACCACTCCCTAATCTCAAGTACCCAGGGACACAAACACTGCGGAAGGCCTCAGGGTCCTCTGCCTAGGAAAACCAGAGACCTTTGTTCACTTGTTTATCTGCTGACCTTCCCTCCACTATAGTCCTATGACCCTGCCAAATCCCCCTCTGTGAGAAACACCCAAGAATGATCAATAAAAATAAAAATGAAAATTAAAAAAAAAAAAAAAGAAAGAAATACCTGAGACTGGGTAATTTAGAGGTTTAATTGGCTCACGGTTCTACAGGCTGTACAGGAAGCATAGCTCTGGCATCAGCTTCTAGCGAGGCCTCAGGAAGCTTACATTCATGGTGGAAGGCAAAGCAGGAGCAGCCGCTTCACATGGCAAAAGCAGGAGCAAGGTGGGGGAGGTGCAACATACCTTTTAAATGACCAGATCTCATGGGAACTTACTGTCATGAAGACAGCACCAAGCCATGAGGGATGTGCCCCCATGACCCAAACACCTCCTACCAGACCCCACTTCCAGCATTGGGAATTACATTTCAACATGGGATTTGCGTGGAAGAAAATATCCAAACTATATTAATGTCTTTTGCCCATTTTCTAACTGGAATTTTTTCTCTTACTGTTTAGTTTTGGGAGTTCTTTATATATTCTAAACACTAGTCCTTTGTCATATGTGGTTTGCAAATGTTTTCTTCCAGTCTGTATTTTCATGCTCTCAGCAGTCTTTTGCAAGGTAAAATTTGAAATTTTGATGTGTCAAATTGGTCAATTTTTCCTTTTGTAGTTTTGGGTTTGATTATCCAGCATTATGAACTGAATAGCCTCTATATCAGAGAGTCCCTCACTACAAAAAGCTTTCACGTTAAAACTTTCCAGCCAGATAAGGATATTCATTTTTGTTTTCTTCTTTCATTGTATTGACCTTTTAAAGATGTTTGTGGTTTTAGAGATTCCCTGTGGACATATAGAGACTTAAAGATTCCAAAGATTTGAACTGCAGGACAGCTATGACTTATTATCAGACTTTGTCCTTGACATTACAGACAAGATCTTCTCAAAGAAAGGGCTCTCTGCTAGAGGGCACATGGAGTTGATGGACATAAGGATAATTTCTGAACTCATATACAGGCTACACAAATTCATCAAAGACACAGCCATTGTGTAAAGAAAAAAAAATGTCACCATAATAGGAAGAGGTCAGAAAAAGGCTCAGATATCTCAAGTGCAATTACTATTCATTCATTTAAATGGAGTCCCTACTTATTCATTTAAAAAATAAAATAGGGAGAACTTAGGTGCAGTCCACGGGGGTTAGTCATTATGGGCAGTGCAGTGTGCTTTTTAGAATGTAGAGAAAGAAGGAACTTTTATATGGCGAAGCAATGAGTTTCCGGGTACTGGAGGTTTTCAATAACCAGACCCTGGACCACCACTTGGCAGGGATGTTGCAGAGGTGACTCAGGCACTACAAAGTAAGGTAGACTAGGTGAGCTTTGAGGATCTATCCAATCCTGAGTGCCTCTGGTGTCATGATCCTTCTCCAAGGTAAGATATAGAACTATCCTGGAGAGGAAGAACATAGGCAGGACAGATCCCAAGAAGCCTGAGCAAGGCACCAGGAAGGAGCCAGCTGACTGGAGAGGGCCTCCTTAGAATAAGTTGGATTTATGGAGCTGGGAAAGACTTTGGAGGAAGGCTATTCATGCTCTTGATAAAGAGATGGAGAAACTGTTAGTCAAATAAGCTGGGCTATAATGTATTAAAAAACAAAGTATGAAATCTCAGTGGTTTAACAGGAGGATAGTTTATTGCTCACTTGTGCAATTGCACATAGATGTTCCTGGTCAGTCAAGTGATGACTCAGTGATCCAGGTTCCTTCCATCTTGTCTGATGGCTCTTCAACACATGGCCTCTAAGGTCAATGTGAAAGGGAAACAGATTTTTGGAAAGGCACCCTGGATACTTAACATCCAAACCCAGAGCATGGCATGCAGCACTTTCCCTCACATCCATAAGCAGGATTGATCACACAGCCAACCTCATTGCAAGGGAAGCTGCAAAACAGGGAAGACCAAACAGACCCTGGTGTATACCAATAGTTTCTGCCACAAGAGATCAAGGCCCACAGGGATGCCATGATTTTGCTGTGACCATCGTGTTAATGTTGACAAAACTAAGAATTTATTCCCAATAGGATTTCTAATAGGGTTAAATGTGGTATAAGATGGTATTTGAAGCCTTCCATGACCTGGTCCTGGGAAATCCACCATCTTTTCTGCCACTCTCTGCCTGTCAGCTAATACCCCAATAAAATAGAACCGTTTATACTTCCCACCTCTACTTTTCTTGATATCTTTGCTCAGACTGCCCCTTATTTAGGAGTGAATACCTTCTGCCACTTTACCTAGCTTCTTCTACTTGTTCTTTCAGAATCAATTAAAACATCTGTTCTTCTTGAAAACTAATCTCAACCTCCTGATCTCCACTCCCCAGACTGGGCTAGGTATCCCTCTGTGCTCCCGCATTATCCTATCCATGTTTTTGTTTTAAATCATCATAGGGTATTTAACATCATGTCGTTATTCATTTATGATTCTATCTCCCTAACTAGATTGTGTACTCACTGCAAGGAAATGGCATCATTTTTTAAATTAACATACAGTAAAACTGACTTTTTTGGTATACAGTTTGTGAATTTTAACACATGTAAATTGATATTTTCTTGGTTCTTTGTATGCTGAATAACTTTGGATCATATCCTGGACATTTTGAATATTAGCTTGTGAGACTCTTGGTGTTATTTAAATCAGATGGAATGTTGACATTTTTGCTTTAGCCATCAGTCAAACCAGTTGATTTCAAGCTCCAAGTTCCGACCAACCTTCTGTGGGTTGCAGCTTCAATGTCAGTTCTGTTTGCAAAGGCTTTGCAGTGCAATGCAGATCCAGCTGATGTATATGCCACCTAGTGGCCAGTCTGGCACATGGGTAATGGTCTCTCCCATAGTTCAGTTCTCAAAGTTTAAAGATACGCTTTTCATGGTCAGATCTATGTATGCACCATTTGGGAATAAGCCGAAGTTTGTTCTTTCTTTCTTTTCTTTCTTTCTTTTCTTTTCTTTTCTTTCTTTCTTTCTTTCTTTCTTTCTTTCTTTCTTTCTTTCTTTCTTTCTTTCTTTTTCTTTCTTTCTTTTCTTTCTTTCTTTTTCTTTCTTTTTCTTTTTTCTCTTTCTTTCTTTCCTTCTTTCTTTTTCTTTCTTTCTTTTTCTCTCTCTCTTTCTTTCTTTCTTCCTTGTCTTTTCTTTTTCTGAGACAGGGCCTTGCTGTCTCACCCCGGCTGGAGTGCAATGTCATGATCATAGCTCACTGCAACCTGGAACTCCTGAACTCAAGCAGTCCTCCCACCTCAGCCTCTCAAGTAGCTGGGACTACAGATGTACACCACGATGCCCAGCTAATTTTAATTTTTTTTTGTAGGCACAGGGTCTCACTATGTTGTCTAGGCTAGTATCGAGCTCCTAGACTCAAGGGATCCTCCCTACTCAGCCTCCTGAAGTGCTGAGATTACAGGTGTGAGCCACTGCACCCACTCTCAAGTTTTTAAAACAACTTCATGGGGTCACTTTCCCAGCTCTCTCCTCTCTGAGATCTCCCTGGTACATTCTGGTTCCCTAAAGCCTAAAAGTCCCTTTTTGAGCCTAATCTGCTCTGCATTTCCCATAACTGGGCCCTTGTCTGGGGTTGTTGTGGTCACTCAACCAAAATGAAATGGGCCCCTCCCCAAAACAAAATTTAGTTTGGATATTGAGATCAATGATGCCACACATGCAACAAGAGGGGAAGAAGAGGCTTATCACTCACATGATGAAGCTTTCTGGGGAAAGCAGAAAGAGTCCCCAAGTTGATCTGAAAATGGCTTGAGAGAGCCAACAAAGGGTACTGGCTTGTTTTTATGATGGCTAGCGGGTGAGGCTGGGGTGAGAGTTTCTGCATGTGGGCTGGAGCTTACATGGTTTGAACTTCCATCCAGTGCCAAGGGAGCATCTGAGCTCTTACATCAGCCTGCCCAGATGTGGGGCCAAAGGGTATGGGGGAGTGGTGAGGTTTGAAAGCTGTCAGCAGTCAAACATCAAAAATAGAATCAGACTCTTTAATACAGGCGCCAAGTGGTGGGAGGATAGAGAAAAAAACAACAGGCATTTGCGCCACCCTTTGGGAACCACAGTTCTTCCAATCAGAAAGGAAGTTCCTCTCCCTGAGTTTTAGGTGCCTACGGGCCATCACAGGCTGGGTGATGTGAAAGATTAGAAAAAAGAAAAAGAAGGACAAAAGAAAATGGAAAATTTAGGAGACTCCTTTTGCACTCCTCATGTCAGGACTAAAAGGTTTTCCTGCAGCTCTCTCTCTGTTCTTGGCAATGCTCACATCTAGGTTTTAGTCTGCCTTAAATCTAGGCCGGGGAGTACCAGAAGAAAAAAAATCATAAGCTCACCATCAGTTTAGTGGTACTTCAAATTATGGTCTTTTCGTCAATCTACCTGTTAATATTTACTTCTCATGGTATTTAAATACCTGCTTAATGTATCCAGGTTTTATAGCTGCATTTGGTGGGAGAGATATTATTTACTCTACCTTACATGAAACTGAATCCATCTTATTTAATTTTTTATGTCCTGTGCCTAGCACAGTGCCTGGTACAGGGAAGGGACTTAATAGATGTTCTTTGAATGAACAAAGTGAATCCATGAATGAATGAGTGAATGAAGCAAAGTCTTATGACTTATTTACAGATAACACAGAACAACTCATGCCTCCAAGGAACGAATTTCTAATAACTATGACATGGTCAATTTTCCTCCATTCTCTTCCTGGAAGAGTGAGCAATATTATATAGAGAGGCTTTAGCCTAAGTGAGTAAAAAACTGTAACTTTTCTTATTGGATCTTTAAGTCAGAGAAGTCTTTCAAAATCCCAATGTTTTATGTCTCTAGAAAGCATTTGGATTGCACAGGTTTGAGTGAACTTTCTTAAACTCTGTTCCTCCCTTGTGTGCTGTAGAATTAAAATAAAATAAAATTGGCGAGGCTTTTTGACACCAGCACTTCCTTTAGTTGCACATGTTTACATTTACCACCAAAACAGGCTGAACTGCATGTTTAAAAAGGACACTGCAGAGCTCTGCTGTTCATTCATCCCCTGCTCAATGATCTGCATATAAATCATTGAATCCATTTACAATCAGAGGGCTAGAAACCCCCAGCTACTTGAATAGCAAGCTCTTTTATTTCTGCCTCTTTAAAGCTAAGCTGCTCTGACCCCCGACTGCAACAGAACTTAGCTGATGAGTCCAAAACATGAAATTGACTCCAGCTCATCTTTTCCATTCTTGAATTTGGCTTTGACAAGAACCACAGAAGTCAATGGGACCTCTGTATGTGGATGAAATTCCCAGGAAAGTTAGGAAGGGACTGATGATTCATGATATGAAACATCCCAAAGGGACTCTTCCCTCCCTCTTGATTTTGTATCAGTGTGTAGAATTTTGAAAACTGATGCTGATGAGGACAAAATTTCCATCATGAGCTAAACAAGATCCCTGACAGAGAGGAAACATGAGCTTCTGAGAGCCAGAATCCAGTTCTTTTTGCATAGAGGCCACCCCAATACAGAAGGGCACCTGGCCAAGCAGGGCGTACACTCTCAAATGAGTCAGGATTTGACCCCCTTCTGAAGAACCTCTTTTTACCCTACCTGATTCCTTAGAACAAATCAGTTATCTACTCTCAGTCATCAAGTGCCTTTTTTTTTTTTTTTCCTGAGTCTGTATTTCTCTTCTCTCTTTTGGTTTTCCTTGGGTGCTTCGGCTTTTGGAATGGCTTATTCTGTTTTGGTCTATCACAGGTATGCATTGCATTCATATCAGGAATTCTCTCTTATGGCTGGTTTGGCACCCAATGGAGAAGTTAAAACCTTCCATAAGTCAAATCCAGTTCCAGGGAGCTCCAGGGAACTATTCCCGCACTTTCAATGCAGTGGTTTCTGTTTTATCTGAGCTTTGTATTATTTACTGCAATCTGGAACATATTTGGTTATATGAGAATTTGTATTGGCATGGAATTAGTCTGGACACAAAATCCACCTCCTGTCACCACCAGTATAATCCCAAAAGCACAGTAAACTGCTGTGGTTCATCCTGCAGGTAGGCTGTTATTGAGTCTATAGTAACTCCTTGAGAGGACTCCTAAGGGTAGGCTTTGGGCCTCTAAAGACCTGGTCCCCTTTAGGACCTCCCTGCCTCTGCTTTCTTCCTGGTTCCTCACTGGAAATATTTGTTCTTTCATTTATGTCTGGATTCAGCTAATGGGGAAGAAAATGAAACTATGGTTTTTTTTGTCTCTCTTTTTTTTTTCCTCCTTTCTTTCCTCCTCTTCTCTCAAATGCAGAGAAAGGGAGATTAGAATCATAAATGCCTCTTTACCACAAGCACTATGAGTCCCCTTGCACTGTAGAGGTCTCTCTGCTTGTAAAAATTGCACGACTAAAACATGTTTGTTGTAGAAAAATTAGAAGATGTCAATAAAAAGAAAAAATTAGAAGATATTGATTAAAAGAAAAAAATCAAACAAAATTTTCTCCAATAAAAATCAGGCTTCTTGGTCACTTCACTCTTTTCAGTCTTTCTGAGACTCAGTTCTTGTTAATTTTCATCAAGTGTTTTTCCCCTGCGTCCTGGCATTGCCCTTAGCAACCAGCATTTTTTTTTTTTCCAAACCGTTTATCTACGTGGCTTTAAGGAAAGTTTTCTCCCAGATAAAGTACAAAAGGAACATATGTCTGTAATAGAACAAAATATTTTAAAGAGCAATTTAAACAGCTCTCTTATAAGAAAGCTGTGCATCCATACTTACTGCTTCTTTGGTAGGCTTCCTCTGACCAGCCTCAGTCTTTATGTTTCTTGACCCCTAGGGTAATTTGGCCTTTGTGGCTGACTTTTAGAGCTCTCTTTTAAGTCCCCTGAAAAGTGGTTTCTTGCCAGGTCTGACCAATCTCTCCCAGCTCTCATGCCTATAAGAGGTTTCCTTTTCTTGCATGCTGTTAACACATGCAAACTCCTCTTCCCATTTTGTGGGCAAGCGTGGCAGCTGCAAACCTTAATCTATGTAAAAGGAGGCAAGAAATTATTATTTTTTTTTTAGACAGAGTTTCGCTCTGTCGCCCAGACTGGAGTGCAGTGGTGTGATTGCAGCTCACTGCAGCCTCCACCTCCTGGGCTGAAGCAATCCTCCCACCTCAGCCTCCCAAGTAGCTGGGACTATAAGCAGGCACCACCATGCCCAGTTAATTTTTATATTTTTTGTAGAGACGGGGTTTCGCCATATTGCCCAGGCTGGTCTCAAACTCCTGGCATTCTGCCTGTCTCAATCTCCCAAAGTTCTGGGCTTTACAGGCATGAGCCACCATGCCTGGCTAAGAAATTTAATATTCTTTCTTTTTCTATAATGCAACTTATTTTCTACTTCAAACCCCCATTTCATCTGATGGCAGGAACTTAATCTGTCAAGATGGAATTTATACCGTGCACACACTTGTGGGGTTCGCCTAGTCTGGGTCACTATCTATCCACGCTGGCATCCCCTGAGGCATCCCTCTTTCTATTTTGCCTTTGGTCTGCCTAAGTCATCTCTGACCCAAGGCTCCCTAGTTCCAGCTCTCTCTCTGCTCATTTCTTTACTTCTTTGAGGTGAAAAGGATGAGTCTTCTGTTCCCATGCAATGCTAGGAAGAGTGAAAAATCTCAGTCGAGCTATTGCTGACACATTGTTGCATCACTGCCACTCTAAAATGCAGAGGTTTCCTGAGGCTGTTTCAGGCCAGCTATGGCATTTCTGAAACTGGTGAACAATGAAAATTTCAGGTTGGAGATTACAAAATCAGTCTCCCCTTCCCATGGACCCACAGCACCAACCCAGGACAGGCAGGCAACACCAAGGGATTGCAAACTTCCTGCTTGCACACACTTAGCTCCTGGGTTGGAAATGGCAAGAGACTCTGCAGAATTGTCTACCAAATTGCTGTGGCACCAGCAGCCTGGGGCCAAAAGGCCACTGACAGGCATGGAAGGAGACAGACAGCAGGACTCAAGGAGAGGAAGGCCAAGCAGGTAGGGCCTGTGGCACCCAGAAACAGGGCAGTGAGTGGCAGACAACCCATTCCTGGAGGAAGTGGAAGGCAGGACTGAAGGAAAGCCAAGGCTCCAAGCCCCTGGAGCACATGCCATTGTCCCATTGGATTTTACAAGACACAAAATCAAAGATTAAAGTATTAAAAATATCCAGACAGTCATCAAGGAGCATTAAACCCCAGGTTCAGAGCCCTTCTGAGTGTAGTGCCCTGTCCATACACTCATGAACTGACTTGCCTGCATACTTAGATATAGGAAAGCCAGGGAACAGACTTCTTCTTTTACTTGTACTACATCATCCCTTCCCTGATGCAATGAGAATAGAGCTATTCTAGCTGTGGCCTGGAATGGAGAGAGTTGGGGAAGAGAAGCACAGGTAGGGCAGCTTCTAGACTAATAGGAATTATGGGAAAGGGGGAAACCCTAAATTTGTATTTCAAAAAGTTTTCCTACCACCCAAGCATCAGCCGATCTGAGCACTCATGGACTCCTGGCTATATTCTGGCTTCTGATTCACAAGTGGGTTCACCTGCAGGACACCAGCCCCCACCCTCCATTGCCCAGGCTGTGTCTCAAGAAGCCCTAGCCCATATCTTTGCTGAGTGAGGCTTAACTTCTGGGACTGTAGCAAAGCAGTATTGAGATTTTACATCACATAGTCGACCTTTCTCAGTTTATTCTTACATATAAACAGTGATCTTTAAAGTGTGGTGCCTGGACCTGTGGCATCAGCATCACTTGGGAGCTTGTTGGAATGCACATTCTCAGGCCTCATTCCAGACCCACCAGATCTGAAACTTTAGAATGGGGCTCAGCAATCTGTGTTTTGTTTTGTTTTGGTTTGTTTTTTTGAGACTGAGTCTCACTCTGTTGCCCAAGCTGGAATGCAGTGACGCAGTCTCAGCTCACAGCAACCTCCACCGCAGCAAAAGTTTCAAGTGATTCTTCTGCCTCAGCCTCCTGAGTAGCCTGGCTAATTTTTGTGTTTTTAGTAGAGACGGGGTTTTGCCATGTTGCCCAGGCTGGTCTCAAACTTCTAGGCTCAAGCGATCCACCCACCTTGGCCTCCCAAAATGCTGGGATTACAGGTGTGAGCCACCGCACCCGGCCTGATCTGTGTTTTAGTAAGCTTTCCAGTAACTCTAATGCACACTGAAGTTTGAGAACCACTGCTCTAAACTTTGTTATATGAGAGACACATTTCAGGATTCTTCAGTAATTTCTCTCATAATCTTATAAATAAATATTGGACCTAGTGCTCAGAGCTGACAGTTCAAAGAATTCCAAGAAGTTTCGGCAACTCCAAAGCATGTCTTCTAACCACATGCTACAATATTTGGAATTCCTGCATTAGAAATTTATTTATTTGGCATCTTTTTATTGTTCTTTTTTAAAAGGTAAATGTTCTGTATGGTAAGCTCACATAAAAGTATCAATGATATCTGTCATATTCTGCTTACCATGGCTTAGGAAGGGAGAGAGGACACACAGAAAGGGGAAATAGCTGAGACTGGGCAATTTACAAAAGAAAGAGGCTTAGTGGACTCACAGTTCCACCTGGCTGGGGAGGCCTCACAATCATGGTGGAAGGTGAAAGGCATGTCTCACATGGTGGCAGACAAGAGAAGAGAACTCATGCAGGGAAACTCCCCTTTATAAAACCATCAGATCTCATGAGACATATTCACTATCATGAGAATAGCATGGGGAAGACCCACCCCATGAAGGTCCCTCCTACAACACATGGGAATTGTGGGAGCCACAATTCAAGATGAGATTTGGGTGGGGACACAGCCAAACCATATCAGGTGGCAATTTTGCTTAGGGCTAGCATTTCTAGAACTTATGAAGTCACTGGAGTAAAAACATATATTTGAAATGAGCCCTATATCTTAATTTAAAAATAAAATAAAGTGGAGAGAATGAAAGAGTGGGTTTAAGGGGGTACATAGTAGAAAAAACCTAGTTCATATCCTGCCACTAACTAGCCATAGTCTTAGATGAATTACTTAAACTCAGTTTCTATAAAATGTGGTGATGCATGGTATCTAAGACGTTACATCAGTTAGGATTTAGTTGCAAGTGACAGAAAATCCAACTGAAACTGGTTTAAACTGTTAAGCAAAAAGTTACTCTATTGGCTCTTGCAAATAAAATCTAGAGATAGTTCTAACTTCAGAAACAGTTTGAACAGTGTTCCAAAGAGGCCACATGAACCAAGTTGTTCTTTATTTTACTCTCTACTGCTCCATGTGTTTGGCTTCATTTCAGACCATGCATGGCGGCAAGATGGCAGCCCCAGTACCAGCCAACATGTCTCCATGGTTCAAATGTGGATTTGAGGGCAAACTCAGAAGCCCAAACAGACCCTCCAAAATGAGACTGAGTTATGTTCTTATCCCTGAACCAATCACTGACCACAGGAGAAACTGACACTCTGGATCATATGCCAGTCCTGGGTCGGACACCATCCCTGGAATGCGAGGTGGTAGGGAGGGACTGTCAACTCCACAAAAACCACAGGGATGGAAAGTGGGGAAGGGTGGATCCCCCACAAACATTGGAGGCCGTTCCTGGAAACAGGGTAAGTGAAGAGGGGCTGGCCAAGAAACCACACACATCTACCATGCAGATCTCAGTTCCAACATTCTGCAGTTCTGTGAGGCCCTCCTACGGCCCAGAATACCAGCATAGAAAACCACATTCACCAGACTGCCCTCCAGATGGAGCAGGAATGGGCTTGGGGAGGAAGGAATCCCATTTCCATTTAGGATGACTACAATCATACACTTCAAGAGTCCTGACTGGAAAGGCTGTCTCTCCTGGCAAACCAGTCCCATTTCTCATTTCTCTAGGAGAAATGCACACAAAACTTTCCATACTCCTGCCTGGCATTAGCTCTCTGCTGACCTCCATCTCCCTTTCACCCTGTCTGCCTCTGCTCGGAATGTGTCTCTCTTGGACTACCGCTGTCTCCTATCTGACTTCCTCTGCTACCTCTCTCTATTCCTCTCTCCCTCCAATACTGACCGGTTGAAGCTGTCATTACTGTCTGCCTAGCTTTCTCAAGAGTTTCTACCTCTGTTTCTTTCTATTCTCTCTCTTTTTGGGGTTCTCCCTGTCTCTGCCTTATTTTTTCTCTGTCTTATCCTGTCTGTGCTTCTCTACCTCAGTCTCCAAGAACCTGCCTGTCACTTTCTTTACTTGGCACTTTCATTCTTTGTGTCTGCCTCCCTTTCTGCATCTGCTTTTGTCTCTATCTTTTTCTGAAATAGACAGTTCTCACTGCTCCAGATAGGGTCTAAAAATGTCTACAAGTCCTGCTTATTCCATATGTTTATCAGCAGATGGACCAACACTGTTTGAGGATGGAGGCAAGACCTTGAAGGAGGAGAATTTAGAGAGAAGAAGGAAGCATTGACAGGGCACCTGAATCATGGTGCTGTGAATAAGGGGTTATTCAGACCAAACCTACACAGCACACACACACATTAATGTCACAAACCACCTTCAGATAGGCGCTAATCTTCTCCATCACAGTCACAGTTGGGTATGGTTGAAGTTTTGTTTTTTCTCAGTTGAACGCTTTTTAACTGATTAGCTGCTCCCTGGATTTCAAAGCAGCTTGGATATCTGTAACTGACACACAATCTCAGTGCCGCAGCCTAGCAGTTTACAACAGGTCCTTTGGATGAACTGACTTTGCCATTGTGTGCCTTGTGAGTTTCACTGTGTGGACAGCTCAGCCCCTGTTTTCTCTGTGGCAGTTATCCAGGTCCTGCTTCTCAGTGACTAAACACATCTCTGGTGCCCAATGCAGTGAGGGCTGACATTAGGCCCTTCTTAACATTAGTCTACAATTTCCAATTCAATAGAAGATATTGCTGGGTTTTGGAAAATAGAATGTGGCAGAAGTAGACATATATCCAACAGGCTTTGCACTCAGGTTTTATTTTTACACAGAGTTTAAAACTTATATCACATACCATCCCAAGGACTGTCCTAATCTTCAACAAAGTTAGTTTTCATTTCATTATTTCTTCATTTTAAAGGTTGATACATTGGCTTTTGCAGTCACCAGCATATTTTTTAACTACTATGATGTAAATGGCAAAGAATGTGGGGAGGCCATAGGACTGTTAGGTTTTGTTGTTGTTGTTTGCTTTCCATCTTCAACAGTTTTCTGCTCTGTGATGGTAAACAAATCAACTTCTATGAGTGCCAATTTCCACATTAATAAAAGATAACAGAAACAGGTGCCTAGCGTCAGTGCCTAGTA